>NC_000011.10:14435000-15060000 GCF_000001405.40 Homo sapiens | reverse complement strand
TAGGAAGACTGGCTAAAGGGTGGAAATACAATCTTCACAGAACCCTCTAATTTAAACTCAATTCACTGGGCACTCTACTTCAGCTGAGTCCTGTTCCCCATCACAGGCCATATGCCCTGCAGGCTGCTCTCCTCAAACCCCAGAGAAATAGAGATGCCAACATCTAACCTGCAGAGGTCCCTTCTACAGAATATTTTTAGTGTTGTCTGTGCTTGCCAGAGAATGAGCAAAGCATAGTGGCCCAGACTCAAGCTGATCACTCTAATAAATAGACTCAGTGAGTGACGTCAAAAAATTACTCAGGTTAGGTTTCTCTGAGATGATTAAAATTCTCTCTTGGCTCAGACTTACAATACCCAAATTGACTCTCTCTCCCTGTCTGAGAGCATTATTCCACACTGCAAAAAAGGTAGAAATACAAGTCCTTAATAAGAACTTCCTTGTAAAGCTAATTGGTGTAAAATCTGCTTCATTCAACACTCTCAGACAATGACAGTTCTTGCTAAGATAAATTCCCAGGTAAGAGAAACATACTTTAAGTGGAAAATGCACCTTTTAAAAAAGTCACTTTGGATGGAAACCCTCTTAAAATGCATTACACTCTCCTCTTAACCTTCTCTGGATGACTCACAGCCATCATCAAAGGAACATCAGTCACAGTGCTGTGTCTTAAGTAAAAGCCTGAGTTGGCTGGGCTGTTTATCTCCACTCTTGCTGCCCCCAGCTGCCATGCTTCAGAGATCATCATCCACCATTTTTAGTTGTTCATTGCCTCCTTCACACTCAGGATCTCAGGATCATGTTTTCGGGTTTTGGTGGCTTCTTCTTCTTCTAATATCTTTGCCACTAGCCCCAGGCCCAATCTACCTCAATATTCACCTTCTAATTTAATGCCATCAGGAAAACAATAGAAACATGCTCAATAGAACTTGCTGGAGCCAATCAGGAGGAAGGAGGTTAAGGAAAGGATCTAGGTGTCTCTCCTACATGCAGAGCTGAAGAATGCTAAAGGGGTCTAGAGCATTGAATTATGACATTTACTGCAGCTACTCAAAGGCCATTTTCCTATCTTTTCTAGCTCTCACTATGGCCTCTATAGAGGAAGTTTCTGAATAGGTGAGTGTTTTTCTTTCTTTCTTTCTTTCTTTCTTTTTTTTTTTGAGATGGAGTCTTGCTCTGTCATCCAGGCTGGAGTGCAATGGTGCAATCTCGGCTCACTGAAACTTCCACCTCCCGGGTTCAAACGATTCTCCTGCCTCAGCCTCCTGAGTAGCTGGGATTACAGGCACGTACCACCATGCCAGGCTAATTTTTGTGTTTTTAGTAGAGACAGGGTTTCACCATGTTGGTCAGGCAGGTCTCAAACTCCTGACCTCATGATCCAACCGCCTCGTCCTCCCAAAGTGCTGGGATTACAGGTGTGAGCCACCATGCCCAGCCGGTGAGTGTTTCTGTAGTTTCTTTCACTGTTTCTGTGGTGTTAAGGAAGTTTGAGAAAGACCATACATTTAAAAGAGGGTCTTGGGTAACAGTGCTGTCCAATAGAACTTTCTGCAATAATAGAAGTGTTCCACATCTGAACCATCTGGTATAACAGATACTAGACACATGTGGCTCTTGAACACGTGAAATATAACTATCGTAATTGAAGAGCTGAATTTCTAATTTTATTTATTTTTAATTAATTTAAAAGTAATTATCTATATGTGGCTAGTGGCTACTCTTTGGGACAGCACTGGTCTATAGTATCATGTAGTTGTTGCATGCAGACTGTGGAGCCACACACTGTTTTTCAAATTCTGGCTCCCACATTTATTAGCTATGTGACCATAGGCAAATCGCTTAAACTTTCTGAGTTCTGGATCCTGTTTTGTAAAATAGGGATAATATTATTACTTATTTCCTAGGGCTGTTGTGAGGATTCCATAAGGTAATAATCACAAAGTTCTTAGAAAAATGTGCAGCCAATAGTAAGTGCTATATAAATGTTAACCGTTATCTGACTTTGGGTTTCTCCAGAAGCAGATCCTAAGATGAGAATTTGAGTACAAACCATTTCTTTGGGAGTTGCATTGGTAAGGAAACAGGAAAGTGAGACAGAGGAGGAAAGGTAGCCTTTACAGAATATGATCATGAGCAGGTTACTGCTGTAGGGAACTGAGGCCTTATCCTCCGGAGACCCTCTGGAACACTGTAGAGAGCATGTCTCAGAATTGTCCCACCCAAGGAGTGTTAAGTTATTTATCCACCAACTCCAGTCTGTCATTATTAAGGGGTAGTTCCCAGGGATGCTGATGCCCCAGCACATCTAGCCAGTCCTGCACGGCCAAGCTTCTGTGGCCAGAGAAAATGCCTAGGCAGAGAATCATAGGTCTTATAGTAGAGAACTATGGATACAAATAGGAATGGCAAATCCTGTCAGAGCACTGAGACAGCCTGCTATAGCCCAGATTATAATTACAAAGAGACTGCCACTGCTTACTGATCCTCCCTAAAAATAGTCAGGAATAAGTTTACCCATCCATATCATGTTGCAAAAGATTAGCCAACAGACTGTTATATGATGATGTGACCTCATTGGCTACTCCAGCCCATCTTATTCTTAAGGCCTTTCCCCAGAGCATCTGGAAGGCCCTTGGCAGTCTTAATGACAGTTATCTTCAGCATCCCTTTAATCAATAGGCAAACACAAAGAAAACTCAGTGTCCTCTATTCTCTCACAGCAATAAGACCAGAACCCACACAGAAGCCCTCAGCTCAAAGGAATATAGAAAGGACTTGCTTGCTAAGGCTGGATGAAGGTTGAAGGGGAGCAGGGGGAGTATCCCAATCCTGATTTATAAGTTTTCATGGATCAATCTGTTATTTCTTGTTGGACAAACCCTATTTTTTCAAACCTAGGATCTTGGAACTTTCCTTAGCCACGAAATTACTGACGAATTTCTTCTGTTTATCAATTAAGAAAATTAAATTAGGTTTGTTTATGTGTATAGGTGTTTTTAATTCTCTTTCTGATGAGTTAAAATTAAATTTTCATAAGTTCTCCTGAAACGAAAGAGGATCATGGGAGATGGCAGTATGACTATTAACAATAATGCTAATTGTTAACATTTGGCGTTGTAATAATCTAGGGGCTTAGCTGCATATAAAGACAGGATGCTGAGGAGCTTACAAAATTTTTTTAAAAGGCCAGGGAGTCAGGTCTGGATCCCACATAGTCAGAAATAACATCCAGGAAAACAAACCACATCATGGAAATGTTCTAGTAGGAAGTCCATTGCTCCTCACCTGTAGCAGTTTTGATTCCAAGTGACTTCCCATAATATCCCATCTCCTCTCAAACAGCCATCATGTCCAAGTGCTCACTTTTGCCTTCCAAGTGTTCACAAATGCCTCTGATTTCTAGAACCTAAGTCTGTGCGGAACTCTAGCTTCAAGAGAACTTGGGAAATCAAGTGTTAAATTTTCTACCCTCTGTAGAAAGGCTTGCATGCAAGAAGCCTTTGAATAAGTATCGAGTAAGCCACATACAACTTTTTGTGGATGTCTAATAATCCTCTCTAACCATTTCCGATACAAGAATTTTTGGTTTTTCCATCCAAATCTGATCCCCCACATACACACTTTCCCCTATCATAGTAAATGGCAGCACAAATAACTTCCTTTCCCCTTGTCTATATTCAATCCACTAGTGTGTCCTACTAACTTTATTCCCCTCACCCCCAAACACATCCCAAATCCATCACTTTCTCTCCACCTCCACTAGGACTCCACCTCCTGGACTAAGCCACCATCATCTCCTACCTATACAAGTGCAGTAGTCTCATAACTAGTCTCCTGGCTTTAACTGTTGCCCACGTAATTTCCCCTCCATATGACTCTCAGAGTAATCTTTTAAAAGTATAGATTATATTGAGTCACTCCCCTTCTGACAAATCTGTATAGTTAGGTTTAAAAATTAAATCATTTTCCTACACTAAATAATTTCTTATGTGGTCTAGCTCCTCTCTGTCTCACCAGGATCCTCTTATGCCAGTCTCCCCTCACCCATATACTCACATTGGCTTTTTAAAAAATCCTAGAACTGAAACAACAAGACCTTTCCCACTCCAGAGCCTTTGCACTTGTTGGTTTGTCATCCTAAAAAGCTTTCTCTCACCTGTCAATCTTCCCTTCTTTGGCACTGCTTCAACACACATACCACGTCATCACTCTTGAGAGCTGGCTCAAAAATCACTGAATCACTGATCAGTGATGCTGAACCAAGTTTTAGTGTTCAGCGTAAAAATCAGTGTCATCTACTTTAAAAATACCTTTGCTGCCCACCTACCTAAAAAAGTCCTTTTAATTTCTTTATGACATTAAACTGTTTTACTTCCCTTACAGAACTCAGCATTCTCTGAAATTATCTCTGAAATATACTTGTTTGAATATTATTTGTCTTCCTTCACTAGAATGTAAGCTCCTTGGGAGAAGTCTCTTTGAATACCTTGTCCATCACTTTAACCCCAGTACCTGGAAGAGTGTCCAGCATAAAGGTTGGGTTAATAAACATCTCAAGTCTGATGGAAGCCTATGAATACTTACTATGCAACTTCACACAATCCTTACAACAGCCCTATGATGTAAATACTGTTATCCTTGCTTTCGAGCTGAGAAACCTGAGGATAGAGAAGTTAAATACTAGCCCAATTTCATATCTAGTAAGAGAGGGTTTAAGTATAAAGCAGTCAGATTTCAGTGGCCACACTTTCAATATTTACGTGTATTTGCCTTTTTCATAGCAATTGTAGGTCTTTAAGAAGAATCAAGAAGCTCTTGATGAATAGCCACCTCAGCTCAATCATGCCAAACAGGCATGTCAAATTCTAGGTGATGCCAACTATCTCTCCAGGTGCCCAGCCATAGTCATTACAGAAGGCTCTTGGTACTGGGTGCAGTGGCTCATGCCTGTAATTCCAGCACTTTGGGAGGCCGAGGCAGGCAGATCACCTGAGGTCAGGAGTTCGAGACCAACCTGGCCAACATAGTGAAACCCCATCTTTACTAAAAATACAAAAGGTAGCTGGTCATGGTAGCAGGCACCTGTAATCCAAGCTACTTGGGAGGCTGAGGCAGAAGAATCGCTTGAACCCAGGAGGTGGAGGTTGCAGCGAGTCTAGACCCTACCACTGCACTCCAGCCTGGGTGGCAGAGTGAGATTCCATCTCAAAAAAAAAAAAGAAAGAAAGAAAGAAAAGAAGGTTCTTGGAAAACTAAATCCATTTGGAGGACCAAATTCAGTCTTGTCTAGGCCATCACTGTCCTTTGGTTATCTCTTCAGTATATCTGAAGACTGTGACAAACACCATAGAAACTTTCAGAGAGGAAGTCTCCAGCCCCAAAACTAGAATCCAGGGTCTCCTTAGTTGACTACTTCTCTGACCCATCCACAGATTGTCTTCCAGGATAGAATGAGTGAAGGAACTGTTTGCAGAAATCAGAACTAGACAAAAATCTGGGCCCAAGGGCAACCAATGTGATATTCTAATTGAAATCAGGTAAAATCCTGAAAGGGTAAAGATGCTGTGCAAATTTCTGTCCAGAGATGGTTAGTATCTAGAACAGTACTTGACATGGTAACCACTCAGCAAATATTGGTTAAATGAATAATAGTGGTGCAAAAACTTTTTTGCTTTTTTTTGTTTTGATTATTCATCATTACCGTTGTTTTATTGGATCCTTATTGGGTTTGGTTATCAAAGTCTGTGATTTGAAGTCAGGAAAAAGTGAATTGTTCTGCATAATAGAGGGAAGAAAATTTAAAGTCCCCTTAGGACAGTCTGGAAGGGATGAGTGAAAAAAAGTAGGAGAAAGTAGAAACAGCAGAAGCCTAAGTGCTCACAGAGGTGATGAGCAAATGAGAAGCTTGCCTTGGTAGTTACGGATTAGATGAAGACAAAAAACATTGAAAAAACAGAAATGCCTAATATGAAAAGTTAGCTTTTTTACCTGGCAAGCTGTGATGTGACTTTTCCTATAACCCCCATATCTTTAATAAAATTGACTATAATTTTTTCTATTTTGTTAAACTGGACATTTTTTAGAAATCAAGGAAGGAATTGAATTTTATCTCAGAGCCCACATGAAGCAGGATCAAAGTCAGTACACATGAAAACTAGAGCCCAAAGACTATAAAGCATGAAATAAGGATTTAAGCTAACCCTATCTTGTAAGGGGTTTGTAAAGCCCAGCTTGCATCTGAGCTACACTAGCACCAGGACAGCCACTCAGTAATGGGGTTTCTCAAGGTTATTGCTTTTCATTCAGTTGAAATGAGAGTCATTTCTTACCCTTATGCCCTGTGAGATTTCACTGGAGGTTGTTCACTGAAACATTTTCATATCATTGCATCAACCCTCTTGAACTCACTGTGCCTGCCCCCAGTTCAGTCTGTGACTCACAAGTACCCTGCAGCAAAAGAAATCCAATAGAGGGCAAATCCCTCACCTTACCTTCCTTTCTAAGACCTTTGATGTTCTCATGTGTCATTTCATAATTGGGATTGTCAATTAGTCGCCTCATCTCTGGTCCTCACTTTCCTCTCTCCCAGCCAAACTCAACCTTCAGCCCACACAATGGAATTCAACAAAATGAGGTAACAGTTTTCTGTGTGAGTCACTCTGGGCAACTCTGTTCACAGAGCACTGTGAGGTGAGCAGCCAGAACCCAGGCAAGTGTTTCAGCCATCCAAGAACTGGCAGGCAGCCCAAGAGACACTCTCACCTGATGACAGACTAGCAGGATGAGTCCTGGAGGAAATGGTTCCCAACAGCTGCAGAAGGAGTCTCTTGGCTCATGCACAGCAATGCTCTTCTCAATTAAAAACGTTGTCATTATTGACACTGCAGTGTAAAATCCTTTTACACTGTGCTCACATTTCTACAGGCCTTCACCTGCTCTGCCCATTAAAGACAAGACCCTTCCATGAGATGATGACATCTCTAAGTTACTGTTCCACCCAAACAGTCCTATATAATGAAGAGAAAAATTTTGCTGGCCCTCAAAAGGCAAACACAAGGAGAAAGATTTCCACAAGCTGTTTCTCTTTGCTGAGCACTTAGAGGAAAACTGTAAGTGGTTGGAAGAAGGCTTTGTTTTCTACAAGACTTTTAGTTATTCCTCAGAAATTTTCCTGCTTATTCCCAGAGGAGGTCATCTCTTAGATGCTGTCAGTCAGATAGGGATTGGCAGCCAAGCAGAGGTGCTCAGAGAGGTTTCCAACTAATGTGGCCAGCGGAAAACTGCCAAAGAAGCAGGGATCCTTAGGACAAATAAACTGGAAGATATTTTGGGGATAAAAATAAATCCTTTTGAAAATGAAAGATGGAGAGATGCTGTATATACAAATTGCCCTGTTCTGAACAATGTTGTCACTAGGACTGGCCCTGGAGACCAATGATACAAACCAAAATGTTCTCAGACATGCTTTGATGGTCTTTTTCTCCAAAGTTATCTATTCTGTTTCCATTTCATTCTCACAGGACTTGCCATGGGGTTCTCATAAGATTTCACATTGGTCATAATCCAGGTGGCCCTGGACTGCAACCTCTGAGTTGGCAACATCAGAATAGGAATTACGAAAAACCAATTTAAAGTTAAATACAGACACAGGCAAAAGAGAGATGGGTTGTCGAAGCTAGTGCCTAGGTGGACACTGCCTCACATTTTTAATTCCAGAAGCCATCAGTACTGAGTGTCAGATCTCATTAGTCAAACACAGTGATCAGGAATCCTGTTTTCCTGGAGGATTTCCTTGAGGGAGGGACCACTCAAGAGTCTGAAATATTTCACGTCATAGAGTATGGATCTCACCCCAACACCCAATCAGAAAATAGGGAGAACTGGAAACCAAAATTCCCCCTCCCGCTGTGGAAGGATGAAAACCAGAGTGTTGGAGTTCTGTCCTGATAATGGAGCAGACAGCTAGGCAGCAATCAATGAGGGCCAGTACAGGAATTCAGTGCTAAGTATTGGGTCATAACAGAAGTAGGGAAGGTATTAATCCAGTGCTATATGAGGATCCTGGGACACTGGCTCCTAGTAATCTAGTTATAACTATTAGCAAAAAAGAAAAAAAAAATCAGTGATGTGAAGAGATGGCCTAAAGGAGCTCCAGCAATATAGCTAAGCAGCTGGCAAGTGGTCTGAGGAGCATTGCAATTCCAGGCCTCCTAAGGTGGCAGTACGGGCACTGGTAAGACATTCTGCTGTGGTGAAACTAGTTTACCATAGAGGATTCACAATTAAAATAGGCAAACAGGAAATGCAAGACAGAGGCTAACAAAGGGTTTTTTTTTTGGTGGGGGGGAGTTGTTTGTTTGTTTGTTTGTTTTCTGAGACGGAGTCTTCCTCTGTTGCCCAGGCTGGAATGCAGTGGCACGATCTCAGCTCACTACAACCTCTGCCTCCCAGGTTCAAGCAGTTCTTCTGCCTCAGCCTCCCAGGTTCAAGCAGTTCTTCTGCCTCAGCCTCCCAAGTACCTGGGACTATAGCTGTGTGCCACCACATTGACTAATTTTTGTACTTTTAGTACAGACTGGGTTTCACCATGTTGGCCAGGCTGGTGTCGAACTCCTGACCTCAAGTAATCCCCCCGCCTTGGCCTCCCAAAGTGCTGGAATTACAGGCATGAGCCACCACACCTGGCCAGTTTTTGGTAATTCTTAAAGAACTCAATGAGCAACACTCAAACAACCATAAAGACTATAGAGCTCATGGTTGAATTTTAGATAGCTAAACAGACAGGAGTTTTTGTAAGTTTTGTAAGTCTTGCTCATCCTTCCCTCTTCCATCCTCTATCTCAACTATTCTGTCTACCATTAAAGCACCTTAGACCTTGAGTTTGGCAATGCAACAAGTGTGTGCTCAACACGAAATAGGTAATTCAATAGCAAAGCCCTAAAACAGCCTGGCTTGATTATTTCTCAGGGCATGCAGTTCCTTTGAAGCAGGATCATTTTAATAATAATAATAATAGAAATAATAATAGAAATTGAAGACAATTATTTCACAATTTCCATACACCTAAGAGCTATACATATGAATGATAATGCATAATTGTAAAGCATGCATATTACAGGTAATAAATATGTTAGCTAATTATAAACAATGCCCATTTTCATATAGTTTATCCTTGCCAAATAAAACTGTAAAAAAAAGACACCTTTCAAATGCTGCTAAGGAGTAATACCTGAATGAGGTTGATTTAATGGAGTCTTAGTTCCTGCATGTGTTCTAATTGAATAGACTATGTAGTAATTCCCTTACATACCCATCCATGTCCAAGAACAGTGAAGATCTTTATTTAATATGAATTATTGCAGATGATTAGCACAGTCTAGCCAAACCATTCCAGTAATTGTTTTTACTTGTTATATTAATATATAAATTCTCAAAGGATATAACAGTGATGTTGGGTGAATTTCACTGAATGATAGCTCAAACACCTGAAATATTGACTAAGAAAACTAATTTATCAATACTGATAATCAATTTTAATATGTTAATTGATTGTAATACAGGATTCTGTGGTTCAAAAAAAAAGAACAAGCAAAAAAACTTTCTTCCATTTCCAAATACCAATTAATAGATCTCTACTTCCCCTTGGATTTCTTCTTACCACCTACCACCTCCAATCTTCATTCTTTCCTCACAAACTAAACATAAAAGTTACCTACAAAGCATAGAATCTGTGTTAAAGGATATTCTTGCTTGTTTTAAGTCCAAAATTAAACAGCTCTGAATTATTAAAAAGCACATGAATTCAAATGTCCTATTCTAATAAGAAAATGGTTTACATTTCTCTATGTTCAAGGAAAAAAATAGTCAAGGGTGTACAAGTGGGGTAAAAATTATTTCCAGTAGGTTATGTGATTTAAGTTATAGAAACGAACCAGGCAATTCAATTAAATGTCATGGAAAGTAGGTTTTTTCTTTTCCTCTTTTTTTCTAATATGTACACTTTGTGAGAAGATAAATCCATAGTGTGATAATTTGTCCACTGGGTCCATCAGACACTGGAGACAGCTTCCTAAGAATTATAAGGCTTCTAAAGGCTTCTAAAGCCTAAATTGCCTAGAGCATTTTGTGTGCCAGGCACTTTGCTAGGTGCCCTAGGGATGCAAGAAGTATAAATGTTTTATGAGAATACAGGCTGGAAATGTATTCTTGATTATTCCTGTGGAATTTCTAGGCAGAAAAGAGTCTAATGGGGTATAGGTATATTTTCTCAACACAATTTTCTGAGCCTTTACCAGATGCAGTTCTATGGTTTGAATGTGTCCCTCAGAGTTTGTGTGTTGGAAACTTAATCCCCAATGCAATAATGTTGGTGAGGCCTAATGAAAGCCTAATAATGTAGGTGAGGCCTAATGAGAGCTGTTTAGACCATGAAGGCTCTTCCCTCATGGATGGATTAATGCTGTTATGGTGGGAATGGGTTCATTATTACTGGGGTGGGTTCATAATAAAAAGATGAGTTTGGCCTGCTATTCTCTCTCTTTCTCATCCTCTCTTCCACCATGGGATGACACAGCAAGAAGGCCCCTGCAAGATGCCCTCCCCTCAGTATTGGACTTCACAGCCTCCAGGACCATAAGCCAATAAATTTTTGTTCATTATAAATTTCCCAGTCTGTGGTATTCTGTTATAGCAACACTCAATTTATGCATTACTTCCAGATTCTTATGGCTATACCTACTTCTCACAGTTTGTATTCACCCCTCCTTCAACCAAGTACCCTTAACACAGTTCCCATAGTCACAAAGCCAGGTCACTGAAGCTGCCCTCTCTCCAACCACACACATATAGATCAAATGACCCCAGACATAGAGCTGATTGAGAAGGAGGGACCAGTACGAGCTCTGCTTCCCCAGCAGCTTCCTGGAAAGAAGAGGCAATACAACCCAACCCAAAAGTGCAAGAGAAGTAACACCTCATGGGATGAGCTTAATTAATCAATGGGAGAGGACACTAGAAGACACTAGAGGATCTCCCTTCCTCCCTTTCTTTCCCACTTCACCCCCTCCAGTCTCTGAACCATGAGCTATTTCAAAGGTGCAGTAATGCTATATTTGGCTTCTCTGAAGATATCCTATGAGGCCAAGTCATCAGCTTTGTTCATTATCTAAGAGTGGTGGCCAGCTCACCAGCACTTCCCATCATGTTTGCCCTCCCTCTTTCCCTTGTGTTACTTCCCATTTTCCCTTACTTCTGCTTTCTTGGCATTAAATTCTACTCTGCAATGTTAGGATATAAGTTTTTGCCTCAGATTCTGTTTTCTAGGAAACCCATGCTAAGACAACACTGGCAGTGGCCCTGGAAAAGTAAACCTCATGATGGATTTGGAGTTGGATTGTTCACTGATCTGAAGGACAGAGGACTCCACTTAAGTGGTAAGCAGTGTAGCTATGAACTCTGCCACGCAGGCCTCACAATTACTGAGGCTTCTTTTACCTGTGGTTAACTGGGACACAGAACAGCAGGAAATTGAGTGTAGAGGTTATCAAGTAGCTGCTTCACTTAATTGGTATAATTTTATGGAGTTAACCTGGTTTAGAGTCCAGAGAACATTCCACATAGCCTAGAAAGGGTAGTTATTTGTCCTTACCATAATCAAGTCATACTTTGAATATGAGTTTTCCTTCCCTGTTCAGCACCACTTCTCTTAGACTTAAGAATGCCTGATCTGTTGATATTATGTCCCATGTAACATTGCCTGAGACAAAGATATCCATGTACCTTAAAGGAAGTGCAGCAATTAGCTTTCTCTGTACCCAACCCCAGAAGTATCCAGTTTATGAAATGGTGAAATGTCATTAGGGTTAATGGTGATGGGCTTACATTAGGCATCAACTCAGGGATATTCTGTAGCATTGGGGAGCTCTCCTGCCAGATGCAACATATGTATTAAACCAATAACTTACGTGTTGTGCTGTGTCCTCAGTAGCTAGAAAAGACAACTAAGATGTGGAAATAAGATTGTCACCTCTCACCATTACTCCCAGGGACATACAAGTAAAATTTGATGCTTTCCATGCCCACAACCTTAGGTTCTGGTATGGATCTCATGAAATCCTGGTAGACAAGAAGCATATATTTGGACTATATGAAAGACAACTGGTTAAATGACAAAAACTAAAAGACACTGATTGATTGACTTCAAACTGGAAAGGAATTTCTAGTGACATGTCATAAAGCCACATGAGCATTTGGATCAGTGGTTTGGATACATCTATTGAATAGCTCATTTAGCATATACATGTTAGGACTCAGAGGACACCTTGGTTCTCAAAGGAAGGAATATTTATCATTGCATAACTGATAGTCTTAGCACCAGACTGGACTTTTTAGTCCAGCTTGACATTTTAGGCATAGTTTAGTGAGCAACTTGAGGCCTGTGGCTTCAGTCAAAATCCTGATATTTAAAGATACTCGAGGCACCTCTATTTTTGTCTCTTTGGAAGATTTATTCTTGAATTGTATCTTTGTGTGCCTTATACACTTCACTATTCCATTATCAGAAGAATTATTATTTTTTGTGGAGATATTTTATGTGAGCAATACACAGACAGATCATCACTGATATCTCTACTTAAAGAAAGCCTCTGCTTGTTATACCTATATATTCCTAGGATATCTAGAATATGGTCTCCAGTAAGAGATTTAAGAAAAAATTAGACAACTCTAATTAAAAAAAAAAAACAAAGAGATCCAGGGAAGTTGTTTAAAATAAAGGAGAATTTAAAATGTTACCAGTAAACATTCACTGATGAAATATTCATAGAGACAGCTGCTCTAAGGACAAAGGTCTGTTTAAAGTTAAAGCATAGTGTTAATGCATGCAGTTCAATGGAACTTGTACCCTGAAGAATTACAGAGACTATACTGACAGCAAGATTCTGTTTGGAGAATAGGGAAAAATCCAGAAAGACCCAGAAAAAAGAGTGAATCCAGAATATCTGTATTAAAAAATTGGTTAGTGGACAGAAAACTACCAGGATGCCTTAGTCTGCAATGTGAATGAGTAAAAATGCCTTCTACTTAACTTGCCTCAAAGTTTTTATTTTTTATTATTTATTTATTTATTTATTTATTTATTTATTTATTTTGTTTTGTTTTGAGATGGAGTCTCACTCTGTCCCCCCATCTGGAGTGCAGTGACGCAATCTCAGCTCACTGCAACCTCTGCCTCCCAGGCTCAAGCGATTCTCCTGCCTCAGCCTCCCTAGTAGCTGGGATTACAGGTGCCTGCCACCACACCCACCGAATTTTTGTATTTTTAGTAGAGACGGGGTTTCGCCATGTTGGCCAGACTGGTCTCAAACTCCTGACCTCAGGTGATTTGCCCGTCCCGGCCTCCCAAAGTGCTGGGATTACAGGCATGAGCCACTGTGCCCAGCCGCCTCAAAGTTTTTAGCTCATCTTCCTTCAGAACACAGTTTCTAACTTCAGATACTATCAACTGTGCTCAGAGATACAGTTCTGGCTGGGCTGGGTGTTGTAACTGTACCCATATATAACCTTCCACTCAAAGGAAGAATACACAATTGTACTCAATTTTTTTAAATGCTTCTAAAACCCTTCACTGATTCTTAGCATAAAAAGTGTCCCTTTAAAACTAGGCTGTTTTAAGGGGTGGTGGACTCTGAGGAGGTGGCATGTTATATATGAAGAAATTATCAGAGATCCTGAAAATATGATTCTATTTTATGTCTGCAGCATTCTGGCATAGTTGCTGTGTATGCTGCCAAGTATTCTATTCATGGGGTAGAGCTGTTGTGTGGGGATGGCGAGGGGAGTTAGTTTTCTGTGTCAGTGAAGATGACACAACAGCTGGCAGGTGGCAACTGACATGACCACTCTGTATGACCATTCAGATTTGTTCAAGCAAGAAGACATGAGACAAAGATACACTGGCTGGCAATTCAAGCAAGTTCTCACTGAGCTGAATATCTTGCTCTGGTCTGTTTACTGGGCTTTTGTTCGATGCTTTGAAGTCTAGAAACTCATTTTTTTTTCAGTCCACCAGGGTTGACCAGACTTGGAGAACTGACTCTCATAAATTGAACTCACCAAAACCTGAGGTATGTAAGGTTTACAATGTATGCCTTCCTCTTTCCAAGGACCAGAATTTATGCCACTTTTTGGAGCTTACTCTTCCTCCTATCAAGATACCTGAGAAGCCAAATTAGTCATCAGGATCTTTCTTAGTGAACAGGAAAAAATAAGGTACAAGAAAGTTGATAGCCAACAGGGATATTTTATCTCATCACTAACAAAGGCTGGTAAGATCCTACCCACAAAAGAGGATCAGAACCCTCTGATAGATAATCTTTGTTTCCCTGGGATAATACTAAACTGACAGTGATAAATTCTTATCTTCTAGTTTTCCTTCTTATAGACTTCATGTAGGATAATTCTACAAAACTCAACTTCAAACAGCTTTCAAAATTTGTTTATTTATACAAATATTCATTTATTACAAATATTATGTTCTCTTCCCCCTCAAAAAAGGGTAGTATTGTCAAAGTCACAATATTTAGTGATGAGTAGGCAGTAATTGTGTGACATGGTAAATTCTAAAATAATTCTCTGGGTGCAAGGTAGAACTGGTTTTAAAATTGCTGAGGTGTGTTGGGGAAAAGGGAATGATGACTTAATACAATAATCAGTTAGTTTTGCATTGGAGGGATGAACAGTCAGATTGAAGAGGTTATGAGTCTTTTGGATTGTGGCCATATTTCCCCACATCTTTTGACACTCATAAATGCTGTTGTGGACTGAATGTTTGTGTCCCCCCGAGATTCATATGTTGAAGCCCTAACCCTCAATGTGGTAGCATTTGAAGGTAGGGCCGTTGGAGATAGCTGGGTTTAGGTGAGGTCATGAGGGTGGGGCCCCCATGATGCATACCATAAGAAGTCTGTAAGTTCTTAAGTATGAGAAGTATACTTCTTATAAGTATACTTGTAAGAAGAAGAGACACCAGAGCTCTCTCTCTTCTCTTTCACACAAAGAAGAGGTCATGTGAGCACACGATGAGATGGCACCCACTCAGAGAAGAGGCATCAAAATGAAATCTACCTTGCTTGCATCTTGGTCTTGGACTTCTAGCCTCAGGGACCAGAGAAATAAATTGTTTACTGTTTAAGCCACCCAGTGTATGGTGTTTTGCTATGAAGCCCAAGCAGACTAAGATAAATGCCATCTGCAATAAGATCACACACATTGTTATATCTACCTTCCCTAAGTGATTTTTGCTATACTTTTTGCTGGCCCATCTGGCCACAAGCAGATCAATTCTTAACCACTATTCCTTGGCATAGTGAGTCTGGAGAGGGTAGTGCTTAAATATACTAATAAGCAACTGCAAGTCTCTTTAATGGCATCTTGGAAATCTTCCAAGAAGAAGCAGAAATGCCCTGGGTTCATTTATAGGTCATAATTTGTAATTTGTCTCTGAGGTTTTAAAAAATAAGTATGTATTTATATTCAGATTGATGGTCCAGCATATTTAACCCTGACTAAATAGGATTTGGAAAAAGGAGCAGGCTACTAAAATTCCAGTGGTGGAAGTATTTCCTGAAAGCCTCTTTGAGCTCACCACTCTCAGGGGCTTCACCTAATAAATCACTCACTCTATGGAAATTTATGAAAAAGACCAGGCCATAGATAAATTTGTGGGAAATGTGTGACAACTGAAATGTGAGATTATCGTTTCTATGATTCCACAACAAGTTTTGTCTGTTGCACAAATATTTATTTATGCCCAAAAATGTGCCAGGCACTTTGCAGAGTCTTTACCTATTTTATTGTTCAAAGCAAGCTTCTGGGTAGGTATTATTATATCTAGTTTATAGATTGGAATACAGGGACTGAGGGAGATTAATTAATGTATAATCCAAATTATACTAATGTATAATCCAAAGATTATACATCTAGTATATGATGAAGTTAAGAAGGAAACTCTTGGCCGGGCACAGTGGCTCACACCTATAATCCCAGCACTTTGGGAGGCTGAGGAGGGTGGATCACCTGAAGTCAGGAGTTTGAGACCAGCCTGGCCAACATGGCAAAACCCCGTCTCTACTAAAAGTACAAAAATTAGATGGGGATGGTGGTATGCACCTGTAATCCCAGCTTCTTGGGAGGCTGAGGCAGGAGAATCGCTTGAACCTGGGAGGCAAAGGTTATGGTGAGCCGAGATCGTGCCACCGCAGTCCAGCCTGGGCAACAGAGTGATACTCTGTCTCAAAAAAAAAAAAAAAAGGAAACTCGTATCCTTACATCCAATTTCCATTCCCTTTTCACCAAATTCAGTCCATCTTAAATCACTCCAAAAAACTTTAAAATATTATAGAAGTAACCAACTGAGTATGTACTACAAAGTATCCATTAAATTCAAGAGTTACTCCAGCACTATTATTTAACAGAAAATATGTCCAGGAAATAGATTGCTTCTTCTGCTTGCCTGGAACTGTTTGAAAAGACCCCCATAAAAAGAGTAGAGGACATTTTGGTGGAGAAGTGAATCTATTTCAGTGCCCAAGAACTGCACCAATAAATGAAAGACTAACATTTTTAAACTTCTTATTGCTGTGTAATATATATATTTATATAAATTCCTTAATTATGACCTTTAAATTCAATCTAAATGCATACCAGTTCTCTGCTCTTCCCATCTTCAGCTCCCCTCCACATTTCTTCCTTCTCATCCTTCACTAACTTGCTCCTTTCTACCACCATAAATCAGCTTCCATCTTTCCAAGCAGCAGCATGCACAGTATAAAAGAAACATCACGGCCGGGTGCGGTGGCTCACACCTGTAATCCCAACACTTTGGGAGGCCGAGGTGGGAGGATCACGAGGTGAGGAGATCAAGACCATCCTGGCTAACACAGTGAAACCCCATCTCCACTAAAAATACAAAAAATTAACCGGGCTTGGTGGCGGGTGCCTGCAGTCCCAGCTACTCGGGAGGCTGAGGCAGGAGAATGGCGTGAACCCGGGAGGCGCAGCTTGCAGTGAGCCGAGATCACGCCACTGCACTCCAGCCTGGGTGACAGAGTGAGACTCTGTCTCAAAAAAAAAAAAAAAAAAAAATTGGCAAGCATTAAAAATGGAGCCTTTTAACACAAATTGATTCCCTTTTAGCCCTGCTATACAATATCTGACTTCAAATTCTCACTTTGATTTTAATTTATGGCTTTACCCATGTAACTCAGGCTTCCACAGGTTATTTATCTGCTGATGAAAAACCTCCCTTGCTTCCAACAAATTTGCCCCTTAGCATGGTATTGTGGGGACTTCTGGGATGGGGGTTTCTCACGAATGTTCACAAGTAAGAGATATTGGTCACCACAGGGCATCCACCACCACTTTCCTATGGTACCCCTGGGTGATGTCTACTGCTGCAGCCAACCCTCATAGATGAGCACATCCAATAGGAATCAGTGCCTTCTATCTAGTTAGCACCTTTTTGGGGAAGCATCCCTGCTCCATTTTTTGTCCACGTGTAGTTGGAGAACTGAACTTATTTCTAGTTTATGAAATAGGCACATGACCCAGGCCTGACTTATAAAAGTCCACATCCCTCTTAAAATTGAAAGCTTCAGGGAGGGGAATGTGACTTAAGCCAATCCAACTAGAGTCACTCCTGGGACTCTTCCTGGAGCTACTGGGAAAATGGTGCTCCTTTTGTTTAGAAATCATTCGCTGAAAGGAAAATGTATGCCTAAGGATACCGGCATGCATCTTTGCCACCACGCTGAAAAAGAACAAATACAGAGGAATGCAGAGTCAAGATATACAGAAATAGAGACAATCTAATGGCATTACTTCAATTGTAGATTCAGCCATGACTGAATACAGAATTATATCTTTAATCCCCCACTCATGTTAGTCAATGAATCTTTTTTTTTACTTTAAACTACTCTGAGATGGGCCTCTTGTAATTTAAAACCAAAAGATTTCTGACTAATGCACTTAAATACTTGCATCTACTTTTGGTTTGTAAAGCCTGCTATCTAATGCAAAACACTAACCTGCCTAATACCTATAGCTCTGTTAGTAATGGAATTTATTATTTCCCAAGTTAAAATAACTTCCTAAAATGTCTCATTCACCCAAAAAGCTTTCCCTCTTTTTGAGAATCTGCCCCAAATCAGGAATGATCTTTCTAGGCTTGACTGCACTTTGATATGTTAAATTTCTTTGAGATGGAAATCTCAGGAAAGTAGGAGAAAAACACAGGGCAGAGGGTTTCACATGCTTTTTTACTTCATATTAACCATAGGGTCTAGTAATCCTTTGGTATCACCTTCTCAGCATTCGGCACACTGCATTGCGGTAGAAAATGTCAATTACTCAGGTCATCTTGAACCCTAAGTTGGATCTCTCCTTCATGTTGGGGATAAATAACTTTAAGTGGGAAGGGTGAAGCCTAGAGTCAAACCTGTAAGCAAATTTCTGAGTCATTTCTACAGCACAGTAGAAAACGTGCTCTGTCCTTTTATTACATTCCCTGAGATTGAAAGCAGAGGATAAATTCTACCCATAAACTATCTTACATTTAATCCCATTGAAACCTTGTTTGGTTGAAATTCTCATCAGGGAAATCCAATGGGATCTTACACAAAGAGACTCATTTCTCCTCAATATAGCAGATTCCTGAATAACATCATTTTATTATAACGTTGATGAGGAAAACAAATATTTATTTCCAGCAAAGGACACCTTCTCTGTGGAATTTGCACATTGCCCCATATCTGTTACCTCTGGCCTGGAATTCAGCTTTTCATCTCTAGTTTCCCAGAGCCTAGTTCAGTGTCTGGAACAAAACAGGTGCTCACTTCTTGTGGTAGACAGAAAAATGGCCTCCCAAAGATGTCCATGTCCTAATCCCTATACCCTGTGACTATGTGACCTTACCTGGCAAAAGGGATTTTGCAGATATGATTAAATTACGGATCTTGAAGTGGGAGATTATCCTGGATTAGCAAGTGGCCCAGTGTAATTAGAAGGATCCTTAAAAAAGGGAGGCAAGATATTGAGAAAAAGGGAGATATGATCACAAAACCAGATATTGGAGTGATGTATTTTGAAAATGGAGGAAGGTGCCACAAGCCAAGAAATGCACTTGGCCTCTAGAATCTAGAAAAAGTAAAGAAATGTATTTTTCTCAAAAGCCTCCAGAAGGAAGACAGTTCTGCCAACACCTTGATCTGAGACTTCTGACCACCAGAAATCTAAGAGAAAAAGTTTGTGCTGTTTTAAAGCCATTAAATTTGTGTTCATTTGTTACAGCAGCAGTGGAAAACTAATATGCTTACTATTCACGGATTGGTTGGTTGAAAAGTAAATAAATGGATGCATATGCAATGCTTTCTGTAGAACATTTTCCTGCTTTTATCCCCAAGGTAAACTGAGCTACCTGAAGTTTAGACAGTGATCAGACCTACTAGTTTCCTGCAAAAAGACAATGGACTTCCCTGTGGAGTAGGAAGGTGGGCCACCTGACCACCCTCACCGTGGAAAGGGCTCCTCAGCTGCATACACACCAACATCAGATTGCCTTTGCCAGGCTGGCAACGAAATATTTTGTGTTAATAAAATTTTCTGTAATAATTCTGTTAAGCCACAGGATAAACTTATGTCAAACTGATTATTTCTGAGAGGTGAGCTTTTAGGTAGTTTTTGCTTTCATGTTTAGCTTCTCTGTGGCTTTTCTACTGTTTTGCACTAAACATATGGTTTTATAATGAGAAAATAATAAAATAACTTTCATTCTGAAAAACAAAAGTCCTCTTTTACTGAGGCTTTCAAGATGTGTTTCTACATCCATGACTGTTTTGTTTCTCGAAAACAAAACAACAATTTATAAGAACCATCTTCTTTTCAAAGGAAGCGCATATTAAGATAAAAATGGAGTGTTATATGGAATTAGGCAGAATGTTTTTCCCCTGACTGTCTCCTCTGATTGCAATCAGCATCTGTAGCCAAATGAAGTCTCTGCCTATTCTGAACAGAGGAGCACACAAACCCTGTTGTAGAACTCTGGCCTTAGCAAGGACACTTGGAGCATTATTTGCTTATTAGGTTACATCAGAGATCGACAGACTTTTTCTGCAAAGAGCAGATAGTAAATATTTTAGACTCTGCAGGCTATATGATCTGTATCACAACTATTCAACTCTGTCACTGTGGTGTGAAGGCAGCCATCAATATTGTGTGAATAAGTATGACTATGTTCCAATAAAACTTTATTTATAGATGCCTCAATTTGCACTGCATATGATTTCATGTGTCACAAAATATCATTCATCTTTTTTTTCAACAATTTAAAAATATAAAAAGGTTTCTTAGCTCACAGGCCCCAAATGGATTTGGCCCATGCTCGGATTTGACAACCACTGGTTTATATCATTATTTATGCGAGAGTTCAAAGAGTCCATTTTTACTCCAATTATGTAATTAGGACTTTTCCTTAAAATATCTCGTTCTGTTATTTTCACAAGCACATGCCAAAGCCATTGCTTTAATTTGTTATTGTACATATACTATGATTATAACTAAATACTTGGAATCTTTACATGATTAAAAAACATTTGCTTCATTTTTAAAATATTATATTTTACCTAACAAGATGCTGGATAGAGGTTTAAAATATCTGTTAGAAATAAAATATTCTATTTATGATATGGTATGGCAAGAGTGAACCCAAATGTTTATGAGTTACCACCTAGCTATGCAACTATTGTGCACATACCAGTGGACCTGAAATGGTAAAACAAGAATGCCCCCAAGTGGTAGCAGCCATGGGAGATGGAATCTCAACCAAGAATCTCTTCTCATTAAAGTAGGCAGGCCTGAATCTCTGCATTGCTATTGCAAAGACAGAATGCTTATCACCCGATACAGAAGACGGAGTGCTCAAATTAGAGAAGGACAGGAAGCAACAGGACCTGGCAAATGGGGAGTTGGGTCATTCCTAGGGCAATTCGATATTTTATTTTGCAAAGTATATTGAAGGTAACCATATGCCTTAGAAGTACAATTGATAAATACTGGACTCTAAGTGAACTTTGAGCCGCTTCATAAGTAGATTAAGAATGGATGCTCTCATAAGAGGAAGGAAAAACCCAGGAAAATAATACCCATAGCTAACATGGTCGGAAAGATAGTGCAGTGTGGTATCAAAGTTCATGGCCTTTGAAGCCAGACTGCCTGGGATTGAACTCCAGCTCTACCACCTGCTACCTGTGTAACTTAACCATCCATGCCATCTCCATGCCATTAGGAAGTAATAGTATCAGCCTCCTAGGGTTTTTTGAGTGATAAATCAGTTAATATATTACAAAGTTTCTAGAATAGTGTTGGGCATAAAATGAAGGCTATATTAGTGTTAGCTACTGCTATTATAACTTTTTCAAAATTTTTTGAATAATATTTCATTCCATGCTCAATACCAAGATCATGAAAGGGATGAACTCATTTCTTTCACACAACAATCCTGAGTCACACAATTATTTCCTATTTTACAGATGACAAAATTGAGGCAGTGAGAGGTTCAATAATTGCCGAACAGCATAAAGCTTTTAAAGCCACACTTGAGCCCGGGGAATCATACTGTAGAACTAATGCTCTTCACTGCTTCTTGGTGCAAAATGATGGCTCAAGATAAGCATGACCTGAAAAGGAAAAATCCATGCCAAATTTTCTGTCTTAACTCCAGTTCACCCCCCTCAACATATCTACTTGGATGTATGTTAGGCCTTGCAAACAACAGGTTCAAAACGAACTCCTAGTTTCTCCAAAACCTGCTCCTTCCACCTCTTAGTTAAAGGAGACGCCATCCTTCCAGTCACTTAGCCTAAAAACCTCGGAGTCATCCCTGAATTCTCTTTCTCTCACACCATACATTCAATCTAACAGCAGAGACCAGTTGGCTCTGCCTTCTAAATATGTCCCAAATTGGCCATGTCCCACCACCTCCACTGCTACCATCCTGCTCTCAGTCACTCTCACTATCTCTTGCCTCAGTTGCTGCAATGACCTCTAACTTGTCCCTCTTCTAGCCACACTCACACTCTCTCTAAGGCCCCACAACAATCTGTTCTCAACATGGTGGCCGAAATGCCCTCTCTCCCTCACTTATTCTCCTTTAGTAGCATCATCTTCCATCTATAAATTTTACTTATTAATTTTGTTTATCATCTGCATCCTCTATTAGAATATAAATTTCACAAGGGCAGAAATTGTATCTTTTCTGTGCACTGTTAAAATATAGGGCATATCATATCACCCCTGTGCTTAAAATCCTCCAGAGGCTTCTCTTGCTTTCGAAGTGTCAAAATCCTGTTCAGCCACACTGGCCATCTCCACCCTGGCCTGTGCACATCCTGTTCATTCTACCAGGACCCATCCCCTAGGTAGCTCAGATCTTGCTTCTTCTCTTCCTTCAGTCCTTTCCCATTTCTATAATGCCTTTACTGAACACCCAATCCAAAATATGACCCCATCCCAGTTACAACACTTCCTAACCTTATTCTCTGCTTTACTTTTCCTTAGCAGCATATATCACATTTTATATTTCTTATACTTTTATATTTTATTTCCATCATTTATGGTCTGACTTCCCTACTAAAATGTAAGTCTCACTGGGGTAGATATTTTAGTCTGTTTTGTACACTGTTGTAGCTGCAGTGCCTAAGAGAGTCCCTGGTACACAGTAGGCACTCAACAAATATTGAGCAGTAAATCTCCAAAATTAATGTATGAATGAGTGAGTGGGTGAATAAGTTAATAACTCATTATTCAATGGCTAAAGAAATGGACATGGATATCAGAATCTCATGTTATAGCTACCATCATTATAGATTAACATTAGAGTTAAATCATAATGTCAATTAGCTTTTTTCCAAAGATTGGAGAAAGTGATTTAGACCAGAGGCCAGCATGGAGCTTCCTCCTGAATTGGAGGTAAAGGATTGACCTTAGTTGTCCAAGTGTGATAAAGAAGCCAATACTAAGAGAATGGGAATTCAGCTGACCTTCCTGAGCCAGGTCTCTGTGTCCTACCCACATGCTGACTCCTCATCAGCAAGAAGCCCAAAAAAGGAAGAGAGAAAAGCCCACTCTTTATTGTCATTATCCTGCCCCTACTAAAGTTACGACTGCTGCTATGTTCTTGTAAGTTACATCCAGCAGATAATTCGTTCCTCCTACTGTGGGAAGGAGCAAGTAAGGAGGAGGAGAGAGAGAAAGGTCCAGGATCTCTGTCTCCAGCCCTCCCTGAGAAGATACACAGGTAACACACATCTTCTAGTTTCATTTGTAAAACAAAACAATAGATTTGGTTTTTCTCTTAGTCTATTTATGCTGCTATAACAAAATACCACAGACTGAGTAATTTATAAAAAACAGAAACTTATTTTTTCACAGTTATGGAGGCTGGGAAGTCCAAGAACAAAGGACCAAAAGATTCAGTATCTGTTGAGGGCTGCTCTTCGTCTCCAAGATGGCGCCCAGCTGCTGCATCCTGCTGAGGGGAGGAATGCAGTGTCCTCACATGGCCAAAGGCTGAAGGGCAAGCTAGACGAACACTGCATGAAGCCTCTTTTTCTAAATGTTATATGTATTATATACTGAATTCTTACAATAAAGTAAGCTAGAAAAAATAAAATGTTATTAAGAAAATCATAAGACAGAGAAAATACATGTATTTCTCTGGAGTAGGTGCCTACATATCCTGTTTCCCCTTCCATCTACTAATATGGGTCCACTTGGGTTTGAACTGCTAGGGTCGACTTGTGGATTTTTTTCAAAAAATTAAAGTTAATAATAAATAATAAAAATGGTTATCCTGAAGTTACCCATATAATTAAACTCACTGTGGTTTCCCATTCCATAATGTGGACTCAGATATTCTCAGTTTAGCCTTTTTTTAAATTATTGTATAATGTCGAGCTAAAGAATATTCCCAGACATTATTATAAATAGATTTCTGGACAGGCTGCACCCAAATAACAATTGCAGTTAAGATGCTGATGCTTAAAATGAATAAGAATAGAAAGATTATGTAACATTAATTTAGTATTTGCTATATGCCAGGCACCATTTTAAGATCTTCATAAATATAATCATTTAAACCTTACTTGGACTTAGAGAGGTTAAGAAACTTATTCAAAGATGCACGTGAACTCAAGCCAATTCTGTCTGATGCCAAAGTCTATATTTTTAAT
This sequence comes from Homo sapiens, assembly GCF_000001405.40. Classification (NCBI taxonomy): domain Eukaryota; kingdom Metazoa; phylum Chordata; class Mammalia; order Primates; family Hominidae; genus Homo; species Homo sapiens. The sequence continues at coordinate 15,035,716 of NC_000011.10, read as the reverse complement.
CACTAGCTCCTTCAAACTGCTTCTTAACCTCAAAACAAGGTGAGCTACTGATGGCAGCTACTGCTCCAGGTGGCTTGCCGCTGCCATCATGCCAGCTGCAGCAGGGAGGAACAGCTGGGACTGCAGATTTCATGGAGCAGGTGGGAGCCCCACCCCTTCTGAGTGGGAGCGGGAGCTCCGCAGGTGCCCAAACCGCGCCTGCAGACCCAGCCTGCACCATGGAGCAGGCAGGAGCCCCGCCCTCCTGGGCGGGGCTGCGGCTGCCCAAATTGCGACTGTGGATCCGAGCTTCCTGTGCTCTTGGAGGGTTGGGAGCAGGCAGGATCCCTGCCCTCCTGGGCAAAGCCGCAGCCACCCAAACTGCTGCTACTGATTCGGGCCACTGAGTGGGCAGGAGCCCCACCTCCCTCCCAGCTGCCACCACCCAAACCTGGCTACAGACTCAGGCATCCCTGCACTCTTGGGCCCCCATCCCCTGACAGGCTCAGAAGTGCTTGCCCCCAGTGTCTGGCATCTCCAGCTGTCAGTGCCCCCTTTGATCTGGGAGCAAAGTGGGGCAGAGTCCTGGGGGCATGAATGCCAGTGGGAGGCAGACAGATTCCTGGGTGGAAGGGGCAGTTTCTGGTAAAGCCCTACCTTTGGGCCAGGGAGGGCCTGAAGGCTGGGGGACAGACTGCCAGTCCCGCAGACCAGAGTGGGGACTTGTGGTGCTTCTTCCGGCCTGCCCATGGCCACCCATGGACCAATCAGCATGCACTTCCTCCCCTCTCATGTCCATAAAAGCCCTGGGATCAGCCAGAGCAAGGCAGAGGACGGAGGGACACAGACAGACAACGAAGGACCAGCTGCAGAGAGGAGCTACTGCCTCTAGTGATAGCTGGACATAACAGACAGAAAGGAGCTATCCTCTCCAGTGAGAGGTGCAGAGAGGACAAGAGGACCTGTAGGCGGAAAGGAGCCACCCTCTCCAGAACCTCCTCTGTGCTGAGAGCTGAACACTCCACAAGATGACCCACCTACAGAGAGGAGCTACCCACCTGCCTACAAAGAGAAGCTACCCACTGTAGGTCTCCTCTGAGCTCAGTAAAGCTCCCCTTCATCTTGTTCACCCTCCACTTGTCTGCATACCTCATTCTTCCAGGATGCAGGACAAGAACTCAGACAAAGGCACCACCAGCCACAGAGGTTTCTAGCCGGAAAACTGGCATCCTAAAGATCCCATAACACTACCTCTTATAGAAGTCCCTCATAACCAGGAATTTTTTCTACCTGAGCAGGCTACATGTTACATTCACACTCCCAACCAAATGTTCCTGACTAAACCATTATCATGCCAGATCCTATTGTTGTAAATGAGGTGATTCTACAAATTAAGAAAGAGTTTGAGAAACTTGACTGTATTCAGAGAAGAGAAATACAAAGTGAAGAGATCTTAAAGGCTATGCAGTTAAGAAGAGGTTGAAAGTATCATGGATATTGACTCTCAAGTAAGGATGATTGTGAGGTGAGGGGGAAAAAATATTGTCTCAACAGTTGACAGGCATTTGTTGAACAAGAACAAATTTACTCAGTGTTGCTTCCAAACAGCAATCCAAGTAACAGTGAATTGAAGTTATAAGGAAGCTAGTTCAGAGAATAATTTTTAACCAGATTGTTCAGAAATGAAGCACCTCACTTCTGGAAGAGTCCATCAGAGGCTGAGAGGGATGCAGGAGGAAGAATGATTCTTGCATTAGGTGAGAGATGGGCCTGGGTCAGAGGCTCCCAAACTTACCCATCCATGTCATGTTCACTGCTCTGTGGTGAATGAGAAAAAGGAGAACAATATAATAAATTCCCCAAAACATCATATTTATTCACTTTAGAAGGCCGTCTTTTATTTTGAGATTGCACTCTTCCTCATTTTAAGGCATTAAATGAACTTTTTTCACATTTAACATTGTTATAGTTGTATGTTTTGTTTCTTTTATTAGTAACCTTATATGGTAAATAAAAAGCTGATAAGAATATCTTCACCACAGATCTTAAAATAATTTGTGTTACAATGTATATAATCTAAAAGTCTGAGAACCAGCTGGCCTAGATGCAAACTAAGATCACATGATTCTATGCAGCTCTTTGACATGGATACCAATATAAGAATCAAGGCTGACTAGTAGTCAGGTTACACATACTGGGCACTTCTGTGCCATAAGCTTCATATCTATCATCTCATTTAATTCTCACAACTTTGTTAGTTAGGTAATATTTACATTTCCCTGAGTGATACGGCAGTTAAGTAACTTGTTTAAGGATGCACCACCAGTATACAGTGAAGCGAGGATTGAAATCTAGGCTGTTGGTCTCTAGAAACAGACCTCTTAGTTATTGTGCTAACTTCCCATATTTAAAAAATCAACACTCCTCCCTCAAATCAAGCAAGCAAGCAAATGAAAGAAAGAAAAGAAAAAAGAAAAACCCTTAGCAAGTTAAGAATAAAAGAAAATTTCCATGACTTGATAAAGGATTCCTACCTATAAAAAATGTTTTTCCCAATGATAGAATATTAGAAGCCTTCTCACTAATATCAGGAGCAAGACAAGAAAAACCCACATAATTGCAACTATTCCATATCATAAATAATATATTAAGGCAAGAAAATTAAAAGGGATAAATATTAGATAGCAGGATATAAATCATCATTTGTGATATGCTTATCTGCCCAGAAGAGAATGAAAAAAATTAATAGTTTTCTTACTTACCAACAATAAACAATCCAAAATGTAACCCCATCCCAATAGAAGTTCCCAATAGAAGTCCTAGTTCTAACTCTACACTAGCTCACTATTTCTCTTCCTTTTTCTGAGACTCAGTTTCCTCATCTTTAACAAAGGTTTGCATTGGTTCACACTCCAGCTATAATGCTATTTCTCTTCTGTGTGCTCGCATTAGCCAAATACCAGATCCCTTTATGATTTAAGGAATACTTTATAAGAATGGAAAGCCAGAATTGGCCTTGAGATATTTTTCTTTGCTCATGGTCACTAGGGCACAGGTGTGTTATCTTTATAAAAGGCTTTTGGACTCTCCCATGTGCCATGTTTTTCTCAGAGTAATCATTGGTGCCATTGCTGGTTACACTATAAAACTCTCAACGGACTGGAGTGCATCATAATGCTAAGAGTTTCAGACAGATGGAACAGTGTGGAAAATGAGCAGAAGCTGGAGGAATATTCTTTCTTTGGTAATGGTGCATAATTGTTCCTTTTTGAAGGGTTCCACTCTTGCATAGAACAGACATCAATGGTGACTCTTTCTTTGGTGCTCCAGAATAGCAACAAAACCAGGACTTGAATCATGAAGCAGCACACATCTTCTAGTTTCATTTGTAAAACAAAACAATAGATTTGGTTTTTCTCTTAGTCTATTTATGCTGCTATAACAAAATACCACAGACTGGGTAATTTATAAAAAACAGAAACTTATTTTTTCACGGTTATGGAGGCTGGGAAGTCCAAGAACAAAGGACCAAAAGATTCAGTATCTGTTGAGGGCTGCTCTCCGTCTCCAAGATGGCGCCCAGCTGCTGCATCCTGCTGAGTGGAGGAATGCAGTGTCCTCACATGGCCAAAGGCTGAAGGGCAAGCTAGACGAACACTGCATGAAGCCTCTTTTTCTAAATGTTATATGTATTATATACTGAATTCTTACAATAAAGTAAGCTAGAAAAAATAAAATGTTATTAAGAAAATCATAAGACAGAGAAAATACATGTACTATTCATTAAGTGGAAGTGGGTTATCATGAAGGTCTTCGTTCCCATTGTCTTTACCTAGAGTAGGCTGAGGAGGAGGAGGAAGGGGAAGAGTTTGTCTTTACTGTCTCAGAGATGGCAGAGGTGGAAGAGGTGGAGTAGGTGGAAGGGGAAACAGGATATGTAGGCACACTTGATGTAATATTTTTTGAAAAAAATCCACAAGTCTACCCTAGCAGTTCAAACCCAAGTGGACCCATATTAGTTCAAACTAATATTCAGTTGTTCAAGGATCAACTGTATGTACATTAGTCTGCTAGGACTGCCATAATCAAATATACAGACTGGGTGGCTTAAACAACAGAAATTTATTTTCTCACAGTTCTGGAGTCTGGGAGTTCAAAATCAGAGTGTCAGCAGGTTTGGTTTCTCCTGAGACCTCTCTCTTTGACTTGAAGACAACCACTTTTTTGTTAGGTTGAAGCCTCTTTTATATAGACCCAATCCCACTTATAAGGAAGGAGCCTAATAGCCTAATCACCTCTTAAAGACTCCACCTCTTAATTCTGTCACATTCCTAATAGCTGAATTTTGGAGGGGACACATTCAAATTATAGCTGTAGTCTTCGTTAACTGGGAATTCTCAGTGTCTAGATACAATCTAAATATTTAATGCTGGGTATATGTGTGTGTTGCACAAGCGTTTCAGTCCAAAAATGCAGACAGTTAGAAATATGCATGTCTTAAAAACTACAAATCATCTTAGTAATGATTCAAATTGCCATCATGTCAAACTGGTGAAATTCTACCTTAATCATTTACACTTCCTAAACCCCAACCATATTATCAGTTTCTGAAATCAGATTCCCCAGAATCAGAACCTGTGAATGAGATTTATTAAGAAATATTACTGGGCCAGGCATAGTGGCTCATGCCTATAATCCCAGCCCTTGGGAGGCTAAGACAGGAGGATTGCCTGAGCCCAGGAGTCTGAGACCAGCCTGGGCAACAAAATGAGACCTCATCTCTACAGGGAAAAAAAAAAATCACCAAGAAAAACTGGTAATAAAGGAAAAATGAGATGGAAAACACTCTAGCAAGAGTGCAATATCAAGACAAGTCCCCAGTAGGGTAATTTTGACTCGGTCCCACAGAGGAGCTTTGGATACAGTGTAGATTATAATATTAGTCCTGCCCAGGAGCTGAGGAGCTAGAATATTTAAATTCTGCACACTCATCAGTCATTGGTTAAGAGCTAACCTTCAGGTTTGTGAATTCCCAAGAACAACTGGCTCTCTACGTGAAGAGATAAAGGGTCTCCAGAGACCCCTGACAAAAAGATGCAGAAGCTGATGAGCATGATAGTTGTAAAAGGGATCCAAGGAGATGTAGGCAGAGTACTAACAATATCTGCTACAGCCCAGGTCTTGTGCTGTTCGGATCCGCTATTCCTCACACTAAGTTTACTCCACTAATTCTTCAGGATAGTGGCTGTTCACAATTCTAGGGAAAAATGGGACTTTTTGTGAGAAGTGTTAATGGAATAAGCTGTCTTAGTCTGTTTGTGCTGCTATAAAATACCTGAGATTGGGTAATGTACAAAGAACAGAAATTTATTTTTTTCGCAGTTCTGGAGGCAGGGAGTCCAAGCTCAAGGTGCCAACAGATTCATTGTCTGGTCAGGGCTGCTTTCTGCTTCCAAGATGGCACCTTCTCATTGCATCCTCACGTGGTAGAAGGGCAAAAAGGAACTAACACTGTGTCCTCACATACAGAAGAGATGGAAGGGCTAGACAGCTCTCTGAAACCTTTTTCATAATAAACTTCATTATTCCCATTCATGAAGTTAGAGCCCTCATGACTTAATCACTTCCAAAAACACCTCACCTTTTAATACCATCACCTTAGGATTTAAATTACAAGATCAGAATTTTGAAGGGACACAGATTCATACCATAGAATCCCTGCTGCAGTTGTTGATCTCAAGATCATCACTGATATTTATTATGTTACCCCTTTACTATCCACTTCAGATTTCTTTCCACCATTGTCTACTACTTCTGCTGGTCTGAATTGCTTTCGTGGTGTTGTGACCCTAATTTTCATCCCTAAGGAGCCAAAGCCTCTAGTTATCAAGTCTTTGTTGGGTCATCTTTGTTGTAATTGCCTATTCACAGTTAAAACTGGGTTGGAAATACAAAGCAATACCCCAGCAGGTTCCCTGGGTTCCAGATATACTTCTCCCTGCTTCCATTATTTAGCATCAACCATACCTCCTTACAGTGATCAGGGTTAACTACCCCATAGTATAGTAAGTTTTTTCTTTCTCTATTGTTTTACTAGCAGGGAGAGACAAAAATTACCAGGCAGCAGCCATAACTTGAGGCTTGATAGAATCCTGACTGTGCCCAGGTAGAATAATACCCATCCCCCAACCCCAGGAATCAGGACTTATAGACATGATGAGCCTCAAATGGCTGAGACAAGAAGCTCAAATTCTCCAAGTGAGTCACTGGGTGTGATCATGAGAGGCATATGTTGAAGTCGCTCACTATTGTTCTGTTCTTATCAATTTCTATTACATCCTCAGCGATTCTAATTAAATAGATATGGGATGAAACCTAGATTTCTGTATTTTTAAACAACTCCCTGAATAATTCTGATGATTACTCTTTACCACTATGGCACACCACTATGAGTGAAATTGATTCATTCATTCAAAAAATATTTATTGAGTACCTACTATATCCCAGTGCTCTAGATGCTGGGATATAGATCTCATTGTTCAACAGTGCAACAGTGAGATCTGTATAGATATAACTGGATATATATATATATATATATATATATATATACATACACATATATGTACATACACACATGTATACACACATATAAACAACTTACAGAAATACAGTATCATTATTAAAGCAGGAAACTAACATTAGTATAATGTTATTTATGTCTGGAAAGTGATCCTTTTCTTCCTTTTCTTTTTACCTTAGTTTTTCCAGTAGCTTTCTATCTCACCCTATCATAAAATTTCCTGCTTGAATCCTTGTTTTCTTTAATTTCCCTGAAAGCACAATGTGGTTATAGTTAAAATGTTTCTGTTTCCTAGAGTAAATGTTCCAAAATGTTACTTTCATCCATCTTTTGCATAAAATGTTCTTTTAATCCTTTTCACTATAAAATGTTTATTTGGTTTGCATGCTGAATATTTTCCTGCATATGTATCTCTTAATGCAAGTCTAAAATTTGTCCCTGATTAGTATTGGTAGAAACTCCTTGAGTCTCCTTCCTATTTACTCAAGCATTATTTTGATCTTGCCATTAGCACTAATGCTAAAGGGAGGGATTTTTACAGGAAATATTCTCTCTTCTCTGGTATAAGCTGTCTATCATGGGCAGGTGGATCAGTGGGTATGGAGCTGTGTCTATCTGCAACTGCAGTCTGGGAAATTTGACTGCATTTTCTTACTGTATTTATTTTAAAACATTTATTATTCATTCTGTGCTATGCCATATTCCATGGGAGGCATACCCTAAATTTGGATTTATTTTACTACTTCTGATATGCAATCTATTTTCAATATTGAGAGGTCTTAAAAGCTTAGTGTACATTTAATTTTGCAAATCAATACTATTATTCCTGGTTTGCAGCTGCAGTAAATGTTCACCTGTAGATCTCTACTGCTTGGGAAGTCATAGAATCATAATGGCATTATTTAGTCATACAATTTCTCTTCTAGGCCTCACTTCATTCTAAGTAAGATGTTTTCCATTCTGCCTCCAGCCCAATCATGCCAACAGTATCTGCTCCTCTGATTGAGACGTGCCACTGAGGTTCCTGTGACCCAGCTCCACCCACTTCCCACAGCCCAGCCCACTGTGCACATGAACAGGAAGATCATGAACCTGCCCTTGGCATCCTTTATCCCGAGATTGTTTTATAAAGATGAAGCCTGCTCTAGTTCCAGCATTAATGAAGTTTACTTTCTTTTAGTTCATTGTTTTACTTCATTTCAGTAAATATAAGGCATAGATAAATGTGCACTTATACCATTATCTTTCCCATTAATCCCATTACTTTTATAATCAGAAACAAACAAAAAGCCTTTTTCATTTTGAAAATAAAATCCATTTAAAAATGATATTTGATGGTGATTTCAATTCCAGGAAATGAATTTTTCTACTGAACAATCTGGTTTTCTTCTGAATATACAATCAATTTATTATTTTTCTCCCATCTAGATAAAAAAGGATGCCTGAATCTTCTTACTGATAGCAATTTTTTCTGCTTTTAAACATCCCTCATAGCTCACACCAAGCATACAATACAAAGAACACCCTTAAGCTTCCTGGTCCATGCATTTTACTCTGTACTGGACTCCTGAAACCACCCGTGCAAATATCATAACTGAGAAAATTATTACAGTGAAAGAGATCTGACCTAACCGACTCCATCTTGCTTCTAACCCCCAAGCTGTCCTTGTTCATTCCTAGGAATAAGCCAGACTAACTTTGGGAGAAACTTAGGTTATAAGTTAGCTTTGAAACAAAGATGATAATAGCCCTTTCCCAAAATAAACCCCTTCCTGCCTGGGAACTAGACCACCTTTGCAGGACTAACAAGTTGGTCACAAGATTAGAAATTATGGTTTAGTAGTCACGCAGCTGGAGGCTGCAAGATTCTAAGCCTCCCAAATTGCTCCTGGCAATGACATCACTATTGTAAAACCTCAGATCAGTGCTCGTGATATTTTGCAAACCCTGCATTATGATGCACCAGCTGACACCACCCAGACCTGTAATCTGGTGCAACCAGTTCTGCAATCCCATCCAGGAGCAGAAGACAGCAAGAAAAACTCATTCTGACCCCCTATGATTTCATCTCCAACCTAACCAATTAGCACTCCTCACTTCATGACCCCTACCCACCAAATTATCCTTAAAAACTTCAGTCCCCGAGTTTTCCAGGAGACTGATTTGAATAATAATAAAACTTCAGTCTCCCACACAACAAGCTCTGTGTGAATAAGTCTTTCTTTATTGCAATTCCCCTGTCTTGATAAATCAGCTGTATCTAGGCAGTGGGCAAGGTGAACCCATTGGGCAGTTACACATTTGGGGGCTCATCTGGGATTGCCCTTGTGGCTACCTGTTAATGGTTCAATAGCCCCCTCTGGCAACCAATCCAGAGGCCAGCCAAGTGACCATCTAGTTCTCCTGGACAGGGGCTGACTCTACTCTAGTACCATCTCTACCGGTAGGGCACTGCTGATCTAATGTGCATGGATTTAATTGCAATAAAGAAATAGTCCTGGGGACATGTCCTATCCCATAACTGTAGCCCCATAGTGGAGTGTCTGTCTGTAGCCACATGGTGGTGGGTCTGTCTGTATCCCCACTGCAGAGTGTCTGTCTGTAGTTCCACCACAGAGTGTCTGTAACTGTAGTCCTATCACAGGATGTCTGTCTATAGCCCCATCATGGAGTGTCTGTAACTGTAGCCGATTTGGTGAGTATTCTAGGAACTGCCAACACCTCCTTTCTTATCCAAATTTTTTGAGCTCCTTCGGGGATCTCTGTTGGCTCTTTCTAATTAGTAGGAAGAATCGTGATTCAGGAGATTTCTCCTCAGTCAGAAAGATTTGGGGGAGATTTCTCAGTTGGAGAATAGGCGGCTAGTTTGGAAGGAATACTCTTGGAATTCTTGGTTAGGGATCTTGGTTTGGAAGACCTTTTGTCTGTCTTGTATTTTTGTGTGTGTGTGTTTGTATATGTGGAGGGGATCTCTAAAGGAATTGCTGACAGAAGTCCAGCAGGCCTAACTTGGAGAACCCAAGTTCTGGTCACATTTGGTGAGTCCTGAAGAAAGCTCAACAGGCCTGACTTGGGATGACTGTCTGCTCTTCATCTTGCCCAGAGAACACCTCCAAAATTCCCAGTCAGAGGTCATCCCTCCCCACCTTGAGTGGATCAAAGGTGACAAGGACCAAGGGGAGAAAGTTTGAGTCTTGCCATGTTGATATTGGGTGCTGACCGAGGTAACTAGTGTCCGTTTGTTATGTATATTTTCCTCAGCTGGGAAGGAAAATGTTAATTTGGTAACTCATGCAACCTATTGGGCAGTATCTTGCAAAATTGAAAAGTTTTGTCTATGATTCCATAAAACATAATGGATAATTTTCTTTTTTGACATGATCTGCCCCCCACAGCTGTGGCAGAGGGAGCAGGGTCATCAAAAGCCACTCCATTCTTCTGGAAGCTGCAGAGAAAGGGAACCCAGAAACATGGTGTGCCAGCAAAAAGGGTAAGAATTTCTTACCAGCCAGGCTTCTGGCCTCTGTGTGTGTGTGTGTGTGTGTGTGTGTGTGTGTGTATACAGTAAATGTCATCACTGTTTGTCTCCTCTGCAAGGGTTTGATTAATAGAAAAAAGAATTTGTGAGACTACTCTTAGGCTGTAGTGAATCTGGTGTACTTTGTGGCAGGAATTTGTCTTTCTGTGTCATTCTGTCATTGAGAGATGAGTATCACAGGATAGAATGTGGGCTTAAGAACCCTATACACCTGCTTTTCACACCAGCCTAGCAGGCTTGTTGGTTACAAACTTTGCTGCAGGTCCCTGAAACCAGTAATGGATGAAGTTTCTCTCTCTTGTTTTATGTCCTTGAGAGTTTAACCTTGTGGCCATGTGGGGATACTTTCTCTTGGTCTCTGCCATCTAGAGGAGAGGAATTTTGGGGTTCATATCATAGTTGGCCCTAAAAGCAGCAGTTAAAAGCCTTTGCAAGCTCGAAATTGGCTGCTGTAGCCTCCTTCTGGAAAAAGCAATGGAAACTGCTCAGTGCTGCAGCTCAGTGGCTAAGGCTTTGTCTTTTGACAATGGTAGCCCAAGTTCAATTCTTGGCTTAAGGAATGAGTCCATTCTGGTTTGTTATTTGTGTTCTTTTTTTTGTCATGTATTGATTCATTTCCCCCCTGAGTGGACTGCTTCTGATTTTCTGTCTTGATTTTTTCTTTCTCTGAACTACCTTTAGGGAGATTCTAAATCTTGGAAAAAAGAACAAAAGGAAGAAAGGAAGGAAGGAAGGAAGGAAGGACAGAAGAAAGGATGGAAGGAAGAAAGGAAGAAAGAAAGAAAGAAAAAGAAAGAAAGAAAAAGAAGGAAAGAAAGAAAGAAAGAGAGAAAGAAAGAAAGAAAAGAAAAGAAAGAAAGAAAGAGAAGAAACTGCTTATCATCTCTGAGATAGCTTATGCATCCATGGTTAAGTCATAACCTTAGTTAAGACTTACTAATTTTGTATGGGAGGTTACCTGTGGTAGAATTCAAAAGCCAGAAATATTGGCTGTCTGTCCTGGCTAGAGTCACATATAAGAGATAAAAAATAAATTATTTAAAGAACTCTATGGTTAAAACCAGCTTAACTAAAAATGAATATTCAAGATATATATTTATATATGTATATATACTATACATATATATTTAAAAGGCTTTTATGACTTTTCTCTACTTGGATCTTGTTTTTTTTTTTCCTTTTTTTGAGAAAAATTTCTTGTTTGTTTTTCTTCTCAGTCTACTGAACTATTTCCCCAGTATGTCTTCTTGACACCTTGATGCCCACATGAGAGGACCTAAGGTAATTTCTGAGAGCCTGGGACTCCTTGGGAAAAACAGAGAAGGTGCCACAGGGCATATTTTGGGAGAAATCTCTGTTTTCCTCATGGAACCCCAAGAAGTGTAAGAGACAGTTTCCTCTCAAAATCTAAGGCTCTGCTCTATTTTGCATCACATTACCCGACATTTTTGACTTTAGGAGGCATCAGAAATTACTTTAGTAGAGGATAGATATGTAAAGAAATTTATGGATCTGAAGATGTATTTATGGTAAGGAAGGTTATAAAGAAAAGAAATTTAACATGAGAAAGGATCTTTTACAGTAAATTCCAGTCCTAAAGTAGAATGACGAATTATTGAAGAAAGAGGAAAATATAGGACAAGTCAGAAAGTCCACGTATGTCATAGATGGCCTGTATGAGTTGTGAGATAAGGTTCATAAAATGAAAAAAAAAACTCACAACTGCTACATCTTCTTCTGTCTCTGTATTTATAAGTGTTGTGTGTTTGATCTTTATATAAAGGAGCTCTAATTAATTGGCTTAAAGAAAATGAAAGTACTTAAATATTTTGTCAGACAAATAGAAACTCTAATGCCTTCTAGTTCATGTGACTTTAGTAATCTTTGGGAAATAAAAACAGTTTTAAAGATTATTAGTAAAATAAAAATGTCTTCAAAATTTAGACATTTGGTCTAAATTAAGTCAGAGATTAGATTTGTTAAATACTTTAATGTCATAAACTGTTTCTTTGACTTTTGAAAACTGTGTAATTTACATGCTTTAGAGTCAATAGATTCTAATTAAGGCCTGGGGACATGTGGAGCTAGCCATGTCTCCTAGCTGTGCTGGAAACAGTCAGACTTTATCTGCAGTTCTGTTGTGCATCCTAGACTCTGCACCTATCTAATTAAAATTGCTTACACTAAAAAGAAAAATTATGTGCTTTTGATACAAAGTCATAGGAATATCTTTTTTTCAAAAAACTAATTTTGTCTAATTTAGAAAATTTAAGAATTATATTTTCTTGTAAGAAAGAAAATAAAATTGAAAGCTTAAGCAAGTTATAGAAGGTTTATGAAAAATTAACTTTATAAAGAATTCTGCCAGTAGGCAAGTTGACTAAAATTAAAAGGGTATTTATTATTTAGTTCTTCCATAAATTAAATATTAAAACAAATGCACACTGACATAGGGCCAGAATCTTGGCCCATATGTCAAAGTAACAGGATTTTTTTGAACATTGATTTGTTCTTTAACAAAAATATTATAAAGTTATAAAAAGTTTATGAAAATCTTACTTTATGAACAAACTAGTTAAAACTGAATAGATTTATAAAATTTAATTAAAAACCAGCTTTAGCATTAAAGATACACTAATACAAAAATAAAATTTGGGTTTCTCTTTTGAAAAAAAATTTTATAGAATATTGAGAGACAATAAAAGATTTTTGTTTGCCTTTTGAGTAAACTACAAAAACGGGAGCGGGGAGGGAGAAGAGATAGATTTCACTGGCTTCATGCTGCCTTTATTGGGTCTTGTTTAGAAAGCTGATTCTCTCTTCTATCAGCAAGTATGGATTTTTGCCTTTTAAAATTTTTTTGAGTTACCATTTCAGCTAAATGAATAACCTGTGATCATATTTTGTGATATCCAGTGTTTTAAACCTTTAATATTTGGCAAGCCTTCCAAGATCATATTCTAAATTTAAAAAAAGGTCCCCAAAAGTCCAAAAGAGACATATTCAGCTTACTTGATGTATTAAAATCATACAGGAAACACTGTCAAATTTAAAATGGTGTTTAACTTTCTTTGAGTTATATTCATATAAATATGTTAATATGTGTTACGAAATTAATAATAAGATTCCTAAAATGCTGACATGTCTCAGTAAATGTTATTAGTCATAATTTTTTTAAAGTTCTGGGGTACATGTGCAGGGTGTGTAGGTTTGTTACATAGGCAAATATGTGTCACCATAGTTTGCTGCACCTGTCAACCCATCATCTCACTATTAAGCCCAGTATGCATTAGCTATTTTTCCTAATACTATCCCTCCCTTCACCTCCCCCTAACAGGCCCCAGAGTGTGTTGCTCTCCTCCCTGCAGCCATGTGTTCTCACTGTTCAGCTCCCACTTGCAAGGGAGAACATGTGGTGTTTGGTTTTCTGTTCCTGTGTTAGTTTGCTGAGAATAATGGCTTCCAGCTCCATCCATGTCCCTGCAAAGGACATGATCTCATTTCTTTTTACAGCTGCATACTATTCCATGGTATATATGTACCTCATTTTCTTTATCCAGTCTATCATTGATGGCCATTTGGGTTGATTCTCTGTCTTTGCTATTATGAATAGTGCTGCAATGAACATACACATGCATGTTATCTTTATAATAGAATGATGTATATTCCTTTGCGTATATGCTCAGTAACGGGATTGCTGTGCCAAATGATATTTCTGGTTCTAGATCTTTGAGGAATTGCCACTCTGTCCTCCATAATGGTTGAACTAATTTACATTCCCACCAACAGTGTAAAAGTGTTTCTATTTCTCTGCAACCTCTACAGCATCTGTTGTTATTTGACTTTTCAATAATTGCCATTCTGACTGGTATGAGATGGTATCTCATTGTGATTGCAATTTGCATTTCTCTAATGATCAGTGATGTTGCTCTCCTTGTCATATGTCATATGTTTGTTGTCTTCTTAAGAAGACATTCTTTTGAGAAGTGTCTATTCATGTCATTTGCCCACTTTTTAATGGGATTGCTTTTTTTCTTGTAAATTTAAGTTTCTTATAGATTCTGTATATTAGACCTTTATCAGATGGTTAGATTGCAAAAATTTACTCCCTCTCTGTAGGTTGTATGTTCACTCAGATAATAGTTTCTATTGCTGTGCAGAAGCTCTTTAGTTTAATTAGATCCCATTTGTCAATTTTTGCTTTTTAGTTGCAATTGTTTTCATCAATTGCATGAAACTTTTGCCTGTGCCTATGTCCTGAATGACATTAACCTAGGTTTTCTTCTGGAGTTTTTAATAGCTTTGGGTTTTACATCCAATCCATCTTGAGTTAATTTTTGTTTAAGGAGTAAGGAAGGGGTCTACTTTTAATTTCAATTTTCTGCATATGGCTAGCCAGTTTTCCCAGCACCATTTATTAAATTGGGAATACTTTCCCCATTGCTTGTTTTTGTCAGGTTTGTGGAAGAACAGATGGTTATAGATGTGTGGTCTTATTTCTGAGTTCTCTATTTTGTTACAGTAGTCTATGTCTCTGTTTTTATATCAGTACTATGCTATTTTGGTTACTGTAGCCTTGTAGCATAGCTTGAAGTCGAGTAGCATGATACCTCCAGCTTTGTTCTTTTTGCTTGGAATTGTCTTGGCTATATGAGTTCTTTTTTGGTTTCATATGAGTTTTAAAATTGTTTTTTCTAATTCTGTGAAGAATGTCAATGGTAGCTTGATGGGAATAGCATTGAATCTGTAAATTACTTTGGGCAGTATGGCCATTTTCACGATATTGATTCTTCCTACCCAGAGCATCTGTTTGTGTCCTTCTGATTTCCTTGGGGAGTAGTTGTAGTTCTCCTTGAAGAGGTCCTTCACTTCCTTTGTTACCTGTATTCCTTGGTATTTGTTTTATTCTCTTTGTAACAATTGCAAATGGGAGTTCATTCATGATTTGGCTCTCTGCTTGTCTGTTGTTGGTGTAGACAGATGCTTGTGATATTTGCACATTGATTTTGTATCCTGAGACTTTGCTGAAGTTGCTTATCAGTTTAAAAAGCTTTTGGGCTGAGAATAAGGGGTTTTCTAGATATAGAATTATGTCATCTGCAAACAAAGACAATTTTACTTTGTCTTTTCCTATTTGGATATGCTTTATTTCTTTCTGTTGCCTGATTGTCCAGGCCAGAACTTCCAATACCATGTTGAATAGGAGTGATGAGAGAAGATATACTTGTCTTGGACAAGTTTTCAAGGGGAATGCTTCCAACTTTTGCCCATTTAGTGTAATACTGGCTGTGGTTTTGTTCATAAATGGCTCTAATCATTTTGAGGTATATTCCTTCAATACCTTGTTTATTGAGAGTTTTTAACATGAAAGAATATTGAATTTTTTTGAAGGCCTTTTCTACATCTATTGAAATAACCATGTGGCTTTTGTCTTTAATTATAATTATGTGATGAATTACATTTATTAATTTGCATATGTTGAACCAGCCTTGCATCCCAGTGATGAAGCCAATTTGATTGTGGTGGATAAACTTTTTGATGTGCTGCTGGCAGTTTGCAAGTATTTTATCGAGGATTTTTGCATTGATGTTCATCAGAGATATTGGCCTGAAGTGCTCTTTTTTGTTGTATCTCTGCCAGGTTTTGGTATTAGGATGATGCTGGTCTCATAAAATGAGTTAGGGAGGAGTTCTTCCTTTTCAATTGTTTGGAATAGTTTCAGAAGAAATGGTACCAGCTCCTCTTTTAACCTCTGGTAGAATTCTAAGTCTGATAGAATTCAGCTGTAAATCCATCTGGTCCTGGGCTTTTTTTGGTTGGTAGGCTATTTATTACTGCCTCAATTTCACAACTTATTATTGGTTTATTCAGGGATTCAACTTCTTCCTGGTTCAGTCTTGGGAAGGTGTATGTGTTTAGGAATTTATCCATTTCTTCTAGATTTTCTAGTTTATTTGCATAGAGGTGTTTATAACATTCTTTGTTGGTTGTTTGTATTTCTGTGGGATCAGTGGTGATATACCCTTTATCATTTTTTATTGCATCTATTTGATTCTTCTCTCTTTTCTTATTCATTAGTCTGGCTAGTGGTCTATTTATTTTATCTTTTTTTTTTTTTTTCCAAAAAAAAACAGCTCTTGGATTCACTGATTTTTTTAAGGGTCTTTTTGTGTCTCTATCTCCTTTAGTTCTGCTCTGAGCTTGGTTATTTCTTGTCTTCTGCTAGCTCTGGGGTTTGTTTGCTCTTGGTTTTCTAGTTCATTTCATTGTAATATTAGAATGTCGATTTGAGATCCTTCTAGCTTTTTGATGTGGGCATTTAGTGCTATAAATTTCCCTCTTAACACTACTTTAGCTGCATTCCAGAGATTCTGGTATGTTGTCTCTTTGTTCTAGTTAGTTTCAAAGAACTTCTTGATTTCTATATTAATTTCATCATTTACCCAAGAGTCTTTCAGGAGCAAGTTGTTCAATTTTCTTGTACTTGTGTGGTTTTGAGTGAGTTTCTTAATCTTGAATTCTAATTTGATTGCATTGTGGTCTGAGAGACTGTTTGTTGTGATTTCAGTTCTTTTGTATTTGCTGAGAAGGGTTTTATTTCCAATTATGTGATCAATTTTAGAGTAAGTTCCATGCCATATGGCATGGACAAGAATGATATTCTGTTGTTTTTGGGTGGAGAGCTCTGTAGATATCTATCAGGTCCATTTGATCTACAGCTGAGTTCAAGTTCCGAATATCTTTATTAATTTTCTGTCTTAACTTTCTAACATTGACAGTGGGGTGTTAAAGTCTCCCACTATTATTGTGCAGGAGTCTAAATCTTTTTGTAGGTCTCTAAGAACTTGTTTATGAATCTGAGTACTCCTGTACTGAGTGCATATATATTTAGGAGAATTAGCTCTTCTTGTTGAATTGAACCCTTTACCATTATATAATGCCTTTCTTTGTCTTTTTTTATATTTGCTGCTGTAAAGTTTGTTTTGTCAGAAACTAGTTGTATTAGTCCACTCTCACACTGCTAATAAAGACATACCCCAAACTGAGTAATTTATAAAGGAAAGAGATTTAATTCACTCACAACCCAGCATGGCTGGAGAGGCCTGAGGAAATTTACAATTATGGAAGAAGGCACCTCTTCACAAGGTAGCAGGAGAGAGAATGAGCACCAAGTGAACAGAGAAGCCCCTTATAAAACCAGCAGATCTCATGAGAACTCCCTCACTATTATGAGAACAGTAAGGTAGAAACAGCCCTCATGTTTCAATTATCTCCACCTGATCATTCCCTTGACCTATAGGGATTATTACAATTCAAGGTGAGATTTGGGGGGGCACAGAGAAACAAACCATATCATTCTGCCCCTCAGCCCTCCCAAATCTTATGTTATCACATTTCAAAACAAAATCATGCCCTTCCAACAGTCCCCCAAAATCTTAACTCATTCAAGTATTCACCCAAAAGTCCAAGTCCAAAGTCTCATCTGAGACAAGGCACATCCCTTCTGCCTATGAGCCTATAAAATCAAAAGCAAATTAGTTACTTCCTAGATACAATGGGGGTACAGGCATTGGATAAATACACCCATTCCAAATGGAAGGAATTGGCCACAACAAAGGGGCTACAGGCCCCATGCAAGTCCGAAATCCAGTGGGGCAATCATTAAACCTTAAAGTTTCAAAATGATCTCATTTGACTCCATGTCTTACATCCAGGTCACACTGATGCAAGAGGTGGGCTCCCACAGCCTTGGGAAGCTCCACCTCTGTGGCTTTGCAGAGTATAGCCCACCTCCTGGCTGCTTTCATGGGCTGGCATTGAGTGTGGCTTTTCCAGGCCTATACATCCATGCATTTCCTTATATCCTCTGAAATCTATGTGGAGGTTTTCAAACTTCAATTCTTGCTTTATGTGTCCCCACAGGACCAACACCACATGAAATTTGCCAAGGCTTGGGCCTTGCACCCTCTGAAGCAATGCCCTGAGCTATACTTTAGCCAATTTTGGCTATGGCTGGAGCAGCTGGAAAACAGGACACCAAGTACTGAGGTTTCACACAGCAGGGGGCCCTTGACCCAGCCCAGAGAACCATGTTTCTCTGCTAGGCCTCCGGGCCTGTGATGGGAGGGGCTGCCATAAAGGTGTCTGACATGTCCTGGAGGCATTTCCTCCATTGTTTTGGCAATTAGCATTTGGCTTCTCAATACTTACACCAATTTCTGCATCCTGCTTGAATTTCTTCTCAGAAAATAGGTTTTTCTTTTCTACTGCATCATCAGGTTGCAAATTTTCCAAACTTTTATGCTCTGTCACCTCATGAAAGCTTTGCTGCATAGACATTTCTTCCACCAGATACCCTAAATTATGTCTCTCAAGTCCAAAGTATCACAGTTCTGTAGGGCAGGGGCAAAAAGTAACCAGTTTCTTTGTTAAAGCATAGCAAGAGTCACCTTTGCTCCAGTTCCCAAGAAGTTCCTAATCTCCATCTGAGACCAGCTCAGGCTGGAATTCATTGTCCATCCATATTACTATCAGCATTTTGGTCAAAACCATTCAACAAGTCTCTAGGAAGTTCCAAACATTCCTACATTTTCCTGTCTTCTTCTGAACCCTCTAAACTGTTACAACCTCTGCCTGTTACCCACTTCCAAAGTCACTTTCACATTTTTGCATATCTTTACAGCAGTGCCCCACTCCTGGTAGCAATTTGCTGTATCAGACCATTCTCACACCACTAATAAAGACATACCCAAGACTGGGTAACTTATAAAGGAAAAAGGTTTAATTGACTCACAGTCCAGCATGGCTGGGGAGGCGTCAGGAAATTTACAATCATGATGGAAGGCACCTCTTCATAGGGAAGCAGGAGAGTATGAGCACCAAGCAAAGGGGAAAACCCCTTTCAAAACCATCAGATCTTCTGAGAATTCCCTCACTATCATGAGAACAGCATGGCAGAAACTGCCTCCATGATTCAATTATCTCCACCTGGTCCCGCCCTTGACACATAGGGATTATTACAATTCAAGGCGAGATTTGGGTGGGGAGACACAGCCAAACCATATCACTAGAATTGCAACCCCTGCTTTTTTCTGCTTTCCATTTGCTTGGTAAATTTTCCTAGATCCCTTTATTTTCAGTCTATGTGTGTCTTTGCATGTGAGATGGGTCTCTTGAATACAGCACACCAATGGGTCTTGACCCTTTATCCAGCTTGCCATTCTGTGCCTTGTAATTGGGGTATTTAGCTTATGTACATTTAAGGTAAGTATTGCTATGAGTGAATTTCATCCTGTCATGATGTTTGCTGGTTATTTTGCAGACTTATTTATGTAATTGCTTCATAGTGTCATTGGTCTGTGTACTCCAGTGTGTTTTTGTACTAGCTGGTAACAGTTTTTCCTTTCCATATTTAGTGCTTCCTTCAGGAGCTCATGCAAGACAGGCCTGGTGGTGATGAATTCTCTCAGCATTTGCTTGTCTGAAAAGGACAAGCAAATCTTATTTCTCCTTCGCTTATGAAGCTTAGTTTGGCCAGATATGAAATTACAGGTTGGAAATTCCTTTGTTAAGAATCTTGAATATTGGCCCCCAATCTATTTTGGGTTGTAGAGTTTCTGCAGAAATGTCCACTGTTAGTTTGATGGGCTTCCCTTTGTAGGTGACCTGGCCTGTCTCTCTGGCTGCCCTTAACATTTTTCACCATTTTGAACTTGGAGAATCTGATGATTATGTGTCTTGGGGTTGATCTTCTCATAAAGTATCTTACTGGGGTTCTCTGGTTTTCCTGAATTTGAATGTTGGCCTGTCTTGATAGGTTGGGGAAGTTCTCCTGGATGATATCCTGCTGGCATATCCTAAATGATATCCTCCTGTCATATGGAAGTGTGTTTTCCAACTTGGTTATGTTCACCCCATGTCTTTCAGGTAACTCAATCAGTCATAAGTTCGATCTTTTTACATAATCTCATATTTCTCAGAGGTTTTGCTCCTCCTTCTCTTTCTTTTTTCTCTAATCTTGTCTGCCTGCCTTATTTCAGCAGGATAATCTTCAAGTTCTGATATTCTTTCTTTTGCTTGGTCTATTCAGCTATTGATACTTGTGTTTGTATTGTGAAGTTCTCATCTTGTGTTTTCCAGCTCCATCAGGTCATTTATGTTTCTCTCTAAACTGGTTATTCTGGTGAACAACTCCTGTAATGTTTTATCTTGGTTCTTAGCTTCTTTGAAATTAGTTAGAACATACTTCTTTAGCTCAGCAAAGTTCATTTTTGCCCACTTCTGAAGCCTACTTCTGTCAATTCATCCATCTCAGCCTCAGCCCAGATCTGTGCCCTTGCTGAAGAAGTGTTGACATAATTTGGAGGAGAAGAAGCACTCTGGCTTTTTGAGTTTTCATGTTTTTGCATTGATTCTTCCTCAACTTTGTGGGTTTATCTACCTTCAATCTTTAAAGTTTCTGAGCTTTGGCTGGTGAGTTTGTGGGGCCTTTTACATTGATGTTGTTGTTGTTGCTGCTTTCTGTTTATTTTTCTTTTAGCAGTTAGGCCTCTCTTCTATAGGGCTGCTGTGGTTTCCTGGGGTTCCACTCCAGACTTTATTCACTTGAGTCCCTCCTGTACCTGGTGGTATCACCAGTGGAGGCTGCAACACAGCAAAGATGGTTGCCTGCTCCTTCTTCTGGGAACTCTGTCCCAGAGGGGCACTGACCTGATGCCAACTAGAGGCTTTTGTATGAGGTGTCTGGAGACCCCTGTTGGGAGTTCTCACCCAGTCAGGGGAAATGGGATCAGGGACCTGCTTAAATAGGTAGTCTGGCTGCCCCTTGGCAGAGCAGGTGTGCTGTGCTTGGGGGGATCTCCCTCTTCCAGACTGTCTTCCAGACTGTCCTGAGTCTCCAGAGCCCACAGGCAGAAAAGACTGAGAATGGTGATTCGTGGATACCACTGCCACCTCTCCCCCTAATGGCTCCATCAGATTTTGATAGCCCCTCCCCCAATTACAATTCTTATGTTAAATTGTTGTGTGTCACAGAGATGACCAGATTTCTTTTTTAATTGCATTTTTAACTATGGTCGTCCTGAGAATTTTGTCACCCACAGATAATTGTTGTCTTGTTTTGATTCTTTTCAAAAGGTGGTTTATAATCTGATAGAAAACTCTGATGGGTACTCTTGAATACAGGTCTCTGATAACTTTAGAAATTGTGCTATTGGAATAGAGAAAAAAAACTTCTAAGACTCTCATGGAGAGCTGATATGTTAAACATTGCTAATCCTTTTATTTTTCAGAATTAAGAGAACTTTTTTCCTTTTGAGCTATTTACAACTTTTAGCGATTGAGTAAAGTATACTCTTGTAAACAAAGCTCAGAGCATATCATTTTCTCTCTTACCTGATTTCTCCAGAATTTAGAAACTATTTGTGAGTATACTCAACTTATGGCAGTATAGTTATTTTCATAAGTGTAATAAGAATCTGTTTTCTTTTGTAACAGAACACAATTGGAGATGCCAGTTATTTTACCAAAGATTTGACTGGAATGGTGTGCTTTTTTTTTTTTCTTAGGAATCAAACTTGACTTGTAGAGCCAATAAAACCCCATTGGGTGCCAGGCATGGTGGCTCATGCCTGTAATCCCAGCACTTTGGGAGGTCAAGGTGGGTGGACCACGAGATCAGGAGATTGAGACCATCCTGGCCAACACAGTGAAACCCCATCTCTATTAAAATACAAAAACATTAGCTGGATGTGGTGGCGGGCACCTGTAGTCCCAGCTACTTGGGAGGCTGAGGCAGGGGAATCCCTTTAACCCAGAAGGCGGAGGTTGCAGTGACCTAAGATTGCACCACTCCACTCCAACCTGGGTGACAGAGCAAGACCCATCAAAAAAAAAAAAAAAAAAAAGCCCATTGGGCTAACTGGCCTCATACCTGTACAGGGTTCATGGCCCAAGGTAGGTAAAGAATGTCACTTTCTTACAGACCCAGGAGCCCCCACGTTATCCTGAGACCTCAAGACAAGAAGAATTTACCCAACTAAACTAGGTATTCGATGTCACAAATTTGCAACTAGGCTCAAGGCTTTAAAGAGTGTAATCTGAATTAGCCGGGTGTGATGGCGAGTGCTTGTAGTCCCAGCTACTTGGGAGGCTGAGGCAGGAGAATGGCGTGAACCCAGGAGGCGGAGCTTGCAGTGAGCTGAGATCCTGCCACTGCACTCCAGCTTGGGCAACAGAGTGAGACTCCATCTCAAAAAAAAAAAAAAAAAAGAGTGTAACCTGATATTCCTTATGGAACAAACTTTCAGCAAAGCCAATTTTAAAAAGTTTAAGATTAATTCTACAATTTGTATGGAAAATAATTATTCCTAATGCACTTTATGCAAATAATCAGGCCAAGCATAATAAAACTAAGATTTATTTTGCAAGCAAACTTGTCCTACTATGATTTGTGTTTAATAAAAGTGGGGACTGGAGAGAGAAAAAATGTGTTTCAAAAAACTATAGTATATCTGTTGTTAGTTGTTCTTGAATTTTTATTATTTTCTATAGTTTGAACTAAATCCTGAATTCTTTGTGGGCTGCAAGTCCCCAAACTAACACTCTCAGATTTTTGTTTCACTTTTCTGACTTGGACTCAATGAAATGGCTACTACCTTTTACCTGAGGCCCTGAAAACTGAAGCTTATTCTTTGTAATACAGGCAATAAAAACGTGTCAGATTGCCACCACCTTCCTCCTCTATAACTTAAGAGGCTTAGCCCATTTGCAATGAACCTCCTGATACATAAGATAGCTGTTGAGCTGAACTGATCTAGTCTCAGGACTAGGCAACTGACAAAAAAAGATTTGGGGCAGTACATTTAAATTCGCTCTGTCCTGTCTACCCCAATCTGTCTAACAACCTCTGACCCAAATCTCTCTCTGTTAGTAACCCCATGTCGAATTTGTTCTCCAAGCTATTCACCTGGATCCCCCAGAGTTTAAGATCAATTCTCCAAAACTTCTGAAGCTAAGGCTTTCAGTCTTTATCCTGGGACTCATTATTTACCTTATAGTTCACTGTTCTTTGCTAAAACTATAGATGAGAATACTAACGCCCTTGTCATGCAAGCTTTGAAACCTTAATGAGGCACCCAAGAGTATGTGCAAACAGCTGCAAAGCAGTTCCACTCCTCTTACCTTGGGGTCAACATCTATCCCCCTGTCAGCAGGAAAAGGTTAGAGCAGTTTTCATTTTTCCCAACTTCGTAGCCCACACTTGAAGAATAAGGTGTTATAAATCCAAAGGGAGGGATTGAAACCACCTTCGCAAAAATCATAACTGAGAAAATTATTACAGTGAAAGAGATCTGACCTAACCAACTCCATCTTGCTTTAACCTCCAGGCTGTCCTAGGAATATGCCAGACTAACTTTGGGAGGAATTTAGATTATAAATTAGCTTTGAAACAAAGATGATTAACAGCCCTTTCCCGAAACAAACCGCTTCCTGCCTGGGAACTAGACTGCCTTTCCAGGACTAACAAATTAGCCACAACATTAGAAATTATGGTTTAGGACTTTTGCAGCTGGAGGCTGCAAGATTCTAAGCCTACCAAATTGCTCCTGGCAATAACATCACTATTGTAAAACCTCAGATCAGTGTTTGTGATATTTTGCAGACCCTGCATTCTGATGCACAGCTGACACTGCCCAGACCTGTAATCTGGCTCAAACAGTTCTGCAACCCTACCCAGGAATAGAAGACAGCAAGAAAAACTCACTCCAACTTGACCGATCAGCACTCCCCACTTCGTGAGCCCCTACCCACCAAATTATCCTTAAAAACTTTAGTCCCCGAGTTTTTCAGGAGACTGATTTGATTAATAATAAAACTTCTGTATCCTGCACAGCTGGCTCTGTGTGAGTAAGTCTTTCTCTATTGCAATTACCCTTTCTTGATAAATCGGCTCTGTCTAGGCAGCAAGCAAGGTGAACCTATTGGGCAGTTACACTCCTCATCCTGTTTATCAACTTTTAAAAATTAAAAGGTACTTATAAGTCATTCAATCCAACATATTTAGTCATAGCCAGAGTTTAGTTTATAGCTAATCTGTGATGATCAATACAACTTAAACCAGATTTGTACCTGAGTTAAGCCTGAAAAAGATCTTCAAAACATTTGTCCTCATTGTTCCTAATTCTCCTTATCAAACCACTTAAAATATTAACAACAAAAAAATTCATAAGAATCATTCAACTTAAGTGTTTGAAATCTGGGAATTTTTAATTGGCATCTATAATGTATAAATGCAATTTTTTCAAATAAAGTGTGTACTATATTAAATCATCTATGCCTATATAGATATCAATTTGGGAATTGGATGTTCATAGGTGAGGTGGAAATAAAACCATATATCTGGACAGAGAGATCTTTTTCCAGTTTTTTTGTTTGTTTGTTTGTTCTTTGTAAAGCACCTAACAAATGAGACTAATCTTCCACATTTCCAATGTCTGACTGATTTATAGGTCAGAGGACCAGAAGGTAGGTGGAAAATAATTCACCTAGGGTAAATAACTAATTGCTTAGACAGAGTCTCATGAGATGACATCATTGTCCAATGTTATAGTCTCCTTTTCTAGTCTTCATTTTATCCATGAACATGAGCTGGTGGATCTCAGATTCTCAATAAATGATACATACATAAGCTAGACAGTCAAATTTACTAATTTAGGCTATCAGTCATACTCTATACCCAAATTCACTGATCAGATCTTCCATGAAAACATGTTAATATACAATGGAATGTATACCTCCACAATGAATAGTATACTGTGTCTGCTTCCTGGCAGCTAGTTAATCAACAAGCAATTTAAGAATTTTTAATAATTACTTGGCAAGCACAGAAATGTATAAACCACAGAGAGATTTCATTCAAGCCATAATAAAACCTGATTTTTAAAAAAATCTCTGTCCTACAGCAGAGATATAAGTAACAATTTGGTTTCTCTTCATTTTCTAGACAACACTGTATAAATGCTGCCAAAATATTCCTCTTTGACACCATGTTTACCATATTTCATGCCAACACTCCATTCTTTTGACATATCTTTCTTTTAAGTATATTAATACTGTAGAGTCCCTTTTTATCTGCTTATAACCTAGAAGATTTTCTGTATTTTAACATGACTATGCATAGATAGTATTGATTTTATCAGTAATATTGGAAGAAGGCACTGCTCTTGTGAACACTTATGTATTATTCTTTGTAATACAGGCAATAAAAATGTGTCCCACAACAGATAGCACTGGGATAGTGCACAATTCACTGGTTTTAACTAATTCTTTTTAAGATGTATCTTGACTAATGGGTCTCTGTAGTCTTGCCCTCACCTTTTAGCCCTGTGCAAAGAAAGGGGCAAAGAACAGAGCTTGATTGTTTTCTTTTCTCACTTCTGATACCATATGCCCTAGGACTGCAGGGTCTCCCAAGATTATTAACAACCACACAATTCTGAGGACAGGTTACTGGAGCTTTTGAAATCTTCTGCTTTGTGGACAGTTCTTGTAAAGCTACCATGGAAACAGACATCTCATTATTTTTGAACAGGCCTGTTTCATATTAAATTAACTGCCATAAGAAAAGAAGAAACTCTTTTTGTGTGAACATAGAAAAATAATGTAGTTTTGGTCAAGTTATATTTTATCCACTACCATAGGTCAAAATAAAAGTCCTAAAACTTTTGAGTCATCCTGGATCATATGGCTTACAGAGTACTATTTATATCCTAACAACTTGTTTATCAACTTTGCATATGAAAAGCCCAGTCTGCCCACTCCCCAAAAGCCAACAGAATCATAGATTTGCCATCTGACATTCTGATAAAAGCATAAAGTAAATATGCTGAGTATTGCAAGGAGCACAAAGTGGTGACTCCCAGTCTTTCCGAATGTTTTTGTTCTGGATTTTTCCTCCAGCTTTTAGAACGATATCTAGAACCTGATAGATCTTCTACATATTGAATGATGAATGCATGAGTGGATGAAAATTTCAAAGGTCACTTACATAATAGTGGTAGCAATATTACTTATTAATCCAAAATTATTACTAAAGCACATGTGGATTCCTAAACCTTTTTAAGTAACTCCTTGGATTCCTTGTGGTCTGCAGTCCCAATATTGGAAACCACTTGTACAAAAGGTGCCCTTATTTTCATGTAATCTAAGACTGGATGTTATCCAATTCTGTCTAAATATCTGGTCTCATTTAGATTTAGCCATTTTCAAACTATTCAAATAGATCATGTATTTCTATAATGTTTTTCCACTGGTCCCAGGAAGAATTTTCTGAATTATCTAAAGATGAGATGTGTCAAGTGGTAGTTAATTCCTTAGCGAACCCATAGTTGCCACAAGGTCAGAGACAATATCTCTCCTCATTGCCAAAACACATTCTAGTACAGTAGTTAGCACACAGTGGGTACTCAATAGCTCTTAGCGGAATTATTTTTAAATCACTGGATTTATCAAGAATAAGTCAGCTATCTACTAGGCAGTAAATAGAAGAGATTTAGGCATTGAAAGCATGTTGGACTTCAGATAATTTTCAAGTTCCTTTAAATCAGTATAAAACAAATCTAATAGCCACATAGCAGGCTATCATTCAAATGGAGTCTCTTTTCTAAGTTAAATTCCTAATTCTTTCAAACTCCTTTTTTATATGATGTAACTTTGAATCTCTTCACCATCAAATTTGACATCCAGAATCACTATATTGCAACAGTTTAAAATAAAATATGGGTATCACTCATCTTGTCTTAACTACTTACAGTATTGTAAACTAAGATTACATTAGTTCCTTTGACAACAATATGTATTCTCAACTTTGGTTGCAAGTGATAGAAAGCCAACTCAAATGAGCTTAGGCAAAAAAAAAAAAGTCACTGAAAATATAGGAGATTTTGAAGGATAAAGAGTAAAGAAAAGAATTTTGGAAGAAGTTTGTACAGAGGACAATAACTGAGATTTTAACCCATTTATGCTGGAAGTTGCCATATTTTGGTGAAAAATCAGACCTTGGTGATGAACTTGAGCAGCAGGATATAAATGACTCCCACTAGCTTAGCGTTCCAATAATGGATCACTAGGCATAAATGGCTACATCTTATTTTACTGCACAGAATGGGCAAACTGACCTGACAGTTACTTGACTAGAACTTGAAAGGCATAAATCCTTCCAGGACACTCATGCTGGGAAATATAGGACTGACAGGTGCCGTATCTCACATGTCATTAACAAACTCTCTCTCCTTAGTTCTGAGTGACAAATCTTGGGAACAGAGGTTGGCTGGCCAGTCTTTTTCACGCCACCGGGGCAAGTTCGCTGCAGGTCATTTAGATCAGACATGATCAATGGAGACCTAACCCTGTGTGTTATTGTTGTTCTCAGAGAGGAGAAGGGATAGTCAAACAGTTGTCCCAATTAGTATCCACTACACTGTCATTTTGCCAACATATCTCAAAACCAAGAATCACTAAAACCACCAAATATTTTTCACAAATGTATCTACTGAGCCATGTCTCCCCCAGGCTTTCCATATATATGTATAGTTAGCTTTTGGGTACATATTGCAAGATGCTACACTTATTTGTCTTATGTTTAATTTGTTAGTGACAACTAATCTCTCAAGCTTCTATTCAAATGCACTTTTCCCAAGGCCTGATCAAGAAACCCCAGTTCCCAATGTGCTGACAAGAGGAAATACATTACATTAAAATAACAACAAATTGTCAAGCTAATGAATATATAGAGAAAAGCATTTTGTAAAAGATTCTATGTAAAATACATAATTATGAGGTCATACATTGTCAGTAATATTTTGCATGCTGTGTTTTATGATAGAATGAATTGACTCCGTAGAAAGAGGTAATTTAACTTAATAAGCATCAAAAATATGTCTCAGCCAGCAAGACAATTCAAGTCAATGACATAAGAAAAAGAAAGAGACACTTTTAATATTTTTCTAGCACTTAGAATGTTATATATGAGATAGATTTTGAAGGAAGTGTGTGCAGAGGATACTGACTGAGGCTTTTAAGAGAATGGTTACAGCAATAAACAAAAGATAATTTTTTTTTTTTTGAGACAGAGTCTTGCTCTGCCACCCAGGCTGGAGTGCAGTGGTGCGATTTTGGCTCACTGCAACCTCTGCCAACCAGATTCAAGCAATTCTCCTGCCTCAGCCTCCCGAGTAGCTGGGATTACAGGCGTGTGCCACCATGCCTGGCTTCATTTTGTCTTTTTAGTAGAAGGAGTGTTTCACCATGTTGGCCAGGCTGGTCTCGAACTCCTGACCTCATAATCTGCCCACCTCAGCCTCCCAAAGTGGATTTTAATTGATGAGAATTTCTTGGGCATGATGCCTGCCAGTTGCCTCTTTTACACATATGGACATGACCAGAATAAGTAAGCCAAATGTTTGTGAATCTTTATTGGTTTTCTTGTGCTACTACCCAGCTTTCATGCAGGATAAATGCCATGGATTGTTTATGACAAAACTTGCCTTCCAAATAGTTTTCGTGAGTATTTTGGATTTCCAGAAATAACGCAAGCCTGAAACTTTAGTAACTCTCATTATTCCTTACTGAAGTTGAGGAAGATAGAGCCCACCTAGAAAAGTGTAGGATAGAGAATACAAATAAGCTAAAAATATGACACTGCTTTAAGCCAAAATTCTTTGTAAAATTGTTCAATATTATTTAGTAGGGATACAATAAAACTAATTTTCCATAAATAAAAAATAGTATGCCTTTTTATGCTATAAAAGCTATGTTTAATGTAGCATTTTTGTTTATTTAAAGTTAAAATATTTGAAATTGTGGTTTTTTTCTGAAATTACTTCTTGAGAGGTATTTTTAAGAAATGAAAAATTCAACAACAAAGTGAATCACTCATTCCTAGTAAAAAGCACAATACCAGGCATTTTAATGGTTTGGGAATTTTAGTTGACTATGACAACAGACTTAAGGCATGTCAGCTGCTTAGCTTGGGGTTAGTGGTACACCCCGTACAAACTTTGTCCAAAGGTGAGAATGTTCTATTTCTGTGCTATCCAGTACAGTAACCGCTAGCCACATGTGGCTGTTGAGCTCTGGAAGTGTGGCTAATACAACTTAGCTGAGAAACAGAAATTTTAATTTAAAACATAGGAAATTAAAATTTTAAATAGCCACGTGTAGTGGTTAGTGAGGAGCACAGCTCTAGCAATTGACGCCAGCAAGGAGGGTCTTTTTGTTTTAATTTCCACTAGAGGGCACTATCTCCTTCAGCAGAAGTAAGAACCATGTGCATTTCACCATTTTCCATCTAGTAGTGGAAAACAGAACTGGTGGCATATTTCCAATAGCCTAGAGATGTCTTAGCCTCTTTATAGGTTGGTGCTCCAAGCCGCCATTCACTTAGTCTGTCCCTTCAGTTATGACTTTCTCTAGCCTCATGTCACGTATTCAGAGCACTGTTTTCAGCAAGATGTCACTAAGAACATAGAACTGAGGTATGCCTAAAAAGCAGAAATTCATAAGCTAATATTCAATGGAAAACGTTTAAAAGTAAGTGAAGAAAAATGTATTCTGCACAAATAAATTCACTTTCCCTTAAACAAAATTTAAGATTATATTTTCATTTATGTTTTTTCTTTCAGTCTTTTAATGTCATGAATTTCCAAAAAGATTTCTCAAGCTTATTTTACTATGGAACCTTTATTCATGGAGCACTAATTAACTCTGCCTGAACAAAACACAAAGCAGAGTTTTGAAAGCACTGGAAAGATTTTTCCAGAATGAAAATGATTTATTAATTAGTACCCTTCAGACAGGCCCCTTCAACACTTATTTGTCCACATTTTTGTTCTTGCATTCATCCCACAAGTTTTCACTTGGTTCATAAACATTGTCCCCTAAAATATTTTTCCTTTAAGTTTTTAAATATTTATTGATACATTGAATTCAGTAAACACCTACTACATGCCCAACACTATTGCAGGTGGTGAATATAGTATGGTAAACAAAACTCATGATTTCTACCTTACTACATTCTAGTGGGGAACAGACAAATAAAAAATAAAATATATGAAATGCCAGATGTTGTGTATAATGGAAAAATTAAGCAGGAAATGGGGATGAACTTGCAATTTGAATGTAGTGGGTCAGAGAAAATCTCATTGGAAAACCTTTGTTTTAGTTTGTTCATGGGATTAAATTATATGATTGAAATGGCTTTGACACACTGCACCAGACACATAGGAAATGTTTTGTATGTGGAGAAGTGGGAAATTGTTTGGTTTCCTGTTCTGGTCCTGCCCCAATTAAGTAGTACCCAGATATGTCTCTTCATTTCTCTGGAATTTTTGGCCTGTCCCTACACCTTACCCAGGGCTGCTAACCCAAGGTATGGCTTCTATAACCTCTCTCATTGGAGCTGGGGCAGGCCTCACACCATCTTTCTTAGAAAGGTCAGTTCAACTTGGAGTCTTCACTTGAAAATAAACTTAACATTCATTGAGACCTTTTTTATTGCTAGGATGTTTGCATTTATTATTTCATTTAACTCTCACAGTACTCTGTAAATTTGATATAATTATGTCTACTTTTTCAGATTACAAAAGTTAAACTAACTGAGATTATTACAAGTCTGCATAGCTTAGTACAGTGATCTTCAAACAATTTTGCTCACTAACTTTTTTTAGGTGACACCTAAATGTTTCTCATAAATTTAAATAGTTATAAAATAGAAAATATAAACTTTCCAATATATTATAACTATTGACATTTTAAGCTATTGCATTGCTCTTTTTCTCTTTTTCCAGATGGAGTCTGCACTTTAGTCTGTTGCCCAGGCTGGAGTGCAGTGGCATGATCTAAGCTCACTGCAATCTCTGCTTCCCAGGTTCAAGTGGTTCTCCTGCCTCAGCCTCCCAAGTAGCTGGGATTACAGGAGCATGCCACCACATCCAGTTAATTTTTGTATTTCTAGTAGAGATGAGGTTTCACCATGTTGGCCAAGCTGGTCTTGAGCTCCTGACCTCAAGTGATCTGCTTGCCTTGGCCTCTCAATGTCTTGCTCTTTTAAATACAGCCTTTGGAATCTAAATACCATAGCAACTTGATAATGATATCATCCATTTCAGAAATAAAGGAGCAGGCTTTTCTTTAACTGTCAAAAATTTTACATACTTCTATTTCCCTTGAATTTCATCATAATGCATTACATTTTATTGTTGAGAGTTTTTTACTCATTCATTTTATTCTTCTTGAAAAAATAGATGAATATATATTTTCATTTCTCATATCTATAATACTTTATAAAATTTTCTTCTAAAATGAATTATCATTACAAATATTTATAATAGAATTGATTAAACATAAACATATTACATTTATATTAATTATATAGACAGTCAATTTTTACTAGAAATGCATCTCTTAACAAGATGGATATTTTTTAATCAGTTCCATCATCCATGGACAATTCTTACATACTACTAAAATAAAAAAAATGCTCAGCAGCAATTCTCACACTATCTGGTAGTTGTTGTTTTAATGGATGTAAGAGTTAAGAAACTTCATTCACATAAAAAATGAGAATGGGAATGGAAGAAGTTTTGTCATTGCAATATCACAATTCTTTGAACTACTTCTGAGTTAAATGCCAGAAAGCACCTGCTAATCTAGCTTTAAAAATAATTTTTAACGATGTACAAGATATCTTGATTTGAATCTTTTTCAGTTTTGTTGAAAACAAACAGTTAGAAACCATTTGACTTGCCAAAAATTTTAACAAAATCTTTAGGATTTACTTTCTAAATACCAGCAACAAAAGTTTCAAATAAACCATTTTGGCATCCCAGAGGCTTTTATACTCTAAAAGGAATGCACCATTGTTAAACAAAATATATTATTTGCTTCCAAAATGATTCTACTTTGGAATAGAATATGCTGGGCTCTTTTATAGTGAGTTAATTGGGACAAATGGTATTTTGAAACACCCACGTTGGATTTAACCACTTTTCTGCCCAACTAAATTTTGTGGTGTTTTTTTCTAATTCCTTTCAGTTGGCTCTAGATATATCACAAAAATATAATAATGTTTTGGTTTCAAGCATGTAAATTCCTCACATGTTTTGTCTGGCCACAGTTAAGTTGTGCCAATGACAGTGCACAAAATAAAAAGTAGTTATATAGCTATCTATATATGAGAGAGAGAGAGAGAATAAAAAGTCTGAAAAGATGAAGTCAGAAATTTTCAGAATGTGCATGGGGTAGATTTGGGGCATAGAGTAAAATATCATTTTCAGACAGGACCAAAAAGAGCATCAGATTTTTGTTTTATCCATACATTTTTGTCCTTTTAATCATCTTTTTTTGTGATGTTCTGAGAACACTCTTAAGTGGTATTGATCATTTAGCACTGGGTAAGGACTTTAATAGAAAGGATCAAACAAACTAGCTGTGAAAATCAATATCTTCCAATGACATTTAGACATTTATTCATGCCCCAAGCAAGCTATATTATCTGTGCTGTTTATAAACTAGTTATTTTTCTTTAAAATTCTCTGAAAGTTTCACAGTAATTTTTTTTATTCACCAGATAGCAAGTTACTATGATGAAATTTCTAATGCTAAAAACTAAAAAAAAAACAACCCTTGATGGCACTGGTAAACCTTTTGGGGTGTGAGCAAAAATTACCTCAAAGATAAAAGGAATTTTCTTTCTCAAATTGTGATCAAAATCACACATTGTAATAAATGCTATAAAGGAAAAGACCAGGGTTCAGAGATGGAGAATAACAGTGGAATCCTAATTTAGATAAGAGAATAAGAGAAAGCCTCTCTAAGTAACTAACATTTAGGTCAAGACCCAAGGTATAAACTGCCTTCAGAAAAGTGAGTGGAAAGAAATATCTAGACCTCCAATCAGAAAAGAAAAACAATTCTCAAATAAATTGAGAGAGATATCAAACAGAATTCATTCCCAGGAAGCAAATAATCCAGAAAGTAAGCAAGAACTGTCAAATAACCCAGTCGGATAATAACATAACATAGAATATAGAAACAAATTGCCTGCAAGTTCTGAGCTTTATAGATCTACTTAGTAAATATGAAATCAGTAAATCAAGAGCTTAAAGTCTAAATGGAAAACAAAGTAACAGAATTGAAAGAAAAATAGAAATTGCAAACTTAAGGAAATAAAAACAAGTCAAAATAACATTGTCTATAAACTAGAAATTACCTGAACAGGATATATAAAGCAATACTTAAATAAAAACAGTTGGAAGGTTTAATCCAATAATCATAAATTAATAGAAAAAAGAGTAAAACAAATGGGGTAAAAAATAGACATAGAAATCAGAGAAAGAAAATCTCACATTGAGGATATTTGATGTCCCAAAAATAGTGAACCCAACAAATAGAATGCCCCCAAAAATTGTTTAGAAATAGAATCCAGAAAAAAATCCTTGAAATAATAAAATCTGTAAATCAAAATCATCAGATTAAAATGGTACACAGCATCCCCCCCAAATATGTATGGAGAAACATCAATGACAGATTCTGATTATTATTTAATACTGTAGGTTTTGCTTACAGTCAAGAGGGAGTAAAAGAACATGGATGTACTCTCTAACCGGGAACAATTAGAAAGCTGGCCAAATATACATAAAATAAAAGTGTTTGGACACTGGACAAATTCAGTAAAGGGTTGTGATCCCTGACAGAAGGAAAATAGGTGAATCCTACAATAGCTTCCAATTTTAGCCTATAGACAATTTATGGCCCATGAGTGCAGATATAGGGAAGCTGATCGAAGTATGAGGGGTTTTCCCTGAGTTGAGGAAACAGAGATTAGAGTTTAGGGTGGCCCAGGCAACTAGATTTTGCAAGGTAGAATATTGCAGAGAGGATGACTATTTAGAAAAAAGGGCTCTGGGTAATTGAATGGGAGTCCCTTTGAGTCTTTGACTGAATAATAATCTGTCCATGAATAGCATAAAATTTAACAAGACTGTACAAATAACAACATGTAGAAAAAGAAAAATTACCAGGAAGTAGAAGCCAAATAATATCCATAGCTTATTCAGAGCCAGAATTATTCAAGTTCCTTCCAGCCAGGGCAGAATGATATAGTTAAATGCATATGAAATTTACTAGAGACGCCACAAGAAGCCTATCCGGAGCTAAACTGGTACTACAGGAACAGTGACTTTAAACACACCCTCAAAACGCAAAAAAAGTTTTAAAACAAGCCTAGAAAAGATCAAACTGAATCACAAGTAGTTGAATTTCTTGCCGGAACAAAATTAATTTCCTTTAAAGAAATACAACAAAATCCAGCACTTAACAATAAAATGTTTACAATGTTTAACATTCAATCAAAAATTGATAGATATGCAAAAATAGAAGAAAATGTACCCAAATAAAAAAATAATTCCATAGAAACAGATACAGAAATAATAAGGTGGAATTAGTAGCAAGAAAGATAAAAATCACTTTAAAAATGTGTTTAATATGCTTAAGAATTTAAATAAAAACATGAATGTAATGAGGAGAAAAATGGAAGATTTAAAAAATGAAACTGAGTGGAACTGCAAGAGAAGAAAAATGAAGTATATGAAGTGAAAATTACACAAAATCACTTAGAGGATTAAGAATGAGATACCCATCCCAACTCACTTTCTGAAGCTAGCATTACCCTGATTTAAAGAAAAAAGATGAAAATGTTATAGGAAAAAGAAACTACGGGTTAATTTAATATCCATCATCTACATAGACAAAATAAATCCTTAATACTATAATAGTAACAAATTGCATCAAATAATATGTACAAAGTATTATGTATCTTGAACAAGTGGAATTTATCCCAGATATGCAAAGTTTGTTTAATATTTCAAATCAATCAATGCAATTCAACAAAATAACATTAAAAAAATAAAAATAGAACATCTTAATAGGTGTAGAAAATACATTTGACATAGTCAAATTTATGGTAAAAAGTCTCAGTTTTTATAGAATAGAAGGAATTTGATCAAAACAATCTATAAATACCCTGAAGTTGACATCACATTTACTTGTGAATAAATGAATGCTTTCCCCCAAAGATTGTAAACAAAGCAAAAATGTTTACAACCATCATGTTTATTTAACATTGTACTGGATGTCAAAGTCAATGCAATAAGATAAGAAAAATAAACACAAGTTATACATATTGGAGAGAAAGATATAAAACTGCTTTCATTCACAGATGGTGATACAATGTAAGTACCAAATTTGGAGAAATCTACAAAAAAAAAACCTGTGAGAAATAGTAATAAATCAAAATGTAAAGGACCTACAATAGCCAAAACCATTTTGAAAAAGAATAAATCAGGAGAACTCACACTACTTGTTTTCAAGACTTAATGTAAACTACAGTAATTAAGACAGTGTGGTAATGGAATAAGGATAAATATACAGATCAATGCAACAGAAGAGTTCAGAAATAGAAATATATGCATGTGGTCAACTGATTTTGACAAAAGTTCCAAGCCAATTCAATGAGAAGAGGATAATCTTTTTAACAAATGGTACTGCAACAACTGAATATTCATGTAAGATTAAAAAAAAAAAGAAATCTTGATCCCACACCATACCAAAACATTAACTTGAAAAGGACCATAGACCTAAGCATAAAAGCTAAAACTATAAAACTTAGAGAAGAAAGCGCAGGAGAAAATCTTTGTGACCCTGGAGTTGGTAAGGATTTCTTTACATAGGAAACAAAAAGCATGAAACATTGGACTGCATAAAACTAAAACCTCCTGCTTTTTAAAGAAATGCCACAGGCTGGGAGAAAATATTCATAATACATACATCTGACAAAAACTGATATCTAAATATATATCAGATATGTATAAGTCTCACAATTTATAAGAACTCTTATGACTCAATGTTAGAAGACATCCACTCAGTTAAAAGACAGGCGGAAGGTTTTGACAAACATTCCACAAAAGAAGATACACAAATGGTCAATACACACATCAAAAGATGCTAAGATTATTAGTCATCAGGAAAATGCAAATCAAAACCACAGTGAGATACAAATACACCACTAGTAGAATGGCTAAAAATTTTAAAAGCTGACAATGCTAAGTGTTGAGGAGAATGTGGAACAAGTGGAATTGTCATAAATAATTGACGGGAATGTAAATTGTTACAATCATTTTGGTAAATGGTTTGGCAGCTTATAAAATTAAACATATGCTTATCATGTAATACAGCAATGACACTTCTAGGTATTTACCCAAGAAAAATAAAAACATATTTCCACAAAACAATATGTACAAGATTGTTCACAGATTTTTTTTTATGAAAGACAAAAACTACAAACAGCCAAAATGTCCATCAAGTGAATAAACACAATGTGGTACATTCATACAATGAACTATTACTCAGAAGTAAAAAGAAACAAACTACTGATATACACAACATGGATAGGTTCCAAAAAGAATGCAGATAAAAGAGTATATAATGTATGGTTACGATTATTGGAAACTCTAGAAAACTAATCTAATCTACAATCACAGCAGATCAGTGGAAGTATGGGTGAGGAAAAGGGTGATTGGCTGGGAAGGGGAAGAAGGGAAACTTTTGGGGTGATAAAAATATTCTACATCTTAAATATGGTGGTGATTACATGTGTATACACATTTGTCAAAATTAATCAAACTGTGAGTGCTCTTAAAATGGGTGTATCTGATAGTATATAAATTGTAACTTGGAAAAAATTGCAAGGTAACATATAATATCTGATTCCCAGAATCATACTCCTGAAATAATGTGATACATTTTATGCAAGGCTTTGTTTTAAGTTTCATTCAAATTTTGTGTTAATTCATTCCTGTTTTCCTACTGTAAAAAGTACTATATGCTCTGACAAAATAAAATAATTTTATGACTAAGAAAAATGAGAAGGTATGAGAAAGTATTTTTATAGCAGGGAAAATATTCTTACTGTCTAAAGAAGACATATGCACTAAAAAATGCAAAGTACAGCTTTAATTCATGATAAATTGTATGATCCTGTTATTAAATATTTACTTACAATTCAGCAGTTCCTTAAGCTTATTTTATTCTATTGAATTCAAATATAATTAATGAAGTACATTTAAAAGGCATGTATAGCATGAAACTTAATTATAAAACTATTCTTATTTATCTACTTGCCTACCACCTATGTATCAGTGTTTTTTGTCTGATTTTGTATAGGTAAATGTATGCTTGGAATCTTTCTTTTTTTTATTACATTTTAAGTTCTGGGGTACATGTGCAGAACGTGCAGTTTTGTTACATAGGTATACACATGCTATGGTGGTTTGCTGCACCCATCAACCTGTCAAATACATTAGGTATTTCTCCTAATGCTATCCCTCCCCTAGCCCTTCACCCCTCAATAGGCCCTGGTGTGTGATGTTCCCGTCCCTGTGTCCATGTGTTCTCATTGTTCAACTCCCACTTATGAGTGAGAACATGCGGTGTTTGGTTTTGTATTCTTGTTTTGGTTTGCTGAGAATGATAGTTTCCAGCTTCATCCATGTCCCTGCAAAGGACATGAACTCATCCTTTTTATGGCTGCATAGTATTCCATAGTGTATATGTGCCACATTTTCTTTATCCAGTCTATCATTGATGGACATTTGGGTTGGATCCAAGTATTTGCTATTGTGAATAGTGCCATGATAAACATACATGTGCATGTGTCTTTATAGTAGAATGATTCATAATCCTTTGGGTATATACCCAATAATGGGATTGCTGGGTCAAATGGTATTTCTAGTTCTAGATCCTTGAGGAATTGCCACACTGTCTTCCACAATGGTTGAACTAATTTACCTTCCCACCAACAGTGTAAAAGTGTTCCTATTTCTCCACATCCTCTCCAGCATCTGTTGTTTCCTGACTTTTTAATGATCACCATTCTAACTGGCATGAGATGGTATTTCATTGTGGTTTTGATTTGCATTTCTCTAATGACCAGTGATGATGAGTCTTTTTGCATATGTTTCTTGGCTGCATAAATGTCTTCTTTTGAGAAGTGTATGTTAATATCCTTTGCCCACTTTTTGATGGGGTTGTTTTTTCTTGTAAATTTGTTTTAAGTTCTTTGTAGATTCTGGATATTAGCCCTTTGTCAGATAGATAGAGTGCAAAAATTTTCTCCCATTCTGTAGGTTGCATGTTCACTCCGATGATAGTTTCTTTTGCTGCACAGAAGCTCTTTCGTTTAATTAGATCCCATTTGTCAATTTTGGCTTTTGTTCCCATTGCTTTTGGTGTTTTGGACATGAAGTCTTTGCTCATGCTTATGTGCTGAATGGTATTGCCTAGGTTTTCTTCTAGGATTTTTATGGTTTTAGGTCTTTCGTTTAAGTCTTTAATCCAACTTCAGTTAATTTTTGTATAAGGTGTAAGGAACAGTCCAGTTTCAATTTTCTGCATATGGCTAGCCAGTTTTTCCAACACCATTTATTAAACAGAGAATCCTTTCCCTATTGCTTGTTTGTATGAGGTTTGTCAAAGATCAGATGGTTGTAGATGTGTGGTGTTACTTCTGAGGCCTCTGTTCTGTTCCATTGGTCTGTATATCTGTGTTGGTACCAGTACCATGCTATTTTGGTTACTGTAGCCTTGTAATATAGTTTGAAGTCAGGTAGCGCAATGCCTCCAGCTTTGTTCTTTTTGCTTAGGATAGTCTTGGCTATGCGGGCTGTTTTCTGGTTCCATATGAAGTTTAAAGTAGTTTTTTCCAATTCTGTGAAGAAAGTCAATGGGAGCTTGATGGGGATACCATTGAATCAATAAATTACTTTGGGCAGTATGGCCATTTTCACGATACTGATTCTTCCTATCCAAGAGCATGAAATGTTTTTCCATTTGTTTGTGACCTCTCTTATTTCCTTGAGCAGTGGTTTGTAGTTCTCCTTGAAGAGGTCCTTCACATCCCTTGTAAGTTGTATTCCTAGTTATTTTATTCTCTTAGTAGCAATTGTGAATGGAAGTTTACTCATGATTTGGCTCTCTGTTTGTCTGTTATGGTGTATAGGAATGCTTGTGATTTTTGCACATTGATTTTGTATCCTGAGACTTTGCTGAAGTTGCTTGACAGCTTAAGGAGGTTTGGGGTTGACACGATGGGGTTTTCTACATATACAATCATGTCATCTGCAAACAGAGACAATTTGACTTCCTCTTTTCCTATTTAAATACGCTTTATTTCTTTCTCTTGCCTGATTGCCCTGGCCAGAACTTCCAATACTATGTTCAATAGGAGTGGTGAAAGAGGGATCCTTGTCTTGTGCCAGTTTTTAAAGAGAATGCTTCTAGTTTGTGCCCACTCAGTGTGATATTGGCTGCGGGTTTGTCATAAATAGCTCTTATTATTTTGAGATACATTCCATTGATACCTAGTTTATTGAGAGTTTTTAGCATGAAGGGGTGTTCAATTTTGTCGAAGGCCTTTTCTGAATCTATTGAGATAATCACGTGGTTTTTGTTGCTGGTTCTGTTTATGTGATGGATTACGTTTATTGATTTGTGTATGTTAAACCAGCCTTGCATCCCAGGGATGAAGCTGAGTTGATTGTGGTGGATAGGCTTTTTGATGCGCTGCTCGATTCGGTTTGCCAGTATTTTATTGAGGATTTTTGCATTGATGTTCATCAGGGATATTGGCCTGAAATTTTCTTTTTATGTTGTGTCTCTGCAAGATTTTGGTATCAGGATGATGCTGACCTCACAAATTGAGTTTGGGAGGATTCCCTCTTTTTCTATTATTTAGAATAATTTGAGAAGGAATGGTACCAGCTCCTCTTTGTACCTCTGGTAGAATTTGGCTGTGAATCCGTCTGGTCCTGGACTTTTTTTGGTTGGTAGGCTATTAATTACTGCCTCAATTTCAGATTTTGTTATGGGCCTATTCAGGGATTCGACTTCTTCCTGGTTTAGACTTGGGACTGTGTATGTGTCCAGGAATGTATCCATTTCTTCTAGATTTTCTAGTTTATTTGCATTGAGGTGTTTATAGTATTCTCTGATGGTAGTTTGTATTTCTGTGTGATCAGTGGTGATATCCCCTTTATCATTTTTTATCGCGTCTATTTGATTCTTCCGTCTTTTCTTCTTTACTAATCTGGCTAGTGGTCTATCTATTTTGTGGATCTTTTCAAAAAAATAGGTCCTGGATTCATTGATTTTTTGAAGGGTTTTTCGTATCTCTATCTCCTTCAGTTCTGCTCTGATCTTAGTTATCTCTTGTTTTCTGCTAGCTTTTGAGTTTGTTTGCTCTTTCTTCTCTAGTTCTTTTAATGTTGATGTTAGGGTGTTGATTTTAGATCTTTTCTGCTTTCTCTTGTGGGCATTTAGTGCTATAAATTTCCCTCTACACACTGCTTTAAATGTATCCCAGAGATTCTGCTGCATTGTGTCTTTGTTCTCATTGGTTTCAAAAAACGTCTTTATTTCTTCCTTCATTTCGTTATTTACCCAGTAATCATTCAGGAGCAGGTTGTTCAGTTTCTGTGTAGTTGTGTGGTTTTGAGTGAGTTTCTTAATCCTGAGTTCTAATTTGATTGCACTGTGGTCTGAGAGACTGTTGGTTATGATTTCCGTTCTTTTGCATTTGCTGAGGAGTGTTTTGCTTCCAATTATGTGGTCAAGTTTGGAATAAGTGCGATGAGGTGCTGAGAAGAATGTATACTCTGTTGATTTGGGGTGGAGAGTTCTGTAGATGTCTATTAGGTCTGCTTGGTCCAGAGCTGAGTTCAAGTCCTGAATATCCTTGTTAATTTTCTGTCTCGTTGATCTAATATTGACAGTGGGATGTTACAGTCTCCCACTATTATTGTGTGGGAGTCTAAGTCTCCTTGTAGGTCTCTAAGTACTTGCTTTATGAATCTGAGTGCTTCTGTACTGGGTGCATATATATTTAGGATAGTTAGCTCTTCTTGATGCATTGATCCCTTTACCATTATGTAATGCCCTTCTTTGTCTCTTTTGATTTTTGTTGGTTTAAAGTCTGTTTTATCAGAGATTAGGATGGCAACTCCTGCTATTTTTTTTTTTTTTTGGTTTTCCATTTGCTTGGTAAATATTCCTCCATCCCTTTATTTTGAGCCTATGTGTGTCTTTGCAGGTGAGATCGGTATCCTGAGTACAGCACACTGATCTGATGGGTCTTGACTCTTTATCCAATTTGCCAGTCTGTGTCTTTTAATTGGGGGCATTTAGCCCATTTACATTTAAGGTTAATATTGTTATGTGTGAATTTGATCCTGTCATTATGATGCTAGCTGGTTATTTTGCCCATTAGTTGATGCAGTTTCTTCAAAGTGTCAATGGACTTTACCATTTGGTATGTTTTTCCAGTGGCTGATACTGGTTGTTCCTTTCCATATTTTGTGCTTCCTTCAGGATCTCTTGTAAGGCAGGCCTGCTGGTGACAAAATCTCTCAGCATTTCCTTATCTGTAAGAGATTTTATTTCTCCTTCACTTATGAAGCTTAGTTTGGCTGTACATGAAATTCTGAGTTGAAAATTCTTTTCTTTAAGAATGTTGA
Source organism: Homo sapiens (assembly GCF_000001405.40). Lineage (NCBI taxonomy): Eukaryota > Metazoa > Chordata > Mammalia > Primates > Hominidae > Homo > Homo sapiens. The sequence continues at coordinate 14,993,994 of NC_000011.10, read as the reverse complement.
ATATTGGCCCCCACTGTCTTCCAGCTTCTAGGTTTTCTGCTGAGAGATTCGCTGTTAGTCTTATGGGCTTCCTTTTGTGGATAACCTGACCTTCCTCTCTGGTTGCCCTTAACATTTTTTCCTTCATTTCAACTTTGGTGGGTCTGATGATTATGTGTCTTGGGGTTGCTCTTCTCGAGGAGTATCTTAGTAGTATTCTCTGTATTTCCTGAATTTGAATGTTGGCCTGTCTTTCTAGGTTGGGGAAGTTCTCCTGGATAATATCCTGAAGAGTATTTTTCAACTTGGTTCTATTCTCCTTGTTACTTTCAGGTACACCAATCAAACGTAGATTTGGTCTTGTCACATAGTCCCATATTTCTTGGAGGTTTTATTCGTTCCTTTTTATTCTTTTTTCTCTAGTTTTGTCTTCTCGCTTTATTTCACTAAGTTGATCTTCAATCTCTGATATCCTTGCTTCTGCTTGATTGATTCAGCTATCCCCCGCTCGATATTACAAACCATGTCACGAGGCGTGGACACCCCCCATGATATGGGGAGTATTATCACCCCCCTCTTCCCCCACTGGATATTACAAACCATGTCATAGGGAGGTGGACATCCCCCACAATATGAGGAGTAATATCACACCCCTTTCCCCGCAGTGGATATTATGAACCATGTCACAGGCGGTTAAACACCCCCAACGATATGGGGAGTAATATCACACTCCTCTCCCCCCTGGATATTACGAACCATGTCATGGGGGGTGGACACCCTTTGCAATATGGGGAGTAAAATCACCCCCCTCTCCCCCAACTGGATATTATGAACCATGTCACAGTGGGGGAAAAATCCTCTGTGATATGCAGAGTAATATCACCCCACTCTCACCACCTGGATATTACGAACCATGTCACAGGGGGGTGGACACCCCCCAAGATGGGGGAGTAATATCACCTCACTCTCTGCCACCAGATATTACAAACTGTGTCACAGGGGGGTGAACAACCCCCACAATATGGGGAGCACTATCACCCCCCTCCCCCAGGGTATTATGATCCATGTCACAGGGGGGTGGATACCACCCACTATATGGGGAGTAATATCACCTTTCTCTCCCGCCCTGGTTTTTATGAACCGTGTCACAGGGGGGTGGACACCCCTTGCGATATGGGGAGTAATATCACCCCCCTCTCCACCATCTGGATATTACGAACCATGTCACAGGGGGGTGGACACCCCTGCGATATGGGGAGGAATATGCCCCTCTCCCCACCTGGATATTACAAATCATGTCACGGGGGACGGACATCCCCCACAATATGGGGAGTAATATCACCACACTCTCCCCTGCTGGATATTACGAACCATATCACAGGCGGCTGGAGACACAAGGCATTAACAATATTTCGAGTAATATTATCTTTCCCTTTGAACATTATGAACAATATGACAGAGGGGTGTACACCTCCTGCGATATTGGGAGTAATGTCATCCCCTCCCCCACTGGATATTAGGAACCATATTACTGGGGGATGTATTCCCCCTTCTAGATTGGGAGGAAGATCATACTTGCCCTCCCTGAATATTTGAAACAATATCATAGGGGTTTGTACACTTTTACGATATTGGGAGTAATATCATCCTTTCTCCCCCTGGAAATTAGGAACAATATCACAGGGGTGGTGTACACCCCTGCAATATTTAGGGTAATATTATTGTCTTCTCCCCTCGATATTAGGAACAATATTACAAGGACGGTGTAAAGTACCTGCCAAATTGGGAAAAATACTATCCTCTCCCTCTTGTATATTAGAAACAATAACACAGGGGGAATGTACACCCACTGCCATATTGGGAGTAATATCATACTCGCCCCATCCCCCAGATATTAGGAACAATATCACAGCAGGGGTGTACACTTTTACGATATTGGGAGTAATATCATACTCTCTCCCCCTGGAAATTAGGAATAATATCACAGAGATGGTGTAGACCCTCTGCAATACTTAGGATAATATTATCATCTCCCCCCTCGATATTAGGAACAATATTACGGGGAGTGTAAATTACCTGCCAAATTGGAGGTAATCCTCTCCTCTCTCTCCCTGTATTTTAGAAAATATAACACACAGGAAATGTACAACACTGCGATATTCGGAGTAATATCTTCTTCTCCCCACCTGGATATTAGGAACAATAACACGGACGGGGCGTACACCCCTCGCGATATTGAATGTAATGTCATCCTCTCCCTCCCTTTATATTACGAACAATATCACAGGGGGGTGTACAACCCCTGCAATATTGGAAGTAGTATCATCCATTCTCCCATGAATATTAGGAACAATATCACAGGGGTAGAGTACACCCTCTGCAATTTCGGGAGTAACATCATCCTCTCGTTCCCTGGATATTATAAACAACACCACGGGGGGGTGGGGGTGTACACACCCTTCGATATTGGGAGTAATATAATCCTTTCCCTCCCTATATATTAGAAGCAATATCACAGGGGTTGGTGTAAACTTCTTGCGATATGGGGATTAATATCACCCCCCTCTCCTGCCCTGGATATTATGAACCATATCACAGGGAGGTGGACACACTTTGCGATATGGGGAGTAATATCACGCCCCTCTCCCCCCCGATATTACGAACCATATCACAAGGGAGTGGACCCCCCCCACGATATGGGGAGTAATATCACCCCCCTCTCCCGCCCTGGATATTACGAACCATATCACAGGGGGATGGACACCCCCCGCGATGCGGGGAGTAATGTCACCCCCTTCTGCCCCCTAGGATATTACGAACCATATCATGGACACCCTCCACGATATTGGAAATAATATCATCCTCTCCCCCTTGGATATTAGGAACAATATCACAGGGGGTTGTACACCTCCTATGATATTGGAAGTAATATCATCCTCTCCCTCCTGGATATTAGCAACAATATCACAGGGAGTGTGTACAACCCCAGCGATATTTGGAGTAATATCACCCTCTCACCCCATGGATATGAGAAACAATATCACAGGGGAGGTGTACATCCCACGTGATATTGTGTGTAATATCATTCTTCCCCAACCCCTGCAATATTGTGGTGTAATATAATTCTCTCCCTTCCTGGACATTATGAACAATATCACTACTAGGTGATACATTAGGAGTAATGTATCCATAGGATATTATGAGGAATATCACAGGGTGTACACCCACTGTGATATTAGAGGTAATATCTCCCTAAAATATTAAGAAGAATATCTTACACCCACTGTGACTTTAGAAGTAATATCTCCCTAAAACGTTACAAATAACATCGCAGGGTGTACACTCACAGTGATATTAGGAGTAATATCTCCCTAGAATATTACAAATACACATGGTGTAAACCCACTGTGACTTTAGAAGAACTATCTCCCTAAAATAATACAAAAATATCGCAGTGTATACCATAATATCCCCTAGAATATCATAAATAATATCACAGGGTGTACACCCACTGTGATAATAGGAATAATACCACCCCAGGATATTATGAATAATGTCACAGGCTGTACACCCACTATGACATTAGGAGTAATATCTCCCTAGGACACTATGAATAACATCACAGATTTTACACCCATGGTGTGCACCCACTATGATATTAGGAGTAATATCTGCACAGGATATAACAAATAATAGTACAGGGTGTACACATATGATATACACCCACTGTGATATTAGGAGAAATATATCCCTAGGATATTATGAATAACCTCTCAGAGTACACACACATGGTATACACCCTCTGTGGCATTAGGAACAATAACTTTCTAAAACATTACGAATAACATCACAGAATGTACACACATGGTTTACACCCACTGTGACAGGTGCAATATCTCCCTTGGATATTATGAATAACAACAAACTATCACTGTCATATTAGGAGTAATTTCTCCCTAGAATATTACAAATAACATCACAGGGTGTTCATTTATGGTGCACACCCACTGTGATATTAGGAGTAATATCTCCCTAGGATATTACTTTTCATATAAAAGTGTGTACATCCACTGTGATATTGGGAAAAATATTTCTCTAGGATATTATGAATAATATCACAGAGCGTACACCCACTGTGATATTAGGAGTAATAATTCCCTGGGTTATTATGAATAATATCACAGGATGTACAACCACTGTGATATTAGGAGCAATATCTTCCTAGGATATTACAAATAATATCACAGGGTGTACACCCACTGTGATATTAAAGTAATTTTTAGGTTATTGTGAATAATATCACCAAGTGTACAAACATGGTGTACACTCACTGTGATATCAGGAGTAATATCTCAGTAAAATATTATGAATAATATCACAGGGTATACACCCACTGTGATATTAGCAGTAGTATCTTTGTAGGATATTACAAATAATATCACAGGGTGTATGCCCACTATGACATTAGAAGCAATATCTCCCTAGGATATCAAAAATAATATCACAGGGTGTACAACTTCTACATCCCAGGTTCTAAGGGATTCTCCTGCTTCAGCCTCCTGAGTGGCTGGGATTACAGATGCCCACCACCACACCTGGCTAATTTCGTATTTTCAGTAGAGATGGGGTATCACCATGCTGGTCAGGCTGGTCTGGAACTTCTGACCTCAGGTGATCCACCAGCCTCGGCCTTCCAAAGTGCTGGGAATACAGGTGTGAGCCAACGTGCTTGGCAGAGAGTTATATATTAAATAAATCTGGAAACATAGCTCCCATGTTTGAGTGTGCATTTACTTTTATGAAGAAATTATGTCAGAAAACCTAAGGATGATAATAAATATGAAAAGTAACTGGCATGTAAAAAGGTCTTTTGATTAAGAACTATAAGGTTCGATTTCATTTTTAGATAACGTGATCCTAGCTCTTGTATAGTGCTTATAAATATTCTACATCAAAGGAATTTGTTGCACAGTGTCAGAATAAAATAAAGTGTATTTCACTGCTTCTTAATTTTTAAATTAGACTGAGTTTGTTTTCCTAGAGAGAGAAGAACATTTTTTATTTTTTCTGAAAAGAGTAGGCCATATTTTACTGAGATCTTAGATTTGTTATATATTAGGTTTTGGTCTTCTAACATTCTCCAGTGGATTTTCTCTAAAGTAGGTATGCACAGAAAGAGTTGAATAGCAAAAAAGTAAATCATGTAATAATTCTGAGATTTTTGGGTTTGTCACAACTGAGAAATATTGCTGAGGGTGTATGGTCCTCAAGTGTGAAAATGTTCCTTGTGAATTGCTTGTATCCGAAATATACACACAACATTAAGTCCTGGTTTTTATCTTTTATTTTTTCCAATCCTTTTTTCTTCTCAAGGTGTCCAAGTCACACAGAGCCACAGAATCTCACAGGTGTCTCAGAATTCCTCCTCCTGGGACTCTCAGAGGATCCAGAACTGCAGCCACTCCTTGCTGGGCTGTTCCTATCCATGTGCCTGGTCACGATGCTGGGGAACCTGCTCATCATCCTGGCCGTCAGCCCTGACTCCCACCTCCACATCCCCATGTACTTCTTCCTCTCCAACCTGTCCTTGCCTGACATTGGTTTCACCTTGGCCACGGTCCCCAAGATGATTGTAGACATGCAATCACATAGCAGAGTCATCTCCCATGCAGGCTGTCTGACACAGATACCTTTCTTTGTCCTTTTTGTATGTATAGATGACATGCTCCTGACTGTGATGGCCTATGACTGATTTGTGGCCATCTGTCACCCCCTGCACTACCCAGTCATCATGAATCCTCACCTCTGTGTCTTCTTAGTGTTGATGTCTTTTTCCTTAGCCTGTTGGATTCCTAGCTGCACAACTGGATTGTTACAATTCACCTGCTTCAAGAATGTGGAAATCTCTAATTTTTTCTGTGACTGATCTCAACTTCTCAACCTTGCCTGTTCTGACTGTCATCAGTAACATATTCATACATTTAGATAGTACTATATTTGGTTTTCTTCCCATTTCAGGGATCCTTTTGTCTTACTATAAAATTGTGCCCTCCATTCTAAGAATTCCATTGTCAGATGGGAAGTATAAAGCCTTCTCCACCTGTGGCTCTCACCTGGCAATTGTTTGCTTATTTTATGGAACAGGCATTGGCATGTACCTGACTTCAGCTGTGTCACCAGCCCCCAGGAATGGTGTGGTGGCATCAGTGTTGTACGCTATGGTCACCCCCATGCTGAACCCCTTCATCTGCAGCCTGAGAAACAGGGGCATTCAAAGTGCCCTGTGGAGGCTGTGCAGGAGGAAAGTCTAATCTCATGATCTGTTTCATCCTTTTTCTTGTGTGGGTTAGAAAGGGCAACCACATTAAATCTCTACATCTGCAAATCCTGCCCCCTTTGTCACATTACTTTTGTTGCTTGATGGCTTATATTCCTTTCCATATTTCCTATGTGAATATTGCTTTCTTTGTTATGCCTTTAACTGGAATGGGTGAGTATTCTGGGATCCTTTGTATAGCATAAACCTCATGACTGAATCCTCTATACCTAGGCGGCCTCCTTTAGTTTCTGAACAATAACCCTGTCGTCCAGGTGGAATCACAACCATCTTTTTATATACAGGAAGTCCTCACTTCATTTTGTAATTCCCTGAAAATTGACTTTATGGAAACAATGTACAGCAGGTCCTCCAACACCATTGGTTTGTTCAAAGTTGTCTAGTTATAATGTTGATGAGAAATAAATTGGTTTCACTATACATAATTTTGCTTAAAGGTGCAGTTTTCAAGAGACTGTCAAAGATGTTAAGTGAGGAATCCTGTACATCAAATTCACATCCTTTCCCACAGTTCATGTGGAATTCCTTTATAAGCTGCTTCTAGGGAATCTATTTAGGCAGGTTATGTATAGAGATCCATGTCACTGGTCTTCAATCTTGGCTTTGATTGAAATCACCTGGGTAGCTTACAAATGATGAGGCCTGAGTCTCATTACCTAAGATTCTGATTTACATGTACCTGTGTGGGTATGAGGATTTTTTTTTTTTTTAAGCAAAAGAGATGGTTCCAATGATGAAGTTCCTAGAGGGATCAAGCTCTGATGAGTAAGAATAGAACTTAATTGTAATATAATTTCTTCAAATGTTATCTTCAAATGCATTGTCCTTCAACACTATAAAAAATTTTTATTATGCTCTTTTGTCTTACCACTTAGCATTTTCATTTTACATTTGTTGAAGCGATAGATTTATACACACACTGATTGCTGCTTTATTTCACACTTGTACATACATAAAATGGGAAATAGAAAATAAAATGGTCACGGTGTTCCTAAAGTTTCTCATTCCGAAACATTTTTAAAATATTTGTTTTTAAAAAATTTGTTTCAATTAAGACACTGTGGTATACACACACAATAAAGTATTATTCAGACTAAAAAGGAATAAAATACTCTCCACTGCAGCAAAAATGGATGAGATTGCAGGTCAGTATATTAAGTGAAATAAGCCAGGCGCAGAATGACAAATATTACATGTCATCACTTATATGTAGGAACAAAAAAGAAAATATTGGCCAGGTGTGGTGGCTCATGCCTGTAATCCCAGCACTTTGGGAGGCCAAGTCGGATGGATCACTTGAGGCCACGAGTTTGAGACCAGCCTGGCAAACATGGTGAAACCACATCTCTACTAAAAATATAAAAATTACCTGGGGGTGGTGGTGCATGCCTGTAGTCCCAGCTACTTGGGAGACTGAGGCAGGAGAATTGCTTGAATCTAAAAGGCAGAGGTTGCAGTGAGCCAAGATCTTGCTCCAACTTGGGCAACAGAATGAGACTCCAACAAACTCATACACACAAAAGGAGTCTCATGAAGGTGGAGATTATAAAGGTGGTTAGCAGAGGCTAGAAAGAAAAGGGGTGCGATGGGGAATGAAGAGAAGTTGATAACTGGGTATAAAATACAAAAAGATGGAGCAAATGAGTCCTATTGTTTGACAGTACAGTATGGAAATTTTAGTTCACAAATATTTATTGCATATTTCCAGATGGCTTGGAAAGAAGATTCCTAACTTTCTCATTATGGTGGTTTCTAAGTTATTCTCTTTCTGCTCCAGTTACACCCTTCTATACTCTTGTTTTTTAGGCTGGATTGGAACTCTTGAAATCATCCTGTATTTTTATTTTTTATTTTATTTTATTTATTTATTTATTTTTTGAGATGGCATTTCATTCTTGTTGCCCAGGCTGGAGTGCAATGGCGTGATCTCGGCTCACTGCAAACTCCGACTCCTGGGTTCAAGCAATTCTCCTGCCTCAGCCTCCCGAGTAGCCGAGATTACAGGCATGCACCACCACACCCAGCTAATTTTTATTTTTAGTAGAGACCAGGTTTCTCCCTCTTGGTCAGGCTGGCCTTGAACTCCCAACCTCAGGTGACCCACCCGCCTCGGCCTCCCAAAATGTTAGGATTACAGGCGTGAGCAACCGCACCCGGCCCACGCTACATCTTTACCTGTTGTCTGTTGTTTGTTTGTTCTTGAGCCCAGAAATTACTTCTCACATACATGTTCAAATGATTTTTAACATGAGTGCCAAGAAAATTCATTGGTGGAAATGCAGCCTTTTCAACAAATGGTGTTGGAGAAACTTGATTTCCACATGCAGAAAAATGAAGGTGGACCCTATGTCACACGAGATGCAAAAACTAACACAAACTGGATCAAAGACCTAACCCCAAAAGCTAAAACCATAAAATGCCTAAAAGAAAATGCTGGCAAAACCTTTATGACATCAGAGTGGGGAATGCTTTCTGGGATATGACACCAAAAGCATAGGCAACAAAAGAAAATTAGATTTCTTGGATTACAGCTAAATGAGAAATATTTTTATGCATCAAAAAACACCATGAACTGAGTGAAAAAATAATCCATGGATTAGGAAAAATATTTGCAAACCATATATCTGAAAAGAGGCTGATATCCATAATATATAAAGAACCGCTAGAACTAAACAACAAGAAACCTAAGGCATCCCATTAACAATGGTCAGAAGACTTGAGTAGACATCTCCCTAAGAAAGATATACCAATGGCCAATAACCATATAAAATGGTATTCAAAATCACTAATCATAGGGAAGTGCAAATCAAACCAAAACTGTGATACCACACATTAGGATGGATATGATAAACAAACAAGCAATGGTGAAACTGGAGGGAAGTAGGAATGCTCAAACATGATCAGAATGTAAAACTGTGCAGGAACAGGGAAAACAGTATGGCGTGTACTTGAAAAATTAGAAACAGAATTATCAGATGATCCCGCAGTTGCATTTGTGGGTACCTACCATCTAGAATTAGAAGTCAGGAGTGGAAGAGATATTTGTACACCCATATTCATAGCAGCATTCTTCACAACAGCCAAAAACGTGGAAGCAACCCAAGGTTCCATGGACAGATGAATGAAAAAGCGCAGTGCAGTTCATTCATACAATGGAAGGCTATTCAGCCTTAAAAGGGCAGGCACTTCTTGCCAGCACGGTGGCTCACACCTGTAATCCCAGCATTTTGGGAGGCCGAGTTGGGCGGATGACCTGAGGTCAGGAGTTTGAGACCAGCCTGGCAAAAACATAGTGAAACTCTGTCTCTATTAAAAACAAAAAAAATTAGCCAGGCATGGTGACGTGTGCCTGCAGTCCCAGCTACTCCAGAGGCTGAGGCACAAGAATCACTTGAACCCATTTTGTTTCCTCTCAGTGAAAGCGATGCACACACTAGCTGCTTCTGTCTGCCATCTTGAACAAGAACCCCCTGAAAGAAGCTTTCTTGAACACTGCTTCTTCTAGAAGTGCTTACCAGGAATTCGAGCAGACATTCACCACCAAAATATAATAAAATAATCATCACCAGTATTTCTCAACTAACCCCCTAGTAAATCTAATTGCTGTCACATAACATCCTTCATTTGTTCTTTATTCTTCTATATTGACCTCCTTCACTCCCTCTCCATTTAAATAAACTAAAAGAATAAGACTGGAATGGGCCTCACAGCTATTTTAATTACATGTAACTATTTGTAAAACATATAAACAGAGGTCAAATCACTAGAACAACTTTCCTAACATGATCTCTATATGATCTGGCAACTGCATATGATCTAACTTTACCCCATACATAGTAGGACCTCAGAGAAGGAACATAAAAGCCAGAAGGCTTGTGTAGACATTTCCTGTTCAATATACATGACAGAAGTAAAAATAAACTTTCTCTACAACCTCTCCTTATCCTGCTTTAAGACCTGCAGGAACCTGGAATCTCTATCTTCCTACAGAGAGGAAAAAGGATTTTTTAGCAGTCTTTTGGGCAATAAATCTTGAAATTCTGAGACGAAGACAAAAGAATCAAGTCATTGCCAGACTTACCACAAGGCAAAGGAGGGAAAAAGGAAGAACCATTCACTAACCTGTGGTCTTTGCTCAGTCCTTGGACTCCTTAGGCAGCCTGGTCACTACATTCTCATTTAACTGGAGGTTATCTGTAAATAATACTTGTTGGTGCTGAAGACAAATTAGGCATCGATTGCTTAAGCATGTTTCACTACTGCTTAAAAGTACGCCTAAGACAACTGGCACCAGGTCTAAGGGGTTTCCAAAGGGCCTTTTAAGATCCTCTAGGGTTTTTGATTCCAAAGAATGACTTTGCAGTACAGAAATCAATATAAGATCTGAAAACCTGAAAATTGATTGATCTTTCCTCAGCTCCAAGGACCAATTAGATATTTTCCTGGAAATAAAGATACCATTTCTACTCAAGTCCTCAGAACCCTATTAATTAGAGACATAATCCTCATAAAATTGCAACCTGGATCACTGAACCCTTGTCTACAGTTTTAATGTCCCCTCCAAAACTCATATGGAAACTTAATCCTCAATGAGGCAGTATTGAGAGGTGGGGGTCATTAAGAGGTGATTGGATTATGAAAGCTCTGCCCTCATGGATGAATTAATCTATTGACGGATTAAGGAAATGGTTAATGGATTGATGGGTTGTCATGGGAGCGGTACTAGTGGCTTTATAAGGAGAGGAACAAGCACACACAAACCCTTCTCCATGTGCTGCCCTGTGCCACCTCAGGACTTTGCAGGGAGACCCCACCAGCAACAAGGCCCTCACCAGATGTGGCCCCTCAACCTTGTACTTCTCAACCTCCATAACTATAAGAAATGAATTCCTTTTCTCTATCAATTACCCAGTTTCAGGTATTGTGTCAAAGCTAACAGATAGCAGACTGAGACAACTTCCCACATCATGGACTTTGTCTTCACCAGTATTCTACCTCCTGAAAGAAACTACAAAACACCCACTCATCAGGTGTCACTGGCCTGGCAACCTCCCTTAAGCCAGACAAAGCTGAGAAAAAAAGACCAAAAAAACCCATATATGAATAACTGTAATGGTGTCACAGTGATCCATTATTGCCATCATGACCATTAAGAAGTTCTCACTCAAGGTCTATAGGCTCTTCATGCACACACAGCTCTACCATGTTTGCTTGTTCTGTTTGGTTTCCCTAAGCAGAAGTCAATTGAAGCCGTTGTTGCAAAAGACCATGAAGTTCCTGACCAAAAGACCATAAGAGCACACTCAGTATCTGCTGTGTGCCTAAACATAATTCTGAAAAGCTTTGCTTCTGTTCTCTTGAGTACAAATTAGTTGAGCAGATGTCCAAAAAGTCCCCTTTCTATAGTTCTTGACCAGTATTTACAGGTCCATACTCCATGACTATAAGTTCTTTGTTCCCATACCATTCTACTAAGCTTGGTTTTTGTTTTTGTTGGTGTTTTATTGTTTGTTTTGCTGTGTACCAAATGAAAATGGAAGTAGATAGATTACTACTATATTACTTGAAACCAGTAATAAGCGATAGGAGACAAACTGAAGAAAAAAAATAGAATAATCATAAAATTACATGTATATTACACCTCAAAAAGAAAGACAGTGTGGTATGATCTTGCTTGAGGCTATTGGTCCAACATGTGGGCCAACACATTAAGTGATATTCTTATGATGGTGACAATGAATTGTCAAGAAAGAATTGAAACTATATTTGGTTTATTCTTTATAAAAATGTAGAGGTGTGTGAAATCCATTTTTTTCTAATTTTTCAAACTAAATTGATATAGTTTGGCACTTGAAGGGGTAAGCTTTTGTCATAACGACAATAATAGCCATCACTCTACAGTGCCTACTCTACATATCCTGGTAATATGCCAGGTGCTTAATCCTGCTGGGCAGTGAGGCTGCAATGCAGCCAGGCATGAATCTGAGAGGGTTGGGAAAGGCAGAGCCATTCTGTTGTGGCCTTGGCAATTAGTTTTATTCTGAGAATTAAAGGCTTATAGATTGGCCTCTTAAGAAGACAGAGGAATGTGTAATGATTTTATTTAATTTACTGTATTAAGCTGATGTCATTTGGCACTTCAAGGAATAAGTTCTTGTTTTAATAATAATGGCCACCACTCTTAAGAATTTGCTTCATGCCAAGCAATGCATCAGGTATTCTAGCATAAAATAGCTTTAACCCTCCTAGGTAGTTCTTACTATCCCCATTTTACATGTTCAGAAACTGTAGTTTAGGGAGATTATTATCTGCCTAAGAACAATAAGCGAGTGGTAGAGCCAAGACTCAAATCCAGTTGCATAAGACCTCAAAGCCCCACTCTTCATAATCTCAGTCAGAGTCTATTTATATAAGAAATCCCCTTATATGTAACTTATTATTCCCTGGCAATACCCATAAAAGAGTCATCTCTGTAATGAGCTTTCTGGTACCATGGGAAGCTTCCTATCTCTATCTCTCTTGTTCCACGGAACAATGTTCCTGGCCAGGGAGTGAAGAGCCATTCTAGATCCGGGTAGTCTGAGCCAAGGGAGAATTTTAATCATGTTAAAGGAATCCATCCTGAGTAATTCCTTGACGTCACCCACCAAGTCCATCCACCTCTCAGTGACCAGCCTGGCCCTTTTCCACTATACTCAGCTCTTTCCCTGGCAGCTGAAGTCACCATAAAAATAGCCTCTGGACCTTGGAAGGAACCTCTCCTGGTGCCTACAGCAAATAAAGTACCACTGAGGTTGGGAAGAATTGTTCCCTGGGCAACAGTCAGCTCCACTCTACAAAAATCTCAGTTAAGCCCTCTCATTTTCCAAGAATGAGAGGCCAGGAAAACCCCCATAGAAATAAAATCCCATTCTTTCTTTCTGCCATAAATGTTTTTCTCATTTCTGATCTAACCTAAAATGTACTGACTTGGTGTCCCTTGTTCTAAGCTCTAATGGCAGTTAATATGTCCCATGGTAGGGAGGAGTTACACATAAAATCTTCACAAGCCCCAGTGCCTGAGTATGAATAACTACCAACTTATCTCATGGGAGTAGGGAGACATTAGAAATCTTCCCCACACTGGGTGCTGGAAAGTCCTGAGGCTCACCTACACACCCCTCATGTTTTAGCAATTCCCTATTGCCTGCCCAACGTCAGCGAAGCCACTAAATTTTTTTAAGTGGATTTTTTTCAAATGTGTTTTAATTCAATGATCAATTTATTAGAAACCTGCTCTTTGGTTATTTGTCAAAGGAGTCTAGCAAGATATCTAAGCCATGGGTTCAAAGGCTAAGCTCCAACTTTAAGATTTAATAGCACCATCATAATATGCTAAGACATGGACTAATGTGGTGGCAAAGGTTTCATTCCCTACCCCTACTGGAAATTCACCCCAGAGATGTCTGCACCAAATCTGACACCAGTTGGCTCAGTATCTCCCCTTTGTTTACAGCATATCTAAACATGAATATAAAAGGGACACATAATAAATTGGAAGTTGATAAAAGAGAAACTTCTGATACATGAGATTTCATGATTTCTAGACAGTCCACCTGAGGAGTGAATGCCAACAACCATACAGTACATATTCAGGAGGTCTCCCTTCCCAGCAAAAGAGGCATAGAGGATGGCACCTGATATAAAGAGGGCTTGTCTTTTCTCCTCATCCTCTTCCCCAACCCAGTAGATGGATCCCTCAACAGAGACTCTGTCATTTCCCCCATTTAGACACTTTCTGGTTCTGGCCCCACCATCTCTGGGAGGCTTCCTAAAAGTGCTTGCAGCCTGTTTCTCCAACCCCCATCATTTACATTCCTGGCCAATTAGCCCAGCCTTTACTTATTATGGCAGACATAAGAATGACCTCCCCCAAAATGTTCACACCCTAATCCCTGAGAACAGAGCAAAAGGGACCTTGCAGATGTGATTAAATAGAGGACCCTGAGATAGAGAGATTATCCTGGATTCTCCAGGAGTTGGCCCTAAGGTAATCACAAGGATCCTGTCAAGTAAAAGAGGGAAGCAAAAAAGGAGGTCAGTGATGTGATGTGAGATGTATTCCACTTTGGGTTTGAAGACAGAGGAAGGCGGCCATGAGCTAAGGAACTTGGGAGGCCTCTAGAAGCTGGAAATTGAAAGGAAATGGATTCTCCCCTAGAACCTATAGAAAGAAAAACAGCCCTGCAAACATTTTAGACCAGTGAGACCCATGTTGGATGTTGAACTTCTAACCTACAAAAATGTAATATAATAAATGTGTGTTGTTTTAAGCCACTAAATTTGTGGTAATTTGTTACAGCAGCAATGAGAAACTAGTATACTTATTCACTATCTTGTATTCTTCTTTCATTATTTCAGTTGTGTGGGTCTTGTCTCCCTGAGAGACCACATAGTGCTTTTAGTAAATCGGTCTTATTCATTTCCACCTTTTCCTGCATATGGTGAACCCTCAATCCTGTTAACTTCATTATCTCACTTCCTCTAGATAATGCTGAACCTCTGACAGCAATAGAGTTCAGGGAGAAACAAATGAGGCATCAGGTCACCCAATTACTAGCAACCTAACTTAGCTCTCAATGGCCACCAAGAGAACAAACTCTACTATTCCCTAGTCCAGGGGTCCTTACATAAAATGATGACAGCAAACATAGAAGGTGAGGCAACCTGGATTTACTCACATTTCTCAGGTTATACCAGCAGGAGACCAACAGGTAGGCCCAAGATGGTCTCAAACACAAAAACTCAGCATATCTTCTTTATTTGCAATACAAGGCCTTAGCCATATGATCTCAGTCTTTTTTCTCTACTCATAATGCACTCCAAACCCACCCAAGATGATCTGGAGATCAAGGATGGCTCTACCTGATTGCCTCATTTGCACACAGCATTTGTGGACACAATGTCATTAACACAAGAAGAGAGCCTAGTTAGAAAAGCTGGTGGGGGTCTCTTCATTAACTCCAGTTAACTAGCCATACTTTTCTCTTTGCTTTTTGGTAACAAAGATATAAATAGTCCTACACTTCTTTCTTTCACCTGCTCCTCATATATTTTAATAAAAGTACTTACTTGGTTCATTCTATTTCTACTAATACAGAATATTTCCAAACATGTATAGCCATATAATTATAATTTTATAACCCCTCTAAACAAATGCATTTTATGTATTTATTGTATGTACTACTTGACATAATATATTTCTCAATGCATATTCAATTGATTTACCTTCCAACCAAATTATTTATTGAATATTTGTTAAAATATTGGCTGGACCTACCTGAAGGTTAGCCTCTTTTTTCATGCCTCTCACTTCAGAGGCATCCTCTGAGGAGAACTTTTCAGGGCTGATTTTCAGGCTCCATCAGAACTATGGGTTGGGCTGTATGTGAACTCACCAAGTAGCCACATTGAAAAGCTTCTGCTGACAACTTGCAGAAAGATGGGCATCCAGACAAAGACCAGGAGTTCATTGCAGATTCATTTTCACAAAGCAGAGAACTTAGTGCTCCCAGTTCAGCTGGCATCCTCTCTGTCCCCTTTCAAAGGGTACCAGTACATCTTTTGTTGACAAGGAGACAAGGACCAGGACATTTGTCCCTTCTTCTCCTGTCTCTTCTGAAAATCACTTATCCCTCATATTTAGGTGGGGGAGCAGTACCTTTTCTGATTGTGTCACTGCAAAGAATGACATATCCTTCCTCCTTCATGTTGAACTCCTCAGTTGTTCTTTTAGAAGACAATGGTACCTGCCAGTGTAAGTGGAGGAAGCCAAATAGCAGGTGTTATAGGAAAGTACTGTAAAGCAGCATAAAATTCACAGCATGTTCATAGAATGTCAGAATTAAAAGGGAATTTAGGAATCCCTCGATCCCATAAAAGTTCATATATCAGATGTGGAAACAGAGGCCCAAATGATTTTCTCAAAGCCATACCCTTAGGGGTGAGAATTAGAACCCTAACTCCTGACTCCCAGCACTGTTTCTACTAACTCCTATCTCATCCCATCTCAACCCCCATATCCACTGGCAAAATAGAACACTCCATAAAATCAACCACAATTTCAGACAAGATGAAGTAATGCATGATGCTAAATATAGGAAGTTAAGTCATTTGGATTTTTGTTTGTTTGAACTCAAGTGTTTTAAAATTTTATCTTATGAATATTATTATAAATCTGATTTGGGTTTTATTCTTTAGCAATTTACTTATCTTAAGTGGTGGCACCAATGTTTATTTTCCTGCTGCAAAACTGTCAATGTTCCCAAATATTGGTACAGGAATTGTAAATGATTTATGCCTGCTGATTGAGTCTCTCACTACAAATCACATTAGCCCTGAAGCAGGCAGACATGCCCATATCTTCCTCTGAGTCAGTGCCTGGATCCAGGGGACCAGACCTCTTACCTGACATGGCAGAGAGATAAGCTATGTTTCAGGTCCTCAAAAGGAGCCTGGAAAATATAATTAATTCAAGCCAAATACTCTTACTATTCCCTTGCATATACAACAAAGATAAAAATATCTATCTTATTAAACTGTTGAGAGTAAGAAAGATAATATACACACAGTGCCTGGCACACGGATGGAACTTAGTTGATGGTAGTTATAATATTTATAATATCTTTTCTTTGTTTCAATTTAATATGATTTATATGACTTTTCATACTTACTGCACATGCAACATCTTTTAGATAATTCTATATCTAGGTTATTAGTAAAACATTGATATCCTCTTCAGTATTTATACAGATGCCCCTCTTCTAAAGTCTTCAGCAAAATTCCCACTGGGGAATTTCAGCTGTCTCTCACTCTTTTTTTTTTTCACTTTTATTTCCATATTAAAGGTTTTTATTTTTAAGGTATACAATATGATATTTTGATACATGTATACTTTGTGAAATGATTGCAACAATCAAGTTAATTAACATATCATTACCTCACATAGTTTCCTGTGTGTGTGTGTGTGTGTGTGCGCTTAGAGCTCTTGAGATCTACTCTCTTTGCAAATTTCAAGCATATGTTAACTATAGTCACCAGGCTGTATATTAGGTCTCCAGAACTTACTCATCTTATAACTGAAAGGTTGTATCCTTTAACTAGTATTTCTCTTTTACCCCCAACCGCAGCCCCAAATAATCACCATTCTAACCTTTGTTACTGAGTTCGACTTGTTTTTTGAGATTCTACATATAAGTGAGATCATGTATTACGTGTCTTTCTGTGCCTCACTTATTTTGTGTGTCATAATATTCCCCAGGTTCAGCCATGTTGGCACAAATGACAATATTTCCTTCTTCTGAATAATACTGCTGACTAATATTCCATTGTGTGTGTGTGATAAACACACACCACATTTTCTTTAATAATTCATTCATCAATGGACACTTAGGCTGTTTCTGTATCTTGGTTATTGTGAATCTCGCTGTCTCTTTGGCAGCCATTTCTGTACTCCCTTCCCCAGAAGCAGCTTTACTGCAGTCTAAAAGTGTCTTAGGAAAATGATTCAGAAGCAACTACTTCTCTTGGCATGTTCTTCAGTAAACACGATGATGGAAAGCTTTGATTTCTGCCCTTCTTTAAACAGTGCAATCGATTTTCAGTTGGGATTTTTTCCAGTTAATTTGATAGCTCCACGTTTCTACCAGGCTGAAGAAAATGTATGTGTTGTGGGCTGTTGTATTACTGTTGCTGGTGGTGCTGTTGCTACTGCTGAGATTTTGTGGTTGAGTCCATATTATAAAGGAATTGTAGAGCAGTAATAAATTTAACTTGAGCTCTGAACTCAAGCCTTCAGGTGTGACTTTTTTAATCACGTGGAAATTCACGTAAGAATTTTCAACCAGACTTCATGTTTATTTTTATTTCTTAAGCAAAGGGTACAGGAATCTGGTCTAAACGAATGGGAACAAACATTACAGTTAGACTTTATTGGAGTGTTGTAAAAATGTTTTTTTCCAAAATCAGATTGTTTCAAAACTGACCCTGGTTTCCAGATTTTTAAGTTAGGAAGTAAGACAGTAAAAATCAAGGGTCAAATAGTCAAGCGACTATTTTTTTAAAATCAGCATTTTCCTTGGCGACTTCCGTTAGACCATGCTCTGTTTAGTACTGAAACTCAGAGAAGTTCCAGGAATAGCGGGATGAAATCTAAGTGATCCGCTCACGGGAAGCTCTACCCTTCCTTCGCTCGCTCAGTAAATCCGGGATGGGCTCAGAGAATGACTTCGCATTTTGCACCAGAAGATCTCAGTCTTTAGAGAGAACCCTAGACGAAATCCTTACTTCCCTGCCTCATTCCTGAAAACTTCTACCTGGGAACCGACTTGCTGTGACAAATAAAATGGGAGGAGTCTGGCTGAATAGTTTGTGGATTTCGGAAAGCAAAGCGAAATGCCGCTCTAACTAGGTCCGAATTTTCTGCAAGCTACCTTGTGAAACTGGTGAATTTGCCAGAATGAATTTTCATTCATTTAACTTTGGCGGATCGTCTACTAGGGTGCCTGGCATGGTGCTAATTGCTGGAGAAAATGATTTTCAAACAAAAACGAAAAAAACTTTCGGCCCCCAGCAAGGAGCCAGGCAATTCCTACAAACTCAAGGAGTGCTTGAGAGGTGAGTTAATGACCGTCCCTCCTGTCCTAAAGAGACAGACTTTTACAGTCAGTCTTGAAACTGCTCGGGGCTACACTAGCGCCCTCTGGACGCAGACTCTGGTTAGCGCCCCACGGCACCAGCCTTTGATTTGTAGCTGCCAAAGATTTGATAGTGGGGAGTACGTGTCTATTCTGAAGGCTGAAGACACACACCACAGTCAGGAGTAGAATTCCGACCCCTCAAAGTGACATGGCCACAAAATCTGCGTCTACTGGCTTTCATTTTGCGGTCACCGTGGCACGGGCGAAAGCTATGAACTCTCTCTTTAGGAAAACACACATCACAGACACACACACTTACAAACGGTTTCAGGAGGTTCTTATGTTAGAAACCTCTGGTCTTGGAAAAAAATCATTTCCGCTGAAGTATGTGGTAGCTGAGCGCAAATACCCTTCTGCTACAGCCCCAGTGGCAGAGGCCCAAGCACTACGCCCCACTCAGTGCCCGCACTGCGGCCTTCGCAACTCTTCAAGCAGCTCTGCACCGAAAACCCAGGCCGGAGATCCGAGCCTAAACTGCTGAAAAGCTCCAAGGCTCCGGACAGGGTCTCAGCAGGGGTTATCTTCCTTCAGGATCCGGGGCTCATTGTGCCCAAGATCCGCCATCCAAGCCCTGCTCTGCGCGCAGCTTGCCTGTTTCACGCTCTGCGCCTGACACGCGCCGGTGTCCTCCCGGGCCAGTTCCAGTCCCGGGTCCTGTGGCCGCCCTGCCGGCGGACCCTGCGGAGAGCGAGTCTTAGATACCCAGTCCCCAGCCCCGAGTTGTTATTCCCTCGCTGTAGTTAAGAAGGAGGAGATCAATTAAGGGCATCTTAGAAGTTAGGCGTTCCCGCTGCCTCCTTTGAGCACGGAGGCCACCAACCCCCTAGGGGGAAGAGATGTAGCGCGAGGCAGGGGTGTCGTGCTAAGAAATTTCGACGCTTCTGGGGACTGAGGACAAAGGTGCGGACACGACCCCGGGGTACCTGGAGTTCCGTGACTCGCGCCACGGACGGCACACCTAGGGGCTAATTTCTGCTCTGCCTCAAAGAACCTCAAGCTAGAGTCCTTGCCTCCGCCCACAGCCCCGGGATGCCGCTGCTGCGCTCACCGCACAGGCAGCGCCCGGACCGGCTGCAGCAGATCGCGCGCTGCGCGTTCCACCGGGAGATGGTGGAGACGCTGAAAAGCTTCTTTCTTGCCACTCTGGACGCTGTGGGCGGCAAGCGCCTTAGTCCCTACCTCTGCTGAGCTGAACGCTCAGGCACAGTGGAACTGAAACCCGGTTCTGCGGGATGTGAGAGCTGTTGAGGTCACGCGTAATTGGGTGTGATGGAGGGCGCCTGTTCGTGATGTGTGCAGGTTTGATGCAAGCAGGTCATCGTCGTGCGAGTGTGTGGATGCGACCGCCCGAGAGACTCGGAGGCAGGCTTGGGACACGTTTGAGTGAACACCTCAGGATACTCTTCTGGCCAGTATCTGTTTTTTAGTGTCTGTGATTCAGAGTGGGCACATGTTGGGAGACAGTAATGGGTTTGGGTGTGTGTAAATGAGTGTGACCGGAAGCGAGTGTGAGCTTGATCTAGGCAGGGACCACACAGCACTGTCACACCTGCCTGCTCTTTAGTAGAGGACTGAAGTGCGGGGGTGGGGGTACGGGGCCGGAATAGAATGTCTCTGGGACATCTTGGCAAACAGCAGCCGGAAGCAAAGGGGCAGCTGTGCAAACGGCTCAGGCAGGTGATGGATGGCAGGGTAGGAAGGGGGAGGTCCAGAGGTCTGGATGGAGGCTTCCGCATCTGTACCTTGCAACTCACCCCTCAGGCCCAGCAGGTCATCGGCCCCCTCCTCACACATGTAATGGATCTGAAGAGTACCCCGGGACAGTCCGGGGAGATGGAGATTCGGAAAGTATCCATGGAGATCTTACAGAATCCCCTGTGCGGACCAGGAAACTCTTGTAGATCCCTGCCTATCTGAGGCCCAGGCGCTGGGCTGTTTCTCACAATATTCCTTCAAGATGAGATTGTGGTCCCCATTTCAAAGATGAGTACACTGAGCCTCTGTGAAGTTACTTGCCCATGATCACACAACCAGGAATTGGGCCAACTGTAATTGAACTCCTGTCTAACAAAGTTCTTGCTCCCAGCTCCGTCTCTTGTTTCCCACGAGCCCTGGCCCTCTGTGGGTAATACCAGCTACTGGAGTCAGATTTCTTGGGCCCAGAACCCACCCTTAGGGGCATTAACCTTTAAAATCTCACTTGGGCAGGGGTCTGGGATCAGAGTTGGAAGAGTCCCTACAATCCTGGACCCTTTCCGCCAAATCGTGAAACCAGGGGTGGAGTGGGGCGAGGGTTCAAAACCAGGCCGGACTGAGAGGTGAAATTCACCATGACGTCAAACTGCCCTCAAATTCCCGCTCACTTTAAGGGCGTTACTTGTTGGTGCCCCCACCATCCCCCACCATTTCCATCAATGACCTCAATGCAAATACAAGTGGGACGGTCCTGCTGGATCCTCCAGGTTCTGGAAGCATGAGGGTGACGCAACCCAGGGGCAAAGGACCCCTCCGCCCATTGGTTGCTGTGCACTGGCGGAACTTTCCCGACCCACAGCGGCGGGAATAAGAGCAGTCGCTGGCGCTGGGAGGCATCAGAGACACTGCCCAGCCCAAGTGTCGCCGCCGCTTCCACAGGGCTCTGGCTGGACGCCGCCGCCGCCGCTGCCACCGCCTCTGATCCAAGCCACCTCCCGCCAGGTGAGCCCCGAGATCCTGGCTCAGGTATATGTCTCTCCCTCCCTCTCCCTCCATTCGTCATTTTCTCACTCCCTTTCCTCCTCTCCCTCTCTCTCCGTTAGTCTCTTCATCAGATAGTCTCTGTTAGTCCGCGATTTATACCAGGCTCGTGCCCTAGGTTGGATCGGACAGTCTCAATCCCCCGGCTCGCTCTTCCTGCTCGGCTGCGGACTCCAGTCTTACTCTCTCGCACTGCACACAGGCTTAGGCCAGTCTCGGGACACTCAGGCTCCCCAGGGACCGCGCACAGAGCCTGAGGCAAGAGAAACTTTCCGCAGACGGTGCGATCAGGGACGGCGTCTGGAGCCCAGCAGTCCCAGGGAAATTGGTTCAGAACCTGGAACAGAGCGGATGGGTGGCAAATAGGCACGACGACTGAGGGACAAGCAGCCCTAAACTGCAAGCCCCAGTCACAGGCTCTGGGAGCAAAGAGAGAAAGTCTTGGGTCCCAATTTAAGAGTAAAACTTGGTTCCTGCAGGGGACTGAGGTGCCAGCAGGCGGAGCTTAGGCTGAGCACTAAAATTGATTCTTTTATTTCTCAGATTCCAATTGCAGAGATAATCTCTGTGGATAGATCCCACCCCTCCCACCAAGGTGTATGCAAAAGCCCCAGAAGAGGAGGACAGCTCTGGGTTTCCTTATGGGATCAGCTTCTGTGACAGGGGCCTGGGAGCATGTCCTCCACAGAGACCTGGCTAACAGGTTTATATGTATCTGTGTGGCTTTGGGGAGAAGGGTAGGACTGAGACCTCCCCCACTCAGCTCTCCCTCTAGGATCGCTCCTCCAGCTCTATCAGACTGTGCATGCTACAGGCCCACTGAACCTCCCAGAAGTCCACTGTGCTGATGAGGAAACAAAAAAGAAGAGAAATATAATGACCAGTCTGAAGCCACAAAGCCAGAGCGTTAGAAGCAAGACAGAAAACCAGGATAGGAGCCAAGGTCTGTGGGCTCCTAGAACTTCGAACTGGCGCAGGTGGTTTATCTCATTCTTCCCTTGCAGAGAGGTGTCATGGGCTTCCAAAAGTTCTCCCCCTTCCTGGCTCTCAGCATCTTGGTCCTGTTGCAGGCAGGCAGCCTCCATGCAGCACCATTCAGGTAAGACAGCCTGAAGCCAGAACCACACTGGTATCAGACAATTCCATGCCTCTTAAGTGTGGTGTACTGAATGCTTAAAAACCGACAGGGGGCCGGGGTAAGGTATGTACTCATGCACATATATAATTTTTTGATATAAAAATGTGTGGTACACAATTTATAAGTAGTGATAAATATTTAGACAATATTCTTCATTATAATTTTTTTGAGACAGAGTCTCACTCTGTCATCCATGCTGGAGTGCAATGGCACCGTGTCGGCTCACTGCAACTTCCATCTCCTGGGTTCAAGCAATTCTCCTGCCTCAGCCTCCCAAGTAGCCGGGATTACAGGCGCCCACCACCATGCCCGGCTAATTTTTGTATTTTTAGTAGAGATAGGGTTTCACCATGTTGGCCAGGCTGGTCTCAAACTCCTGACCTCAGGTGATCCACCTGCCTCAGCCTCCCAAAGTGCTGAGATTACAGCCGTGAGCCACCGCGCCCGGCCTATTATAAATTTTATATAGCCCACTGAGTCTCACAAAATGCTTTTGTTGCTTTTAGCCAAACTTTTGTATGTGTAGCCATCCTATTTATCCTATTCAGCCATGATTTGAAAAATGAATTGCATCCTATTCTGTTAAATAGTTTGCCACTAAATTTGTTATTGTTAAATCTGGTATTTTACCTGTTGATCTATTTCTCACCCACATATAAATCTATTAAACTGAAACTATTTTCAGGTTCAGCACTAACTGTAAGTTTTTGCATTTAATTTTTAATAATGGCTGCACTCAGCTTGCAAAATTCTTGAAAATTTAACCATTAGCTTTCACAAGCCTATACAAACTGGCTCCAGCACACCACTGTTTAGAGGCCACACCAGTGCCTGGGTCCTGAGGAGGACACTGGCCTTGTGCCCTGTCCCCTAGGACTCCCGCTGGCCACATCCTCAGGGGAAGAAGCAAAGACCAGGAAGCCTGGCTGCTTATCCTGGGGAGGGGCAGGCAGGGGCTCACAGCCTGCACTGAGTTTGCTTCCCCTCCACAGGTCTGCCCTGGAGAGCAGCCCAGCAGACCCGGCCACGCTCAGTGAGGACGAAGCGCGCCTCCTGCTGGCTGCACTGGTGCAGGACTATGTGCAGATGAAGGCCAGTGAGCTGGAGCAGGAGCAAGAGAGAGAGGGCTCCAGGTGAGGCTCCCCAAGCGCTCAGCACAGGGCCTCCTCTCCCCGCAGCATACACAGGAAGGTGGATCCCGAGAGGTAGGAGAGAACACACTGGCCAGGAATCCAACAGGCTGTGTTGTTCACCGGGACCTGGGGCCCAGCTGTTCTCAGCCTCCAAGGGAGACAGAGGTCCCACTGCAGCTGGAGGTACCGTGGTTAGACATAACAAAAGGCTCCGTTTCTGAAAGTTCTTAGGAAATGAAATGGGGAGGTGTGGAATCGCTCACTGTGGGAATTGTTCTTGCAGTACTGGGAGACCTCCCAGCACTGGATGAGTTAAGACTAGTAAGGGTGAAGTCAGGGATACACATAGTACATCTCAGGAAGTTTTAGAAATTTGGATCCACCTTGTTAATCTGCATACGACATTCTTTCACACCTGCAAGGAGCTTTCATTTCACATTTGCAAGGTGAAGGTGAGGCCCTTGCAGGGGATGGGGATGGGTAGAGCAGTGTCTGAGGTAGGTTTGAGCCTTTAAATGTGTGGCATCTGTGGAGATGTGCATGTTGTCAGGAGGCCAGGGAGAGCACCCTTCCCCAGATCCACATCCCTGTGTACCTTGAGCCTGAGCAGAGACCAGCCCCTGGCCTGGCCCCAGCACTGCTCAGGCAGAGGCATGTGTTGCCCCTGCATCTGCCCTGAGAACCCCTCTGTCAAGCATGAAGGACTGAACAGCATGTGGAATGCCAGAAAAGATCATCCTTCCCCATCCAGCCCTTCCCTGCATTGCCCTAGCCCACTGCACCTCTGAGCTCTCCTAATGAAGGATAGATAAGTGAGCTGCCCTCCTGCCTGCCCCTCCTGCTCCCAGGGTCCCCTGCCTGGTCTAACCTTCTAAGTGACTGCCCATGGGGACAGATTCTGGTGCATGGTACTGTCTGGTATGTGTTTTCCCTGCAGCCTGGACAGCCCCAGATCTAAGCGGTGCGGTAATCTGAGTACTTGCATGCTGGGCACATACACGCAGGACTTCAACAAGTTTCACACGTTCCCCCAAACTGCAATTGGGGTTGGAGCACCTGGAAAGAAAAGGGATATGTCCAGCGACTTGGAGAGAGACCATCGCCCTCATGTTAGCATGCCCCAGAATGCCAACTAAACTCCTCCCTTTCCTTCCTAATTTCCCTTCTTGCATCCTTCCTATAACTTGATGCATGTGGTTTGGTTCCTCTCTGGTGGCTCTTTGGGCTGGTATTGGTGGCTTTCCTTGTGGCAGAGGATGTCTCAAACTTCAGATGGGAGGAAAGAGAGCAGGACTCACAGGTTGGAAGAGAATCACCTGGGAAAATACCAGAAAATGAGGGCCGCTTTGAGTCCCCCAGAGATGTCATCAGAGCTCCTCTGTCCTGCTTCTGAATGTGCTGATCATTTGAGGAATAAAATTATTTTTCCCCAAAGATCTGAGCTGTGGTGGTCATTGCTCTGATCTATGTCCCAGGCTTCATAGTGTCTAAGACCTATGCTTAGAAATAGCCTTAACCCTAGGCTAGCTGGACAGAGGATATGGTGGGTGGTCCCTTTGACCAAGCTCAAGCAGGAAGAACAGGGGTCCTAAGGAGCAGGTAAGCACCTCTAGGACTTGATGCTGCAAACTCCGCTCCTCTTCCAGGTAAGACTGAGGAATTTTTTATTTTCCTAAGAAAGGGTATTTGGTGCCCGTGACTGGGGTGTAGATTTTATAGTCCTTTGTGAATGGGGCTGGGTGTGGGACCATAATTCACTCCAGTGTCATAAACCTCCGCTTTGATTTTTAGTTAATTTATACAGGAAAGATTGGCTGTTACTGCTCCACATTCCATAGCCAGTCATCCAGAGTCACCTTGGGTTTTCTGACACCCCTGGGAATATCTATGGGGAGTGATCATGGCATTTTCCCTAATGGCCTTGTGATTTTCTGCTCTGATAATTGTGTTTAGGAGAAACACTTAAAGTTAATTGGTGCCTTTCAGCACAGCAACTTTACCATGAAGGTCCCATGGGGCTGACCTCTCTCCCAGCCTCTCACTCACAGATCTTCTCTTCTTTCTCCATCCTGCAAATCAGAATCATTGCCCAGAAGAGAGCCTGTGACACTGCCACCTGTGTGACTCATCGGCTGGCAGGCTTGCTGAGCAGATCAGGGGGTGTGGTGAAGAACAACTTTGTGCCCACCAATGTGGGTTCCAAAGCCTTTGGCAGGCGCCGCAGGGACCTTCAAGCCTGAGCAGCTGAATGACTCAAGAAGGTGACTGCCCTTGTATGATGGGATGGGAAGATGAATGACTGGTTTTTACAGGGGTGTAAAACCACTCTGAGCCTCTCTGAGACCATGTGGTTTTAAAAAATCCATAAGGGAAGGTACCCACACCAGTATCTGAGTTCCAGTAGCTAAGACCCTAGAATTTGGATTCATCTCTGTTTTTTCAGTCTCTCCTTGTAACCCTGAGATCATCAGACCAAGAAATACAGATCCTGTTTATTTAGAACACTGCTGTTTGACATTTATAATTTTGATTATTCTAGCCTTTGAGTTTGAAAGATAATGACACTATCATTTTAGAGTATACATTACTATGTTGTGTACCTCTGAATTAAGTGTACAGACTTGAGTTCAAGAACTGTATTTGCCCTTTACCAGCTATATGACCATGAACAGGTTACTTAACTCTCTCCAAGCCTCAGTTTCTCCATCTGTAAATTGAGGGCTACAATAGTACCTACCTCCAAGCATTACTATAAAGAGCAAGTGAGGTAATAGATGTTAAGTCTGACAATTAACCAGTAACTAAATTCTAGCTGTTATTTTCTTCCTCCTAGGTCACAATAAAGCTGAACTCCTTTTAATGTGTAATGAAAGCAATTTGTAGGAAAGGCTCCATGGAAGACATACATATAGGCATCCTTCTTGATACTGAAAACTATCTTCTTTGTTTGAAAGGAACTATTGCTAAATGCAGAACAAGCTCATTGCAGTTACCTATTGTGCATCTTTTTAAATACTTGATTATGTAACCATAAATCTGACAGCATGTCTCATTGGCTTATCTGGTAGCAAATCTAGGCCCCGTCAGCCACCCTATTGACATTGGTGGCTCTGCTAAACCTCAGGGGGACATGAAATCACTGCCTCTTGGGCATCTGGGGACACATGGTAATGCTGTGCCTTGACAGAAGTATTTGTTTAAAGAAATGTCAATGCTGTCATTTGTGAACTCTATCAAAATTAAAAATGTATTTTCTATACCCTTCAATGGAATCTCTGCTGCTATTTATGCTATTTTTCCCAGGAGAGTTTCAGGGGCCTGTAAGCACTCTGTTGACCAACCAATCTGACTCACTTAGCACAAAGACAACATGCCTGGGATGGATCCCTAGTGTCTTGTACCCTCAGTTTCTAGTGAAGCATCCCCTATTGGAATTAGGGCCTTGTGCATGTCAAAGAGAACAATTCATATTTATTTTCAGAGGGTGCCCTGGTCTCCAGCCTCAGAAGTTACCCATGTACTCCTCCTTCATGCAGGTTTGCCTTTACCCATCCCTGCCCTTCCTCCATATAAGAAGCTCTTCATGCACCCCTTAGCCTGCTTTAGATGGCTCAGAGCCTAAAATGGGGATCACAGACTGGCCAACCTAGAAAGGTCATCAATGCCATTCAACCCAACTTTTTTATTCTGTGAGGTTCAGAGAAATGTCTTGCTCAAGGTCCAGCAATAGGTTTAACAGAGACATTCACATACTTCACAAATACTTATTGAGTGCCTGCTATATGCTAGGCACTATTCTAGGCACTAGGAATAGAGCAATGAACTGAACAGAGCAGACAAAACTCCCTGGGCTCATGGGCTTACATTCTAGTGGGGGAGATTGAGGTGGTACATGCTATAGAATCAAGGACTCTCAGTATTGGAAGGAATCCAGAATGTCATAGAGTCTGATGCCTTCCTTATTCAAGGTAGGAATTACCCAGCATCAACAACCATAGCATCCTTTGGGACCACCAGTGACAAGCTGCTGAGTGTAACTCCCAAAGTGAGTTGGCAGCCAGTTTCACTGGTGGTAGTCAGCTAATTAGGGTTAGTTATTAGCTAACTAGTCAGCTAGTGGTTAGAAAAGTCAGCTCCTTCTACCCACTGACTCTATTTTCTCAGGCCATATAGAATTATGCCCCCTTCTCTCCTTCAGTCTGTATTCAACACAATAACCCACTGTGACTGTAAAAGATAGATCACACCGTGTCTCTCCTATGCTCAAAACATCCCAGTGACTCCCCATCTCATGAGCAAACACCTGAAGCATTGCAGGCCAAGTTGATCTTCCCTTTCTCTCCTCTCACCACCACCCCCATTACCTGCCTGACCTCATCTCCTACTCTCCCGCACACTGGCCCTCTTACTATTCCTCAACTTCTGTCTTCCAGCACTCAACCACCACTCGTACTCTGTGAAGAACACCCTCCATCCACGGCCCTCATCTCCTCCAGTTATTTCTCAGATGTCACCTATCCTGACCATTCTTTCTGAAATTGCACTCCACTCCCACTAACAACATACGCTAGCCCTCTTCTTTGCTTAATTTTTTTCTCCTTACTATTTATTACCTCTAGTATACTATATGTTTTGTATATTATTTTGTTATTTGTATCCCTCCCAGCCTTAAGTATAAGATTCACATGGTCAGGGATATGGTTATTTTGTTAATTGCTGTATCCCAAAATGCTGAACAGTGTGCCTGGCACAAGGTAGCACTCTATAAATGTTTGTTGAATGAAAGAGTAAATGAATGAAGTAAAGTCTTCTTCTCTTTTACTTTTGTGGTCAACTCTTAGGTTCCCTCTGGACCTATTTTTCTTCATGCCAAATTCTCCAAGGGCCTTAAGCTTTAACAATCACATCTGGATAGTAAATTGTTCAACAGCCTAAAGACTGCAGTGGCCATCAGTTTGTCAGTAACTCTGTTTCCTGCCTCAAGACTTTTTTTTTTCCTTTATTATTATACTTTAAGTTTTAGGGTACATGTGCACATTGTGCAGGTTAGTTACATATGTATACATGTGCCATGCTGGTGCGCTGCACCCACTAACTTGTCATCTAGCATTAGGTATATCTCCCAATGCTATCCCTCCCCCCTCCCCCCACCACACAACAGTCCCCAGAGTGTGATGTTCCCCTTCCTGTGTTCATGTGATCTCATTGTTCAATTCCCACCTATGAGTGAGAATATGCGGTGTTTGGTTTTTTGTTCTTGTGATAGTTTACTGAGAATGATGATTTCCAATTTCATCCATGTCCCTACAAAGGACATGAACTCATCATTTTTTTATGGCTGCATAGTATTCCATGGTGTATATGTGCCACATTTTCTTCATCCAGTCTATCATTGTTGGACATTTGGGTCGGTTCCAAGTCTTTGCTATTGTGAATAATGCCGCAATAAACATACGTGTGCATGTGTCTTTATAGCAGCATGATTTATAGTCCTTTGGGTATATACCCAGTAATGGGATGGCTGGGTCAAATGGTATTTCTAGTTCTAGATCCCTGAGGAATCACCACACTGACTTCCACAATGGTTGAACTAGTTTACAGTCCCACCAACAGTGTAAAAGTGTTCCTATTTCTCCACATCCTCTCCAGCACCTGTTGTTTCCTGACTTTTTAATGATGGCCATTCTAACTGGTGTGAGATGGTATCTCATTGTGGTTTTGATTTGCATTTCTCTGATGGCCAGTGATGATGAGCATTTTTTTCAGGTGTTTTTTGGCTGCATAAATGTCTTCTTTCGAGAAGTGTCTGTTCATGTCCTTCGCCCACTTTTTGATGGGGTTGTTTGTTTTTTTCCTGTAAATTTGTTTGAGTTCATTGTAGATTCTGGATATTAGCCTTTTGTCAGATGAGTAGGTTGCGAAAATTTTCTCCCATTTTGTAGGTTGCCTGTTCACTCTAATGGTAGTTTCTTTTGCTGTGCAGAAGCTCTTTAGTTTAATTAGATCCCATTTGTCAGTTTTGGCTTTTGTTGCCATTGCCTTTGGTGTTTTAGACATGAAGTCCTTGCCCATGCCTATGTCCTGAATGGTAATGCCTAGGTTTTCTTCTAGGGTTTTTATGGTTTTAGGTCTAACATTTAAGTCTTTAATCCATCTTGAATTGATTTTTGTATAAGGTGTAAGGAAGGGATCCAGTTTCAGCTTTCTACATGTGGCTAGCCAATTTTCCCAGCACCGTTTATTAAATAGGGAATCCTTTCCCCATTGCTTGTTTTTCTCAGGTTTGTCAAAGATCAGATAGTTGTAGATATGCGGCATTATTTCTGAGGGCTCTGTTCTGTTCCATTGATCTATATCTCTGTTTTGGTACCAGTACCATGCTGTTTTGGTTACTGTAGCCTTGTAGTATAGTTTGAAGTCAGGTAGTGTGATGCCTCCAGCTTTGTTCTTTTGGCTTAGGATTGACTTGGCGATGCGGGCTCTTTTTTGGTTCCACATGAACTTTAAAGTAGTTTTTTCCAATTCTGTGAAGAAAGTCATTGGTAGCTTGATGGGGATGGCATTGAATCTGTAAATTACCTTGGGCAGTATGGCCATTTTCACAATATTGATTCTTCCTACCCATGAGCATGGAATGTTCTTCCATTTGTTTGTATCCTCTTTTATTTCCTTGAGCAGTGGTTTGTAGTTCTCCTTGAAGAGGTCCTTCACATCCCTTGTCAGTTGGATTCCTAGGTATTTTATTCTCTTTGAAGCAATTGTGAATGGGAGTTCACTCATGATTTGGCTCTCTGTTTGTTGTTGGTGTATAAGAATGCTTGTGATTTTTGTACATTGATTTTGTATCCTGAGACTTTGCTGAAGTTGCTTATCAGCTTAAGGAGATTTTGGGCTGAGACGATGGAGTTTTCTAGATATACAATCATGTCGTCTGCAAAAAGGGACAATTTGACTTCCTGTTTTCCTAATTGAATACCCTTTATTTCCTTCTCCTGCCTAATTGCCCTGGCCAGAACTTCCAACACTATGTTGAATAGGAGTGGTGAGAGAGGGCATCCCTGTCTTGTGCCAGTTTTCAAAGGGAATGCTTCCAGTTTTTGCCCATTCAGTATGATATTGGCTGTGGGTCTGTCATAGATAGCTCTTTTTATTTTGAAATACGTCCCATCAATACCTAATTTATTGAGAGTTTTTAGCATGAAGGGTTGTTGAATTTTGTCAAAGGCCTTTTCTGCATCTATTGAGATAATCATGTGGTTTTTGTCTTTGGCTCTGTTTATATGCTGGATTACATTTATTGATTTGCATATATTGAACCAGCCTTGCATCCCAGGGATGAAGCCCACTTGGTCATGGTGGATAAGCTTTTTGATGTGCTGCTGGATTCACTTTGCCAGTGTTTTATTGAGGATTTTTGCATCAATGTTCATCAAGGATATTGGTCTAAAATTCTCTTTTTTTGTTGTGTTTCTGCCTGGCTTTGGTATCAGAATGATGCTGGCCTCATAAAATGAGTTAGGGAGGATTCCCTCTTTTTCTATTGATTGGAATAGTTTCAGAAGGAATGGTACCAGTTCCTCCTTGTACCTCTGGTAGAATTCAGCTGTGAATCCGTCTGGTCCTGGACTCTTTGGTTGGTAAGCTATTGATTATTGCCACAATTTCAGCTCCTGTTATTGGTCTATTCAGAGATTCAACTTCTTCCTGGTTTAGTCTTGGGAGAGTGTATGTGTCGAGGAATTTATCCATTTCTTCTAGATTTTCTAGTTTATTTGCGTAGAGGTGTTTGTAGTATTCTCTGATGGTAGTTTGTATTTCTGTGGGATCGGTGGTGATATCCCCTTTATCATTTTGTATTGTGTCTATTTGATTCTTCTCTCTTTTTTTCTTTATTAGTCTTGCTAGCGGTCTATCTATTTTGTTGATCCTTTCAAAAAACCAGCTCCTGGATTCATTAATTTTTTGAAGGGTTTTTGTGTCTCTATTTCCTTCAGTTCTGCTCTGATTTTAGTTATTTCTTGCCTTCTGCTAGCTTTTGAATGTGTTTGCTCTTGCTTTTCTAGTTCTTTTAATTGTGATGTTACGGTGTCAATTTTGGATCTTTCCTGCTTTCTCTTGTGGGCATTTAGTGCTATAAATTTCCCTCTACACACTGCTTTTCCACAGACTATTTCTTTCATTTGGACACACTTCTAACCCCATCTTCCTCCTCCATGTCATTAATTCTGACCAGCTTTTCTTCTTCTTCCCATGCAGTGAACAAAGCAAACCAGGAGGGTCCTCTCCAGGTTTGATACCTGTGAGTGGACAGGTAACTTCAAAATCAGGAGGAGAAACAGCAGGAAGATTATTTCAGTCTTGGGTCCAGGACACCTTCACCAATAATAAAGTTAATACTATATTGAATTCACACAAAGACCTTGTGAATATTTCTCAAATGACCCAGAGTTCATAGAGTAAAAGAGTGTGGTTAATTTTAATCCTCAAATAAAACATAGAGTTCACTGGATCAGGAACCTAAGAAAAGATGTAAGAAGTGCATACGGCAATCAAAGCACAAAATGGAGAAACAATGAGTTTTGATGTGGATGCATCATCAGTCTTTACTACTTACAAACCCCTAGGACACTACAGAGAAAGGATGTCTTTTAATGCCAGTTAATGCTCATCCCAAACAATCAGATCCTCAGTATATATGCTGTGGCTGACTGAATTATTGCTCCCAGTTCTTCACTATACTATCATAGTATTAGAAACGCTTGTTATTGCCATGATATAATGGTTGGTTCACCATGGGTAGAAGTTGCCATAAGGAGAGAAGTTGACTTCTCTGCCTCATGACTCTGGGCTTGACCATGTGGTTTGTTTTGGCAAATGGGCTATAGTAGACATGGTGCAAGCAGACGCTTGAAATATGTTTACGTGGTTGGCTTTTGGGCTTTTGTGCTTCTGCCATCACCATGAAAAGAACATACCCTAGATATCTATCTTAGTCCATTTTGCATTGCTATTATAAAATACAAAAGACTGGGTAATTTATAAAGAAAAAAATTATTTTTCATAGTTCTACAGGCTAGGAAGTCAAGAGAATGGTGCCTGCAAGCATCTGGTGAGGGCCATTTTGCTATGTTATAATATGGGGGAAGGGCATCACATGGTAAGAGGGCAAGATTGTATGTCAGCTCAGGTCTCTCTTCCTCTTCTTATAAAGTCACCAGTCCCATCATGTGTGCTCCACACTGATGACCTTATCTAATCCTAATTTCCCCTCAAAGGCCCCACTGCCAATCAACAAATTAATCTGGTGACTAAGTTTCCAACACATGAAATTTGAGAGACATATTCAAATCATAGAAGTAGTCTTTGCCTTATTAATCTGGACTCCAAAATAAGACATGTGGACCTAAACCTGGCCTACAGCCTGGATCCATACCCAACCAACACTAGCTGAGATCAGTTTCATCCAAACCAAGCCACAAACCCATAAGCAAGAAAAACAAGTATTTGTTATTATAAGCCACTGAAATTAAGTTTGCTTTTATGTAGTGTTGTGGCAATAATTCAGTGATTCATAGTATTTGGGGATGTTATGGATTAAGTTGTGTCCTCCCAAATTTATATGTTGAAGACCTAACCCCCAATCTCCTCCCAAATTTATATGTTGAAGACCTAACTCAAGACCTAATGGCATTTGGAGATAGGGCCTTTGAGGATGTAATTAAGGTTAAAAAGGTCATAAGGGTAGGGCCCTAATCTGATAGGACTAGTGTCCTTATAAGAGGAGAAAGAGACACAAGAGAGCCTTCTCTCTCTCTTCATGCATGTGCACACAGAGTGGAAGGCCAGGTGAAGACAAAGTGAGAAGGCAGCCATCTACAAGCCAGAAAGAGAGGCCACCCTAGAATTATTTTATAACTTTATAAAATAAAATTATTTTTGCTGCCACAGCTTGCTTTTCCTCCCGTTGAGCTCTAAGTAAATTTGATGATCGTCCAACTTGACAAATTTACTTATTTCTTTTTTTATTATACTTTAAGTTCTAGGGTACATGTGCACAACGTGCAGGTTTGTTATTTCTTTTTAGTAATTTATTTTGGTAATCATTTTCACTCTGTCTTCTCAAAATCATCTTAAAGGATGTTTGTCTCATCTCTGTTGCAGCCTCCTGTTGCTGAAACTGAATAACGTATACCTTAGATAAATTAATTGTGGTTCATTTGTATAATGGACATGCACAATACATTACACAGCACTGAATATAAATATATGTATCAACTTTGGATAAATTTTAAACATAATGGTAAGTGTAAAATAAGGTAAGTTGCAAAGGATGCATATCAGGTGATGCCATTTATTTTGAGATTAAAGCATATGTAACAATACTATACATAAGTTAAAGATATATTCACATATAGTAAAAATACAAAGTCATGTATAGGGATTGTAAATATCACATTCAAAAGAGTGATTAATTTTGTGGGGATGGGAAGGAAATGTCATGAAGAGGGATACACAGGTAGCTTCTATCAAGGTTTTTCTTTCCTAAGGTTTTATTTTCTAAGCTGGGTAGTTGGAATAGGTGGATAGCATATATAACTCATGTTTAATAGGAATAAATAAACACAAGCATGGGTCTTTTTTAAGTTAAGGCAACCATCATAAAAATTTTAAATACTAAATAACTTTTAAACTAGCCAAAGAGAATCTATTCTATTCAATGCAAAGCACAAAAATAAAGACCCCAAGAATGTATAGTGGATGCACCATGTGAAAAATGATGGCAATAATAAATACTTAGATGGCTTTAAAATAATTTCAAATTAGTTCAAGTCAACAATTTAAACACCAAGGCTATCAGGTTGCATTTTTAAAGGATTCAGCAATGTTTATTGCACAAAGGAAACTTTTAGAACAAAAAGATTCAAATGGATTAAAATTCAAAATGTAACGAAAGATATGTAAGACAAATATAAACAACAAGTTGTGACAACTTCTTAATATATGGTCAAAATAGAATTCAAGGCAAAAAATGGTTTATGGAATAAGAAATATGCCATATAGAAAAAGAACAATAGAGCAAGAAGATAAATTTATCATGAAAACACGCACTCAACAATACAGCCTCAAATTATGTAAAGTAATTACTGAAAAATTATTGATAGAGAATTAATGCACCCTTCTCAAAAAGCAAAAGGATTCTAGAATCACCCCCCTAATGCGTGGTTCCAAGTTGGCTTGGCAAATACTCCCCAACAATATGGCAGATCTCAGAAATCATACAGTGGTTACACTCACAAAGAAGTGAAAGATTTTATTAATTATCAGATTATGTCTTCTGTCTTAATATTATTTATTAAATAAACCAAAATGTCCTCAATTTATTTGAAATATCAAACGTATCATATACTGATCATCTTCTGGCCTTCTTGTTTTTCTCTTGCATTGATATATCTGTGCACCAGTATCACAGCTTAATAGCTAGGGAAGGAAAAACACCCCCATACTCATCTTTTTCAAAACGCTCTTGACAATTTTCACACATTTACTCTTCCAGAAGTTAGAATAATTTTCAATTTTTAAAAAATACTATTTGTATTTTGAATGGGATTGGGTTTCTCTGGTAGATAATTGTATTATCTATGAAAAACAATAAATCTTATTTCATATTTTTGCTCATCCTGCATCAACTAGAGCTTCTTGAACAATGTTGAAGTAGAAATTGTAATAGCAGGCATCCTTGAAGATGAAGGCTGTTGAATTCAGAGGGAGATTTTTTATCACTTAAGAAAGTACTAAGAAATGTTTTTAAATCATAAATGGATATTAAATTTTATCAAAACACCTTTTGGTATCTAACAAGATTATCTTATGGCTTTCTTCCTTCAATTTAGTAATATTAATAATATATTTTCAAATGTAGAACTAATCATTGCAGTTGAGATTTTCAAATTCTGACTACATGCTAAGCACCACAATAAGTACTTTTTAGATATTAACTCTTTTAATCTTTACAACAACTGCATAAGGTACACACTACCATAAGCCCTATTTTGTGGATGAAGATACTAAGATACACAGAGATTAAATAGATTGATGAAAGCCATACAGTTTTTAGATTCATCTCAAGATGTAAACCTAATCCCAGGCTGTCTATCTAGAGTTTTCTCTCTTAAATCACTATACTTCTTGATAAACTCTACTTGGTCAAGGATATGTTAAAATATACTACTGAATTTAATTTGTGATTTATTTAGGATTTTGTACTACCTTTGTTATATTTAGGATTTGGGCTATATAATACGTAATATATAAAATTATATTTTAAATTATATTTCAATGAGTTTTGCAAATGTTTACCATCTAACCCATGTAACTATCACCACAAGAAAAGTATCAAATATTTCCATTGTTCAAGAATATTCCTCATGCTACTTTGAAGTCAATGTCTCCTAAACCCCTGTTCTATGAAATCACTGACCTGATTTCCATTACTGTGGAGTAACTTTTATACAGATAGATAGAAAGATAGATTAGATAGGTAGATGATAGACAGATAGATAGATAGAATGTATTCTTTTATATCTAGCTCCTTTCACTCACATAATGTTCATGAAACTTATTTATATTGTTGCATGTATCATTATATAATTACTTGGGGGATTAATCAGGTACCAATTCTCAAGGATTTGGGGGAGGAAGAGGGTTAAGTAGTATTTCATTGTTGGATGAATACTTAAAATGTTCCTAGGTTTTATTATGAATGATACTCTTATGACCATTTATGTACTAGTATTTCTGTGAACAGTTAAGTTCTCTTGGATAAATACCTAGAAGTAGTATGGTAAATATGCATATAACTAAACTGTTTTCAAATGGCTATGCCATTTTACACTCCCAGCAGAACTGTGTGATCATTTAACTTGCTCCACACACCCTTGCAAATGCTTGGCGTTTTCAAGTCTTTTTAATTTTAGCCACTCTTATGATTCTGTAGCAGTATCTGATTGTGGGTTTTAATTTTTATTTCCCAGATGAGCATGGTGGCTCATGCCTGTAATCCCAACACTTTGGGTGGCTGAGGCAGATGGATCGCTTAAACCCAGGAGTTTGAGACTAGCCTGGGCAATATAGTGAGACCCGGTCTCCACGAAAATTTTTTTATAAAAATTAGTCAAGCACGGTGGCATTTGCCCGTAGTCCCAGCTACTCGAGAGGCTGAGGTGGGAGGATTGCTTGAGCCTGGGGAGGTTGAGGCTGCTGTGAGCCATGATCACACCACTGCACTCCTATCTGGGTGACAAAATGAGACCCTACCTCAAAGAAAAAAAAATTTCCCTAATGACTACTAATAGTTGAATATCTTCTTATGGCCATTTGTTTATCTTCTTTTGTAAAGTTTCTGTTTAAATATTTTGCCCACTTTTAATTGGACAGCTTTTCTTATTACTATTGAGTTGTAGGAACTCTATGTATATTCTACATACAAACTCCGCTTCCTCTTTGGGCACTGCTTCACCCACTTGCTCACTTTTCTCTACCTCTTGGGTAACTTCTTCTGTAAGAAGCCAGATGCCATGTCAAGAGGCTACTCAAGTAGGCTGTGGAGAGGCCCGTGTGCAATGGGATGGAGATCTCTGGCCAGTGGCCAGTGAGAAATGACAGCCTGCTAATAACCAAGTGTGTGAGCTCAGAAGTGGATAATTCAGGCCCAGTTGAGCCTTGAGATCACCACAGCCCCAGTTGAAAGTTTGACTGCATCCTCATGAGAAACCCTGAGCCAGAACCACCTAGCTGAGCCTCTTCCAGATTCCTGGTTCTCAGAAACTGTGAGATGATAAGTATTTGTAGTTGTGAACTGCCAAATTTTGAGGTAACTTGCTACATAGTAATAGATATCGAATACCTATCAAACTGTGATAACTCCAGCTCAACCCCTGAAATCTGGAAAGCACAGCCTTTGGAGTTGACTGGAGGTGCTGACCTGAGATCACATTGAAGGCCACAGTTCCCAGAAAGGAGGCTTCATCATCAGATCTCATTCCCCTGGTTCCCAGGCCCAGATCAGATTAGGTGCAATAGCATAAGCTGCTTCCACTTCAAACAAAATTAAGTTCTTCTGTTCTTCAACGTCATTGAGTGCATTTTACCAGCACTTTCCTTCCCTCTATGAGGTCTCATTTCTCTCTGTTCTGCATCTACTATTTCATGTCATCCTTTCTGCCTCTGAGATTCTCATGGTGGGAAAGAAACCCTTAAGGCCATGTATACCAAGCACATGGTTGAATGTTCTCTCTATCTCCCACATGGTCTTCTGGCTTATTTTTGAAATCTTGAGGTAACCATCTCCTGTTATCTCATTCTAACTTTGGATTACTCTGACTCTTAGAAAAGTCCTCTAATCATGAGCAGAATTCACTTTCTCTGCTCTCTAGCTCCATTTGATTCCCAAGAGATTCACTCTTGGGCAGACCCTTCATGGAGAATTGGCTGTGACTGAGACCAGACATCTCAAGCAAGGATTTGGTATTAATTGCCAGAAATTTAAAGGAAATCACTTTTTTTTTCCACTATGAAGTCCCTAGCTGCACTGAGGTTTGTATGAGCCATCTCATTAGCTAAATCCATCCTAGATGGTTATCTATTATAAAGAATTTGTCTGATGCTGAGGGATAAGTCTCTTTAATTATTTGGATCCTCAGATAGCTCTTCTCTTGGCAAAACGTTTTCTGGATATTCCTATAGCCACTGCTGCATGTAAGTGATGAGTAGCATGAACAAACAACTTTCCCTTGTCTCTGGTAGGGCCCTGAGCCAAGCACTATAAATTTGGGCCTCATCTCTCCTATTCAGACTTGCCAGGACAATGATAAGATAAATTATTTCCACAAACAGGGTTGCTTTAGAGGCTTCCTGGAGAGCTTGGCTTATCTGTAGGTCTTGGACATTTGTAGGAATGCTTCCTTGCCTTCATAAAAGTAACCAACAATGTGCCAGGCTTTGTATAAAACCTTTAAGATAGTCTACAAAGCTGTGTATAATATGACACCTGACTACTGCTCCACCTTCATTCTCACCATGCTCTTCCTCCCACTCTGAAGTCCAGTTACTCTGGCATTCTTTTAGTGAGTCACATTCAGCCTGTTCTTGCTGCCACAGGGCCTTTCAATGTGGCATTTCTCTGCCCTGAAGTCATCTTATCTTCTCTATTCCCAGGTATCTCTTATCTTTCAGATCTCAGTTAAGTATTACTTCCTTAGAGAAGTCTTCCCAGATTACAACCCCTCAGTCTAGGTTTTATTTCTTTCATATTTGATTTCAAATGGCAGAAGTGCTTCCCTTTCAGCTTACCATTTCAGTTTTAGTTTATGCATTTATTAGTTCAATTATTTGATTAACATCTATTCTCAGACATTCACACAAGGACTGCATTCCTGTTGCTCTCTATCAAAACACTTAATATAGTATCAAGTATAAGTGCTCAAGAAGTATTGTGGCATGAAAAAAGGAGGCAATTAGAACCCAATGTGATAAATGCTATCCTTGCAGTAGGCACAAGAAGTTGTGGTCCAACCTGACCCAGATAGAAAAGATTTCCTGGGAAAATACTATCCTATTGAGTATCTAAAAATGCACAGGATTCTGCCAGGTGAATAAAGCAACTGAGGAAGTAAGAGGTAACAAGGGCCTGAATGAGCTGATCAGTTATTGAATGGAAGTCATGTCCATTTTCTCCCCTCTGCAGATGAGAACTACTGGTCCCTCTATCCAGAAACAGGAAGTTATTGAAAGTCCTATGATGGATGGGGAGCTTTAAAACTTGATAAGAAACAAGCTTGTAAGGTCACAGTTGGATGTCACACAGTTCCTGTGAGATAGCCAGATCCCTCTCAGAGCTTCATGAGGAAGGCCAGCTTTGCTAGAGAGCTGCCTCCTTGATCACCAATGACTGGGTTTCTGGAGATGGTAAAATATGCAGCTGCCAGGGCTGAGGATTTCAAAACTAGGTGCAATAATACCAAGTCAGGGCAGGATTACTCAGGTTTTTTGTCCTTTGGTCTCTTGAAGGCTGGGCCCAGGGTAAGACTCAGGAATGCAAAGGCAACTCCATAGAATCCTACAGAAACCAGAAGGCAATGTTACACACACCAGATCTGGGAGCTGTTAAAGATTGCTGAGCTTGCCTGTAGGACAGTTGTGGCTTCAGCTCAGGTGGTGCTGAGCTCATCTGATTCCCAAGAGTGATCAAATAATTCAGCCTCATCCATTTCCTTTACCTAAACCTTCCATGCTAATCCCCAATCTGTGGCCTACATAACTGCTCATGTTCTCCCTTCATGAGTCCTAGTTACTCAGAATTCTGTTCTTTGTTTCCACTTAGAACTTAGGACTTTAACCATTTGTATGAACTCCAAGGTCACATTAGGAAATAATCTTTAATTGGAAATCTGAACATTGAAGGGAAGTGGCCAAAGAGAAGGGTCTTGGGGGAAAGTGCAGAGCATGCAGACCTAGCAACCAGGAACACAGTCATAGTATCAATGGCATGACGGAGTTTGCTCATATCAGCTCATGGAAGCCAATTGTTAACATCTCTTCCCAACTCTGTGTTCAGTGATATCTTATTGGTAGCTTGAAATCAGTGATTTTGGGAGTATTTACACAATGGAAATGAGCAAATGCTACAAATCAGCCCTTTTCTTTCCAGAGAGTCATCAGTTGTTAAATAATTACCACACATAGCTGCAAATCATGTTTAAGAAACGGAATATACTAAAGTCAGAGCACAGAGAGTGAAAGATAAAGTAGAAACAGATGAGACTAAAATTAGACTATTGGGGTAGGGCCTACCTATCAGTATTTTTGTTAAAAAAAAAAAATGGACTTATCTTTTGTAACCCAGTCTTTACTCAGATTTCTGAGGTCCTCAGGAGAGTGGGACTGAGGAGTTTGGATAGGACAAGTGTGGCTTCAGCTCAGGTGGTGCTGAGCTCATCTGATTCCCAAAAGTGATCAAATAATTCAGCCTCATCCATTTCCTTTACCTAAACCTTCCATGCTAATCCCCAGCTGTGCCCTTAACATTCAGATTTTTACTAAAAATCTGTTCAAGGTAATTTAAACTTTCTCATACATGCTTTTCAAAATTCTTCCAGCTACTGCCTAATCTCTGGTTACGCAACTGCTTCTATATTTTTAGGTATTTGTTACAGCATCACCCCACTTCCAAGTACTGAAATCTATGTTAGTTATCTGTTGCTGCATAAAAAATTACCACAAATAATAGCAGCTTAAAATAACATCCATTCCACAGCCATTTCATTGTACTAACCCTTATTCATTTCATGCCTAGATTATTGCAATAAACTCCTCCAGACTTCTTGATGTTGTTTGACTTTCTCTCATTTAGTCTGCCCTCTTCATTTAAGTGAGAGGGATATAATCTTGCTTCTCCTCTACTCAAAGAACTTCTTGAATTCCTGTTGCTTACAGCCTTTGACATAGCACAAAAGATTTTTCACAATATGGTCCCAGCCTATATTTTCAATTTCATCTTCATCTATTTGTCCAATATGACTACAACTTATCATTCCCCAGATACACTTTTCATGCTCCTGTGCCTTTATTTGTGTTATTTCCTCTGCCTGGACTGCCCATCCACTTGTCTTCTCCCTGCGTTTTCTCAGAAAACTCTTATCCATCCTTCCTTCCCCAGTGTATATGTCACATCTTCTATGGTTCTTTCAATGTCACCCTTAGCCCTTCCCTCAGCTAGGCAGAACTGTCCCTTCCTTTGTGCTCTACAACCTCATTTCTCAAAGTGGGACCCAGGCACCAGCAGCATTAGCACCCCCAGGTGATTCATGTACAAATT
Source organism: Homo sapiens (assembly GCF_000001405.40). Classification (NCBI taxonomy): domain Eukaryota; kingdom Metazoa; phylum Chordata; class Mammalia; order Primates; family Hominidae; genus Homo; species Homo sapiens. The sequence continues at coordinate 14,952,062 of NC_000011.10, read as the reverse complement.
ATGTTAAAATGCTGATCCTAATCAGTAGGTTTGGGCTGAGGCCAGAGATTGCAACTCCTACAAAGTTCCCCATGATGCCAATGCTACCAGTTTGAAGACCAAACTTTGAGTAACCAGGTTTACAGCACTTTGATTATAGATCACTTTGATTACAGCCCTGAATACATGATATTATAATTGGTTAGCCTCTCTGTCTCCCCTTATATATTCTAGGTATTTCAAAGGCAGGGATTGTTGGTTTTTCTTCTTGTGGTCTCCAGGGTACCTAACACAGTACTCAGCACTTGCGGATGCTAATAACTTAATAGCTGTGTTTTACATTTAAAAAAATGCACATATCCCTTATACAAGCCAACTTAAGTGGGCCTGTTTGAGACTGTACAGTGAGGAAAACTTAGGGAATTGTACACTGAGCTTGGAAAGAGAGAAAAAAGTGTCAGGGGACAGAAAAAGGGTCTTAGGCCAATATACTGAGTGAAGGTCCAGAAAAAAAAATCAAAATCAAGAAGCATCTTAGAGGGCCAAACCAGCAGGCAGATGTTAATTCCCTAGAGAGGAAACATGAGGTCCTGGGATCCCCCAAAGTCAATTCTGGAACCAGAATGAGAAGTTTCCTTTTGGAGAAATGCTGGCATGCTTGCCAAGAGCAAACTCCTGAGAATCACTTTAGCTGAAATCTGGGTACTACCGTCCCCAGACACGCTAGCCAATCAAAGAGACTGGTGCTAGCTGCTGAGTCACTAACTCAATAAGGCACCAAAACCAGACTGCAGCAATTGGCCTCTTCCTGTGTCTCTGCTGAGACCATGTTGCCTTTGGAAGTAGAACTTGGTCACAGGTGTTCTCATCTTGGCTAGGACACCCAGTCTTTGCTCAGATTTCTGAGGTCCCCAGGAGGTGGGACTGAAGAGGTTGGATAGGCAGATGTGACCAGCCACAGCCCACACTGTTTATGCCTGAGCAAGGATGGCCTTTCTTCCCTAAGCTGAGCAACCATTGGTTCTCAAGCAGACAATGCCACCAGAATATGTAGCAGTATAATATAGGGAAAAGAAAATGGGCCTAGGGTGAGAGTCAGGAGCCCAGGACCCTGACTTTTTATTCCTTTTCTCTGCTTTGGCCTCCCTGTGTGGCCTTAGCTAGGCCAGTCCTCACTAGGTCTCAGCATTCTTTTCTATAAAATGGAGAAATTGGAACCATATGATCGTCAAGCTCCCCTCTAGCTCATATTCTGTAGGGATGGTGGCAGGATATGGAATAAAACTTGTGGTATCTGGATATTTGCCCACCTGTCATATTTTTGGGCATGTCAGCTACTATCATCATGACCTTCTGATCTGTTATCTCCATCACAGGTCTGGGTTCTCTCTGGTCATCAGCTATTTTTATACTGCCCTGTCACTTTGATAACGTTCTCTGTGCAGGTGCCAATGGAAAAGATGATGCTGTCCTAATCTTGGAGGTATATCAAAACAGAGGGTGCCATCACAGGACCCCCAAAAGGTCCATCAAGAGATAGCAGAGCTGACTCTGAAGCTGAAAAGAATGAGGTCAGACAAAGAAAGAACAAGCTGCTTAGAGGAATTGCAAGGTTTCTTTCCTCAGGGAGCTTTCAAGAGAAAACCATTCAAAACCTGGGATTATATTGGAAACTTAGTTGTTACGAATGAGAATTATCTCTGTCTTTCTCTCATTCTTTAAGGGGTTTGTTTTTCAGTGATTCCCTCACTTTCCAGGGGAGGTGGAAGTCTCCCCAGGTCCCTTATAGATCCTTCTTCTCCCTATCCCCTAGAGCTGAGAAACCCTCCCCTGAGAAACTAGAAGGACAAAGGGCAGTGGAAGTCTAAGCTTTGGATATTTCTCAACCTCAAAGTGGGGAGGCATAGAGCTGAGGCCTCAGCCTGAGACAGAATTTCCCCACTCACAAGTCTTCCAGGCACCTGCAGAGCCACAGTTACAGATGAAGGAACTTCATCTCCACTTAGTGGCCTTGGTTGGGCCCACAGCTCAACTGTGAAGGAGAAACAAAGCTTCTGGAAGCCAGATGACAGACAAGCTTCTGTGAGTATGAGTGAGTGTATATATGTGCATGGCTGTGCATGTTTATGTACATGCATGTATGTGTATATGTACACAACTTAACATGGGGCAAAGAGCATAAGATCTGAGTTCTTGTTCTAGTTCTCTCACTGACTCATCACTTCGGGTAGGAGTGGTAGGCCTGGTAGGAAAGACCACTAGAGAGTAACTTTGCTTCTCTAGCCAGCAAAAAGTTGAAGGCATTGACTGAAGGGGCTGATTATTACCATGGGCCGAAGGTGAGCTTTGAGAGCTATAAACAAAAGTTAGTGTTTGTGTATAAATAAATGCATGAGGGCAGCAGAGGGTGGGGGAGTGAATGGAGAATCGCATTCCTTTCACTATGTTCAAAAATGATGCTTTTATTTTCGTTTTGCTTTCCTTCAAGACTGTGCTTTATCCCATGAATTTGTGGGCTAAGTAACAAACTAAACCTAGTCACACCCCTCCAGATCCTGTCATTTATAAATAATTACCTTCTGGGCAGGGATAGCCAAAAAGAAAAATTTTGGTGCCAGCTGTCATGCTATCTGGTTATGAAATGCTCTTCCAGAAGCTTCTGGAGGTTACTGGATTATAGAACATTATCTTAAGAGCAGTAGGCAGTGGCGTTATGGAACTGGCTCACACTGGCTTTTGAGAGCTGATTGTTAAATTTTTAGAAATGCTGAGCCATTTTACTAAACACCATTGAGCCATTAATAAAATTAAATTATATAAACTTATAATTGAATTAAATGTAAAAAGAAGGTAATAAATATGCGAAACTTGTCACTTCCTATTTATTGTACTACATGTCACTTTTATCTGTGCTGTTAAGGTTATTTACACCTATTGTGTATGTATGGTAGAAACATTATATAATGGTGTGCTAGTCACATCTCTTCCCAACTTTCATTCAGTGATGCATATGTGGTAGCTTGAATTTGATCATGGTAGGAATACTTACATCCCAGAAATTACAAATACTACGAATCAGAGCTTGATTTACTGTTTTCTTGATTGCTTAGACTCAAGAAATAATAGAGAAAATTTTTTAAATGGCAATTAAGCTTACAAGTGTGTCATGTCTATAGCTGGTACATTGTGACTAACAGAAAATTGAGGAAACAGCCTTTCAGTATTTTATCACTATTATCCAGTTTCACAAAGAAGCTAGTCATGTTACTGATGAATGAGTGAAGTTCCAACATATGTATTTATTGTTTCCTTTTTGTCTTACATATGAAAACAAAAATACTGACCAACGCTCAGGCCAGAGCTATACTCCGTCATCAGTTACAAGCATAGGTTGTCTATGATACAAGAGTTCAGCAAAAATCAATAAAGCATTCTGTAAGGACCAACTGGCTACATAATTTGCAATAAATATTATAGCACATTTTGTCATTGTAAATTGTGTGCTACACACCTTTTATGTCAGTAAAATTTATAACAAACTTATAGACGTGTTTTTTCAGAATGTTAACAACTGAATATTTACGGGTATATTACTGGAATGGGGCCATTGGAGGTCTTGGGAAATTAGAGGTCCGGATAAGGAGCATGATTGTCCAAGGTCATGCAGAATCAGATGTAGTATTTTGTTTGAATTCATGTTAAGAGTTACTACATTTTATTTTAATTATGCATTTGTGTGTCTCTTTCTAGTGTGTTATACAACAGAAGCTTAAGATATGTTTATTGATTGATTGACTGTGAACACAGGGCCACACTGTCTCCCTTCTTGACCTGACCAAAGTAAGTAAGATATTGGGCTGATCTCAGAGCTTCTCAGAAGAAGAATCAGAAAAAGCTGCCTGAGGAGGGTTCTTATATAAGACAGAAATGTATATCTGAGGAACACAATAACTTAGAATCCCTATGTGGCCTGGTTTGCAACTAATTACCTCTATTATCATCACAAGTTATGGAAGTTTTGCTCATGGCCATGAATGTGAGTGGGTGATAGGGGCTGCTGTAATGAAGACTCCCACTGAGGAGCAGTGGAGAGAAGGATGGGAGTAGGGGACTTAGGGGTCTCCATTACCTAAAGTCAATGCAAAAGACAAAAGCATCAGGACAAGCAGTCGCAAAAGAGTTTCATCACATCTGAATGGGCACGTGGAATATATACATATATGGTCCTGACTGAGTCCAGCACTTGGTGTAGCCTGAGTCTGAAAAGAAGTTAAAAGATTGATGAGCTCTAGTGCTATTGTTTTTAAGAAAAGCTTAGTAGTATCTGCCAAAATTTGAAATGCAGAGGCATATCTGTTGATCTAATAATTATCACTTCTAGAACATTGTCATATTGAATACACAAGCATATAGGATCATTTCAATACTGTCAGTAAAAAGGAAAAGACAGAAAAACTCTGATTTAGAATATTCTTTATAGAGGTTCTATTTATGGTAAATAGTCTTAATTTCTTTTCGTTTCTTTGAAATATTTTTATTTTGCCCCTTTTTTCTGAACACACACACACACATAGGTGGGATGATATTTTATTTTCTTTCAGTACTTTAAAGATGTTATTCTACAATCTTCTGGCTTTCACTGTTGCTGTTGAGAAATCAGTTATTAGTTTAATTGGTATTTATTTGCAGATGACCTGTATTTTTGTCCTAGTTACTTTTAAGGTCTTTCCTTTGTCATTTAGACATCGCTGTCATTTCATATATTTGTGTCTAAGTATAAATTTCTTTTTATTAATTATCTTTGAGATTTGTAGAGCTTGTTGAATTTTAAAAGTCATAAACTTCTGTCATTTCTGGAAAACTCACATCCATTACCTTTCCATTATTTCCTCTCATCCATTCTCTGTATCCTCTCCTTCTGGTACTTGATTTGTTGACATTAGACTTCACACCATCCACCAAGGTTTTAAACTTTTATATCATATTTTCTATTCTCTCTCTCTGTTTTTTTTTTTTTTTTTTTTTTTTTGAGACAGAGTCTCACTCTGTCACCCAGGATGGAGCGCAGTGGCATGATCTCAGCTCACTGCAATCTCCACCTCCTGGGTTCAAGTGATATTCGTGCCTTGGCCTCCTGAGTAGCTGAGATTACAGACATGCGCCATCATGCTATGCTAATTTTTTGTATTTTTAGTAGAGATAGGGTTTCACTGTGTTGGCCAGGCTGGTCTTAAACTCCTGACCTCAGGTGATCTGCTTGTCTTGGCATCTCAAAGTACTGGGATTACAGGCATGAGCCACTGCACCTGGCCTCTATTTTCTTGTTGCACAACTGGATCAAAGGAATTTCTTTAAATCTGTCTTCCAAATCATTAATTCTCTCCTTAGCTTTAATATTCTACTTAACCTACCTATTGATTTTTAAATTTTTAGTTGTTTTTGGCTTCTAAAAATTTTATTTGGTTTGTTTTTCCAATCAATCTTAGATTTTTTATAGACACTTTATTTTTAGTTATAGTTGTGTTATAAACTAATTGTTTATGTCCCCCAAAATTCACATGTTGAAGCTCTAAGCCCTCAATATAATTGTATTTGGATATAAGGTCTGTAAGGAGATGAGAAAAGTTAAATGAAGTCATAGGGCGGAGCCCTAATCTAAGAGGCCTAATGCCCTCATAAGAAGAGGAAAAGACACAAGAGCTCCTTCTCTTCTCCATATGAGGACACAGTGAGAAGGCAGCCATCTGCAAGTCAGGAAGAGAGCCCTCATCAAGAACCAAAACAGCTGCCACCTTGGCCTTGAACTTCCCAGCCTCTAGAACTGTGAGAAACTAGATTTCCATTGTTTAAGCCACCCCATCTGTGGTATTTTGTTATGGCAGCCCTAACTGATTAATTCAACTTGTAACGTCACTTTTAATTTACTCAAAAATATTAGACAAACTTATTTTGAAACCAGTAAGTCCTATATCTGCATTATTTGTGGGTCTGATTCTTTAGTTTCTTATTTCTGATGACACTTGCGTATGATGACTTGTTTCATGTATATTTTTGTGATTTTTAAATTTTAGTTCACATTCATTGGTACTTAATAACTGGGAGTTTTTATTAGCCTGAGTTTATATTTTCTAAAATTAATTTACTTTTACTTCTATTTGATGTTTAAGAATGTGATCAGTTCATAACTTTAAGCTAAATTCCCTATTTCATCATGAGAATTTTTTTCTGTTTATTCAGCTTGTCCCCTTTTAAAAATCTACTCACACATCTCAAATATAGGATGAGATTTTGTTTAGAGAGATACTGAACAACATTGATCAGTGTTGGAAACTAATGTATATCCCTGGTACACATATAGGTCATTATTTGATTTATTTGGAGTGAGGGGGTGCTTCTTTGAGTATAAAGATAACTGTATACTTCTGGGCATGATGAGTAGGCAAGCATAGACCCACAGAGAGATTTTCCAGTAAGTTGCTCTAATGTGCCCCATAACATTAAAATTGAAATAAAACATTGCCTTTGAAATTTTGAAAGTTTAAGTTTTCAGATCACACCTTTCATCTTTTTCTTGGAGGCACAAAAATCTTCCCAGCCTAGGTCCTATTCATGATTCATAAAAGGAAATAGCTTGCCAAGTATAACCTCAGCATGTGACTTATAAAATATAATATAAATCCAAATTCTCTCTACATTAAAGTTACTCAATTTCCTCTAACGGCCTTTATATTAGAGTTATGTCTATTCATAGCAGACAATACCTGTAAGTCATTCACTTGAAGTATCATGATTTTTCACTTTCAACACTAAAGACTTGGACTTAGGGAGGAAGGCCTCTGAATTTTGCAAGTCTGTCCTTAAATGATTGTCTTTCATATTTAAAAAATATAAAGTTATAACTATAAATAAAATGTTTCTCATGAAAGAAAAAAGGGAGAGGAGCAAGATGGTTATAAGTGATGATTAAATATGCTGCCATATTGGTCAGCCTCCACCTTCTCATCTCTTCTATTCCTACCACTACTCATTGGCCTCAAGGATATGTGCATGGAAAAACAAAATGTCTTGTTTAAACTTGTGTATAATCCTAATATTCATATTATCAAACTATAGCCTCTTTAGAATGCCAGATTGGGAGCAGGTGGGTTTGGCCAAAAGAATGGTCTTTAGTCTCACCCCATGGGCATCCCCTTTCCCCTCATCTGAAGAATAAACTAAGCACTTGTCCTATAGGGCTGGCTTGAGACCTACTTCTGGGGCTATCTTGGTTCATGGGAGCTTTTGTCCCAGCCTCACTGAGCACCCCTAGTTGGTCACTCACCCTAAAAAAGTACAGGTTCTTCTTTACCCAATTTCTGGCCTCTGTCTCAATTCCTATTAAACTCTCTCTCTAGCATGGTAATGGTATTTTGTTTATAGAGCAAAATAGCAAACTGTTGTAACTTTATAAAGATGTCATCTCTCAATGAGATAACTTACAAATACAATGCAAATTCAAGAGGACTCTATTAAAATAGAGCAATTCTAAAATTCACTTGGAAAAACAGGTGGTCAAGAAACTTAAAAAGAAGAAATCTGGGGATATAGGTCAGCTCTAAAAACTATTAGAACATATTAAAAATAATAATAGTTAAATACTGTGGTTCTTATATAAGACAAATGCGTATCAGAAGAACAGAATAAAAAGGCAAGAAGCAGGCCCAATACTTTAGATAAAGAGAGTTAATTAGTGCTAAGGGGTAATTTGGGGCAGGGTTAACTTATCCACTAGGCACAAAAGGCAGTTTAGTGACCACAAAAATGTTTTCATTTTAAGATCTTTTAAAATAAGAAAAAATAATACAATAGTAATAATGAACATATGATAATCCATCCTGGAGTATAATAACAAAGCAGTTGTAAAATATAATTTTTAATATTTTCATGAAGAAAGGCACTCATAAAAGCAAAAGTTCCTATGAGTCATGAAAATTATAATGTGGTTCTGGCTTGGAGAGCTTCTTAGCTTTTCTCTGTTCAAAATCTCCATCATTCTTACTATTATCACAAGCTACCAAATAGCATGAGGTCTAAATTAAAACAACATGCATGCTGTACAAGTGCAGTTGCAAGACCAGGAATCTGCCCGCGCTTTTAGCAAGGTTGCTCCACAAGTCCCCAACATACAGACTCTGAAGCTACCACTGGATTACCAGTTTGGGGAAAAATCAAGTTACATCCAAAAATGTACATTTAAAATTAAGAATTTGTTAAATAATTTAATGTGAATAAATTTCACAGAATAGAACCAAGAGTTTTTATACATTTATTTAGATGATAATGCCTGAACTTTGAAACTTTGAAAGAATTCATGAAGGAAAAGATCAATAATAGCTTGTGTACAAGAATAAACTAACCATAATGAAAATGAAAACAGCAGAAGCATTTGTCTTAAATGTTAGAGAAATGGACTATTATGTATAACATATAAAATGTATTCTAATATATTATAAATATCATAAATGCTCTCATAGCTAAATCAGCAAAGATATAAACAGAAAAAATGTAGATAGCAAACACGGGTTGAGGGTGCAACAAAATTTACATTAAACAATAATGTATGTTTTTATATCTATTAACTTGGCAAGGAATGTGTAATAATAACACTAGTGCAACAGATTTTTCAGTAAAATTAATGTGTACATACTTTCTGGCACTGGATATAAAACAGGAACATGGCAGTATATATTGAAAATCATAAAATTATTCACACCCAGTAATTTTATTCATTGTAATTTAGAATGAGGAGATAATTCAAAAGGAGGGCAAATCTGTATGTATGAGGCTCTTCACTGCAGCATTATCTATAATAGCAGAAATTGAAAAAACCTAAATGTCCAACAATAGGGAAAGCAAAAACGTGAAGAAAATTGCAGTATATAGATCCAGAAGGATTCTGGATTCTCAGTGATAAAGGTAAGAATGATGGAGATTTTCAACAGAGAAAAGCTGAAAAAGCTCTCCATGCCAGAACCACATTATGATTTTCTGCATCTATATCAGTCAGGTGCAGGGGCTTCCCTAGCTTAATAGCTTCATTGCCTACAGGAGCCATGACAATTACAAGAACTGCCACACACAGAGAAGCTCCAAAGCGTGCTCTCACAGGAGGCATTTACGGTTCATTTATACTTCCTCCCACTCCAGGTTTAGATTACCTACCAGGGGTCATTTTCACTCTAAGTGACATTGCCTAGTAACAGAGTTGACATTCTTACCATCTTCAGGTTATTAGGAGAACGTAGCTAAAAAGCTTGAAAGTCAGATTCTTATGCAGAAGGGAAGAGTTTTGCTAACTATTTATCCACAGGAGGATAACTATGCACAGTTTTGTGGATAATTAACTATTCACAGAAATCAATATTTTTGTTTCTGTCATGCCAAGTGTTAAATAGAGATGTCAAATAAGCAATTTAATTATAAATCTGGAGCTCAGAGGGTAACTAAATTTAGGAGTCATCAGCAGTATTTGAAGCCATGGAAGCAGAGAGGCTCACTCAGATTAAGAGGGCAGAGAGGAGTAGAGGGCCTGGGGCAGTGAAACTGCCTTTGCAAAATTATAATTGAGGAAATTATGACAGTGAAAGACATCAGACCTAACAGTGAAAGACATCAGACCTAACCAACTCCATCTTGCCTCTAACCTCTAAATTGTCCTTATCCATTCCTGGTCATAGGTCAAACTAGCCTTGGGGAGGAATTTAGCTTATAGTTTAAATAATAGCCCTTCCCCAAAGCTAAACTGTTCTTGCAGAATGAATGAAAGGCCACCAGCCACCAAGTCAGAATGAGAAGAGCTGGAATTCTAAATATTACGAGCCATTATTCCAGAGGTCATAAGATTCGCAACTTTCCCAATTACTCTTAAAGGTAACATCACTATTGTGAACCTAAGATCGCCCTTTTGAGGTGTCTTTTCAGGTTTTCACATTTCTAACAACCAGGTGGCCCCACCTGGACCTGCCAACCAGTTGTGTGGCCTCTGCCCAGGAACTGACTCAGCATAAGAGAACAGCTTCGACTCCCTATGATTTCATCCCCGAGCCAACCAATCAGCACTCCCGATTCACTGGCCCCCTACCCACCAAATTATCCTAAAAACTCTGATCTCTGAGTTTTCAGGAGACTAATTTGAGTAATAAAAATAACTCCAGTCTCTTGCACAGCTGGCTCTGCATGAATTACTCTTTCTCCATTGCAATTCCCGTCTTGATAAATTGGCTCTGTCTAGGCAGTGGGCAAGGTGAAACTCTTGGGCAGTTACAGTGGGGCTCTCTAAAATTTAGAGGTTCAGAAGAAAAAGAAGGGTCAGGAAAGGAAATTAAGAAAAAGTGGCCAGTGAAGTGGAGTCATAAAAAACAAGATAAATTTGAATAAAGAGGGAATACCCAGTTATGTCAAAAATGCTAGAGATATCAAGTAAGATGAAGCCAGAAATATAACCCCTGGATTTGGCAACAAGGGAACCCTTAGTGACCTTTTCAAGAGCCATTTCACTGGCCTGACTGATGTAAGGTGGAGAGAGAATGAAAGGCAAGGAAAAAGTGACAGAGATAACTTTTTTATAAAACAGCAGCAGTAAGGTCAGAAGTCAAAGAGAGGGATTAAAAATAGCAGAAAACAGACATGTTTGCATGCTGATGAGAATGGTCCAGTGTAAAGGAGCAAATTGATGCAAGAGTGAAAAACAAGAGGGTGGAGGAGGATGGACCCAGAGCCTAGAGGTGCTGGCTTTTGAAAAATGCTGGGACACTCCCTCCTAACATGTATGAGAGTAACTAACATCAGTATTTCAGAGCTTCCACTCAGTTCCTAAGTCAAAATGCTGGGGGACATCCTACAGCTATTATAATTTAACCTCACAGCCAACTAGTCCTATCAAGCTCCAAAATAAGCCAGAAGTTCCATAAGGTCAGGAGCTAGGTCTTATTTCACTTGTATTTTCAGCACCAGGATTGTGCTTGGCATAGCTTAGGTCTCTAGCAAGAAATGCAAAGCCCCAATGGTAGGTAGCATCATGGAAAGATGAGAGATATTTGGAAGCGGTTGGTCTCCTAACATCATTTAAGTCATATCTCCTTGGGCACTCTGATGGTTAATTTTATGTCAACTCGACTGGACTAAGGGATGCCCAGGTAGCTGGTAAAACATTATTTCTGTGCATGTTTGTGAGGATGTTTCTGAAACAGATTAGCATTTGAATGGGTAGACTGAGCAAAGAAGATCACCCAAAGAGGGTGGGTAACATCCAGTCTGCCGAGGCCATGCATAGAACAAACAGGCAGAAGGAAGGTGAATTATCTCTCTCTGTCTGAGCTGGTGCATTCATCTTCTCCTGCACTTGGACATAAGCGCTTCTGTTTCCCTGGCTTTCAGATGCAGACTGGTACTTACACTATTGGCTCTCCAGTTCTTGGAACTTTAGGCTTGGACTGGGATTTACACCACTGGCCCACCTGGGCTCCAGCTTCCAGACCTTCCAGTCCCTCATAAATCTCTTTCTATATACCTACATTGTATCGTTTGGCTCTTTGTCCCCACCCAAATCCCATGTCAAATTGTAATTCCCAGTGTTGAAGGAGGGGCCTAATGGGAGATGACTGAATCATGCGGGCGGACTTCCCCCTTGCCGTTCTCACAATACAGTTCTCATGAGATCTGACTGTTTGAAAGTGTGTAGCACCTCCCCCTTCCCCCTCTCTCTCTCCTGCCAGCCATGTAAAGATGTGTTTTCTTCCCCTCCAACTTCCACCATGATTGTAAGTTCCCTGAGGCCTCTCCAGCCATGCCTCCTGCACAGCCTGCAGATCTGTGAGTCAAATAAACTTCTTTCTTTATAAACTACCCAGTCTCAGGTAGGTTTTTATAGCAATGTGAGAACAGACTAATACAGAAAATTGGGCCAGGTGTGGTGGATCATGCCTGTAATGCCAGCACTTTGGGAGGCAGAGGCATGTGAATCACTTAAAGGCAGGAATTCGAGACAAGCCTGGCCAACATAGTGAAACCCCGTCTCTACCAAAAAATACAAAAATTAGCTGGGCATGGTGGCATGCACCTGTAGTCCCAGCTCCCAGCTACTCAGGAGGCTGAGGTGGGAGAATCACTTGAACCCAGGAGGCAGAGGTTGCAGTGAGCCAAGATCATGCCACTGCACTTCAGCCTGGGTGACAGAGTGAGACCCTGTCTCAAAAAAAAAAAAAAAAAAAAAAAAAAAACTGGTACTGAGAGTGGGGTATTGCTATAAAGATACCTGAAAATGTGGAAGCAACTTTGGAACTGGGTAAGGGACAGAGGTTGGAACAATTTGAAGAGCTCAGAAGAAGACAGGAAGATGAGGGAAAGTTTGGAACTTCCTAGAGAATTGTTAAATTGTTGTGAACAAAATGCTGATAGTAATATGGACAATGAAGTCTGGACTGAGGAGGTCTCAGATGGAGATAAGAAACTTAGTGGGAACTGGAGTAAAGGTCACTCTTGCTATGCTTTAGCAAAGAGATTGGTGGCATTGTGCCCCTGCTCTAGGGATCTGTTAAACTTTGAACTTGAGAAAGATGATATATTTAGGGTATCTGGTGGAAGAAATTTCTAAGCAGCAAAGCATTCAAGATTTGGCCTGGCTGCTTCCAAAAGCCTACACTCATTTGTATAAGCAAAAAAAAAAAAAAATGACCTGAAATTGGAGCTTATATTTAAAAGGGAAGCAGAGCATAAAAGCTTGAGAAATTTGCACCCTGGCCATGTGGTAGAAAAAAAAAAAACATTTCATGGGAGGAATTCAAGCCTGCTGCAGAAATTTGCATAAGTAAAGGTACCAAATGCTAATAGCCAAGACAATGGGGAAAATGCCTGGAAGACACTTCAGAGATCTTTATAGCAGCCCCTCCCATCACAGGCCCAGAGGCCTAGGAGGAAAACATGGTTTTATGTGCCAGGCCCAGGGCCCCACTGCTCTGTGCAGCCTCTGGACACCATGCCCTGCATTGCAGCTACTCCAGCTCCAGCCATGGCTAAAAGGGCCCCAGATATGTCTCAAGCCACTGCTCCAGGGGGTGTAAAACCTTGGCAGCTTCCACGTGGTGTTAAGTGTGCAGATTTGCAGAGATCAAGAGTTGAGTTGATGCTTGGGAGCCTCTGCCAAGATTTCAGAGGATGTATGGAAACACCTGGATGTCCAGGCGGAAGTCTGCTGCAGGGGCAGAGCCCTCATGGAGAACCTCTGCTAGGGCAGTGCAGGAGGAAAATGTGGGGTTAGAGCCCCCACACAGATACCCAACTGGGGCACTGCCTAGTGGAGCTGTGAAAACAGGGCCACCATCCTCCAGACCCCAGAATGGTATATCCACTGACACCTTGCACTGTGCAACTGGAAAATCTGCAGGCACTCAACACCGGCTCATGAAAGTAGCCACAAGGCCTGCACCCTGCAGAGTCACAAGGGTGGAACAGTTCAAGGCCTTAGGAGTCCATCCCTTGCATCAGTGTGGCCTGGATGTGAGATATGGAGTGAAGGAGGTTATTTTGGAGCTTTAAGATTTAATGACTTGCCCTGCTGGGTTTTGGACTTGCATGGGGCCTGTAGCCCTTTGCTTTGGACAATTTCTCTTTTTTGGAATGGGAGCATTTAACTCAATGTTTGTACCCCCATTGTATCTTGGAAGTAACTAACTTGTTTCTGATTTTACAGGCTCATAGGTAGTGGAAGAAACTTGCCCAGTCTCAGATGAGACTTTGGACTTGGACTTTTGAGTTAATGCAAGAATAACTTAAGACTTCAGGGGACTGGTGGGAAGGCATGATTGTGTTTTGAAATGTGAGAAGGACATGAGATTTTGGAGGGGCCAGGGGCAGAATGATATGGTTGGCTCTGTGTCCCCACCCAAATCTCATGTCAAATTGTAATTCCCAGTGTTGGAGGAGGGATCAGGTAGAGGGTGAATGGATCATGGAGGTGGACTTCCCCCTTGCTGTTTTGATGATACAGTTCTCATGAGATCTGGTTGTTTGAAAGTGTGTAGACCTCTCCCTTCTCTCTCTCCCTCTCTCTCGTCAGCCATGTGAAGATGTGCTTGCTTCCCCTTTGCCTTCTGCCATGATTGTAAGTTTCCTGAGGCCTCTCCAACCATGCCTCCTGTACAGCCTGCAGAACTGTGGGTCAATTAAACCTCTTTTCTTTATAAACTATCCAGTCTCAAATAATACAGGTACCTGCCCACCACGCTTTCCCTCAGTGAATGAGGAAAACATGTCCTTGAGTTTCCTCTGCTCTCAAGAAAGTCATTGCCTCACTTTTCCTTATTGAGATCATGTCCAAGGCCTTGCCCAGAAGCCAGTTGCTCCTCTGCAGCTCTAAAAATCAATGTCTTAGGCTAGCTACTGACACTCTAGGGGCCTGTTCTTCAATAGTCCTTCTCCATACCTGATTAATAAATTGTGAGAAGCTTGCTTCTCATCACTGTAGCCTCCTTGAAAGCTTCTGACTGTAGAGATGGGGGAGGGCTGTAGCCAGTGACCACTCAGAGACCCCTGGAGAAAAATTATTCAAGGCATTGCAGGCTTCGAGCTGGGTCAGCCTGGAAATTTGCCCTTTAAGCAACTAAGAGAGAGTCACATCAATACAGTCTAATTTCTGTGGTTATAAAGCCCCCAAACCAGCAAGACATAATTTGGTTAATAGCTTTTAATATTGGAAGAGGAGATTAATAAACTCCTATTTTAAAAGCATTGTAATTTCTTAAAGTTCCCTGTGGAAGCAAGTTTTCATGTGAAACTAGTTCAGCTCATATAGATGTGTCAAGGTAAGAAGAAATAAGCCTTAATCCAGAATAGATGGCCCTAAGGTTCAGTGACTAAAACAGGCCCCCTGGAGACTGAGTTGTGTGGGGTTCTTCCAGGTCAAGTTCCTTTGTGAAAATTAGTGACAGAATTTTTGTGAAGGAGCTCCAGAAACACTTAAGAGCTATGCCAAGTATAATGAACACATTCACTAATAGCGAAGTACAGATGGTTAATGGGCAAGCAAGAGAGAAACAGCAAAGATGAGCTATCTCTGGGTCACAGTAAGAAAATAAGCAAAGGAAACCCAGGCTCAAGAATGTAAGGCAGGTGAGAGAAGGAATAGCAATGGCTGAGGACACAGGGAGGCCAGAAGCAGGTCCAGGCTCAGCAGGGAACAGAAGGAGGAGCTCTCAGAGTATTAGGGTTGCAAGAGCTTTTGAGCTGATCTAGTTTTTTGTTTGTTTGTTTTTGTTTTGTTTTGTTTCGTTTTTTGAGACAGAGTCTCTCTCTGTCACCCAGGCTGGAGTGCAGTGGTGTGATCTCAGCTAATTGCAACCTCTACCTCCTGGGGTCAAGCAATTCTCCTGCCTCAGCCTCCTATGTAGCTGGGATTACAGGCCAGCACGTGCCACCACTACCAGCTAATTTTTGTATTTTTAGTAGAGATGGGGTTTTACCACGTTGGCCAGGCTGGTCTTGAACTCCTGACCTCAGGTAATCCCCCTACCTCAGCCTCACAAAGTGCTGGGATTACAGGCATAAGCCATTGCACCCGGCTACTGATCTAGTTTTAATGCTCCATCTGACATGTGAGAAGATAGAGGCCCAGAGAGAGAGAGTGATCTGCATAAGGTCATCAATATTAGTGCCTAATTTGACCTATTAGTGCCAAAAGACAAGCCAGAGAAGGACATTTTCCTGAAACCAGCCTGTACTTGGGTAGGTACATAGAGACCCAGGGCCTATCTTCTCAGCTGGATTCAGCTGGCCTCTCTTCTCCGATCTAAAGCTGCTAGCTTGCTACTGCTTTAATGTCTGAAATCAAGTGGGTTTTGCTTCTAATGCTTTGCCCTCATAATAGAGGCTCCTGCAATTTCTAGACGGGATGATATGCGGAAGAAGATGCTAGTATTGTCAAGGCTGAGAACACTGTGTGTGTGGAGACCTTGGGCTTTGGCAGAAAAGATAGCAGCCTCACAGACAGCCCCAGTCAAGTCTGCAGGAAAGCCCTACCTTCCATGCCATCCAACCTATCAAGTCAAGATACTACTAATTTCCCAGTAGTCATTTCAGGAGGTGTCCAGAAGCTTAAGAGCTTCTCCCAAAGCTGCCTTGACAGAACCAGCAATTCAACATGCTGCCTCTGTTGCCCAAGCACTGTCCTGGGGAGGATGAGGACCCAAAGTGCAGAAGTTTCATTACTAAGGGGTTTGGTTATCCTGGGTCAGGTTGAGAAACCTCCTTAGAGGAGAAACCTCTTCTGCTGGGCCAAGTGCTGCTCTGTAGGACAGAGCAGAGCAGAATCTGAAACCTTGGCTGGTGTGCAAAGGATGTACCATAGGCCTCCATGAGCTCTGACTTCTGACCCTCATAGCTGGGGCCACTGATTTCCTGGGGAAGGTCACCTTCAGAGCTGCCTTGGGCACCTGTCCTAGCCTAATTGCTAGTTCCAGTCTAGAAGCAGCTTTCCCAGGACAAAAACAAGAAGTCTTTTCCCTTCCTTCCCTTTCCCTTCCCTCCCCTCCTCTCCTCTTCCCTCCCCTCCTCTCCCCTTCCCTCCCCTCCCCTTCCCTGCCCTCCCCTCTTCATTCCCATCTTGCCTGGGGGGCCCACGCCCATAGTTGTTTCCTAATCTCAAACCTCTCTGCTGCCAACTGTATACAGACCTTGCCTCTGTGGCTACTGTCTGGATAGTCACCCATGGGCTCCCTGGCTTCCACTTCTAGCCATCTCCAGTTTGCATTTTCCCCTACATCTTCTATCTCATTATTATAGGGATAAAGAGGTCAGAAGAGGAAGCTCTACCCTTGGGCTCATGGCAACCAATACATGTTCCTGTCCTGGTAAATGAGGTCAACTACATGAGCCCTTTAGTATCCCCTTTGGGCCTGTTGGCAAAGTGCCTTGGGCATGAAAGTTTAGTGGGCAGAACAACACAAGACTTCACATACTGACTTCCAAGGTATGTAGCTAAGATTCCTGTGGTTTAATTCAACAATAACTTGAGGGAGGGAGGGAGGGAGGGAGGGAGGGAGGGAGGGAGGGAAGGAAGGAAGGAAGGAAGGAAGGAAGGAAGGAAGGAAGGAAGGAAGGAAGGAAGGAAGGAATTACAGGCTGTATAAGAGAGTGCCTTAGTCATTTGGATCAAAAATTATAATTCTCTTTGGAATCATTAAGGCTGAAAATAAAGTGAAGTATAGCGAAGCATGTTAGTACAAGGGTATATGATGGTTGGGATTGTAGCTTTTCATGGGCATGGTCATCATTTTAGGAGTTTGAGGAAGGTGGGACAGAAACCAAGTCTGTAAGGAGCCAAGAGTTCATACACTCATTCATCTGACAACCTTGTTAACTATGAATTAGATATGTGCTAGCCCTGGACTAACTGACCACTCATGAGGAGGCAAAACAGCCACTGGCTCCTTAGCAGACAAATGAGACTGGATTTGACTCCAGCAAGCAGAGAGGCAGCCTGATCAGAGACTTCACAACACTCAGACCAGATTTTACTGCAGCCCTTTGGTGAAAAAAATTAAAAGATAGAGTCCTTTGAATGTCTATTTTTCATGCATGTCTATCCCGCCCTTGTCATTTAGATCACGGGTTCCCAACCCCTGGGCCACAGACTGGTACAAGTCCATGGCCTGTTAGGAACTGGGCCTCACAGCAGGAGGTGAGTGGTGGGACGAACAAAGCTTCATCTGTATTTACAGCCCCTCCTCATAGCTCACATTGTGGCCTGAGCTCCACCTCCTGTCAGATCAGCAGTGGCATTAGATTCTCATAGGAGTGCAAACCCTACTGTGAACTGCACATGCGAGGGATCTAGGTTGCACCCTCCTTATGAGAATCTAATGCCTGATGATCTGAGGTGGAGCCAAGGCAGCAATGCTAGCACTGGTGAGTGGCTGCAAATACAGATAAACATTAGCAGAGAGGTTTGACTGCACAGAGACCATAATAAATCAACTGCTTGCAGACATATCAAAACCCTATCAGTGAGTGGCAAGTGACAATTAAGCTGCATTTAGTGGCAGGCTGTATAGTGGCAAGTGAGTTGATTTACTTCAATTGTACAGCTGCCTCGGTGGCAGGCTTTAAGTCAGAATCCGACACTTATTTAGTCTGCATGTGGCCCACCCATTATTTTATTTACCACTTCCATCTGCACCTCTTTTCTGCACTGTGCGCTTATCTCAGTCAGTTTTGGTAAGCCAACAAGATAACCCTAGCCAAAATTAGTAAAAAACAAACATCACTGGAGAACTTCTTTGAAAAGAGGGAAAGACCAAATGATGAGATAGCACAAGACTCTAAGACTGCCAACAAAAAGAAAGCTGCATTTAAAAGAAAATACCAAGAGTCCTTCTTAAATTATGGGTTCATTGCAACAGGTGATTCACATTCTCTAAGTGTGCTTTGTATAATGTGCAGTGACCAGCTATCAAATGAAGCCATGAAACCTTCAAAATTCCTTCACAACAGGGAGACCAAGCACCTTGTGCTAAAAGACAAGCCTTTGGCATTTTCCAAAGAAAGAAATGTGAACACAAAGAACATGATACGGTTTGGCTGTATCCCCACCCAAATCTCATCTTGAATTGTAGCTCCCATAATTCCCACGTGTTGTGGGAGGGACCTGGTGGGAGATAACTGAATCATGGGGTTGGTTTCCCCATACTGTTCTCATCGTAGTGAATAAGTCTCATGAGATCTGATGGTTTCATAAAGGGAAACCCTTTTTGCTTGGTTCTCATTCTCTCTCTTGTCTACCACCATCAAAGACATGTGTTTTGCCTTCTGCCATGATTGTGAGGCCTCCCCAGCCACATGCAACTGTGAGTCCACTAAACCTTTTCTTAATAAATTACCTAGTCTCTGGTATGTCTTTATTAGCAGTGTGAAAATGGAATAATACCAAACAGAAGCAATTGAAGGCCACCACTTTATCAAATGTGTTTGCACCAAGAGCGTAATTCTTAGTGACTAATTGCATTGCTAAAGTGAAGAAGTCCTTTACTAATGGCGAAGAGTTGATACCACCTGCTGCTAAGGACATTTCATGAATTTTTAGGAGAGGCTGCAGTTCAAAAGGTAGCATGTGTTCCTCTTTCAGCTAGCACCATAACTAGATGAATTGATGAAATAGCAGAGGATGTTGAGGCACAATTGTTAGAGAGGATTAATGAGTCACCATGGTATGCAATCCAGGTTGACAAGTCTACCAAGTTGACAACAAGGCAACAACACTTGCTTTTGTGCAATTTATTTTCAGGAGGATGTGCATGGGGATGTGTTACATGCACTTTTGCTGCCAACCAACACCACAGTTGCAGAACTATCCAAGTCCTTGAATGATTACATATCAGGAAATGTGTGTTGGTCATTTGGTGTCAGTATATGCATGGGTGGAGCAGCTGCCATGACTGGACAGCTTTCTGGTTTCACTACTCAGTTCAAAGAAGTTGCTTCTGAATGTGAGTCTATGCACTGTGTCAGCCATAGAGAAATGCTGGCTAGCTGAAAAATATCACCTGAACTTAACAATGTTTTGTGGGATGTGATTAAAATTATCAACTACATTAAAGTACATGCCCTTAATTCATATCTGTTCATGCAGCTCTGTGAGGAGATGGACACAGAGCACACATGTCTTCTCTTATACACAGAAGAGCATTGGCTTCCTAAAGGTAGATCACTGGCCAGAGTTTTTGAACTATGAGAGCCACTCCAGAGATTTCGTTTAGAAAACCAGTCATCACTGGCAGCACATTTCATTGACACAGAATGGGTCACATAACTTACTTACTTGTGTGGTATATTCAACCTGCTCAATAAATTCAATCTGTCATGCCAGGAGAGAACAACAACTGTGTTCAAGTTGGCAGATAAAGTGGCTGCATTCAAAGCCAAACTGGAATTATGGGGGTGACAAGTGAACATTGGGATTTTTGACATGTTTCAAACATTAGCAGAGATTTTGAAAGAGACTGAGTCAGGTCATCTTTCTCCAAGCTGACGCATGATCACCTATCTCAGCTTTCAAAAGAGTTTGAGCATTACTTTTCAACCACAAAAACCCCCGAACTGGGAAGGAATGGATCTGTGACCCATTTTTTAATAAGCCAGGTGAGTCAGCATTGTCCGTGCTAGAAGGGGATCAACTGCTTGAGATCGCAAATGATGGTAGCCTTAAAAGTATGTTTGAGCCAATGTAAAATCTACATACATTCTGGATTAAGGTCAAGGTGGGATATCCTGAGATTGCCACAAAAGCATTGAAAAGCCTGCTTCCATTTCCAACATCCTATCTTTGTGAAGCAGGATTTTCTGCAGTGACAGCAACCAAAATGAGATTACAGAGTATACTGGACATAAGAAACACACTTCGGGTGTCACTGTCTCCCATGACCCCCAGAAGGGACCATCTAGTTGCAGGAAAACAAGTTCAGGACTCCCCCTGTTTCTACATTATGGTGAGTTGTATAATTACTTCATTATATATTGCAGTGTAATAATAACAGAAAGAAAGTGCACAATAAATGTAATGCACCTGAATCATCCTTGCTACTAAGCCAGGTATGAGACCTTTTCCTCTTGTTTCTTCACCTGAGAAGCTGGGTTTTGTAGGAGTCCTTCCAGCTTTCCACTGTGAAATAGTAAAATCTCTCCATTTCCTTTTAGCCTCCCCACCTGGGGAGCTTCCTAACCCTGACCCCCAGACTACCCAGGTCTGTGGAAAAATTATCTTCCATGAAACCAGTCCCTGGTGCCAAAAAGGTTGGGGACCATTGATTTAGATAATCTCTTCTAAAGTCTTGCACTTAAAAAATGTATCTCTGCTCTTTCTTCTCCCCCTACTATCTTCAGGAACATCTTCATGAACTCAGACCCCGTGGCAATAAGAAATAAGTAGAATAAATGACTATACCCATTTACAAATGAGAAAACAGAGACTTGGCAAAGGTCACATGACTGGTAAGTGAAAGAAGAGTGTTAAATGGGAAAATTAATTGACCTGAGAACTCAAGAGTTTTTGGTCCTCTCTTTGTTGCTAAGCCAGGTAGGAGACCTTTTCCTCTTGTTTCTTCACCTGAGAAGCTGGGTTTTGTAGGAGTCTTTCCAGCTTTCCACTGTGAAATAGTAAAATCTCTCCATTCCCTTTTAGCCTCCCCACCTGGGGAGCTTCCTAACCCTGACTCCCAGACTGACTCAATTAGAATCTGTGTGGGGAGTGGAACCCAGTTATCAGCACTTTGTAAAACCCTCCCGGGAGATTGCAATGTGCATCCAAGAGTGGTGAGAACCAATGGGTTAGAAGTCCTTGAGGAGCAGGCAAGAAGGCCAGCCTGACTAGCCTTGCTGCCTCTCCCTGCTTAATTTTCTCCCCCAGATACCTCCTCCCCATACTGGGACTGCTTCTAAAGCTAAAGTCAAGCCGCACCCTTCAACTGCTTTCCACACTACCCTTGTTGACAGCTCTAATGGACTCTGCAGATTAAACAATCCTAGCGATCTTGAGCTGCCCTGGGATTGGCCTGTGAGGCAATGGTAGAAGTTACTGTTGCTCCTGGTTCTAATTGAATAATTTACTGTAAATAGCCTCCATTTCCTCCAGTGCTCATGCTTGTTAGCCAAATGGAAGTGAGCAAGGGCTGCCTCTAATGAGGTGTGGGAGCAGAAATGAGCTATCCAAATGGAGCAGCAGCCACTGAATTAAGTCAGAGACACTTAAGGCTTCAAGTCCTTTTTGTAAACTAGCCACTCCTCAATGGGGAGGCACAGCCAGAAGTCCTGCAGAAACAAGGCTGTGGGCTCCATGGTGAGATTTTCTATTGGGAAGGGCCCCTGGGGAGGTGACAAAGGGGTTCTTCCCAGCTCACACCTACAACACTCTTTCTCTTTATCGTCCATCTACCCCACCCTTATCCCTGCTCTGCTCCAGTATGCCAAAGAATTGCTCGGAACCTTATTCCTACCCAATTTAAGAGACATTTTCATTGTTCTAAACTCTTCCTCTTGGCTTAGGTATTCTCCACCAGTGCATGGAGGGGATCCAAGATTAAGATGCCTTATAACCACTTGTACTGGTGCCTTCCTGGGCTTTGAGTGAAGAGGAGAAAAGTTGTCCACCAGGGAACATTTTCCATGTCACTATGCTTTTTCATCCTAGAGGGATGCTGCACAGGGTTATCTTATTTATCCATATTAATTCATTTACTCAATAAATTTATTTAGTTATTCATTTTCTCCATAAACAAGGGAAATCCCATGTTTCTTTTATAACTTGTATTCAGCCCAACAGCAGAGGTGAATATCTACACATGGCAGAACACTGTAACCGCAGCTTGAATGCCACAAAGATATCACCCTCCTCTTGCCCAGTAAGTTTATGTTCATGTTTGTTTGGGTATTGGAGACCATGTTAGGTGGAGCACGTATGAAGGAGACTTCTGGGAAAGAAAAGAATTGTATTGTGGCCATTTGCCGAATTGAGGTCCAAAAACACATTGGATGGATGGGGGCTGCTCTTGTCAAGGCTAGAGAGCAGGATAAAGCCATGGCAATGAGAATGGTGTGTGAGTACTCAGAAGTAGACTGATCCCCAAGGACTTGGACTTCAGGAAGAAATGTTGCTTACGGAGACAGTGTACTGCTAGAAACAGGAGAGTCCCAAACTAGCAGCATATGTGCACACTGGGGGAAATGAAGGCAGGTTTATGTGAATTTAACCCAGAACTGTTATAGGAGCAACTTCAGACTGGATCTAAAAGCAGAAAATCTGCCTTGCACTCAGGATCAAGGCATCAGTGACTCCCCATCACCTAGAACTGTGAGTAACAATTAAGGTAAGTCCATGACCCTCCCCACAAATAGATGGAGGGTCTGATGCAGTCCCTATAGGAAATATTTCTCACCCCGACTCTTCATGATGAGAATCACAGCCATGGTAAATAACTTTTGAATCATGTTTACTAATGGGAATGCATCATATTCATCAACTATGAAGAATCATGAGCCTAGATGATGAAGTATGCTTAGCATGTCATACAAAGCATGTCATACAAATCCCCCTACATGCTAATTTCTTTTCATTTTTGCCAGTTTTATTAATGTATAGTTGCCACAACATGATTTCAGCCTCTTCTCCAGCCTCTATCCAGCTTTCTCCATGATGTTCATTCTGCTTAGAAGCATGTGGTTTGGGTGAAATTGGTTACCCCTCCCCCAGTTGTAAGGGTGGGTCTGATAGATTTTAAATGATCACAAATTTTTATAACTATTTACATCAAGATGTGGGGACTTGCTTCAGAAGCAATGGCAACAAAAACAAAAATTGATAAATGGGAACTAATTAAACTAAAGAGCTTCTGCACAGCAAAAGAAACTATCAACAGAGTAAGCAGGCAACCTACAGAATAGGAGAAAATATTTGCAAACTATGTATCCAACAAAGGACATATATACAGAACCTATAAAAAACTTAACCAATTCAACAAGCAAAAAGCAAATAACCCCATTTAAAAGTGGGCAAAAAACATGAACAGGCACTTCTCAAAAGAAGACATACAAGCAACCAATATATGAAAAAATGTTTCAACATCACTAATCATCAGAAAAATGCAAATCAAAACCACAGTAAGATACCATTTCACACCACTCAGAATGGCTATTACTAAAGAAAAACAAAAAACAACAGATACTGGTGAGGTTGTGGAGAAAAAGGAATGCTTATTCACCATTGTTGGGCATGTAAATTACTTCAGCCACTGTGGAAAGCAGTTTGGAGATTTCTTAAAAATCCTAAAACAGAACTACCATTTGACCCAGCAATCCCCTTACTGAGTATATATCCAAAAATAAATAAATAAATAAATCATCCTACCAAAAAGTCACATGTGCTTGTATATTAATCACAGCACTACTCACAACAGCAAAGACATGGAATCAACCGAGGTGCCTATCAACAGTGGATTGAATAAAGAAAATGTGGTGCACATACACCATGAATACTATGCAGCCATAAAAAAGAATGAAATAATGTCCTTTGCAGCAACATGGATGCAGCTGGAGGCCAATATCTTAAGGAAATTAATGCAGGAACAGAAAACTAAATACCACATGTCTTCACTTATAAGTGGGAGCTAAACACTGGGTACCCGTCAACATAAATATGGCAACAATACACACTAGGAACTACTGAAAGGGAGAGGGAGAGAGGGGCACAAGGTTGAAAACCTAACTATTGGGTACTATGCTCACTACCTCAGTGACGGGATCAGTCATACCCCAAACCTCAGCATCATGCAATATCCCCATGTAACAAACCTGCACATGTACCCCCTGAATCTAAAATAAAACTTGAAATTATTTTTTTAAAAATATGTAGGGACTTGCTTTGACCAATATATAATGTGACAGAAATCATGTCACACAAGTCCCAAGTTTACATGTCAAGAGGCCTTACAGCTGTTCTCACTCTCATAGAATGACATGTTCAAGTGAATTAGCCCAAGCTGGCTTACTGGAAAGAACACAGAGAAGAGAACCAAACTACCCCCTCAACCAGCAGACATGTGGCTGTCCTTACCCAGGACCAGCCAGCCCTTTGCTGACTTGCCAAGTTACCCTAAGTGCATGAGTGAGCCCAGGCAACACCACATGGTAGAGAATGAGACATCCCAGCTGAGCCCTACCCAAATTCCTGACCCACAGAATCATGAGAAAACAAATTGTTGTGGTTTTCAGCCACTAAATTTTTTAAATGTTTTGTTATGTAAATAAGGCTAATGGAAAAAGTGGGTAAGCCAATCAGGGCAAATCCTTCCCTCCTGCCACATTTGGTTCATAACACAGGCCTCAGTTCATCAATGCATGCAGAGATTGGTTCAGGAGTGGCCCAATCAGTGAGAACCTCAAGGCCTTGGCTGGGAATACCAAGTCAAAGCTATTCATCTATTCATCCCTACTTTGAGTAGAGCGCTGTGTGAAGCTTGAAGATATCACATCTGTTTTGCTACCATAACAAGAGCCAACCGGAGGAAGAAACCAACACATGAGAACTCTACAGAAAACTGCAAAGAAATGGAGTTAGAGCCTTGATCAAACCCTCTATTAATTGCACAGGAATTTCACATCACTTCTAGCCTTTTGTCATTATGTGAACCATAAACCTTGTTATTTAAGCCAGTAGACTTAGGTTTTTGGTTATTTGCAACTTAAATCAACTGAAAGTGTCCAAATGACACACTCTCAAAACTCGCTACCTGTTGTTTTCATGTTTACCAACGAAACACTGCTTCTCAAGCAAACACTTAAGAGAAGCATAAAATGACAGACACCATGTTTGAAATAGGAATGGGCAGTCCAGAATCCTAACAGCTCCTTCTTAATTCCCTGTATCAGTTTCTAGGTCTTCTGTAACAAAGTACCACAAACTGTGTGGCTTGAGACAATGGAAATGTATTGTGTCACAGTTCTGTAGGCTAGAAGTCAGAGACCAAAGTGTTGCTGGACCATGCTCGCTCTGACACCTGTAAGGGAACCCTTCCTTGTCTCTTTCTAGATTCTGCTTGTTTGCCAGCATCTTTGGCATCCCTTGGTTTACAGATGCATCACTCCAATCCTTAGTCTCCACACGGCATCATTCCTGTGTTTCTTCACATCATTTTCCCTCTATGCATGTCTATCTGTGACCAAATTTCCCCTTTTTATACAACACTGATCATACTAGACAAGGGCTCACCCTTATGACCTCAGTTTAACTTAATTACCTCTATAAAGACCCTAGTTCCAAATAGTCACATTCTGAGTTTAAGACTTCAACATACCTTTTTGAGGGGGACAAAATTCAACCCATAACACTCTATCTCACCATAGTTCCTTAGACAGCCCCAGGACTCTGGAAGAGAAAAGTCATGTTTTAATTCTATTGTGCCATTTTACATGTTGAACCTCTTCCTACAATGTTCTTCTACCTCTTCTGTCTTAGATTTCAGGGCTCAGATAAAATGGCATCCACTCTTTCTGCTCCTGTCCTCAAAAAAAGAAATAATTATTCACTCTTCTGTCTCATATCACTTGTTCACATCTCAAATGGAGCACTCTTCATTAAGGTTAAATCCGTACATATGTGTCTCTCTCCACACTGGTCTGTATGTCACCCTGATGGCAGGATTGTCACTTGTACCTAGCTCATTGCCTGGCATATAGTAGATATTCAGTAAATGTTGGATGAAATAAAGTTATGCGCCCTGACATCTTGTATTAATTGTTAGAGTATATTATTTATTAAACAGAAAAACAGGCTTTCTCGCCCATCCCTTTAAAGAATAATGAGTTGGCAAAAGACTCAAGATTTGAGGCTCCAGGCTTACAACATCAAAATGGTCTTGGGAATGAGTGTGAGGAAGAACTGTTTGAACAGTGACTGGAAATCACCCTTGTCCCAGATTTTCCCCTAATTAGGCTTTTCCTTGTGTTAGTAATCCCATCATAAGAACCTCCAGACATCAAATGTACCATCTTCTGATTGTTTATTATGTGTTTTCTGGTTTGTAATTATTGTTCACTGGTGCTTCTGTAATGTAGGTATGAAAATGGCAGAGGAGCAAAATCCTAACTAGCAAACATTCAGTATGTTAACCTGTGAATCTTCCACTGAGCTTGTATGTTGGGAAAAGGGGAAGACAATGTATCCAATTGTACCATATAGGAAGTAACCCTAAAGAGTGATGCCCACAGGTGATGACTGGGAGGGGAAGGGAGAAAAGGCATCTACACTAGAAGTTCTCTTTCTATGTAAGTCGAGACTCTCCTGTTCATCAGTTGCCCTGGGTTCAGATGTGCATCATTGCTAATGTGAGTTTAGGAAATAATTTCAGCTTCCTCTTCATGCCTAACAGAACCCTCCAGGTAACCTGACTAATATCCAGCCAACTGAATATCAGAACTGTTTTATACAGTAGCCACAGAACATAGCCCAGTAGGTATACAATAGGCAATCACTCATTCATACAACAAATACTAATAGTATCTGTCCCATATACTTGCTGTGGAGATTAAATGATACTATGTATCTTAACAGTCTGGCACCTAGTGAGTGCCCAGTGTATGTACCAGAGGTTATTACATTGGATTATTATTATCAATTATTTACTTCTACCCTGTAATAGATTTATATATCTAAGCCCTTCACTATGTGACTTTTCAATGTCTTTTTCTTGGAGTAGCATATGGTCATGCTCATGGTTAACATTGAGCGTGGCCATACAACTTGCTTTGGTCAAGGGAATGTGAGTGGATATAACATATGTCATGTCAGAAAGGTTTTAAATGTGCTTGGTTCTTTTCGGACCTCTTGGAGCTTCCTCCCTCTGCCATGAGAAGAGTATGCCCCAAATGGTCATTGTTTCTTCAGCCTGGATACAGGAATGGAAACACATGGAGCATTCTGAACTCAGCCTGGCCAAGTCAGCGCAGCTGAGGTCAGACAAACCACAACATATATGCAGATTTATCAGCAATAAAAATCACTGTTGTTGAAAGCTACTGAGATTTCTGTGGTGGTTTGTGATGCATTACTGCTGCAGTGGTTGACTTTCATTATTATTGTTGTTGTTGTTGCTGCTGTTGTTGTTGTTGTTATATCTACTCGACAGAACATTTTGGCCTTCAGACTCTTACTGCAGAAGGGAGTGCAGAATAGTATAGACTGGAGAGAAATAACCTAAACTCACAGAATTTCATATTTCATCTTACACATAGAAAAATTGATATCCAGAGATCTAAAATTAATTGCTCAGAGTTTCGAAGCTTATCCACAGGCAGAATTGCAACCAGCTCATGCCTCACGAGTTGAGTGTCCACACATCTCAGTTTGCCCAGGACAGTTATTAATGGTTCCCACTGCTTTCTCAAAATACTCTTAATCTGAATAATTATGTGATTACCTTACTCACTGGCTAACTTTCAGAAAAATTAGTTTGGAAGTTGTCTGTAAGATTATTTCAGTTGTAAATAGGAAAAAATCCAATTCAAACTGAGTTAATAATAAAATGGATCTATGAGCTCATAAGGTAGGGTGGGAACACCAAACGTTTCATTTATTTTGATTTCTTTGATCCACATATCACTGTGGCAAAGTAAAATTAGCAGCAGGCAGCTTCCTTATCCACACCCCTGTGCTGCACACTTTCCCATTTGTAGGGCAGATGCACCTGACAGCAATAGCTCAAGCATACCCTGAGAATGACCTTATGGTCTAATAAGAATGTGTGTTCAGGGTTCTGAGAAATCCAGTTCACTCCTTATCTCTAAAGGACATCCAAAGCCCCCTGACCCATTCCTTGGAATTCAGGGAATTGAGGCCCTTTGTTTTGGGTTAAATGGGGGTTGCTAGCTGGGGGTTGCTAGGTAGAAGCTGCTACGTGAAAATGCTATATAACCTGCACACTTCTTACTAATGGGAGCGGTTTTTCTGTCCAGCTCCCCTCTCTTGGATGGCCCTGTATCTAAGTCCCCAATAAACCCTACGTCAAGTGTGCTAGTTCCAGTGTCTTCTTCAGCCTCTTGGACATGGTGCCATCACTGTTGGACTAAATAGGGGTCCAGCACGACATCATTCATATTCCAGAAGACAGGAAAGAATGTTTCTGAAAACCTCTTAGAAAAGCCCAGAGCTCCCAGCAAACAAATCTTTGTGTTCCTTGACCCAATTTCACTTACACACCCATCCTATAACCAAAATCTGGGGCTATAAAATAGGGTCACACTAGTCTGAATCACATTTCCTGCCCCAAGTGCCAGGGATGGGATCAGCCTCAACCAAAGTACTTGGGCTAGGCAGGATTAATGCCCAAACAAAAATCAAGATACCTCCCAACAGAAGGGGGAAACAAATGTCAGGGAGTCACCCTGTTGTTGATTCACTCCAGAGCTTGTCTTCCTAAGGAAAGTAGGATTTCCTGCTTCTAAACCAGGCACTTTCCACAATGCAATCCCAAAGATCAGTTTTGCCAGGAGTCCCTATCCGGCAGGATGGCTAAAGAGCACAGTGGGGCTGAAGGGCGTTTCTTCTGTACAGTTGACCCTTGAACAACATGGGTGTGAACTGCACAGGTCCACTTATATGTGGGCTTTTTTCAACCAAACCAGACACAGATTGAAAATGAAGTGTTCTCGGGATGTGAAACCTGTGTATACAGAGGGCAGACTTTTTGTATACTCGGGTTCCGGGCTTCGGAAACTGAGTATGCGTGGATTTCAGTATACCCGGGGATTCCTGGAACCAATCCTCCATGTATACCAAGGGAGGACTGAACTTACCATCTGGGTGTAGGAACAGCGTGAGCCAAGGCATTGAATCATCTGGGTTTGAATCCCAGCTCTGCCACTTACTGTGTAATCAAGTGTGTTTTCTTAACTCTCTCTGATTTGCACATGTAAATTAAGGGACAAGAATGCCAACTTCATAGTGTCTTGAGATAATTTAAAAACATAAAGCATTTAAATTACCTAGCACAATGATAAGCAAATACATGCTCACCTTCCTTTTTTTGTGCTTAATAATTTGTTTAGGGAGAGTAGAATCAGAACAAAGGAGTTGCAATAGTCTGAGGCATTGATCTCTACCAAAGGGAAGATCCTGTTGGTTAAGTCTATGAGAGACTGCTAGGGTCTGCTTTCCCCTGGGCTCTGCTAGAAATAAGCTAACAAATATATAGTGTTTGGCTATTCTTTTTCTGGACTTGGTTGCCACCGTTGTCAGACTCTTCCCTTAGTGTGTTAATTATGTCACAGTCTTCTTTTAGATCAGTCTCTTTCAGAGACCACACTTTCATTTCCACAGATGCCTAATCTTGAACACTATATGTGAGATTATTCATTTTATCCTAAGGTCCTGGAAGAAGCTTACTCTAGTCCCACAGCAACTAATGTACTTCATTTCCTATCCTTCCTCTTGATGGAGAAGGTCAAAGGAATTTAAGGATGTGAAATCCTTCCATAAAAATCAAAAAAGCTATGCAGAAAAAGGTAGCATATATGCACTGCTAGAGGGCCAAGATTTCATGAATCCCAAATCAGACAAGCTTCGCTACTCCATGCATTAGTATTCTTCACAAACAAATCCTGCAGCCAAGCCTTGCATGGCAAAAAAAAAAAAAAGGAAAAAAAAACTTTTTTTTAAAATTTTAAAATAAATTTCTATTTACAGGAGAGTTGCAAAGATAATACAGAGTTCCCATATACCCTTCACCATGATCCTTTATCAAAACTAAGAAATTAACACTGGTACAGAGTAATATTAACAAACTACAGAATGTATTCAGATTTTGCCAGTTTTTCCACTAATGTCCTTTTTCTTTCCAGTATACTATGTTGCAATTTAGTTGTCACGTCTCCTTAGTCTCCCCTGAGTCTTTAACAGTTTCTCAGTCTTTCCTTGTTTTTCATGACCTTGACACTTTGGAATACACTGGTCAGGTATTTTTTAGACTGTTCCAAATTTGAGTGATGTTTTCTCATGATTAGCTTGAGGTTATAGATCTTGGGGAAAAGTCCCAGAAGCAAGGTGTCTTTCTCATTGCCTCATATAGAGAAGTTCACGATGTTTATTAATATTTATCACTGGTGATGTTAATCTTGATCACTTGGTTAAGGTAGTGTCTGCCAGCTTTTCCTGTTACCAAAATTACTATTTTTTCCTTTTCCATATACTGTTTGTCACATGAGAGTCAGTAAATGCAGCCCATATTTAGAGGCACTTGAGCACTTCCTTACTTTCTGGCACTATAAGATGCTCCAAATTTACTTTGTATTTTCCCTACCCCAGCCTTAGAGTCATCCATTTATCCAGGGATTCCTGCTTCCTTTTATTGGAGAATAATATACAATATATAAATATAAAATTATGATTTAAGTTCTGGGTGCTAGATGTGCTGCATCTTTTGATAGCAGTCATCAAAGAACACAGCTATTATTATAGATTAATGTCAAAGAACACAGTTATTATTATAGCTTTGTGATTAATTCCCTAACTTTTTCCTCTTGACCTTTCCCCTGACAAGATCCTACCCTGAATCTCCCCCACAACATCCCTTCATTTACTCACTCACTCACTCATTCATTCAACATCATTTATCTAGCTATCATATGTCAAGTACTCTTGTGCCTCGCATTAAGATGCCACTGCCACCTACATAGTCTAGATGCATGCTGTCTGAAGTTACGGTTCTGCCGAGACATAATATATAGGAATTAGTCAGGCAAAGGAAAAAGGGGAGGGAGCTGAGGTAAAAGAATGGAAAATAAACATGTGTCCCCAGCGTCTGTGCCCAGAGGGACATTTAGAAAACTCAGAATAGTTGCTTTTTAATTATGTTATAAATTAGAGAGTATCATTTTGTATTTGAGAATAGCCCCACTCCCTAACCAGTTGCACTCACTCTGGAAGAATGGGAATTTCTAAAATTGCTAACCACTGATAACACTGCATGAAAGAAACTAATGGTCCAAAAACTACAACAACAAAACCAATGAGAAACACAAACCAACTATGTGTTCCTAACTGTTCATAATTCAAATGATCAAATATATTTAGAACAACTGCTCTGTGCTGGGGATAGAGAAGCAAACAAGAAAGACAAGGCCCTGTCCTCAAGCAGCTTTAGTCTGTTGTGATAAGCGTTATAGACAAAAAATACATAGAGCTGTGGGGCATACAGCAAGAGGATTTAACCATTGTGGGGGTGAGAGAAGCTTCCTAGAGGAAGTGGCACCAATGGTGAGGTTCGAAGGAGGAGAAGCAGCTAATAAAAGAGAAGAAACCAAGATCTGGTCATCTTTGACCAGCTTAAACCTTAAAGAATGCGTCTATTATCACAGGTTTATGATTAACTCTCTAATCCCTTTATCTATGCCTAGTCTTTCCCCTGAACAGGTTCCTACCCTTACTCTCTCCAGTATCCTTTCATTTATTCATTCATTCAACATTATTGAGAAGACAGGAAGGAAAAGCATTCCAAGCAGAGAAAACAGCCTGTGGGAAGGCCAGGATATGAAAGAGGGCATAATGTGCTCAAGAAACTGAAGTAAATGTTCTATGTCTACAGAGAAGAGAGCAAGAGAAAGCAAGGCAAGAAATGAGGCTGGAGACGTAGGAAAGTACCAGGTCCCATTGCTCCTTAAAAGTCAGTGTAGCGTTTTGAACTTTATTCCCAGGGTAATGGTGAACTATGGATGGCTGTTAAATCAATGATCAGACCAGACAACCCAGCTGCAATGGGGAGAATGGAAGAGAACAAATGAAGATGTTAGACCTCTGTAAAGCTTCTATAAGTCTTAGCTTCCTTTCTGCCTCACAGGATTGGAAGAAGGATTCAACAAAAGAACACATACAAAACCCCTAGCACAAAGTTTGGCATGTGGCAGGCAATCAGGAAACATCAGTGCCTTCTTTTGTCCAACAATTCTGATTCTTTTTCATCTATTCTCATTTTTCTTTTTATTCCCTGACCATATTTTGGAAAGAAAATTACCATTTGTATTAGTCCATTTTTGCCTTGCTATAAAGAAATACCTAAAACTTGGTAATTATAAGAAAAGGGGTTTAATTAGCTCACGGTTCTGCAGGCATTACAGGAAGCATAGCAGCTTCTGCTTCGGGGGAGGCCTCAGGAAGCTTCCAATCATGGCAGAAGGCAAAGGGTAAGGCATCTCACATGGTGAGAGCAGGAGCAAGAGAGAGGGGAAGGAAGTGCTACATGCTTTTAAACAACTAGATGTCATGAGAACTCATTCACTGTTGTGACAACAGTACCAAGGCGGATGGTGTTAAACCATTCATGAGTAACTGCCCCCATGATCCAATGATCCAATCACCTCCCACCAGGTCCTACCACCAACACTGGGTATTACAATTCAACATGAGTTTTGGGCAGGGATACAAATCTAAACCATATCAGTATTTAAACCTTTTGCTGTGGTTACAGTTGATAACTGTGGTAGAGACAGTGAACAAATATGAGTAAGACCCAAGCCTTTCTATAAGACATATTTACTACAAGCCATAACATAACTTGATATGAACCACATAATGATATGAGTTCAAGCTCTCAGAGGGCAAGGAGAGCATCCTTTACCTCTCTGTCCTTAATGTCAGGCAAAATACGTGGCACAGGGGGCTTAACACAGGCTTGTCAACCATACGAATGCATGCTCTTGGAGCTCAGATCGGGGGAGCAGGAAGATTGGATGCACTGAAAGTTTAATATCTTGAGATTGCATAAGGCTAATTGAACACTGTGGCTTTCTGTCTATTTCATTGATTACTGGTTTGGGGATAATTGTTAGCATGCTCCCTGCTTTGGCTTTTATTTTTCATGAAAGTTTCTTCATAGTGATTGTTTAATCTCAAATCAAAACTTTCCTATCATGAAACATAATATAATAACATGAAAACATCAAAGCTATACTGAGATGCTTGTTTTGATAATATTACAAATAATTAATTATCAATGGTATTTCCATCTGAGTTACAATAAGGCAAATTTCATTCTTTATTACTGCTTTTTCTCACCACCTATCTCCACCCTGGCCACCTAACCTAATGCTTAGCTGACGTGTGTTTAGAAAATCAGAGTACTTTTACCCTTAGCTCCAGCAATTCACCAGTGAACTGATATGAGAGTCCTAAAATGTTGGGTAAAGTAAATGACCATGGGGTCATACCCAACACTGTTCCTCTCTGTAACATATAGGGTTGTCCCAGTTACTATGACAATGTATTTTATTTTAGAGCAAGTTGAAAAATAAGGTAAGTAACCATGTTGTCTGTGGAACACTTAGCATTATTATGGGAAAGTTAAAGGTTAAAGCTATTTTATCCTTTTATTTATGGTTCTTCAGATCCTTTTGTCTATTTGTTTTTGAGACAGGGTCTCACTCTGTCGCCCATGCTGGAGTGCAGTGGTGCAATCATAGCTCATGGCAGCCTCAACCTTCTGGGCTCAAGCATAACTCCCACTTCAGCCTCCCAAGTAGCTGGGACTATAGGCGTGTACCACCACGCCTGGATAATTTTTTTTAATTTTTTTGTAGAGACGAAGTCTCACCATGTTGCCCAGGCTGGTTTCAAACTCCTAGGCTCAGGCAATCCTTTCACCTTAGCCTCCAAACTGCTGGGATTACAGGCATGAGCCACCTCACCTGGAGTACTTCAGATTCTTATGGTGGAACAGCCTTGATCAAATTGCTTACTTTTTCTTAAAGAGTTTTACTATTCCAGATTAAATCCATGGCTGCCTGACATCAAACGCATTGGAGTGCATAGCTCTGTGTGGGACAGCTGTCATACACAAATATGATCATCCAGAGAGGTCAAATGCATATCTAATATTTCCAGATGCCCCTCAGGGTATCTTTTTCCTTTTTAAAGTTAATTCTGATAGTTTATAGGAAATCTGTACAATTTTGATGCATTTAAAAAGCATTTTTTATTATAAAACCTATACTCAAATAAAGAAATTGAAAAATACAGATAATATAGAAAAGGAAATATAAGTTCCTATTTCCCAATTCAATTCCACATTCCCATACCCCAAAAGTATCATTACTCGTCTCCTTCCAGAAATCTTTCTCCTTATACAACTACATAAATGGAATATCTTTTATATATTTTACCACAAATGGGATCTTCCTATACATGTCATTTTGTGTTTTTCCCATAAAATGTAGGTCAGTACATTTACATCTTTGTCTTCTTTTTAGCGCCTGTATAGCATTCCTTGTATAGATATACCATATCTTTTTCACCTATTAGTGATCACTTAGTTTCCATTTTCATTTCCTTCTTTGTCTTTCTTTCTTGATATTAAAAATAGGACTGTAATTAACATTCATCTACAAATTTTTTTCCAACTTAAGAAAATGTACCCACTGCAATGGTTTGAATGTTTATGTCCCCTCCAAAATTTATGTTGAAACTAAATCCCCAGTGTAAGCATTAAAAGATGGGATCTTTAGGAAGTGTTTAGGCCATGAGGGCTCTGCCCTTATGAATAGATCAATGCCTTATAAAAGAACTGGCTTGAGAGCACCAGATCATCCCTTCCCTCCCTTCCATCATGTGAAGATACAGTTTGTCCCTTGTGGAGGATGCAGCAACAAGGTGTCATCTTGGAAGCAGAGAGCAGCCCTCACCAAACACCAAACATGCAGTTGCCTTGATCTTGGACTTTCCGACCTCCAGAACTGTGAGAAATAAATTCCTATTGTTTTAAAGTTACCCAGTCTGTGGTAGTTTGTTATAGCCACACAAAAATACTAACATACCCGCTATATAAATTTCAAGCAGGAGTTCTAGCACTGCTCTGAATAACATTCTGCAGTTGAATTGGATGCCCAGTTACTCCATCCTAACACTCCATGGGGTAATTAAAGAAATGCTGACATGTGGTATTAATGTATACATGCTCTAGAAAATTAGGCAATGTTCTGGTAATCTTTTGCTACATAACATACCACTCTTCAACTATGTGGCATAAAACAAAACAATCATTCCTCTAGCTCAGAAATCTGCAACTTGGGCAGGGCTTGGTGGGAAATGCTTGTATCTGCCTTGGCTAAGGGCCAGAAAATCCACTTCCAAGAAGGCTCATTCAACTGGTTGGTCCTGGTGATCAGTTGGAAAGTCAGCTGGAGTGGAGGGCTAGGAAACTTGGTTTCTTTCTGAACGAGTCTCTCCATGTGGCTTGGGCTTCCTCATGGAATGATACTTGGATTCCAAGGGCAAGAATTCTGAAAGACAGAGCTAGGCAGAAGCTATACTGTCTTTAGTGACCTAGCCTCAGAAGTCTCATAGTGCATTAATTGAACTAGTCACAAAGGTCTATGCAAGTTCAAGAGGAGAGAATATAAACTCAGTCAGTTGATGAGAATTTGTCAAGGTTCTCAAAAAACTTGCAGGATGGGAAATATTATTGCAGCCACTACTGGAAAAATGCAATCTGCCACAGCCAAAAAATACCTTCTTTGATCCAGATAGATAGATCTCAATATAATGATATTGTTGATTTTTTAAAACAAGGATATCCACATTTTATTGTTTTCCTTTTATCTGATTCTGAAAAAAAATATTTTACCAGAACTACACATTTTTTCCTGTGGATATACTCATCAGGCTAATCCGTACGATGACTAAAAGTTGTGGTAGTTGCATGGTCTCCAATTTCTCTCTTTTTTCTTTTCTTTTCTTTTGCTTTCATGTCTTCTTTCTTTCCTTCCTTCCTTCCTTCCTTCTTTCTTTTTATTTTTTTTAAGAGACAGGGTCTTGCATCTTGCTCTGTCACCCAGGCTGGAGTGCAGTGGCCTCAGGTGATCCAATACTTCCTCCCACCTCAACCTCCTGAGTAGCTGGAACTACAAGTGCCCACACCAAATCAGGTTAATTTTGTATATATTTTTTGTTAAGACAGGGGTCTTGCTATGTTGACCAGGCTGGTCTCGAAATCCTGGCCTCAAACAATTTCCTCCTTCAGCCTCCCAAAGCACTGGGATTACAGGCATGAGGCACCACACCTTGCCAATATTTCTTCAATGGATGAGAAACAATTCATTTTGTTTTCCCACTTGCCTTCCATTTAGCATAGCGTCTAATGACTATTAGCTATTGTTATTGTTTCAGTATGACATACTGTATCTTCATTTTACTAATCAGAAAATCTAGATGTGAAAAAGTGAAGCAAATTTCCTAAAATCCCATTTAATAGTACAACTGGGATTTGAACTTTGGATCCTGAGGATTAGACCTTTGTTCTAAGCCTAAAGTGGTACTGTTAATTAAACCTAAAGCATTAGGTCAGGAACTTTATTATATCAAGCTTATCAGTTGGAAAATCCTTAGCTGTTGTTTAATCCAAGTGAGCTATGATATCTTCCCAGGAAACTACATGCTAGGATCTTTCTTGCCAGTGATGTGGGTTACATTCAGATTTGCATTTGAATATTAATATGCCTGTTGTTCTATGTGAGAGAATGCCTGAACTAATGTAGCAAAGCAGGATCTAAAGATCCAATATGGGAAGAAATTAAATATTGTTTTACTTTTCTCCACTATTTTCCAAACCCAATTTCATGGTTTCATAAACTAACATACTCTGATTAAATGCCATATTAAGATAAGGGAGTTAGTAAACAAAAGGAACCGCAGAAATTTGCCAGCAGGTAAAAAAAAAAAAACACAGAGAGCTTCCTGCAGAAACCTGACCTTGACCAATGAGATGAAGGAAAGAAAGGATATGACATAAGCACTGACAGTTGAGTGCTACTTCCCAAAAGTCGTTGTGCGTCAGAATCTCCTGGTAAATATTTAATACTCAGACCTGACCCCTGGTGATTTGGTTGGCATAGGATGGAGCCTGGGGATATGTATATGTCTTTACAAGTACCCAGATGATGCAGATGGAATAAGCCTTCAAACTTTTTTTGGAACACATAGGTTTAGGGCACAATTCAGGAGAGTTTTTTACAGTTCAATCTTTAGCATTAAAAAATTTTTTACGTCATTCTCTATTGTCATCAGATTTTTTCTGGCTTTTTTGTGGCGGGGGATACCTACAAGGTAATGTCTGTTCTTCAATAGAAGCCAAGATTCTGATTCATTCTTTTCCAATGATCATATTAGGTTATTGTAATCTTTTGTGCTGAATCAGTTGAAATTCTGTTTTCATGTTTTCACTGAAATTTAAAAATGGAATCAGACTCCTAGAGTATGCAATTATGGGCCACTTGATATATTAACATTTACATTTCCTTTAAATATCAAAGTTTATTGCCACTAAACTATGCAAGTAGTATTCTGTTGGACCTTCTTTTTTAGTACAGAAATTACTAACTCCTAGAATCAGCTTACTTTTTTCAATGTTTGTGACAACTGTGAAAACTTAATGGATATTCTAGTGACTTACCAAATGGATGATTTCTCTAAGGAGTGAATTGTTACTATCTGGTATTCCAAAGAACTTACTAGAAGCATCTAGCAGTCTCTTAGCCCATTCCTTCTCCAATCCTATAGTGCACTAAGCAGGGTCTCCCACAGCTATATTGAGGATTTTTCATATTAGGCCACTTATATTCTTCAATCTCAGTAGGAAATTGATTTGTTATTCAACATTTTTTTTGAGCATATACTATATTCCTTTTTTTTCCAGAAGGTCAGCTAGAGCATATAGTATATTCTAAGCACTAGAAATACAAAGATCAACAAGACAGCATTTCTGCTTTAATGGTATTTACTGTCTGATGTGAAAGAAAATAGGTAATTATATAATCTGGTATAGTAATTGTATCAGATAGGGTTCCATCAGAGACAGAGAACCAGTAGAATAAATAAAATTAAAGCATATATAATATATAATTTTATTTAGATAATTTTAGAATATTTTATTTATTCTACAGGCTCTGTCATGCATATATATATATGTATATGTGTATATGTATGTATATATAGCTATAAATGGACATATCCATATATATGGATATAAAGAGATTTACAGCAAGGAATTGGCTTACCGGATTGTGAGGGCTGCCTTGGCAAATCCAAAATCCACAGAACAGGCCATCAGGAGGAGAAATCTGGAAACTCTCCGGCAAGAACTGAAACTACAGTACAAAGGTGAAATTTCTTCTTCCTCAGGCAAACTTCAGTTCTGCTTTTAAAGCCTTTCAACTACAGTCAGTCCTTCGTATCCCTGGGTTCCATATCCATCAATTCAACCAACAGCAGGTTGAAAATATTTGGGAAAAATATTGCAGCTCTACTGAACATGTACAGACTTTTTTCCCTGTCATTATTCCCTACACTATAGAGTGTAACAACTATTTACACAGCATTTACATTGTATTAGATATTATAAGTGATCTAGAGATTATCTAAAGTATATGGGAGTATATGCATAGGTTATATGCAAATGCTATGTCATTCTATATCAGGGACTTGCAGCATCCATGGATTTTAGTATTCACTAGGGGTCCTGGAACACATCTCCCATGGATTTCAAGGGACGGCTGTACTTGAATCAAGCCCACTCAGCTTATGGAAAATAGTCTCTTTTACATAGTCAACTGATTATACAAGTTAATCACATCTACAAAATACTTTCACAGAAAGATCTAGATTTGTGTTTGATTAAATAACTGGGTACTATAGCCTAGCCAAGGTAATGTATAAAACTGACATCATTTTTGTATTTTTTTATATTTGGAAAATGCTATGGTAGTATAAAATGCCAAGGACATACATCTTTTACGTATCTTATAAGATAGTAAGGGCATTTATCTTAGCTAAGGTAGTAAGATGTTTCCTGAAAGAGATGATAGTTAAAATAAAAGCTGAAGGATGAGTAGGAATTAGCTAGATTAAAAGATGGATAAAGAATATTCTGAGATGTGGGAATAGTATAAGCAAGGGCCCAGAAATCAGAGAGAGAGAAAGAGCACTAGAGATGCAATTTTCTCTTGTCATCAGATTTATTTTCCGGCTTTCTTTTTTCAGAATTATTTTAAAAGAAGCCAAGATTTGATTCCTTTTTTTAATTTGGTAATTATTATATGAGATAATTATAATGTTTTTAGTGCTAAATCAGATGAAACTCTATTTCCAATTATGAGTGAGATGAAGCACCTTTCCATATGTTTCCAATCATGGGTGAGATTAAGCATTTCCAACTATGTGTGAGATGAAGCACCCTTCCATATGTTTATCTCACATTCAGGTTTCCTCCTTTATAGATTGCCTGTTTGTAACCTGTATACATTATTCTATTGGGTAGTCTTCTTTTCCTTATTTATTATATATGACTTGGATATTACTAGGAATGCTTTGTTTTTATATGTATTGCAGGTATATTCTTCCGGAAAATATCAATCAAAACTGGGAGGAGCTTTGTAGACTAAAATTTGCAAGGGAGTGCAAGGGGACAATATTAAGTCAGAGAATGCTGGGGTGATCTGGATTCCGGGCCCAAATCTTAGTTATAGGACAAAGCCCCTGTACTGAGCAGGAACAAAAGGAGCAAAGAAAAGGAAAGAAGAGTCAGCCCATTTCAGAGAGCACAGTATTTTTTAACACTTCAAATAAACTGCAGAAGAAGATGCTCTAGAACCTTTAGGCTAGGAAAGCTACACCGGCTGTCTTCCCTTCTAGTACAGGAAAACTTGTCTTACTAAAATACAAGCAACAGAAATAAAATTAGTGAAACCTCAAAATTATTATCAGAAAAATATTCTTGCAAGCAATGAAAACAAGCCAGAAAGACATGCCCACAAAATAGGAAAAACTATATGCTAATATTCTAAACAAACAAGGTAAAAGAAATTAAGAAAATAATAAAAGTTTCAAAAGAGCAATATAAATTAGGATCAAAAGAACAACTTAAATTAGGATCAAAATAACTCAGAAATAATATTATTGGAGAAAAGAGAGCAGGAAGATATGAAAATGGAGCTTACAAAACCAAGGAAAGCATTAGAAATAAAAGAAAAAATATTTTGGAAATGGACATTAAAGTAGAAGTAATACATTAGTGAATAAACACAATGGAGAGTGTATAAAGAGAAATAGATAATGGAAAGGGATATATTTTTAATTAAACATATGAAAGAAATTTAAATTTTCTTCCTTTCCTTTATGTATTCTATTTTATTCTTTTATTATCTTTTCTTAAAATCAACTTTATTGATGTATAATTTACATAAAATTAAATGCATTTAAATTTATAGTTTGGCAAGTTTTGACAAAGTCACTACTACAATTAAGGAAAAGCAAAAAGAAAGAAAGGAAAAGAAAGACTGAAAAAATGAACAAAACACTTAGTTTGTACAAAAGAAAACAAGAAAAAAAAATAAAGAAACAGGCCAGATGGGACTAAAGCAAAATAAATAGAAGGTAGAAGACAAACCCAACTATATCAGAAATTATATTAAATGTACAAGGATTAAGCACTCCAATTAAGGAAGAAAATGGTCGGGCTGTCTTTAAAAATGCTAACTATATGTTGTTTATAAATATGAAAGTTAGAAAATGGGGAAGATATACTATAAAAACACTAACATAATATACATAGCGTGGCTATATAATATCAAATAAGCAGACTTTAAGATACATAGTATTACTAGTGATAAAGAACATTTCAAGACCTGAAACAGTAAGAAAAAAAAAATCCTAAATTTTAAATACACCTAATAGCATAGTTTCAAAATATATACAACAGAAATAAAGAACCCGAAGGAGAACTAGACAAATGTATGTAATTGTATAATTCAACTTATCTCTCTCAGTAGCTGATAGAAAAAGCAGTTAAAAAAAAATACA
The DNA here is from genome assembly GCF_000001405.40 of Homo sapiens. Classification (NCBI taxonomy): domain Eukaryota; kingdom Metazoa; phylum Chordata; class Mammalia; order Primates; family Hominidae; genus Homo; species Homo sapiens. The sequence continues at coordinate 14,910,676 of NC_000011.10, read as the reverse complement.
TGGTATGGCTGGGCATGGTGGCTCAAGTCTGTAATCCCAGCACTTTGGGAGGCCAAGGCAAGTGGATCACCTGAGGTCGAGAGTTTGAGACCAGCCTGACCAACATGGAGAAACCCCATCTCTACTAAAAATACAAAAATTAGCCAGGCGTGGTGGCTCATGCCTGTAATCCAAGCTATTTGGGAAGCTGAGGCAGGAGAATCACTTGAACCCAGGAGGTAGAGGTTGTGGTGAGCCAAGATCACGCCATTGCACTCCAGCCTGGGCAACAAGAGTGAAACTCCGTCTCAAAAAAAAAAAAAAAAACAGTGTCAATGAGATTTTAACAACACAATTAAGCATCTTGACCCAATCAACCTATATACAATGTTACATTCAACACCTCCAAAATATGCAATCTTTGAAGGATAAGTGGAACATTTACCAAAATAGATCATATGCTAATCATAAAGCAATTCTCAATAAATTTCCAAGAACTGGAATCATTGAGAGTATTTATCTAACCGTTGTGAAAATAAATTTGTAATCAATAACAGAAAAATATTTGGAAATTTAGCAGTATATACCTAAATAACCCATGTATCAAAGAAGCAGTCATAAAGAAAATAAAAAACATTTTTAATTTAAATATTTTTCAATTGAAATATTGAAATTAAAATATGACATCAAAATTTGTGGGCTGCAGTTAAAAACCATTATTTTAAAAAGTTATTATAGCTTTAAATACATATATTTGAAAAAACAAAACGTTGGGAATCAGTTACCTCAGCCTCCATCCAAAGAAGATAGAAGAAAAGGACATAAATTAAATCTAAAAAAGGAGAAAAATAAAATAATAACAGTAGAAATTAATGAAATAGCAGAGAGAAAATCAACAAAGCCAAAAGCTGGTTCTTTGAGAAGATTAATACAATTCACAATCCCCTAGCAAAACTGAGCAAGATAAAAAGAGAGAAAATACATATTACCAGTATCCAGAATAAAAAGTGTTATACCACTAGCGATCCTAAAGACATTAAAAGAAAATAAGTGAATATTATGAATATTTTGTGCCAATAATTTTGACAATTTTGATAAAATATACAAGTTTCTTATATAAGACAAGCTACCAAAATTTGCACAAGAGGAAATGGAAAATCTGAATAGTTCTGTATCTGATAAAGACTTAAATATATAACTTAAATCTCTCTCACAAAGGAAGCTCCAAGAAGGAAGAAATATAATTAATCAAACAGAAATTTTTCAGAGAAAAAAGAAAGAAGCAACATTTCCGAATTCATTTAATGAAACTAGTAGAATCCCACAAAAAGTTATAAGGACATCACCAGGAAGGCAAAATACAAGCAAATATATGTCATAAATATAGATGTAGTAATCCTAAACAAACAAGAAAAGTAAATCAAAAATCATCAATGTGGAAAAGAATGATGATCATGACCAAATGGTGTTTATTTTAGGAATATAATATTGGTTTTACCTCCAAAACTCAATGTATTCACCACATTAACAGAATAAAAGAGAAACACCATATGATCATCTACATAGATTTTAAAAAGACATTTGATAAAACTTAAGAACCTTCTTGATACAAACTCTCAGAAAACTAGAATGAAAAGAATGTTCTTATTCTGAACAAAGATACTTATGAAAAATCCCACTGTTAACATCATATTGAATGAGCATTCCTCCTGAGTTTACAAACACAATGAAGATGTTCACTATCCTCAATCAGTTCTTTTCAATATCACTCTGGATGTCAACAAATGTTCTCAGGGCATTTCAACATCAATTAAGCCTAAGGATTTTACTTAGTTTCCTGTGTATTTGGTTATTCAGAAATGAGAAACATTTCCATGAGTTCTATTTCAGTTTTCTTTTTTACAAATGAACTACTAATTCATCACATTGTAAAGAGCTCTTAGCTCTTATCTGGACAGTCTTTGTTGCCATCTGCTGGTGATCAGCTGCTCTACCTGAGATCTACTCTCCACCTTAGAAAGGGAAGGAATGGGGAGAACCAGCCATCAGAAATCGAACTGACTGAAACGGAAGGAGAAAGTGTAAGAAACAGCAAGTCTAAAACCTCCTAACACATTAGGGCACCTACTGTATTCCAGCCCCCATGCTAGGTCTTCACACACTCACTAACTAGAAGCAGTAGAAATACTAGTTAAGAAAATGGAGTGTGGAGCCAAACTACCCGGATTTTAAAGCTCAGCTTTACCATTTACTAGTTTATGACTTTTAACAAATTACTTAACCGTACTTGTTTTAGTTTCCTCACAGATTGTTGTGAGGATCAAAATCATCAGTCAACTATTTACAACTGTAACCAGCTCATAGTCAGCACTAAACAAAGTACATGTATTTCACAATTATCCCATCTAATGAGAGCTATTGTTGCAAGAGCAATTCTCACAGTGAGCGATTCCACATCTTCGCATTTCACTTCCTAACAGCTTTCAAAAACGGAGCTTTTTATTGTGTCTAACCACAGTCCTTCCAGCTGCACTGGGACCTCTGTCTCCCCTGGAGCCTGAGAAAGGCTGGGCTCCAAGTCCTCCTGAACAAATCAGCTTGCTGGACCCCTTGCCAGTGTGCTCTCTCCTACCTCTTGGGATCCGCCTTCTTGGTATGCTGCGGGGAAAGGAGGCCCTGTTCTGGGCGCTTGGGGAGCCTCACCTGGAGCTCTGTCTCCTGCTCCTGCTCCAGCTCACTGGCCTTCATCTGCACATAGTCCTGCACCAGTGCAGCCAGCAGGAGGCGCACTTCCTCCTCACTGAGTGTGGCCGGGTCTGGGCTGCTCTCCACGGGAGACCTGTGGAGGGGAAGCAAACTCAATGCAGGCTGTGAGTCCCTGCCTGCCCCTCCCCAGGATAAACAGCCAGGCTCCCTGGTATCTGCTTCTTCCCCTGAGGATGTGGCCACTGCGACTCCCAGGGGACAGGGCATGAGGTCAGGGTCCACCTGTGGGCACTGCTTCACCGGGAGCCATGCATGGTTTCAGAGGCACAGAGCTGCCTGGTCCCAGGGGCAGTGGGAGCAGAGGAGCCCCTGGTTCCAAGCTGTCTCACCTGAATGGCGCTGCCTGGAGGCTGCCTGCCTGGCACAGGACCAAGACTGAGAGCCAGCAAGCGGGAGAACTTCTGGGAGCCTTTGTTTGCTCTATGTAACAAGTAAAATGATGCCGCCTTTAGGCAAGTCAGTTAATCCCCAGCTGGGGTCACTGTCACAGCTTTTTTCAGTCGTTTAAGGTAACCTGGTATATTAGGGGTTTCTCTCACCTTCTAGTGAGTGGGGCCAGGCCAGCTACAGCTAAGTTTTCGGTATGTTCACACCTGGATCTAAAGGCGAAAGCATGGTACTCATTACTGCACAGAGCTTCTGCCCTAAATACCTGCTTTCTTCCCTACCATGCCCACCAGCCTAGATCCTTCTTCCCATCTATCCCGGACTCTTTAGAGGATGTCTCGGGCTCCGCCCATTTTCCATAGCTTTTCCAAAGGCACTTCCTAACTAGGAGTCCCCAAGTCTCCTCAGGCTTCAGGTCCCCTTTCCAAGTCTTTCCATCCCTTCACACCTCCTCATGAAATATCTCTCCACGCACCCTTCCCCAGGGCCTAGAACAACATGTGGAGCTGGGGGTGGGGGATTCAGTTGCCCCTCCTGTAGTCTGCCTTGGCTTTGTTCTTCATAGGAATTTAAAACTCCAGGCTCCACACAGCTCTGCGTTTGTTCAGGGGGCTCTCTAGAGTGTCTCCTAGGGTTCCTCGTGTCTTTTGGGGCCCTTCCCCAAGAGGTTGGTGTGGCAGAGTGGCTAGAGGCCAGGTTTCCTGTGCTGCCTCTGTTCCTGTGTAACCTCAGGCAAGTAACTGGACACTATCTAGGCCTCATTGCCCCAGTGGGGTACCTTCAAGTTTGAAGGCATTCATGAATGTAAACGGTTTGGAAGCTTCACAGAGCAGAGAGAGATGTCCAGGCCTGAGGGTGCCGGGTTCCGCTTGGGGTTGAAGGCACTTAGTCCCATCCTGTGGGTCTAGTCTACCATGAAGGCTTTCTGCCCAATATGGCTGAAGAAGGCAGGCTCACTGTCTCCCTCCTTAGGCACTTAGACAGCTGGGGTTATCTTTCCCGGGGCAAGGTCGTTATTTCAATAGCCCAGACACACACACACACACACACACACACACACACACACATACACACTTGCTCTGCACGTTCCTAGTCCCAGGAACATTTAATGACAGGTACACAGCCCAAGGCTCCGGCTGTCTGTAGGGACTGAGCTCCGTAGCTTCACCTGAACGTAGATGCGGGTGCCTCATGCCTCTCTAGAAGGCCAAACCCCTGGACAAACCCATCTCCTTGGGATCGCCTGCTGCCCTGCGCTGATTTAGGGACTGTTCCCCAAGGGGCACACACCGTAGTGTTGGACCCAGCTCAGGTTGCCACCGAAGTGGGCCTCTCCGCGCGCGCGCAGAGTACGCCGCGGCGCCGTGACGGCCCCAAACAGGGAGCTCGCCTCCGAGGGAGCAGGCGAGAGGAGAGGGAGGATTAGGGATAAGGGCCCACTGGAAGAATGACCGGAACCGAATTTACCCTTCTAGAGACTGACAGCCGTTGAAACAGCGCCTCCAGATCAAAGGGGAGAGACCAGGGGAAATGCAGAGAACGTGCGGGGCTAACGGCAAGAGCAGACAACATCCCCACAGTGGGCGGACTCGGACCCCAGCGGGCTCCCCAGCAGTGGTACCACTGGGGCTGGCGCTCTGCCCAAGACAGCACCCCCAGAAGGCTCACCCAGGGGAAGTGAAACCCTTTGCGGTGCCCAGAATAACAAGCCACCTTTCACCGCAGCCTACGACCGGCCGGCTGCACCCCAACGCGCGCCCGAACACACATACACACACACACATATGCACACGCCTTCCTGCCCATTCACCAGGGCGAGGGCAGCCCCTCTAGAGACCGTTTTGCACAGCTGCCTTGTGCCGCGGGGCTCTGTGTGTGGAGGTGCCCTGGGCCGGCCAATCCAGGCCAGTTCACTTGCTGCCGGCTACCTGGGGTAAAGGCCCGGATGCAACCCAGCCCGTCCTGCAGCGCCCTCCAAAGGAGCACAGGGGCCTCTGCAGGCCCGAAGGTTACCAGGTGTCTGTACTCAGATAAGAACAAGCACTCGAATCCAATGCTAACCAACTCACCCATACCTATGGAGTTCGAAATGCGCGCCCCGGGAGCGGGGGCTCGCCGCCTCCCAGCCATCTTCTCGCTAACTCGTGAACTGTGACTGCCAGAAGCACCCTCACGGAGGACCCGCGCACACTCCACCAACGGACGCAGTCTTGGTTGGCATTCACATCCCGGACACACGGACCATCATTGCGTACACCCGCCTTCCCTGCAAGTGAAACTTCTTTCCAAGTGGACGCTTTGCAGAAATCCGGCCCCCGAGCAGAGTGTAGGTCCGAAGGCACAGTGAGCCCCGCCGTCTCCCGGACCTGGCTTCCGCGGACTGGGAAGAAGACCCCCCGCCTGGCCAGGCCGAAGGATTCGGTGGGCTCCTCAGTGGAGCCCACGGTCCCGACACCCGCGGTCGTGGGGCCCCTGGGCCTGTGCACCCGGACAGCTGGTATGACCCGGGGTCCGCCGGTCCGCGGGCCGCCACGCCTTCGCGGCCGACAGGGGGCGCTGTTTTGACGCTTTGCTTGCCCCTTGTGCGATCTGGGCCTAGAAAGGCGAACTTTTCTAGCGCTCAGGAAATGCTCCCAGGAAAACCACGAAGGAACTGATTTCATTCTCTGAAAACTGTTCAACCAGAAATCCCCATGTGGCGACCGTCCAGTGCGTCCTCACACTTCCAAAATAAAAGCCACCCTGTCAGAAGCCAGTGGGCCAGGCCAGACCTAAGCATAGCGAGCAAAGGGAAACCTGTGTGGATCAATTAGATTCAGACTCAGCAAATCAAAATCGTTTTGTTGCTGCTGCCTGGTGCAATCCTCAATCAAGAATAAATCCAGAGCACATCTACATTTTATATCTGATCTCTCCTTACCTAGGAAAGCAAACTGCTGGGGCAAAGACTAGCTTCGTTTTATTTGGTGAACAAAATCAGTTTCTCTATAAAGGTGCCCTGGAAGGCCCGAACTGGGGTGAGATGAGTGAGGCACTTGTTTCCATTGCAAAATGTAAAGGGGTGCCAAAAATCTCAGGAATCCAGAGTAATATTTTAACGTAATGTCTTTAATGATAAAAACGAGTGCAAAAACATCCAGGACAAAGAACATATCTAAACTTGAAATAGGATCTGACAGGGCTAGGAATCCAACCTTTCCCAATCTTTTTGTTCTATCAATCTCTCAACCAATTGGATGATGCCCACACACGCATTTGCTCAAATCCAGTCCTGCTTACCAGCTTTTACAAGTGCCACCTCTTCTTCCAAAGTTGAAGCAATTCATGTGATCCATTTCTTCTTGGAGGAGCTTGTTACCCTTTTGAATCAGTATACTTTGTGACTCAGTTTGCCTTGTGACTTCAGCTTTCTGGTGGGTCCAAAAAATTATGATTTTATAGATTATTCAGGTTTTTCTCATTGTTAGGGTGGGAGTGATATGCTACTGTTGCTTTCGAAATTGTAAGCAGGAACAGAATCCTTTTAACACCATTCTGACACTTTTAATCATGCAGTTCAGTGGCAATAATTATATTCCCAATGTTGTGCAAATCATCATCATTATCCATTTCCAGAATTTGTTCGTCATCCCAAATGGAAACTGTATTTGACAATAATCCCCACTATTCCTTCTACCAGCCCCTGGTAATTTCTATTATACCTTCTGTCTGTATGAGTTTGCCTATTCTGGGTGCCTCATATAAGTAAAATCCTACAATATTTGTCCTTTTGTGTCTGGCTTTCACTTAGCATAATGTCCTCAGTATTCATCATGTTGTAGCATGTGACAGGATTTTATTCCTTTTTAAGGCTAAATAATATACCATTGCATATGTATATATGACATTTGGTTCATTATTTTATATGTTGATGAATATTTACGTGGTTTTCACCTTTTGGCTATTGTTGATAATGCTGCTATGAAATTGGTGTACAATTATCTATTTGCATCTATGCTTTCAATTCTTTTGTGTATTTTCTTAAAAGTATCATTTTTTAAACTGGAACTTATTTTTATTTTAAATGTCATGTAAGCATATACACTAAAATTCAGAAGAGAAAGAAATTATTCTTATACAATTACTGTATTTTCTTCCTGTATTTTATGCTCATTTATTTTGCATTAACAATAGATGTTATGTAAGATTCCAGGGGAAGCAAACTCTTAGTTGGAGATTTGTGTGCCAAAAGGTAGTTGGGAGGAATCCCTGGTATCAACACCTATAAGGGAGTGAAGAAAGTAGGAATGGGCAGAAAGAAAAGTTGAACTGTACAGGAAAGACCTGTCTCACAGGGAGCTCTAGAGCTGGGCTAAGACTTCAGAGTTGTTCCAGCTTCAGGCAAGAAGCCTGACCCTTTATGCCTCACTGGAATAGGGCCAGCTTTATTGGCATATGATCTATGCAATCACACAGGGCCCCTATACTCACAAGGGCTCCATGCTTAGTTTAATGCTCTGCTATTACTGTCATGAAGTTCCTGGTAATTTTGGAGTAAGAGGACCCATATTTTCATTTTTCATTGGACTTTGCAAATTATGTAGCTGGCCCTGCCCTCAATCATGCATTCAATGAGAATTTTTCCCAGGAAGGATCTAGACGTTGATCAACACAATTCCCTCTGGCTGAGAGCCATTCTCAGAAACTGACTCATCTGAGAGCTGTCAGCCACCATACTCCAGTGAGGCTGGAGGAATGCAAGACTCAGTCCTGAAAGTGAGATTTGGGCAGTACACAACAGCATCCACTACAAACAGCTTCAGACATGTACCACTTTCACACAGCTCTAATTATGGTGTATATGTACACACTTGTCTACTTTGTACCTATCACATCACAGACATTTTCAGTGAAACTTCGTTGTCTTCATAGCTATGCCTTTTAACTATGTGTAATATTTCAAGGGCATTTCAAGATGTATTTTACTTCATAATTTCATTTCCCTCATCAGTCATTATTTCTATATCTATTTTACTATTTGATTGTACGTAATTTTATTACCAGAACCTCAAATTTTCTGTGACAACAAGAGATACAAATTTATCTATTGATTTATTCTTGGTCAGTTAGGTTTCTAACTTATTCTTATATAGTAATGTTATAATGAATATCTTTTTTTATTCAGAGTTCTCCATGTTTGAGATTATTTCTTGGTGTAGATTATATATAGAATTATTAGATGAGGTAGGCCATTTTGGTGACTTTGGATAGAAATTGCTAAATTGTCTCCCAAAAAAATCCATTAGATATTTTAGTATCAATATCAAATATCAATAGACAAGGGAGTATCTGTTTCATGGCATCATGGCCATTATTGTGGGTTTAAAAATTTTTCGGCTTATTATATTTTTAAAAATATTATTCTCATTTAATAGGCAAAATGGTACTTCAGAGTTTGTTTGTCAGCAATTTACTAAGAAAAAACTGAAAAATTCAGAAAAGTTGAAGCACTTGTACAATGAATACCCATGTACCCCATACCTAGACTTTAAAATTTTGCTGTATTTGCTTTAACACATATTTAGATATCTATTCATCCCTTTGTATATGCATTAATGTGTATTGTTTTTAACTTATCTCAAAGTAAGTTGCATTCAATAGGACACTTCACCCTACACACTTTAGTATGCATATCCTAAATAGAGTTCAATGTTTGCTTGCTGGTCCTTTTTAGGGAAGAAGTTTCAATACAATGAAACGCATAAATTTTAAGTACTCAGTTTGATGGGTTTTGAAAAATGCATACCCCTACAAAATATAAACCTACAAGAAAATACAGGATGTTACCATTATGCCAAAAAGTTGCCTCATACCCCTTTCCATCAAACCCTGCCCCCAATACCTGCTCCCACCTTCCCAGAGGCAAATACCATTTTCAATTTTTAAAATCACAGTTTACTAAAGGCAGCTCCAGAACTCCATGTAAATGGACAGATACAGTATGTACGCTTTGAGATATACATTTTTTCACTTGGCATGTTTTTGAGATTCTTCCACATTGTTTCATGTACCAGCAGATTTTCCTCCCCCATTTTATTGTTTAGTAGTATTCCATTGCATGAATATACCCAGTTATTTATTGATTCTCCTGTTGATATATATCTGGGTTACGTCCAGTTTTTGGGTTTTCTGAATTAAGCTGCTGTGAATTTCAGAGATATTTTATTTTGCGTTTTTTATTATGAGTGAAGCTGTGCCTTTTCATGTTTGTTTACCCATTGTTAATTCCTCTTTAATGAATTCTGTATCTACTCATGGCATTTGTTTAATAATTTCTTTGATTTTCAAAGGTTGTCTTATATGTTTTTAAGAACTGTTTAAATAGTAAATGTATGGCTGGGCGCGGTGGCCACGCCTGTAATCCCAGCACTTTGGGAGGCCAAGGCAGGTGGATGACCTGAGGTCAGGAGTTCGAGACCAGCCTGGCCAACATGGTGAAACCGCATCTCTAATAAAAATACAAAAAATTAGCCGGGCATGGTAGCGGACACCTGTAATCCCAGCTACTCAGGAGGCTGAGGCAGGAGAATCACTTGAACCTGGGAAGCGGGGGTTGCAGTGAGCCGAGATCGCGCCATTGCACTCCAGCCTGGGCAACAAGAACAAAACCCCATCTCAAAAAAAATAAATAAATAAAAATAAATAGTAAATATATTACCTCCATAACTATCTTACTTGTAGTTTGGTATTTAACTATTTTCACAACTTTTATTTGGGCAGTAATGGCTAATTCTCAATATTTAATTAGAAGATAGAGGTTCTATTTTCTAATATATTTTGAAAAATTCTGAGCGGATTACTTATATAATATTTTTAACACATTTTTATTCTCTTCAGAAATTTAATACCACTATTGCCAGAATACACACCACATGCACACATACATACACACAAATCTTTACAAAGAAAACATAAGTGGTTTAAATTTGATTTTAAATTTATATGTAAGTTCTAGGATATTATTAGATTCATAGCTGAGAGCATATTATGAAGCTCTGAAATTGAATAATATGTCACATAGTCAAAATGCATTTTTTCAAAATTTTCATTTGCCCTAAGATAATAGTTACTGTAAAACTGTATTTCAGAGCTTAGGTTAAAATACTGCTTTTAGACCAATCCATGTGGAAGACAATATTTTTTAAAGCTTGGTCCTTTCTGTATCTTGGCACAGTTTAAAGATCTCTAATTAACTGGAGTGTTCCAAATTGTACAGAGATTATGGTTTTTGAAGGAGACAGCCAAAAGCCTTCTATTAAAGGGACTGCTATTAAGAGAGAACTTAAAAAGGAAATAAAGTGATTGCTAGCCTGCTGTGTATTCGGTTATTATCAGAGAGAACTGTATTACTTCTCTTTGTGGGTAGGGGGGGTGGGGGGCATCGAATCCAGGTAGCAGGGTACCAAAATGGGGATTCTGCTTAGTGATCTGGCAGTGATCTAATAATTCTGAATTTGGAAAACTACACCAAGGAAATTATTTCAGACACAGAGAATACTGTATGAAAGGGATGTTTATTATACCACTGTTTATGTAGCCTTACCACAAGCAAACCCAGGGAGATTTTAGTTTGACTATAAACCTAATTGTAAGATTGTGTTCTAAAGATATCAACACATAAGTATAATGAAAAGTACCCAAACTAAAACTGGAAACAAAACATTAGATATTTATGTTTTATTAATTGTTAAACTTGAATTCAGTAATAATATTCACCATAGACTTTTAACTAAAATATATTAGCCCACAGACTTCTCATATTCCTGCCATATTTGCTAAGACACCTGGTTCCCTAGGGCAATGAATGTACTCAAGAGAAAATATAGCCAGGTCTTTCTGCTTGGACCAGACTGATTTGTATGAAAGACATCATGACAGTATATAAATTATCCAAAGATACTGTGTGGGAAACTTCCAGTTTTGCAGGAGAAAAATATGTATTTCCCCACTTATTTCAGAGTAAATCATAGAAATTTTTAAATAACTAAATTCATTAAAGTAAAAGATATACTTACAACAGCAGAAAATTTCTCTACTCATTTTATTGTGTTGACAAATCTGCTTAAATAAATCAACCTGTTTTGCTTAAATTGGAACTCAAACATCTGCAAATTTACTTAGATTTGATCCCAAACCAGGTTCATTCTGCCTGTCATGCAGACAACCAATTACTGAAATGACAAGTTTTGCAGTAGAGAAAAAATTTATTCACAGGACAGCCAGGGAAGGAGACAGTAGAACAGCTCTCAAATCCAACTTCCTGAAGATAAGACTTAGGAATATTTATTCAATAAAGAAGCAGGGTGATAAAAAGCATGTGGAAAGGTAATTGGCAGTGCGAAAAAATGAGGTAATCATTGATCCAGCACTAAGCATAGTCAGGGTTCATGGCTCTTCACAGGTCACATGTTCAGAAAATGGCAGCATTAGCATGATCTGAGGCTGGAGTTTTGGGCCCTCTGACATCAAAAGGTCACTTTTCAGACATCTGTGCAGGCTCAGCCAGAGGGTCTCAACTGGCTTGAACTGGACAGGGGCTGCTGCAAGTTCCTGAAAGACATCTTAAGCAATCATTACCACAAAGACATATATGTCGGGGTATTATTTAAAATGAAGCTAGTGAAGGCTAAGTTATAGTGTTTAGTAGGGTGGCTTTCAGTTACGTGGATTAAAAAAAAAAGAAGCAAGCAACTTGATTTCAGGTTGAATGGTATTAGATATCCAATCTGAATAAGTTTATACTCACTCTCACACAGTTGAGACAGCCTTAAAAAAAGAAAAGAAAAGAAAAAGAGAAAAAAAGAAAGAGCATAGCCCCAGGAGTCAGTACACTGTGCTGTTTTTTTCGCCACCAGCTCAATGTGTAACCTTGAGTGAGTCATTTGTCCTCTCAGGACCTCAACTTCCACATCCGTATGTAAAATATAGCTTTTGGAAATCAAAATTTCTTCCAATTTTGAAATTCTATAAAGTTGCTGTAAATGTTGTGCCATGTGAACTCTACACTACTTTTCTATATCAGGTCACGCTATGACTTCCAGAAGTATAGCTAAGAGGTACAAGGATGTGTCATTGTGGTGTGAGGCATAATCAGGAAAATTACTGCCCCATCCCCTGGACAGCAGAAGTGTACAATTCCCAGAAGAGACAGGAAAAGGAGGTGAGGAGCACTATGCCCTTCAGACCAGTAGGGATTATTCCTTCTTCTTTAAAACAGGTTTGCATTGTGTCTGGGCCCTTGCTTCTCTGTGAACAAGTTCTCTGTGGATAACACCATGTGTTTCCGTAGACAAAAGCTTCCCAGTGTGGTTGTCCGATGAATCCACCGAGAGGCAAAACACATCTTCTGCTGGAGCCTACAAACTGGCTTGAAATATCCTCCCCAGAGGGCCCTCTAAGGAGGAGTCTTGATGGGAGAGACTATCCCAGGTAGACCCAGCCAATCATCCAGGATGGGTTCAGGTTCCATGATGTGTCTAACCACATATGAGGGTATTAAGGTTCAGGAAAAGAGTAATACAGGGATCCTATTCTCCAGAAGTCTAGAGCCTTTCTCGTTAAATGATAGATGAAAAAGAGAAAGCCCTGCAAGGTGAATGCTGAGCTAGGTGATAAGAAGCATAAACTGGAGGGGCTCACAGGTAGAGATGCATTATGGCCCAGAGCATTTGGATAAGGCTCTGCAACAGAGGCGGTCTGGAGCAGGCCTGAGGAGGGTGGGTTTGAGGATGGACAGAAATTAGAAAGCCGGGTATTCCTGTGAAAAGTCTGACTGACCATCTCCTGCAGGCCCAGAAAATGCTCTGTTTTCTCTCTGATGCTTAAAATGCCAGTCTCTAAAACCCCAGAGAAATAAACCTCTGTACCACCAACCATCTGCAAATGTCCCTTCTGAAGACCAGAAGATAATTTTCAAAGTTGTTGAAGAACATGATCTGAGTGTGATGACCCAAGATACAGTACCCAGATACAGGCCCAGGTTGTTCACTCTGAGAGGTGGACAACCTCCACAAATGACACTAAAGAATTTCTCAACTTATATTCCATAATGATTAAAAATTGTTTGGGGTTCAGACACAAAGACCAGATCACTCTCTTCTTGTTTCCTCTGAGGGCATTGACCTGTAAAACCAGGGAGAGAGGGGCCAGAGGCAACCCCACTAAACCTTCAAGCCAGGGCTAGGAGGCCTCCTTCATCATCATCAGGGTATTAGGGCTCCCAAAGAACATTTTCTAAATAATCAAAGTTAAATTATTCAAGTTCTAGGAATTTTTTTTCTGTTTTTGAAATGTAGCCAAATCTTTCAAAAATACATATACACTTCCTCTGCACTCTTAAATTAGAATGTTCTTAAATAATTTTAATCTTTGATAAGGATGTTCATTTAATGAGAACATGAATTAATGTGTTCTGTTGTCATACACATGATGCTCTCAGACTTTGAGATGTGTGGCACTGATATTCTCTACCCTAAATGATCTCAGACTCCTGTGCTTTTTAGTTTGTTACATCTATATTTGATAATTATTGTTTCCTTTTTCATTATCAGATTGTCAGATGTCTCCAGAATTGTTGCTGTGGCTATCTCTAACAACAATTCAATCTACTGTTAGTTTGCTTCTTCAAATCTACTATTTTCAGAAGCACAATATAAGAATGTTTATGAAAATCATTTGCAAAGCAGAAGAAGGCTTTAAATTAAGACTTAAATGTCTCTCTGAGTGATATTCACGAATTTTAAATAGAGGATTTTGTTACTTTCCTTTCCCTTCACTCAGTGTCCATATGAGACCAGTTGATAGGGAAGAATTGTAGTAACATCTTCCATGAACACGATCATGGGGGAGTCCCTGGATATAAGCTGGTTGTTTGGTGCAGACTACAATTACTGACCTCCAAGACTGATCACATTTCCTATGTTATGCACACTTGTAGAACTGTTTCTTTACTTCAGAAAACAAAAATGTTTGGCATCTTGAAAACATAGTAATGTTTGAAAATATAAATAATAAATTTACTTGTGATTATTTGACTGGTGTTGGCATCCCCCAATAGAATGTAAACCCCAGGAACACAGGGACCATGGCTGATTTTGCTCACCATTATATTCCCAGCATCTAATCTAGTAGGTGCCCAATACATTTGTGGTGAATGACTGAAAGAACACATGGCAAGTCCAGAGCCCAGAATTCTGGTTCTACTGGTGCTATCTTGTGTGACTTGGATAGAACACTAAACTTCCTCTGACTCTCTGTTACTGCATTTGGAAGAGGGTCTTCAACAAGATCATGAAGTGTTCATGCATTTCTATTTTTTTGAAACACAAGGAAAGGAATACAAGATATCATGACAGAAGATGGCCCAGTGGGTAGCTGGATGGGAGGAAGTGGCAAGGATTGGTTGGCTGAGTATCCCTAGGAAATGGCAGGAATAACTCCTGCTTCTGAGAAATGTGATTTCTCTAAGTTGATCTAGCCTTTGGAAAAATTGTGAAGGGAAAGAAGTTTCTCTGTAAAACTTCCTTTCCCCTTCTGCATCCTCTTCTGAAACCCCCACACCCACCACCATCATCATCATCACCATGCCACCACCTCCAATAAATCCATGTCATCATGTCCCTCATTCGGCCTTGCCTGTAAATGTGGGATTAAATTCATTCATGTATAAGCGTTTTTAGAACTTCCTATTGCTGTACTCTCCTGCCACCAGGTTTTGCATTTTCCAACTTAGCCTGTTATAGGGAATGTTCAATTAGTATCATTTAATTTGTAAAGACTGAACTTCAGGCAGTGGGGTGAGGAGGACTTTTTAAAGTGGTCACAGGGAGACTTTCATAAGGTTCCTAATCTCACCCAGAAGTGCTACTGGTCTGCCAGCCCCACCTCAGTGCCTGGCTCCTAAGAGCACAATGAAAATCCAAGTGCACGAATTCAGTTTCTACACATCATTTTGTAATCAAAGTCTTCATTTGGGTACCCTACCTCCCAGCATGAGGACTAGGATAAGGCAAGTGAGAAATTCACCTTGGGAACAGAATTTAAGAGGGCTCCAAGAAGATCAAAAGCAAGATAACACTTTAATGCAACAGTTTAAAATCAAAATTGAGGCAAAAACCCATTACGAACAAGACATCAAATTTTTAATAAGGCAGGATCACTATTATTGACTTTTTTCTTTTAGCTCAGCCTCCAGTATGGCTCAGCTTGGCACTTCCTTTGGCTCTCACTTCCTTCAATTCTGATGAAACACACTGAGAATGCACATAATGGAACATGCAAAGGAGGCACATTTGCGCTGATTGCATCACTCTGTGTGGGGAGCTCTCTGGGACAACTCCCACGGCCCAGGCCAGGGCTGCAGCCATTCAAGAACAGAAAGGGACCCCAGGAGAATCTCACTTGATACTGCCCCTCAGGATGAGCCCTGGAGCTTGGGTTCAGTTCCCAAAGGCCCAGAAAGAGGCTCTGATTCTGGCACAGCATTGCTGTTCTCTGTTAGAACCATTACTGTTCTGCACATAGAAATGGCAAAGCCCTATACAGTGTGTTCACCCATTCCACCCCGAGTACTGAAGATGAGATCTCAGCCATGAAACAGTGAAATACTTAACTTCCTGCTGCCCTAAACCTTCCTGTCATGATAAAAGCCATAGACAAACATTATTGATTGTTTTCTATCACTCAAAGAGCAAATGCAAGAAGGGGGAATAAGGGAGGGATTTCTCCTTATTGAGCTGAGGGAACATGATAAACTGTTACAGGGAAGGCTCTATGTCCTGAAAGACTTATAGTTATTCCTGAGAATACCCCACCTATTATCTCTCAAGGGGAGCTGTGGTGGGGTGGGGTGGGGAACATTTCATCAGTGCTGTCAGTCAGAAATGGCTGCCTCGGGGTAACTCAGCTCTCCTCTGCTATGTAGCCAGGGAAAGAATGCCAAAGAAGGAATGCTCCTTAATTTAAGTGAATTGGAGGATATTTTTGTAATGAAAATTAATCCTTTCTGAAAATAAATGATGGCAGGGGGCCCACTCCTGAACCAAGTACCTGTACTGTATAACAGCTGTGGCCAGACCAAAAACTGTAAGCCTCCTGGTGTTGCAAAGGCAGGGTTGATCTCAGGCATCCCATAGGTGATATTCCTCAGCTCCTGGTGCCTCAGCAGCATTGCCTCCCACCCACAGTCCCAATATCCATCCTGTGTCATCTCCACTGGCCTTTGGTAAGAAACTAGAGACCAAATTTAGTAATGATCTCTCACAATTATTTTTTCATTTTATTAGATTATTGATTAATAAGAATTTTAAGGTATCTCTTAATAGGCATTTGTAATAGGCAGTAGGTAGATATTCTGTGGCTGCAGATACTGTGACACATACCTGTGGGGGTAACTTCAGCCCCTGGGGATAGTCACAAGCCAGTTAAACAGAAAAACTCAAAGACCTGACTAACTTGCTGACTTCCGCAGTGTCCTTGCGTGGGAGATGGAGAGAAATTGGAAACACTCTCAGAGGACAAGGTTTGCTTAGTATATGAAGCCTTTGCCCTTGATATTTCCTCTGTTTGGAATATTTTCCCCCATATCTGCCTCAAATTTCTCTTCTATAGTAGGCAGAATAATGCTCCCCTCCCCCAATAGGTCCACATACTAATCCCTAGAACTGTGAATATGTTAGGTTTCATGGCAAGAAGAATTAAGGTTGCAGATGGAATTAAAGGGCTAATCAGCTGATCTTTGAGTTGGGATTATCCAGGTGGGCCCAATATAATCACAACGATCCTTATAAGTGGAAGAAGGAAGTAGAAGAGAGATAATCAGAGAGACAGCGATGTTGGAAGGATTCAAACTGACATTAATGGCCTTGAAGAGGAAGGAATGGGGACGAAAGCCAAGGAATGTGGGCAGCCTCTAGAAGCTGAAAAAGACAAGGAAATAGAATCTCTCCTACAGTCTCTAGAAAGAATGAAGCCCCACTAACACCTCTCTGTCAGCCCTGGAAGACTCATTTTGGACTTCTCACCTCAAGAATTGTAAGAAAATAAATTTGTGTGGTTTTAAGCCATCAGATTGGTGGTAATTTATTACAACAGTAGTAGGAAACAAATACACTTCTTTAGCAGTTGATCTCAGCTCCAATGTCATCTTCCTAATAAGACTTTCCTTGACAGCCCTTGCCTGCTAAAGTATCTCCCCAACCACCAGGCGTTTTCTATAACGCACTTTTTGTTTGCTTCTGATTATTGAAAATTATTGTATTTCCATGTCATTGCTCTTCCCTCTCATAAGAATGTAAGTTATAGAAAGGACTTTGTTGCTCTTATTCACCTATGTATCTCCATTGCTTAGGACATGGGAACATAGTAGACATTCAATAAATATTTGTTGTGTGAATGAGTCGTAAGCTAATGAGGACCATAAAACTCATGCCACTGCTAAATCACAATTAGAGGGCAGCTGTTAGAAGAGTCCCAAACCCAGTAAGTCCTGTATTGCAAGGAACTGCCCAATAGAAAACAGGAATAAAAACAATTAGCAAGAATAATATGAAATCAGTTGCTTAATTCCAGGCAGTGGAGGCAGAAATCTTGAATAGTAAATACTCTCCGTGAACAAGTGCAGACAAGAGTCCCGTGATTGCCAATAAGTAATCAGTTTGGAAAGACCAGAGAGGGGTCAAATATAGGTAAACTGAGTTAATCACATAAACTGCTCAATCATCACAATTATTAAAAGATCACACACAAAAATACATTAACAGGAGAAAAATAGTAAAACAGGACAAAACAGTAAAATTACTTTCTTTTACTACTGATGGGTCAATTTTCTACTGGAAATTCTGAAAAGTATCAGGTTCAGCTAAAGACTGCAGTGTTGATCATCTCTCCAGTTTTCCTAGTGTGAAATGAAATAAGCAGACCTGGTACTTAAAAAGACACTTTAAGAAAGGTCTGGCCCCAGAGAGGCAGGATCCGCCTAGCCCAGTGAGTGAGGCCGTCCTGACACCTCGTCAATGCCCTTGTGTCAACATTCTAGAAAACGGACTCCTGGCTCATTGCTCCGCCTAGAGCCGCGCCACCTCCAAAGGGTAGCACCGGCCACCCGCTCCGCAAAGTCCACTCTCAGCCGCGCAAAACTAGAAGGTAGTTGTCCCGAAGGGGCCTGAGCGCTCACTCAGTCAGCCAATGGCCACGGAGCTAGGGCGGGACCTGAGGGTATCCTGCCAATGGGAGTATGGCAGGGCTGGAGGGAGTGCCTGGGTCTCAGGGCTGCTGTGGAGTTCGCACCTCCAGCTCGGGCCGATGTGGAAGCTTTGGAGAGCTGAAGAGGGCGCGGCGGCGCTCGGCGGCGCGCTCTTCCTGCTGCTCTTCGCGCTAGGGGTCCGCCAGCTGCTGAAGCAGAGGCGGCCGATGGGCTTCCCCCCGGGGCCGCCGGGGCTGCCATTTATCGGCAACATCTATTCCCTGGCAGCCTCATCCGAGCTTCCCCATGTCTACATGAGAAAGCAGAGCCAGGTGTACGGAGAGGTACAGCCCCGACGGGCCCCGGGCAGGGAGGGCCGCCAGGCTGGCCCGGGCTGGCCAGGGCCTTCCTGGTTGGACTTATGGCCGCCCCTGGGCCGACTAGTCGGGACCTCTCCGTGTGCCGGCTGCCCTTTGAGGGACACCCGCTTCCCGGGTCTGGAAGGGAGAAGTCCTCGACGCCGTGCCCCCTTGCAGGGGGAGCCCCGCCCCTGCCGGTGACCCACTCCGGGCCGAGGCTCCGAGGCGATCCAGTCCTGATTTTCCCGCTACCGCTCGAGCTCTTGCTCCTGCGCCTGCGCCGTTTGGCTCGCCAGCCGCGCCGCCACTTCAGGTCCAGGGTGGACGCATGCCCTCAGGTGCGGGCGTCTTGCGAGTCGGCCTCGCAGCTCTGTGGAAGCTGCACGCGGCTTGTCGGAAAATCAAGGCGTTCTGAGTTCTAGATGGTTAATAGCAGGTTCTTCGGTGTCTGCAGTCGACGAACGACTGGTGTAGGCGTTTGCTGTGAGAATGGAGAATGCAGGGGAACGCCCCTGACTGAGAAGCGGGCCCTGGGAAACGATTGTGAACGCGTGAATGAATTGATGACTAAAATCCGCTGCGGGGGTCCTACAGCGCAGATGGTAATGCCGTTCTGACTGGCTGGGAACGGCACCTTAGCAGATACTTAAAAGGCGCCTTCTGTGTGCCACTGTCACTGCCAACTTGGTGACTCATTTAAAACTCATAACCAGCCGGTGAGGTCGGTACTTCGCTCCTCCTCATTCTGCGGAGGGGAAAGCAGCACGGAAATGCCCTGTGACTGGCAGCGGAAAAGGCGACCACCGCTTGTGTGTGGGTGTCCCGACGTCCGGAGGGGGCAGGAGTTTCCACGGGTCCTGGGACAGAGCTCACCTGTTTTGTTTTGAATTACACTTATTTATATGCAACTACAGGCCTGACGCTAGCGGTGAAGAAGGCAGATACAGCCTTTTAAGGAGTTGGCAGATGAGTGGGAGAGAGAAAACTAATCTCATTATCGGCCACAGGCTGTGGTCAGTGTTTTGAAGGAAAAGTACAGGGATGTTTGGCAACTGTGGTATTTCAGGTTTGACCTTAAATCCTTACTTAAACCAATTTTTACAAGGATTGGTCTAGGTGCCCGGGCGCGGTGGCTCACGCCTATAATCCCAGCACTTTAGGAGGCCGAGGCGGGCGGATCACGAAATCAGGAGATCGAGACCGTCGTGGCTAACACGGTGAAACCCCATCTCTACTAAAAGAATACAAAAAATTAGCCGGGCGTGGTGGCGGGCACCTGTAGTCCCAGCTATTCGGGAGGCTGAGGCAGGAGAATGGCGTGAACCCGGGAGGCGGAGCTTTCAGTGAGCCGAGATCGCGCCACTGCACTCCAGCCTGGGCAACAGAGCCAGACTCCGTCTCAAAAAAAAAAAAAAAAAAAAAAAAAAAGAATTGGTCTAGGTTTCTAGAATAGAAAGTCACTAATGGTTTACGTTCCTTTCATGGTTCACGAATAGTTTACGTTGTTAAAGGGAAGCTGGACGAGATAATAAAGGTATGTATAATTCTTAGATCTTATTTTCCAACCTGCAATTCTCCCAGAATTGAGTTTATTCCCATGATTTTCATGTAATATATTTCATCTCTTTGGTATCTTGGTACACAGCATCATAATATTCTAGAGAAATAAAATGTGAAAGCATAAGACTAGAGGTCAGGTCTTCTGCCAGACAAAACTTGACCTCTATTCTGAGTCTTTTTTTTTTCTCGGTAGTGAGAATAACAACAGAAAACAGAAAAGTGCTACTCAAGTGTTCTTGGTTATTGTGTATGTTATTAGTTTCTTTCTTTTTTTATTTGAGACGAGTCTTGCTCTGTCACCCAGGCTGGAGTGCAGTGACGCCATCTCGGCTCACTGAAAGCTCCGCCTCCCGAGTTCACGCCATTCTCCTGCCTCAGCCTCCCGAGTAGCTGGGACCACAGGTGCTCGCCACCACGCCCGGCTAATTTTTTGTAATTTTTAGTAGAGATGGGCATTCACTCGGTTAGGCAGGATGGTCTCGATCTCCTGACCTCGTGATCTGCCCGCCTCGGCCTCCCAAAGTGCTGGGATTACAGGTGTGAGCCACTGCGCCCGGCCTATGTTATTAGTTTCTATACACAGAACACATTTGTTCGACCTCCAAATTTGAAAGTATTTTTAAACAAGTTATTTGAAATGGTTTCTCACAGAAAAAGGAATTAAGCTTTTCTTATATAAATATTTGAACTGAAAGACACTCGGTATTACTATGAATATTTCTTTTGGGCAGGGGGTTTTCTAAGTCCCCTATCATAGTTTTATTGCTGGTACCACTGTTTGAGGGAACCATGGTTCTTTACAGAGAGAGCTCTTGACTACAAATGAAATAGGGCCAAACTGTTACTAGCTGCAATGGGGCAGAGGAAAAACTGAAAGGAGCAAAAATGAAAAAGAATGTATGCATCAAAGAGTAGACATTGTTTGCCTCACTATGCCTTAGATCTAGTTGATAACCACCAAACATATTAACTCTAGGCTACAGCGGCATTTGATCTTTATCCTGGTATGAAACATCTCTAAAGATCTCCCATTATCTTAGAGATATTTTCCAATTCTGACAAAGTCTCAAAGTTGGCATAAATTGTTAAAATACTATACCTTTTTTTGGAGGTTGAAGAATATTGTTCCCTCCTGTGCTTCCAAAAAGTTCTGGAAAGTTGTACCTAGGACTTAAATAAAATCTTAGTTTTCCACTGTCTTTTAAATTTGAGATGTATGCTCACAGAAAAAAAAAAAAAAACAACTGGACTTTAAAATTGCTTAGGACAGTCACTTCAAGTGACACCCGCCTTTGTGTTAGTCTGTGAATTCAATTCTGCTTTGTGATTCTTGAAAGTTAAACAGCCAGTCCTCAGGACTTATATATTCATTTTAAAGGCAATCTTAAATAGAAGTGTATCACACTGAAAATTACCATTTCCTTGGAGATTGATTCTGAATGTTTAAATTTCTGCAGTAACTTTAATCTTAGTCTAGATTTCAAGAGGCATTCCCTGGCTAGGAAAGCCAATACAAGTGGCTTTATCGATTATTTTCAGGTAATGGACTTCAGGACAATAAAATAATTCCATTAAAGCAAGTAGAATTGACAGCGTATTAATTTATTTTTACAGCATTTATTGAGAACTTTATGCACAGCACTGAATGAGATTCTGTGTAAGGATTCAAAGATGAAAAAGATGAAATCACTGCTCCTAAGGAGTTTGTAATTTAGCATGCAGGCAGAAGACAAGAATATGAATGTTTCTGGTTCAAGATAGTGTTAAATAAGTGCCATGGGAGCTTCTAAGCTCCCATGTGTGGTTCAAAGCAGAGAGAAAAAGAGTGCCCCAAGAAAGGCATCATGGAGGATGGTCCCTAAAGACTTGGTATGGTTAGGGTAGTATGGCAGTCAAAGGAAGCCTTCCAAATGAGGAAACAAACCAAGCAAAGGTTGAAAAGTGTGGCAGTCACTTAATGGTTTTCATCAACAGCACTTTGCACATTTGTCTGTTATTAGCATTTAGCCCATGATGTTATAATAATATGTTTAAATGTATGTCTCTATGACTATTCATTAATTCAACATATATTTCTATTGTCATATGCTGTGCACTGTCCTAGGTGCTAGAGATATAGCAGTGACCAAAACAGATTCCTGCCCTTATGTAGCTTATATTCTAGTTGGGGGAAGACAGACAATATAAACACAAGTAAATTATATAATATATTCAAAGAGTACAGAGTAGGAAGTAAACTAAATTAGGGTAAGGGAATGGAGAATGTTAGTGGGTCAGATTTTAAATTGCTTAATCAGAACAGGTCTCACCACAAAGATAGCATCTGAACAAAGACAAAGGAAATGAAGGAGCAAGCTATAGGAATATCAAAAGGAAGAACATTCTAGACTAAGAAAAGAGCAAGAACAAAGGCCATAAAGCAAGAGAATGCCACGTTGAGAATTACCTGTAAAAAGACAAGGATGAAATTAGGGAGGCCAGTTAGGAGGTTGTTGTTATAAGGGAGAAATGCAGGTGACTTAGACCGGTCACCTGCAGGTTATAATAAATTGTCTGATTCTGTTTATATTCTGAAGGTAGAAACAGCATAACTGCTGAGCAGTTGGATGTGGAGTTTGGAAGAAGATAATGAGTCAGTGTGGGTGACTGCAAAGTCCTGGGCCTCAACCACTTGAAGGATGTATGGAGTGGTCATTAACTGGGAGAGTGAAAAATTATGAGTAGGGCTGGTTTGGGTGAGGGAAAGAGACTTGAAGATCATGGAGTGATCTAGAAGGCAAGGAAAATGTTTTGTGTATTCCTGTTTACATCTCTGCCAGCATTATAATTAGCCCATAATTGGCACTAAAATTATTGAATAAATCAAAGAATATATAAGCTAATCTTGTACCCTTCCATAGATCAAAGCAGTTTAAGGATAAGTTTTCACAATTTGAGTCACACACCTTTACCAAAAGTCCTTGAAAACTGTATACAGGAATACATACTAGTTCAAGTAAAAATTTCTCCAGTTCTACCCTCAAATAGAGGACTATTTCAGATTCTTGAGTAAAGGTGGATTGTGTAACAACTTTCTCAAGCCATGGCTCCTCCTTGCTTTTTATGATCCCTGGTGTCCACAATTTGAAGCTCTACCCTGAAGCTCTATCCTGAAATACATTTGCCCTCTGTTCTGCCTTCATAGTGACACAACTTTAAGTTCATGGCTCTTTTACTATCCTTGTGGAATGGCATCTTTTTATTGTCTCTGCTAAAGTTCCCTTCTGCGAAGAGACTTTCCTTTAATAGGACTACATTACTGCATTGTCCCCACTTTGCTCGGCTGGTAGCCATTCCCTTTTACTTAGAACTCTTCTACTGTCACTTTTGACTAATACCACTGCTTATGGCAGGCAGTCCATGTTCTTTTCCCAAGGTTCTGGATATACCTAGTGCTCACTTGGCAGAGCCCACCCGTGTGCCAAAGACTCTGGTGGCCCCATTACTCAGCTGGTTAGTTGTTACCACTTGGCAGTCCTCATGACCTTTGCTGATATAACTTTCTGCTGAACTTTTGTTCTCTGCTAAGCCTCCTGTTTTCTTCTGAAGTAGTGTGTACCATGGCTAAATCTCCTTGACTTGTTTGCACAGGGATAAGGCTTGTCTCAGTATTTTGGCTGTAAAATGCTATCCTGAAAGGATGGCAATAAGCAATCTTTACATTCCACTGATAAGGGAATATCGTTCTCTCACTGACTGGCCTCTTATATTGGGTTAACTAGAATAGACTACAGGAGGTGTGACATTGTAAGTGAACCTGGGGTGAGGCACAGGGCAGACAACTCCAGCAAGGCATGGAATGGATCCTGTTTTGCCTTCCCCTTAACTGAGAGGCAGCCACCTAACCTATGTGGTAAATGCCTTTCCTCCAAGGTTAGGTTCCCTTAGAGCCCTCTTCATTCACTTTGTGGAATACAGAGAGCCAAATACAAATGGGCTTAGTTACAATATGTTTATACTTCAAAGTTGTCTCTCAGGTATTTGACAATCCTCTCCCTCACTAGCCTCATTCATCTTGGAAATAGAAGGAGATTCCTAGATATCATTGAACATTTTGAGGTAAAATGAATCATAAAAGAGCATATATATCAAATATATTTTCTATGGCAATACTGAAGCCCAGATAGGTTAAGTGTTCTGCTCAGAGTCTTTTATCTGTTTAATGGCAAACCTTAAACTAGACCCAGGCCTCCCGAGTCCAGTACCCTTTTCATTATACTGTTGGTAAGACTGTGACTTTAGGCACTGAATGGCATAATGAAATCACACAGTTTTGCATGCCTTATAGAAGGAGGGCACTCTGAACATTGTCAGTTGAGTAATAACTGCCTATATTTTCAGGGACGTAACAAATCCTGGAAGAGCCGCACTTACCACTTGTAGATTTCCATGGTTATATTTCTCCATACATGCTGTCATTTAAATGTTGTTTTTCTTCTCTTCTCAAAGATCTTCAGTTTAGATCTTGGAGGCATATCAACTGTGGTTCTAAATGGCTATGATGTAGTAAAGGAATGCCTTGTTCATCAAAGCGAAATTTTTGCAGACAGACCATGCCTTCCTTTATTCATGAAGATGACAAAAATGGGAGGTATGTTTATTTGCACCTATTTAGTGATTTACTAAGATATTTTAAATCACATTCCTTATTTTAAGTTTTAGTGCATACAGTTGGGATTATTTTATACTGATTAATAAGAAACTATTTATTTACAGAACCTAGTATTTGAGGACCTTTCAGGCTGTACTACACGCATATTTTAGACCAGTACATTGCTAATTCTATTGTGGTCCAGCTCTAATAAGTATTATAAATAATGTTTTAAAGAATCAACACCTAATAACATCTGCAGGTTTTGTGAAACAAGTTAGGAATAAACACATACTTCCACTTGAATCCGAAGTGCCCTTTTGAACCTAGTCTTGAGTACTTGGTGACATTTTTACTATCATTTTACTTATAAGCTTACAGAACTTGAAGCAGCTTTTTTGACTACTAATCACTGTGATTAGTAAGTATAGAGTTGCATGGTTTGTGTAAAGGACTAGCATTCTGTATGGTTTAGTATTGATCAGTGTTGGGGATTCCATATTCAACAAGGGGGAAAGACTGAAAGTTGACAAAATCGGTAAGAAGAAAGCAGCAACAGACAGCCTAAAATAGAATGTTCAGATCACATACAGTGGTTTTAATAGTTAATAGTATAAGAATTTTTACTAAAGTTGTGTCCTAAATTCTCTGAGTTTCACATTTAATTTCAAATAAAAATTTAACAATATCTTGCTTACATAGGCAAAAACTAAAGACATTGGTTGAAAAGGCAAAAATTAAAATCCTATATTACATCACAAAGGAAATGAACTAATGCAGAGAAAGCACAAATTGTAAAAGACTGAATTCTCAGGCCAGAGTATAATGATACTTGAAAGCAGTAATATAAATAAAAAACAAACAATTAGACCAAAGAAGCAGCCACAATTATAATAGACCTTTAAAAAGATGATGAAAATGAAAGATGATGCAATCACAGTAATATTTGAGAAAAGTATATATTTTTCAAAGCTGTAAATTTATTGTTTAGACTGTTTTTATCATAAAGCATTCAACTTAAGATTTTTAAAAACCAGGTAGAAAATTATGTGTTTTTTTATTTCTTTTTTTAATTTTTATTTTTTTAAATTATTATTATACTTTAAGTTTTAGGGTACAGGTGCACAATTTGCAGGTTAGTTACATATGTATACATGTGCCATGCTGGTATGCTGCACCCATTAACTCGTCATTTAGCATTAGGTATATCTCCTAATGCTATCCCTCCCCCTCCCCCCACCCCACAACAGTCCCCAGAGTGTGATGTTCCCCTTCCTGTGTCCATGTGTTCTCATTGTTCAGTTCCCACCTATGAGTGAGAATATGCGGTGTTTGGTTTTTTGTTCTTGCGATAGTTTACTGAGAATGATGATTTCCAATTTCATCCATGTCCCTAACAAAGGACATGAACTCATTATTTTTTATGGCTGCATAGTATTCCATGGTGTATATGTGCCACATTTTCTTCATCCAGTCTATCATTTTTGGACCTTTGGGTTGGTTCCAAGTCTTTGCTATTGTGAATAGTGCCGCAATAAACATATGTGTGCATGTGTCTTTATAGCAGCATGATTTATAGTCCTTTGGGTATATACCCAGTAATGGGATGGCAGGGTCAAATGGTATTTCTAGTTCTAGATCCCTGAGGAATCGCCACACTGACTTCCACAATGGTTGAACTAGTTTACAGTCCCACCAACAGTGTAAAAGTATTCCTAATTCTCCACATCCTCTCCAGCACCTGTTGTTTCCTGACTTTTTAATGATTGCCATTCTAACTGGTGTGAGATGGTATCTCATTATGGTTTTGATTTGCATTTCTCTGATGGCCAGTGATGGTGAGCATTTTTTCATGTGTTTTTTGGCTGCATAAATGTCTTCTTTTGAGAAGTGTCTGTTCATGTCCTTCGCCCACTTGTTGATGGGGTTGTTTTTTTCTTGTAAATTTGTTTGAGTTCATTGTAGACTCTGGATATTAGCCCTTTGTCAGATGAGTAGGTTGCAAAAATTTTCTCCCATTTTGTAGGTTGCCTGTTCACTCTGATGGTAGTTTCTTTTGCTGTGCAGAAGCTCTTGAGTTTAATTAGATCCCATTTGTCAATTTTGTCTTTTGTTGCCATTGCTTTTGGTGTTTTAGACATGAAGTCCTTGCCCATGCCTATCTCCTGAATGGTAATGCCTAGGTTTTCTTCTAGGGTTTTTATGGTTTTAGGTCTAACGTTTAAGTCTTTAATCCATCTTGAATTAATTTTTGTATAAGGTGTAAGGAAGGGATCCAGTTTCAGCTTTCTACATATGGCTAGCCAGTTTTCCCAGCACCATTTATTAAATAGGGAATCTTTTCCCCATTGCTTATTTTTCTCAGGTTCGTCAAAGATCAGATAGTTGTAGATATGCGGCATTATTTCTGAGGGCTCTGTTCTGTTCCATTGATCTATATCTCTGTTTTGGTACCAGTACCATGCTGTTTTGGTTAGTGTAGCCTTGTAGTATAGTTTGAAGTCAGGTAGCGTGATGCCTCCAGCTTTGTTCTTTTGGCTTAGGATTGACTTGGCGATGCAGGCTCTTTTTTGGTTCCATATGAACTTTAAAGTAGTTTTTTCCAATTCTGTGAAGAAAGTCATTGGTAGCTTGATGGGGATGGCATTGAATCTATAAATTACCTTGGGCAGTATGGCCATTTTCATGATATTGATTCCTCCTACCCATGAGCATGGAATGTTCTTCCATTTGTTTGTTTCCTCTTTTATTTCATTGAGCAGTGGTTTGTAGTTCTCCTTGAAGAGGTCCTTCACATCCCTTGTAAGTTGGATTCCTAGGTATTTTATTCTCTTTGAAGCAATTGTGAATGGGAGTTCACTCATGATTTGGCTCTGTGTTTGTCTGTTATTGGTGTATAAGAATGCTTGTGATTTTTGTACATTGGTTTTGTATCCTGAGAATTTGCTGAAGTTGCTTATCAGCTTAAGGAGATTTTGGGCTGAGACAGTGGGGTTTTCTCGTTATACAATCATGTCATCTGCAAACAGAGACAATTTGACTTCCTCTTTTCCTAATTGAATACCCTTTATTTCCTTCTCCTGCCTAATTGCCCTGGCCAGAACTTCCAACACTATGTTGATATGTGTTGTTTTAAGGTACTATGTACTGACCTTGGAAGTAGAAAATCATGGCCACTATTAGCCCACTGTGTGAATGGGAAAAAGTTGCCCTTTGGGTGAGCCCAGTGTCATGCCCAGGCACACAGCTTGGCCAGTGTAGGGTTTTTATAAACAGTGCTCCTCTGTACCTTCTTGTGTATATATCCCATGTGCACATATTTCTCTAGGGCTGGTTTCATCTTGGCACCATTGCACTAGCTGTTACCTCTAACTGCAGTGGTCTTTCCTCAGGTATTTGCTTGTCTCACTTCCTCATCTCCTATGAATGTTTACTCAGATGTCATCTTCTCAGTGAGCATTTTGCTGACTACCCTATATCTTTTTACGTGCTGTATAATTTATTTGTTGTTTTGTCTGTCTTTCCTACTAGTGTCTAAGCTCTGTGAGAGCAGGGACCTTTGCTTCTTTTGTTCCCTGATACATTCCTGACACTTAGAACATTGCCTGGAACATAGTAGGTGTTCCACAAATACATGTTAAATGAATATTTGTTGAATGAATAGTCATCTGGGAGTATAGAAAAAAGAATGGACTATGGGAATGTAAGATTGCTACACAGCACTAATGACCCCCTTACAGTAACTTTTTAATAAGTTCTACATTCAAAAATTATTGCACAATAAGTTGTTGGAATGTAAATTTTGTGTGTACCTCATGTACACAAGAGAATGTGACATTTTTCATTGTGGGTTGTGTTAGTCCATTTTGTATTGCTATAAAGAAATACCCGAGGCTGGGTAACCTATAAAGAAAAGAGGTTTAATTGGCTCATGGTTCTGCACACTTTATAGGAAGCATGGTGCTGGCATCTGCTTCTGTTGAGGCCATCTGCTTCTACTGAAGCTCACAATCATGGCAGAAGGCATTGAGGAAAGCCAGCATGTCATATGGCAAGAGTGGTAGCAACAGAGCAAGTAGGGAGAGGTCCTTAACTTTTAAACAACCAGATCTCACATTAACTGAGCGAGAACTCACTTATCACCAAGGGGATGTTGTAAGACCATTCATAAGGGATCTTCCCCTATGATCCAATCAGTTCCCACCATGCCCCACCTCCAACATTGGGAATCACTTATCAATGTGAAATTTATCAGAGGTACAACCGTGTCCCAGTAATGAGTGAAATTTTGAGTAAAGTACATGTTACATAAATATGTGCACTGAAGATGTTGAATTAATTTAAGGGAGAAAATTTCAATAGTAGCAACATCAAAACAGCAGATACATTGTGGAGACTCTGAAATTTTAAGGCAGGCAATATCAGCATTAGAAAAGTTTGAGCTTCATGTTTGCCCTTTTTTTGACTTCAGCATTTCGACTATATTGACAGCTCATTCAGAGTACCCTTACCCCTGTCATAGTTACTTGATTGTCTACCATATCCCTTTAATGGGAGGAAATTTATTTTCTAAAATCCATTCTCTTTTAAGCAGAAAATTTCTAATCCTAGAAGGATGATTTTTTAGGTGTTTGTTTAGTCTAAGATAAAACTTTGTCCATTGAACATGTGGTCATTTGTCTTTGGTAAATTAGGCTTATAGTAAAAGTTGGATAATATAGTCACCTGGGCCTATTTCACCAGGTTAAATTACACAGGACTGACTAGCTTCTTGTGGTGGTGCAATTATAGGCCTTTTCTGCCAGTCCACAGATAAGGAGTAGAAAAACTTTATCTGTTATAATACTCTGGCTAATGAGTTGCTGAGAACAGGACCCAACCATGTAGTTATATAGGAGGACAATTTGGAGAAGGATGACTAACCATCCATTAAAAAAATTTTGTTCCCTTTCATTTTTTAGATACAGAGAAGTAGGAATTATACAATATTTTAATATTTTTTTTCAGGCTTACTCAATTCCAGATATGGCCGAGGATGGGTTGATCACAGACGATTAGCTGTAAACAGTTTTCGATATTTTGGATATGGCCAAAAGTCTTTTGAATCTAAAATCTTGGAAGAAACCAAATTTTTCAATGATGCTATTGAAACATACAAAGGTAGACCTTTTGACTTTAAACAGTTAATAACGAATGCTGTTTCAAACATAACCAATCTGATCATTTTTGGAGAACGATTCACTTATGAAGACACCGATTTTCAGCACATGATTGAGTTATTTAGTGAAAATGTGGAACTAGCTGCCAGTGCCTCAGTCTTCTTGTATAATGCCTTTCCATGGATTGGCATCCTGCCTTTTGGAAAACATCAACAGCTGTTTAGAAATGCAGCTGTAGTCTATGATTTTCTCTCCAGACTCATTGAAAAAGCTTCAGTCAACAGAAAGCCTCAGCTACCTCAGCATTTTGTTGATGCTTATTTAGATGAGATGGATCAAGGTAAAAATGACCCATCATCTACTTTCTCCAAAGAAAACCTAATTTTCTCAGTGGGTGAACTCATCATTGCTGGAACTGAAACTACAACCAATGTGCTACGGTGGGCGATTCTTTTCATGGCCCTTTATCCTAATATTCAAGGTGAGGATTCTCTTGATGATCTCAGGGTCTATCCTTACATGTAGGGTTCATACATGTTTTTGAGTCTTGGCCATGCACAATACATTTTCTTTAGGAACTCCTGCGATGCCAGCCAAGTATAGAAATATTTAATAGTTACAAAAAAGAGTTTTCAAATCTATTATCTCAATTCATGTAAAAAAAATCTCTGAAAGAGGTCTTATTATGCCCATTTTATAAATGAGAAAAAACACTGTGTGTCTGCAAGTGGCAGAGCTGGAATCTGAACTCTGATAGAATTTTAAAAACTAATTTTATGCTTTACTATTTTTCTTACTCCAATTCTAGGTATGTTTAATGTTTATTCTTATTACTTATGTCTTTCACAATAGAGCTACCCAGAGCACTGGCTACTGTTAGAACAAGATATATAGCATATATTTCAATAGAACGCCCAGATAATAAAAAATCTGAATCTGGATGTATCTATATCCTATTGGCTTGTTATAGGTTATCAGAGCACTGGCTACTGTTAGTACAAGATATATAGCATATATTTCAATAGAACGCCCAGATAATAAAAAATCTGAATCTGGATGTATCTATATCCTATTGGCTTGTTATAGGTTATCCTTTATTTTATTCCAGAGGGAAATAACTTTAGGTATAATTCTAAGAACTGCATAATAACTTGAATACTTTTTCTCTGACAGGACAAGTTCAGAAAGAGATTGATTTAATTATGGGCCCTAATGGGAAGCCTTCTTGGGACGACAAATGCAAAATGCCTTATACTGAGGCAGTTTTGCATGAAGTTTTAAGATTCTGTAATATAGTTCCATTAGGGATTTTCCATGCAACCTCTGAAGATGCAGTTGTACGTGGTTATTCCATTCCTAAAGGCACAACAGTAATTACAAATCTTTATTCTGTACACTTTGATGAAAAGTACTGGAGAGACCCAGAAGTGTTCCATCCTGAGCGATTTCTGGACAGCAGTGGATATTTTGCCAAGAAGGAAGCTTTGGTTCCTTTTTCCCTAGGTAAGAGAACTTTCACGGGGCGTAACTTTAGAATAAAGGATAATGATAATTCATTAGATACAGCATCTTAATCTGAAGCATCCTTCTATAGAATTAAATATCCCAATTCTAAAAACACAGAACTGATTCTAACAGGAGAGAATGATTAAATTGGAAGTAATTAACATCTGTTTCGGCTTAATATAAGCCTTAATTTATTAACTATAGATGAACTTTTGAGAACCCCTGGCTTCTTCTAAATCTGTTTTTCAAAACTTGTGGAATGAGAATTCAGTAACAGGTAGCTTGAGAAACTGAGACCCAGAGAGGGAAAAGATATAGTCACTTAAGTAAAACTAGAATCTCACTCTCTTGGCTTCTGGTTATTGTACTTCATCTTCAATTAGGAAAATATTGCTTCTTCTGTGAAAAGGTACACAAGACCCATGGAAGATGGACTAGAAACTCTTCCCCTTCACTGGAGAAGAATACACACTTAGTTGAAATGAAGTGGACTGTTCTTGAGCAAAATGTCTCACCTCAAATTAGATCTTTTGTGGCATATCTTAGGCTCTGTTGCAGCATAGGAGGGAAGTGGGAGATGGAACTAAAGTCTTACAAAAGTCCGTGGTCTAACAAAAGGAGGTAAATGAATGGGTTCTGCTTGCTGAAGTGTCAATTTCTATTCTTTGAGATTTAAGAAAATCCTTTAATAAACATAGTTCCCTCTTTCTTTGTTTAAATTCCAGATTTCCTGAATGACATCCAAATATTAGACATTAATTTTGGTAAAGATTGTGGGTTTAAAAAATTATTGTATCTGCTTTTTCTGTTTAGGAAGAAGACATTGTCTTGGAGAACACTTGGCTCGGATGGAAATGTTCTTGTTTTTTACAGCATTGCTTCAGAGGTTTCATTTGCATTTTCCACATGAACTAGTTCCAGATCTGAAGCCCAGGTTAGGCATGACATTGCAGCCCCAACCCTACCTCATCTGTGCTGAAAGACGCTGAAACTGCCTGGGATGTTTTCGGGAACAAGAATGTATATTTGCCTTATCCCTGAACTTGGTTTAATCAAATCAATGTGTGTATTAGAATAAAAGTCACAGCATCAAAAAGCCAAATGAACACAGATGTGTCTTAAAATAGTACTAGAGCAGAAACAAGCACTAGTCGTGATTGTTTTTCAAGATTTTATGACTTCTGGGGTAAAATTCTCTGTTGAGAGACACAAAGGTGCAAATGATGGGTGTTGCTTAAAATGCTAAGAAGGGTCATGGACGCCCTAAGCTGAGCATCTTGTTTAGTACCAGGTACTTTCATCCCTTCTTGACTCCATCTGCCTTCTGTCCTGGGGGGCCTTGGTTCCAGAAACCAGCTCCCTTCTGATCAGGTATTGTCATTAATAAACTGTGTGGTACCAGTCCAGTTTAATAGAGGACTACAGAAGAAATTAAAACACAAATAAATGAGTTAGGACTATAGAGGTATTTTAGATATGGTGGGAGATGGTAGAAGAAATATGTATTTAATGTAGAGCCTGCCAGTGCTTTCATATCTTGCTTCCTGCTCTGTCTTCATAAGAACTGTGTCATTCTTCTTATAAATGAGGGTCTGTGTGACCCTGAGTGTCCATCTTCATAGCAGTTAAGTAGATAGGACATTACAATAATATATTTAAAATTTAAAATGATAAATGGCTATTGAATCTTTGTTGGCACATTTTCCCTGGCACCACTTCTTTCTAAAACCAATCACAAGGATTAAAGATCGAATTCACTTATATCTTTTAGAGGTCTCTAGGCATTTCCATGGGTTAGTGTTATTTTTCTAAAGATAATTATATTCAAATCCAAAAACATGCTTTAGAGACAGGGTAACTGTGTAAACTGGGACACTTGAGAGTGAATGGGGTCCTATTCATAATTATGTCAGGACAACAAGGGTAAATTATGACTGCCCTAAACAAACTGGAATGTATATTGACCCATTTATAGCTATTTTTACATCATCATTTCTTCTAAAGTTGTTATATTACAGGTACATGCTCTTGTAACATGGCTCATGAATAGTTGCAGCCTCAGAGTCAGTGCACACAATGACTTCTATTAAGAATATGGATTTAACCTTAGTTTGGACTTAGTTGTTGAACAGTTTCAAGTTTGTGTGTTATACATCAGGAGTTTGCATCTTGGATATATTCAGATGTTTCCAGTTGCAAGGGAAAGAAAATCCTTGCAAGTTCACTTAAGCAATAAAAGGGGAATTTGGAGGAAGGGTGGAAGTTTTAGGGTCCGTATGGCTTAGATGTTACATGGTGTAATCAAAGATCCTGTGTCTTTCCACCTCTGAATTTTGCCTTCCAGATGATACCAGCTTTATCTTAAGGCTAGCTCATGGAGCACATGTGCTTTGCTCACCTCCATACAGAGAAAGCAAGCTTAGATCGTTTCTGGGAGAGCGAGGGAATTTTTCAGATGCCCCCAGAAAACTGTTTTTTGTGTCCTGTAGGTTCTGAGTTATGTGCCCATCCATTAATTTAAAACTATGCTTTGTGAGTGTAATTATGGTTCACTTAGCCTGAACATATGCCTGACTACTAGAAGTAGTGATGGAGTTGGCTTCTCCCAAAATACATGTGCTACATATGGGTGGTGTAGTTATCTAAACAAAACTAGGGATAATTATGAAGAGTCAGAAGACCAACTATAGTGTCTGCCTCACTTGCTAAGCCAAGCAACTTTCCAACCTACCTTCTTGAATCTTTCTTTAATTATTTTATTTTATTTTTTCAGAGATAGTTGTCCAGGCTGGTCTTGAACTCCTGGGCTCAAGCAGTTCTCCAAGCTCAGCTTCCCAAAGTACTGGGATTACAGGTGTGAGCCGTCACATCCTGCCCCAACCTTCCTGAATCTTGACAAACATATTCAAGTTGCTCCTTAGTCTTTGTTCTTTCTTTGATACAGCAAATCTCTCATCCCAGGGCCTCCTACTTAGTGTCATATCTGCTCTAAGAGCCTAAGTTGAACTTTAAGGTAGTTTTACTAGGCAAAACAACTTAGTGAACTGAAGTAGACTATAATAAAAGTTGAGGAGGCTTTCTTTTGCTTTTGAGTACACCACTACTGCTGCTAGTACAATTTAGGAACTCCATAAATCTATGCAGAATGAAGATCATGCTATTTTCATTGCCTTGCTTCCAAGTTTGCATTTTTCCTTAATCAGGTTAATGTAAGCCTGACAAATTATAAAAGATGTAGATTCATAAACTTTTAAAGGTAGAAGGGCCTTAACTTCACTTAATGTGCTCATTTTATAGCCAAGGAAATAGAGGTTTACACAGGGGAAGTGAATTCTCTAGATCACAGCAGAGGCATGCCTTATTTCATTCCATATTCCTTTTATTCACACCCAATAATTTATCTTATGCTTTACTATTTATAAGGCTGTTTTTCATTATGCTTTCAACTCAATTATTTGGAACCAGTTAGCTGTGGTAAAAATAAAATGCTGCACTTTTGGAAAAATATAAATTAGCATGAATTAGTAAGCCATATTGGAAAAATCTATTTTTTGAAATTACATTGTAACAGATACATTGGATCTACGCAATAGGGATGCCTTCTCTCTCATCAGTCAGTGCTAAGCTACTAACTCAAATGTTAGAAATCTAATTTCTTATTCAACAAGTGAGCACACTTGTTTTTTCTCATGTATCACTGAAATAACCATTAAGGATAGGAAAAGGAATAAAGGCATTGAGAATACGGGTTGAGGGCAATGTTAGTGGATCAGATACTTTGAAATTTTAGGAGATGGAAGGTGAATGGAAAAATATAGAAAACCACAAATAAAATCATGCATAGACGAAGCCACAGGTGGAGATGGGAGCCCATTCTTCACGGGATAGCTATGGAGAAAATCGGTACATAAGGAGAGAAGTAGGTAAGGAGAACTTTTTCTAAAAGTGGAAAGAAATCAAGCAGATTTACTGGGATAAACAGCTGAACAATTTGCCCCATCTCATTTTCTCCTTCTGTTTGTGCAGCTGTAGAACTTGCCCCCAAGTGCTGAAATAAGTATAAATAAATTGGGTTCCTATGCCAAGGAGATGGTGGTGCTCCTACCTGGGATTAGTGCCCTAGATTGAGGGCTCCCTAATTTCGTCTGATTTTGAACGGTAAGTTCTCTAGCGCCTAAACTGTTAAACAGGTATGAGGACAAGTTTCAGTGAACCAAGTGATGACTGAGGAAACATCAACAAAAGGACTAGCCTTGAGCACTGAATACATTTAATTATAGAACTAAGACAATGGTGGCATAAATGTGACAATACTATCTAAATGTTTTATACTCTGATAAAAATAATGCATCTAACAAAAAATGAGAAGAGGAGAAATGGTAGAACACAGAATAAGCTCTTTGCTTTGTATAGTTAGAATTCAAAAGATACAGTTTAAAAGTGACAAGTAGTAGAAGTTTAAGAATATTTAATAGTACAATTTACAAGAGTAAAGGATAATATTGCCTTAAATTGGGTAGTGGGAAATAAGAATATGTACAAGCTAAATTTTTAATTTATAGATGAGAAGCAGATACTATAAAGAAATGGGGTCCAAAGATAGTATAACTATAGCCACTGAATCAAAGATACACACTTTCTTAAATGTTGTAATTAAAATAATGAGTTTTTAAGAAAAGAGCAAATAATATGAAGAATTAAGTCCTTACAGTCACATGAATAAATATAAATGGGCTTATCTCACCTATCAAAAAGGTGTTCATATAATATAGCATTGGATTTGATTTCAGGCTAAATCCAATGCTATATTGTTGTTGTACAGAAGAGATACTTAAAACATAGGTTAAAGGTTAAAAATAAAAGGATGGTTAAAGGCATGCCAGGAAATACAAATAAAAAGAAAGCATGAGTCATGATCTTAATAAAACAAGGCAGAATTCAAGCCAGAAAACATAAGACAAAAAAGTGCACTTTGTAATTCTAAATACTATAATTCATAAGGACTTTATAATAGTTACAATACCACACCAAGTAACAACTTTCATAAAGCATAAATTACAAGACATGCAAAAAGAAATAGGTAGAAGTACCTTAATACTGAGAGCCATGTTACCCAGGCTGGTCTCGAACTCCTGAGCTTAAGAGATCCACCCTCCTCGGCCTCCCAAAGTGCTGGGATTGCAGCGTGAACCACCACACCCAGCCAAGAATAAGGAATTTTTCTGTGTAGTGATATGGCGAGATGTCCAGGATAAATAATAGATACAGAATGCAGCAGTGTTAGCAAGCAAAAAGGGCTCATTGTCCAATGTACCAGAAGCCAATACTATGACACACAGTTTTTGAGAAAAGGAAAGCTTGATACTCAAAGTAGACTTCCAACTATTTGCTGTTGACTCCCAAATCCATACTTGTAGCCCCTATCACTTTTCTGAGTTCCATACCTACATTGAAATACATTTGGTTGTCTCAAGCCCCTTAATCTCACTTTGCTCTAATCTGAATTCATCTCTTCACTCTCTTAACACATCCAAAATCAACTCCTCTGATATACCCTATCTCAGTGAATGATATTGACAGCTGTCTAAATCAGAAATCTGGGAGCCACCCTTATTATCTTTCTTACCCCCATACCAACTCTATCTATCTTAAACCATAACTCTGTACATGTCCCTGTGGTCCACAATCTATTCCAGTCAATATCACCAAGCACTCCCTATGTCTAAATCTTGCTCTGCCGTTCTGTCAAAAGACAAAATTAACAACAAATTAGTTACAGATCTAATTGGCTTTTATTCTAGATTCATGTATCAGGTAACTTTCATTCTACAAAATAGAATGAAGTTCCCACTGGGTAATGGCAGAACAGTGGGTTTTGTAAGGATGGGAACAAAGAATAATAGAAAAATAAAAACTGATTGGTTATCATTAGGTTACTTCAGATTACATCTTCTTTGTACAGTTTAAAGCAGAGGGGACTTCCTTGATTATGCTCAGATAGAGTGGAATCTCCTGTTTTGAGGAAAAACTAGTCTGGGGATCTACCTATTTCCTTAAAGTTTCAGTTTGATTGTGTGGCATTTAGTATGAGTGACTCCATTTTGCTTTGGTCTGGTCTACTGGGGCCTAGGTGCAGGAACTCAGTCCAAAACAATAGTTTTAAACCATTCAAAATACAGCTGACCCTTGAACAACATGGGTTCGAACTCCATGGGTCCACTTATATGTGGAGTTTTTCAGTAAATTTAGTTGGCTCTGCATTGGCAGGTTCTGCATCCGCAACCAAATGCAGATGAAAATATAGTATTTGTGGGATGCGTAACCCTTGTATAGAGAGGGCCAACTTTTTGTATCTGCAGGTTCCATAGGGTTGACTGTGGGAATTGAATATGTGAAGATTTTTATAGCTGAGGAGGTCCTAGAACCAATCCCCCACATATAACAAGGGACAACTGAAGTATGCTATTTGATCCTCATAAAATGTAAATCTAATCGTGTTATTCTTCCAGATTGAAAGTTTTCCATTGGTTCCCATTTCCTTTAGGAATAAAGTTTAAGTGGCATGTCATGTTTTACAAGGCCCTTCATTAACCACCATCTCTCTACCACTCCCTCTTCTTGTGCTCTATCTTCCAGCCACCCTAAATCTCTTTTGGCTTATCCAGTGTGGGGATGCTTTCTCTTCTGGCCTCTGTACATGCTGTTATTCTCTCTCTACAAGCAATCATTTCTGAGCTAAGTCTTTAATTCTTCAGTTCTGAGTTTAAAAGTCACCTTCCTTTGAGAAGTGATTCATTTCTGCTCCACCTGCCACTCCTATCCCCTACACACTCTAGAGCAGCTTATATTAATCTGGCAACTATAATGAAGGAACCAGAGTTGTATCTATTCATCTCTTTTGTGAAGTGTGTTTCTATGAGATGATGCAATCTAGATACAGAGAATTTCTGATGACTTAAGTAAGCCAGAATCTCCAGGTTTCTTGTAAAAATAAGTAGAAAAAGCCAATAGCACCAACAAAGTAAGTAATGAAATAATAGCAGGAAACAGCTTTCAAATCATGAAGTAATTTTTAAAAGTACTTTTATGGAGAAAAATGTGTCAGTAGGTACATAGATATAGCATTAAAAGAATATTTCTAGTACCAGCGGCTTTAAAAATAGAAAATTTATGATGAAAATTATTATAACAAGAAATTAATCTGATTCAGTAACAAAGTAAGATCTGTAATATGGCTTATGGCAATTTCTCAAGTAAGATTTCATCTAATGGTACAGTGTGCATTTAATATATTCTCACATTCTTTCTTACACTTACGAATTTTTAAGTTTCAGCTCGGGAGAGATACTTTTTTGGGTTTCTTTAGGCTAGTTATTGTTACATATGTCAATTACTTAGCAAGGGTTAAATAATTTAAGGACTATATTATGTAAAAATGAGTTTCCAGTAGTAATTGGATTTATAATTAAATCCAATAAGTCCAGTATTCGTAATTTAAAATGCTGCTTTTGAGAAAACAACATAAACTAAAGAAACCCAATATAAAACCCAATAAAATAACAGACAGTATGGAAATGTGATTCAATCTCAATATGCATGCTTGTACATGTATGACTTTATACACATACACTTGTATGTATTCTGCAGGAGAGGAAATAATAGCAGAAATACACTTAAACATGATGGAAAATGTACTCTAGAGAAATATAAGGACAGGATATATATATTGTAAGTGCAAATATAAATTATCAGTCAAA
This sequence comes from Homo sapiens, assembly GCF_000001405.40. Classification (NCBI taxonomy): domain Eukaryota; kingdom Metazoa; phylum Chordata; class Mammalia; order Primates; family Hominidae; genus Homo; species Homo sapiens. The sequence continues at coordinate 14,871,353 of NC_000011.10, read as the reverse complement.
ATTTTATTAGTAATAAGTGGTGGGACTGGTTTACACATAGTGTGTGACAATGGTAACAAAAGTGGCAGCAAGGAACTCAGCACTCACTCAACACGTCTAATAAATAAAGCTTAGTGATTCATTAAATATTGACACTGTGAAGGATCAAAAATTCTAACACTTCCAGAGATCTTAAATTGATATCTTTCAGATAAGCCAAATATTCTAGATAAGTAAGAAACTGCATGCCAATACCATATTCTAAAGGAATTACCTTGGAAAATTAATGGTTTCACTGTGTGCAAAATTGCATGATTCCAAAATATGATATGTTCTCCAATAATAATAGAAAATATTAGCCTACCATTTTGCCATCATTTTGGCTGCTCTTTATATCTTCAAATGTATTTCACAAGTAGGGTACATATCCACACACTAGCAAGTTTACAAAACATTGTAAATATGGTCCATTTTCTTGCAATTATTTTAATAATGTGGTTATTTAATAATGTACTTTTGTATGAAATGATTTATTAACACATTTAGATTTTTATATGAAAAATAAGTATTCCAGTTCTTTACTTGTTCTCAGAAATCAGTCTTGCAGTTAGGCTTCAGAAATAATAAGTAGTGATAGGTCATTTCTGTCATGTAGTCTTTAGGCAGAGGGAAATTAACAGAAAGATGAACATCAGTTTTAGAGTGAACAAATGACAGCTAAGATGTGGATCTAAAGATAACCACATGTTCCAATTATTTATTCAATGTATGTGTCCTTTAGGGCTCACTATATTTCTTTTTTTCTGTATCTTTGATGAGGTTAGTTTTGGTATTACAGCAAATTTTTTTTCTTCTAACAAATCTGTGCTGTGTTCATATTAACTAAATCTTTAAAAATACGAATCCTGAGCTAGAGTAAAAACAACAATTTTGACTAAAGAATAAATCCCTTCATTGTTAAACCTAAACAGCTTTAAAATTCAGCCATGGAACATAAGATAAGACTGGAATTCAAACTTCTGATGTCCATGGCAAACCTGAATACTCTCAGCAGAAATAAAACACACATAGTAGATAATACACAATAGTAAAAAGCATCAGAAATTGATGCACCTGGATTTTGTTAAATACAACAAAGGTCACTCAGTCCTTCATGGATAAACCTAGCTGGGAGAATAGCACTGAACAGTGTATTGCATTGAGCAGAAATCCCTCAGAAAGGCAACACTGGATTCATTTTTAGACAGGCATAGACTTTTCTCCAAAACATTCAAAGACATAAAAGACACACTGGGAAATACAATATGAATCTATTTTCATAAAAGCAAAAAGTTCCTGGCCACTTTGGTAACTGAAATATGTCACTTGAGTTTTTAGTTATAGCTGACCCCCAGTGAAAAATAAGAGCTCACTACCCAGCAAAGCAGCATTATGACAAAGTATTCATACACCAGTGAAGGATTTAAGTAAGGGCTCTGCAACATGGGTCAACACGGATGGTATTTTTGGTTTAAGAATAGTTTTCTAGTTCCTGTGAAAGTGCATAGGAGTGGGAAACTGCCAGCAGAGCAAGGATCCTCTCACAGTATTAAGGCCTGTCCACATGGGAATGGTCAGTTGAGAGTCAGCCGGTGAACACTAGGCAATGATTTCTGCCCCTGGGCACAACCCTCTGGGCTTCTTCAATATGACTTTTCTTTTACTCAAACTGTCGCTATTCCTCTTCATCTGCCTCTTCAATTACCTGAATCTCATCTGCTTGAGGTAAGGAGGAATTCTCCACCTGCAGTTTATTCCCATCAGCTTTACATTTTTCTTCTTCCTCTACGATTTCCTTCCATATCTTGTGGTTTTCAGTGAGGTGGTGCATTAGCTGACAAAATATTCGCCGTCTGCTTTTCCTTCTTGGTGGTTCTGTGAAATTTAAAATAAATATATTCTAATCATAGCAATATGATTTAATCATTCAACAAATATTAAGTGCCTATTCTAGGTATCTAAGCACTGGGAGTATAAAAGTAAACAGTACTATAAAATAATAGTATAATAAAAATAATATAATGAAATAGTACTATAAAAATAATCCCTGCGTTATGGTGTTCAGATTCTAGTGGAAAGAGCTAGGAAAACAGAAAGAAGCAAAACAGGAATATGTTAGATGGTATTGTTACGGATAAAAACAAAATAGAGAAGAGGTTTAGGGAAAACTGGCTGGGTATGGTGGAGAGGGAAGAAGCGTGCTGAAATTTCAAATGAAAATAACCCAAAGTTAAAAACCAACCTTTAAGGGCATTCTTATGTATTGAATTAAACACAATTACCAACATTTTGATGAGTACAATTTTTTTTTTTTTGAGACGGAGTCTTGCTCTGTCGCCCAGGCTGGAGTGCAGTGGCACGATCTCAGCTCACTGGAACCTCCGCCTCATGGGTTCACTCCATTCTCCTGCCTCAGCCTCCCTAGTAGCTGGGACTACAGGCGCCTGCCACCATTTCCAGCATATTTTTGTATTTTTAGTAGAGATGGGGGAGTATAATTTTTAGAAGTCAGTCAACCTTCAGATGCTAATGCCATTTTTTTAAAAAAAGAATTTTAAATACATTTTAATAGGATTTGCCATGCTAATCCTAAATACAAGGCATGTGTGTGTTGCAGTGGGAGGTTCTTTGTAGTTTTCCTGTCTGGTCTGATTTATTGCATGCTTGAAAATCAAAACAATACTTATGTAGGTATAATTTAAATTCTACTTTAAAATGAGCAAATAACTGATTTCATTCACAATTACAAAGTGATAATTTTCATTTCATTTTCCATTTATACTAATTGTCTTATACAGGAAAGTATGTCATTACAGTTTGGTAACTCAAATTCATAATGCCACAAAATTGGCTCTCCCTCTACAGCCAGGGAATGTATGTTTTCCTTCCCCCCTCCCCCCCACTGTTTTGATCTACTTCTCAAGTCTATGTGAACAGCAGATTAGTAGGCTGCTATGGAAGTTGTGCTCCTCAGCTGCCTAGTGGGATTGGGGGTGAGATGTGTGAAAAGGAGTGACATGAAGGAGGACTTGCCATGAGGATCCACCTCACATATGTTCAGATGTGGTGATGGCCCTATCGTGCATGCACAGGTACTGTGAAGAGTACTGGCTGGAGGACAACACCTCAAGAGATGTTACTTTAATTAAATAAGAATAAGAATGCTTGTTGTATGACAGTATTCACCCAGTACCCGGCATATAGAAGTTACTCAAAACATGACTGTTGAATCTGAACATTTAGATAGTGGTTACTCAATGTAATGACTGCTGAATCTGTATCTGAGAAACAAAGTTCCAAATCTAAGTTAAATGGATATATGCAGTTATTAAAGGTTGAATATCCCTATTCAAAATGCTTGAGACCAGAGGGGTTTCTGATTTTGGAATATTTGCATTATATTTAGCACCCCTAATTGAAAAATCTGAAATCCAAGTGTCCCAATGAATATTTCCTTTGAGCACCATGCTGGCACTCAAAAAATTTTGGATTTTGGAGCATTTCATATTTCAGATTTTCAGACTTGGAATACTCAACCTATAACATTAAATAAATTATAATGTCCCTATATTCTTACTTGGATTTAGATTGTTTTCCATTTCTTCATCTTCTGTATCTAATTCTTCACCGTCTTCATCATCACCACTTTCAGTATCATTATCCTCTTCTGCTTCTAACCACTGACCTGGTAGCAAACCAGCAGCATCATAGGAGTTACACAGGGGACCCACTATGTGGGTGATAAAAGATTCTTGGAGTTTTGCTAGTTGAGGAGAAGAACGATCCATGAATGGACTGATGGGCAGACCAAGATTTGCTTCTTCATCTCCCTGCATATTTTAAAAAGAAAAGTACATTTTTAACTGGTGAAAGAACCACCACTGAGCTTTGCTGTTAAAATTATCTTGAGTTTTTTTAAAATAAACAATCTATATCAAAATATTTTTTATGAATAAGCATCAATCTATCATTTCAACTGTAAGAATTTAACATTGAGAAATCCTAAACAAAACTTTATTCTCACATTCTGTTCACATCAACCAATATGGCTGATACTCAGTTAATAAGAAACATACAGATCTATTAAAATAAGTATCAGATATTTTACTGACAAACTGCAAAATTCCATAGTGTCAATTATGGATTCTCTTTATCTAGGGGCAAAAGCATAATAGAAACATTTTTGTTGTAGTTATATCTCAAATGTACAGAGCTGAATTTTGCAAGTGCTTTTCAATAACACTACCTCCACCCCCTTTTTTTTTTTTTTTAACAGCAGAACTCTCTAATGATTCAAAATCAGAAAACCTAATATGAAAAACAAATAAAGTAGAGCTACCACGATTGAGGTGAGGATCCTGGGGCTAGATCCCCAACGGCCTGCCTTCTGGTACTCTCCCACTGTGGCTTCTAGGGCTTAATTTGAGATCAGACTACTACCTGTGTGGTGTTGGGCAAGCTCTATGTACAAATGCACTGTGTGTAAAATCTGAATAATAATCTACCTAATAGGGATGCTATGATGAGGTTAAAGGAAATATTAATATAAAGTGTTTAGCAAGTACTGAGCATTCTCCAAATGGTACTATTAACATTTTAGTCCTAGTGTCTGAACTGGTTTGGGATAAATTACTCCCCACAATGTACAAATTCTGCAGGTAAGGAGTGTCTGTTCTGTAATGAGCCAACATAACTCTGAGGAAACAACCAGAAACTGTCCCCGTGATTAACTGTCCCATGATTAGAAATCTTTTACGAGATTATTGTCTATGAGGAAGAAAACAATTGATATTTTTCCAAAAACAGTTGGGTTTATCTATAGGACTCTGTAATTTCACAGATATAACCCAGGAGTTTGGCTTTTCTAAGTCCATGGCAGTTAAATGGCTGTAGGCATCTAAAGACAGTATAATTAGTATAATAAAAAAAAAGTTGGGCATGGTTAGAATTTTACATCAATATCTGAAGAAAGTTTAATAGCATAACCAGAATGAGAAAGAAGTTTAGTTCTGATGAGGGATGATTAAAACTTTCATAAGTGGGAGGATATCAGATGACATTTTCCTGCTTTGATATTGAATAATGACACTTAGATTAAGTGAAACTCTCTGAGATAACATATTGTTTTTAGTGATATATATGAAATTATAATAGTTAACATTTATTGAGCACTTATGTATCAGAAACTATTCTAAGAAGTCTACATATATTAGTTCATTTAATCCTCACAGAAACCTTATGAGGTAGGTACCATCATTCCTATTTTATCAATGAGGAAACTGGCACAGAGAGGTTAAGTAACTTACCCAACCAAGGTCGTATTGGAGATAAGGAAGAGAAGCCAGGATTCAACCTCAGGCATGGCTTCCAGGTTTGCTTAATAAGTATTAATTCTATATGCTTTTAAAATGATATGCGGGACCTAAATGAATATTTCTAATGTTCTCTCACTGAACTAGTGAATTTTCTAAAATTTACATACACTATTATTTTTTATTACCCATTTGTACATATAATATAAAGATAACATTTTCCCTAGCATAAAATTCCTCTTTTGTAAACATGAGATCCATGGGCGAGCTCTAAAGCAAGTTTCAATTATCACTGAGAATGAGAATATGCAAACTGCATAGTATAATCTTACAAATTAGGTAAATATAGCCATTTACTACCCGAAATTAAATATAATTTAAATAGATAATAGTAAAATATTAATAATCTTTCCATGATTATACAGTACGGCATTTTGTAACTTATAAACAGCAGAGTATACATTATTGTGTTGGGATGTTTAGCTGGTGGGTGTAAAACATTGCACATTTTCAATACAATCTGGAAGTAACAAAGTATACCAGGTGCATGGTTATATAGGCTCAATTACTCCCACTTTCCACTCATGTTAAGAAAGCCCTCACCTAGTAGATATGTTGACCTTTCCTGATAATTAGGGCCAACAAGGATTCCTAAGGAATGTAATTCCAAAGCCAAAAAGGTGTAGTTGCTATTTTGGAGATAACAAAATGTTAGGCATGTCAGGAAATCAGTGCACTCCTACATTGTAGGAAGCCTCAAAACGGGACCCCAAAAAATGGCAGATTCAGCAAAGTGGAAAGATTATTTTAATGCCAAAAATTTTATAGTATTCTCTGATAGTAGTTTGTATTTCTGTGGGATCAGTGGTGATTTCCCCTTTATCATTTTTTATTGTGTCTATTTGATTCTTCTCTCTTTTCTTTATTAGTCTAGCTAGTGGTCTATTTTGTTAATCTTTTCAAAAAACCAGCTCCTGGATTCATTGATTTTTTTGAAGGGTTTTCTGTGTCTCTATCTCCTTCAGTTCTGCTCTGATCTTAGTTATTTCTTGTCTTCTGCTAGCTTTTGAATTTGTTTGCTCTTGCTTCTCTAGTTCTTTTAATTGTGACGTTAGGGTGTCGATTTTAGATCTTTCCTGCTTTCTCCTGTGGGCATTTTAGTGCTATAAATTTCCCTCTAAACACTGCTTTAGCTGTGTCCCAGAGATTCTGGTACATTGTGTCTATTTATTTCTGCCTTAATTTCATTATTTACCTGGTAGTCATTCAGGAGCAGGTTGTTCCGTTTCCATGTCATTGTGCCTTAATTTCGTTATTTACCCAGTAGTCATTCAGGAGCAAGTTGTTCAGTTTCCATGTCATTGTGCAGTTTTGAGTGAGTTTCCTAATCCTGAGTTCTAATTTGATTGCACTGTGGTCTGAGAGACTGTTTATGATTTCCATTCTTTTACATTTGCTGAGGAGTGTTTTACTTCCAATTATGTGGTCAATTTTAGAACAAGTGCGATGTGGTGCTGAGAAGAATGTATATTCTGTTGATTTGGGGTGGAGAGTTCTGTAGATGTCTATTAGGTCCACTTGGTCCAGAGCTGAGTTCAAGTCCTGAATATCCTTGTTAATTTTCTGTCTTGATCTGTCTAATATTGACAGTGGGGTGTTAAAATCTCCCACTATTATTTTGTGGGAGTCTGAGTCTCCTTGTAGGTCTCTAAAAACTTGCTTTATGAATCTGGGTGCTCCTGTATTGGGTGCATATATATTTAGGATAGTTAGCTGTTCTTGATGCATTGATCTCTTTACCATTATTTAATGCCCTTCTTGGTCTTTTTCTGTCTGTGTTGGTTTAAAGTCTGTTTCATCAGAGACTAGGATTGCAACCCCTGCTTTTTTTTCGCTTTCCATTTGCTGGGTAAATCTTTCTCCATCCCTTTATTTTGAGCCTATGTGTGTCTGCACGTGAGATGGGTCTCCTGAATACAGCACACTGATGGGTCTTAACTCTTTATCCAATTTGCCAGTCTGTGCCTTTTAATTGGGGCATTTAGCCCATTTACATTTAAGGCTAATACTGTTATGTATGAATTTGATCCTGTCATTATGATGCTAGCAGGTTAATTTTGCCCGTTAGTTGATGTGGTTTCTTCATAGTGTCCATGGTCTTTACAATTTGGTATGTTTTTGAGGTGGCTGTTATCGGTTTTTCCTTTCCATATTTAGTGTGTCCTTCAGGAGTTCTTGTAAGGCAGGCCTGGTGGTGACAAAATCTCTCAGTATTTGCTTGCGTGTAAAGGATTTTATTTCTCTTTCGCTTATGAAGCTTAATTTGGCTGGACATGAAATTCTGGGTTGAGAATTCTTTTCCTTAAGAATGTTGAATATTGGCCCCCACTCTCTTCTGGCTTGTAGGGTTTCTGCAGAGAGATCCACTGGTAGTCTGATGGGCTTCCCTTTGTGAGTAACCCAACCTTTCTCTCTGGCTGCCCTTAACATTTTTTCCTTCATTTCAACCCTGGGGAATCCAATGATTATGCATCGTGGGACATTTATGTAGCCAACAAACATATGAAAAAAGCTCATCATCAGTAGTCATTAGAGAAATGCAAATAAAAACCACAATGGGATAACCTCTTATGCCAGTTGGAATGGCGATCATTAGAACGTCAGGAAACAACAGATGCTGGAGAGGATGTGGAGAAATAGGAATGCTTTTCAAAGACTTGGAACTAACCCAAATGCCCATTAATGATAGACTGGATAAAGAAAATGTGGCACATATATACCATGGAATACTATGCAGTTATAAAAAAGGATGAGTTCATGTCCTTTGCAGGAACATAGATGAAGCTGGAAACCATCATTCTCAGCAAAAACAGAAACAGAAAACCAAATACCGCATGTTCTCACTCATAAGTGGGAGTTGAACAATGAGAACACGTGGACACAGGGAGGGGAATATCACACATGGGGGCCTGTTAGGGGGTAGGGGGCTAGAGGAGGGATAGCATTAGGAGAAATACCTAATGTAGATGACAGGTTGATGGGTGCAGCAAACCACCATGGCACGTGTATACCTATATAACAAAACTGCACCTTCTGCACATGTGTCCCAGAACTTAAAGAATAATTTAAAAAAAAATTAAAGATTTAAGAACAGCCGGGCACAGTGGCTTATGTCTGTAATCCCAACACTTTGGGAGGCCGAGGTGGGCGGATCACAAGGTCAGGAGTTCGAGACCAGCCTGACCAACATGGTGAAACCCCATCTCTACTAAAAATACAAAAATTAGCCAGGCATGGTGGCGTGCACCTGTAATCCCAGCTACTCAGGAGGCTGAAGCAAGAGAATTGCTTGAACCCAGGTGGCAGAGGTTGCAGTGAGCCGAGATCGCGCCACTGCACTACAGCCTGGGCAACAGAGAAAGCCTCTGTCTCAAAAAAAGATTTAAGAACAAAAGAGCCTGCTTATATCTTTGAATCCTTGAGAACCACTAAGTGTCTATTCTCTCCATTTTGTAGCCCTCTGTCCGGATTTCTTCCCAGTTGATGTTCCTACTGCAGGGAGTTAGTCTTTTTATAGCAGAATTGAAAATGGATTGATATTCTTTAAATATATTCTGAGCACACCCTGAATAACTTAAAAACCACTTCATCTGGAAATAAATTCTTCTAGGTTACAGAATCTCAGGGTTGAAAGAGACCTTGGAATCATAATGTAGTCTAGACTTGTTATAGAAAGTAGTCAGGCAGACATGGGCAGAGCAGGAGAGGGCCCACCCCCAACCCCATCAGAAATGTCAGGTGACCATCAGGTGATAGGTTAAGCTGTCTCTCTAAAATAATAATTGGTCACAGCTGGCACCAGGGAAAGGCAGTCACCCAACAGAAACTGGTGATCAGCAGCTTCCTGGTAAGATCTCAGGAGGTGGGTGAGTGGGCTCAAGCATGTGCACTAAGAGGCAAAATGGTGGAGTTTAATTGGTATATGACCTTCTTCCATGAACACTGGGCTGGTAAGGGAAAAATGCCTCAAGTGAGCATGAGTACAATTTCAGTAAACACACTGTGTATGTGGCCCCTCCCAAGTGCTGGCAGGTCACTGCACATGTGACAGCCACCTCAAAGGATGAATTGGGAGAAGTAACACAACCCTGGAAGCATGCCAATGTATAAGACTCCAAGTCAAAGGTCAAACCATGCACTTGATCTCTTAGGTTGCCCGCCTGGCCTTCTTCCAAGTGTACTTTACTTCCTTTCATTCTTGCTCTAAAGCTTTTAAATAAACTTTCACTTCTGATCTAAAACTTGGTTCAGTCTCTCCCTCTGCCTTATGCCCCTCAGTTGAATTCTTTCTTCTGAGGGGGCAAGAATTGAGGTTGCTGCAAACTCGGATTTGCGGCTGCTAACAGCCTTACCTGTAGACTCATGAGTATATTCAGCTCAGTCAAGATAGGGAATAAGTTATTTTTTAAAATTTTAACAGCAAAGGCAAACAGAACACAGAAAATACTAAGAACCAAAGCAAATGCAACAATTTTTAACCCTTCCCAGTCAAAGCAACTCAGATTTCAAACACTTAATAAAGCTATCCAAAACCCAAAGAGTAGTGTCTTCTCATGACAGCTCTTAAAAATCCCACCAAGCTCAGGTTTCAACTTACCTGCTCATAAAATTCATTGACAATGCCTTCTGTCCATTTCAAATGCAAGTCTCGAACTTTTGCTGGGCCATTTATATCTGCCAGTTTGATGCACACCTGGCATACCAAGAGGCGATCATTTTCATTACTCCATTCTATGCCATTACTATTTACATCATTTGCCTATTTTGGAAAAACAACATCATTTTAGGTTCTGAAGGCATTTTTAAAACTTGTTGTTTTGTTTGCTTTTACCAAATTATCTTAAAACTGTTTCCTGTCTAAATGACAGAAAGAAATTTCAGCAAATAGTTCTTTTTAAAATCAGCTTATTCCATAATATGGACCTCTATTGGTTAAATTTCCTTTCTAAAAAATGCTTTCTAGCAAAACATATAACTAACCATGGGTTTCAATATTTGTGATTACCACAAAGAATCATGAATTATATGTGTGTGTGTGTGTGTATATATATATATATGTATTTATTAAGTATAGTACATACACAATATCAAAAAATCATATAAGAATTATAACTACTTATTTCTACCTCAAAAAAGAACACTTAAGAAGCTAGAGAAGTTTGCCCTTGCTGTGAAAGGCAACATGATATAGTGAACTGAACACAAGTCTGAGAAGCTGGCCCTATAGTTTTAAATCCTGACTCAGAATGTCATGAATCAGCAAGTTGTATTCTGAATCAAAAATTCAGTGTGTAACAGTGAAAAAACTGCTTAACCTATTCGAATCTAACTTTCTTCATCTATGAAGTAGGAAAAGTAGTACCAATCTAGCCATGCTGCTATGAGGATTAATAAATGAAAAAATGCCTTGTTCACGGAAAATGTTAAATATTGTTATTTAAATAAATGATAATTATTAGCTGAAAAAAAGCCTTTCAAGAACTAAAATTTCATTTTGTAAAAAATGAAAAGAATGAGCCACATCATAGCTTTTGAACTTCAGTGTGATGGTTGCTTTTTGGCACCAAACTCTTTCAGAAAAAAAAAAATATATATGTAGAACACCACCATAGAAAACACTTGAGAGAAGAGCTCTTTTGATTGAAACTTAATAGGAAGTCTAGAGCCCCATTCATATGGCATTTTTTTGAGAGACTTCAAAATAGAAGTCTTTAAGGAATACACATTCAAAGTATTGTATTAGATAATCTTTTACCTATAAAAGGTGACTTAAGCACTTAAATGAATTTTATTTAAAAATTAAAGTGAATAAGACTATACAACTATGAAATAATTTTAAAGGTACCCTTACTTCTCACTGATTTTTATAAGCATTTCATTAATGTCATGACAGCAACATATATAAGGGTCTCCTTCCAGCAGGTCTAATCTAGTACTCCTTTGTTACCAGTTTCTCTACCCTGCAGGTACAGCTTCTTTTAGGTCACAAAAGTCATCAAGAAAATAGCAGCTTCCTGCAAGCCAGGGTGGGAATCTAAAGCAGTGGTTCTCAACTTTTTTCACCTCAAATGTCTGAGGGATAAAGCATAGTCCCATGAGTACCACCGTCATACTGGGGCAGTGATTCTTGATCCCCTGGTGAATATGAGTTCTTTGGCCTAGTACAATGTCTGTACATAGTGGGCAATCCCAATAAATACTTGTTGAATGAATGAATTATTCTCAAGTAGAAGAGGGTGCTTCCTTTTCCCTAAACTAGCCAGCTAAAGAATCACTAATATAAAGAAGGTATAACAGGTGCAGTGAGGTAGACATAATTAACTGGATTCTTAAGAAACACATAAAGTTAATTTTATATAATGCCTTACTTGACACTGAGCATGGCTTTGTCAAATCTCTCTTTAAACTCATTTGAAATAACTGGTTTGTTTCTAATAACTGGTTTGTTTCTATGTGAAAAATATGTGAAATAAAGTCACAATAGTATAAGTTTATGTGTCGAAAGAAAATATAACAAGCAATAATATTTTAGGAAATGTTACCATAACAATAAAAATGTTTATTTTTAAAAATATAGGCATATATATTATTTTATATCAACTATTTATTGTTACTTCCTAAGTAGTAATAATTCTAACTTAACATTAAAAAACATATTTTATCAGTAACACTGACAATAAAGATTTTTTAAATCAGGCACTAATTTTCATAACAAACCTTGGCATTGAATTCTGCGAGAAAATCAAAATGCTTTTTAAGATCCGTAGCAAGGATTGCTTCAATGACTAAAAAACGAAAGCGCTTGAATTCCACATGATCAAGATGAAGAAGGAAGTTGTATTCTGGGCGAGAAAGATATAGATTCCAAGCTGACGCAGCATGATGATTTTCCAGAACAGATCTGTCATTGTATAAAACTGCCTAAAAAGAAATATAGAAAAATGAGGCAGACACCTCAAAGATATTAAAGTTTAATATCTTTAATATCAGGTTGGAAGTATACAAACAATGAATACCTACTATATACTAGGCATTTTACCAGGTATTTTAGTACCTGTGAAAATAGGTTGTGATAATTTTATAAATGAGTAGACTGAAGTACAAAGAGGTTAAGATACACCTTTCCTTCCAACATACATAGCTCTAGTAAGTGAAAGGGTTATATATCTTTAAAGTTTATCTTTGCAGACACCGTGCTGCCTCCCAAGAGATGTAAAGTTGATACTTTGAGGTCTATTTCATTTAATCAGAAAACCTTCTCAGATAAACTTCTGTGAATAAAGTCATTAGGGATCTAGAGCAGGTTTCAGAATACATTTCTGTTGTTTAGTCATTCTGGAGTCAATGGTGATGGTGACTAAAGAAGAGGAAGCAGTACTGTCCAGGGTAAGTAAGAGACCTGCCTGTCTGAGATGGACATATCCTGGATTCCCATCCTCACACAGGGCCTGGGAGTAAAACAGAACTATGTAACAGATAAAAACACAAATCCTCTGGTTCAAATGGTGTGGAACTACTCACTTTTTCTACACTTCACTCCAGCAGAAGACCCTGAGGTGCCTCCTCAGTACTCTAGGACTTTGGAATACAGACTTAAAATCAGTGGAGTATAGAATTTCTAAAGCCTCTTCCACCTCTACAAATTAAGCAATTCTTTAAATTATTAAATAAGCATAGTAATTATTAAAAAAACTTCTACAGCCAAGTTGTGTTAAAGGCCAGGGATAAAAATTAAAACCCTATCCCTGTTTTCATGGAGCCTACTGTGTAATGAGAAAGAAGGACGGAATGAGATCTCAGGTAGGATACATATTCTGAGAGCTTAATTGAATAGCTCTACTTATTTGTGAAAATTAGCTATAGCCTAGATTTAAGCACAGATGCATAACACTAAGTGATTATTTTTTAAGCTATTTGGTTTTATAAAAGCAATGGTATGATTTAAACTTTGCAATGAGCCATATAAAGGCATTTCATACCACCTGTAATACAACTTCTAAACATTATAAATACCAAACAGAAAGAGTAAGCTTCGAAAACTCCCTAAGGGGTCATTTACATTTAATAATGATTTGACTAATTCATGCTCAAATGTGACAAGGACTTAACTATGAGAACAGCTCTGTCTGTTCAGGAGGAAGTAATCTGATTCTGGGCTCAATACAACACAATGTACAATGAATGCCCTGTGAAGCTAGCTGACTTAATAAACTTACAGATAGCAAGATCAGTTTTTTAAAAAAATGAGCAAGTTCGGAATTCTTTCACCATTCAAATTACCCTTTGAAATTGCCAAAGAAATATAAAATGGGCGGAGGGGGGAAGGTCTGAATCAGTATTAGAATCTAGATATAATGACCATACTGGAAACTTCAAAGACATGGTGAAAATGAGAATGGATTGAGAAAAGCTAACCAAGTCACTGCATAAGAAGGAAAAAGCCTATATGAAGAGTAAGTGGAAGGGGTTCCCTGCTGATCCCCAGTAGACTCACAAGCTCAAAGATGAGTGGGAGGCAAGAAAGAATCATGAAGCAGTAAGTAGGAAGCAAATGTCAATGCTACTTTAGAAGAATACTTGAAGGTAGCACACAGAGCAGCAGACCAAGCTTAAACCAAATAAGAAAAACATTTCAAGCAAACAGATAATGAAGCCTCAGCTCTTACTGCGGGCTCTTAGAAGCAGAGAAAAAAGACAGGGTCCCAGCTCATTTGGAGCTGCAATAAACTAACATCCTTTGACTTTGTGCTAAAGCATCTTGTTACCTGCTTTTTCTAGCTATAGATCCTTCTCTCTACAGCAAATACATCAATACTTTGGCAAAACAAATTAGTTGGTCATAAATCTTACTTTTCACCCTCTGAGTTGGAAAGATCTGAGAAGGGGTTTAATACAAACTGACAGAATCTTAGCAAATAGTAACACTTAAATAAGAACAAAAAGAGAAAACCCTTCAGACATAAGAAGGACTTAGATCATACAAAGGATAAGTCTGACTAATCTGAACAAATGTCCCCTTTTAAAACATAAGAAACAGGAGGAAACATTAACAAAAATCTAGGTCATAGCCATTATCTCATGACTAAGAAGGCACTTTTTTTTTTTTTTTTGAGATGGACTCTCGTTCTGTTGCCCAGGCTAGAGTGCAGTGGCGCGATCTCAGCTCACTGCAAGCTCTGCCTCCTGGGTTCAAGCCGTTCTCCTGCCTCAGCCTCCCGAGTAGCTGGGACTACGGGTGCCCGCCACCACGCCCAGCTAATTTTCTGTGTTTTTTAGTAGAGTCGGGGTTTCACCATGTTACCAGGATAGTCTCTATCTCCTGACCTCGTGATCTGCCCTTCTCAGACTCCCAAAGTGCTGGGATTACAGGCGTGAGCCACCACACCTGGCCAACTAAGAAGGCACTTCAAGTGAAAAAGATTAAGAAAGATTGTTCATTTAAAAAATAATATTCCCAACTCAAAAAAAAATTCAGTAGAGAGATAGCAGATAAATAAGGTGCCACAGAACACAAAGCAGCTAGTTTTGTTGTTTTTTTATAGGGTAAAGAAATAGTCTTGACAAACAGCTGTTATCTCAGGATTCTTTTACACTGTTCTCGGTTTGTTCTTTTCTGTGTTTACACTGCTATAGAGATACTACCTGAGACTAGGTAATTTATAAACAAAAGAGGTTTAATTGAATCACAGTTCCACATGGGTGGGGAAGCCTCAGGAAACTTACAGTCACAGTGGAAGGCAATGGAGAGGCAGGCACCTTCTTCACAAGACAGCAGGAGAGGGAGAGAGAGCACACACAGGGGAGACTACCACTTTTAAACCATCAGATCTCATGACAACTCCCTCACTATCATAAGAACAGCATGGGAGAACCTGCCCCCATGGTCTAATCACCTCACACCAGGGCCCTGCCCTTGACATGTGAGGATTACAATTTGAGATGAGATTTGGGTGAGGACACAGAGACAAACCGTATCAGTTCAAAAATTTCTAATAATCCCTTATCTTCCTTTATCTTAGTTACCACCCTTCTTCTGCTGAAATACATTTTAAAATAACTTTCTGAGGATGGTCAAGATATGACTGTTTAAAATCACTGCATATCTGAGAATCTCATTATTTTGCTCTCATGTAAAATGGTAGCTTAGCTGAATATAGAACTCTAACTTGAAAATAATACTCTTATGCCAGCACTTCCTATCTCCTCTCATTTTACTTATTTCCTAGCTCTTAAGTCATAATCTTCTCTTTCTCTCTCTGTCTGTCTCTCTTGGTCTCTCTTTCTCTTGCTCTGTCTCTGTCTCTCTCTCTCTCTCTTGCTCACACACATTATTTATGTATTTATTTTCTTGCTGTACTAGAATGTAAGTTCGATGAGGGGCAAGATTTTTTCCCATGTTTTATTTAATATAACAATGCCTAAATAGTGCCTATCCCACAATATGCACCCAATAAATACTTGAACAAATAAATAAATGAATAAATTCCCCTAGAATTTTAGAGACTTCATTCCAGTATTGTCTAGCATCTATTGTTGCTAAAATACAATGACAGTTGAATTTTTGTTCTTTTATAGATGTATTGTTTTCATCTTCTCGGGAATTCTTTTTTTTTTTAAACAAAATCTCTGGTGTTCTGAAATTTTTCCATGATGTGCTATGTGTGGTGTTTGAATTTTTTTCTCTATTCAACTTTCCTGGCACTTAGTGAGCCCCTTCAATCCAAAGACTCCCTTCTTTTTAGAACTTCCACTAGTCACATCTTGACCTAGTCCCCTATATCTTATCTTCTCCTTCCCTATATTCTCTTTTTATCTTCCTGGTCTATGTCCTGGGACAGACTACCTGGACTTCTACTTCCAATGCTTATATTGAATTTTTAAAATTTCCTGCAGTAATATTTTTAGTTTCTAAGAGCCTAACTTGTTTTCTGATGTTCCTTTATTATAGTTTCCTGTTCTTACTTTATGGATGCAATATTTTTCAAATTCTGAGAATACATTTTAAAAAAAATAATTAGATGCTTCTCTATTCCCTAGATTCTCCCTGTGACAGTTATTCTTTCCATCTTAGCCTTTTCTTTCCAAGCTTCTGATTAATGCCATGGCTGATGATCCTTGGTTTTCTGTGTATATAGAAAAATGAATTTTAAACTGGGTGCGGTGGCTCACGCCTGTAATCCCAGCACTTTGGGTGGCTGAAGTGGGCAGATCACGAGGTCAAGAGATCGAGACCATCCTGGCCAACATGGTGAAACCCCATCTCTACTAAAAATACAAAAATTAGCTGGGCGTGGTGGCATGCCCCTGTAGTCTCAGCTACTCGGAAGCTGAAGCAGGAGAATCTCTTGAACCCTGGAGGCAGAGGTTGCAGTGAGCCAAGATCGTGCCACTGCACTCCAGCCTGGCAACAGAGTGAGACCCTGTCTCACAAAAAAAAAAAAAAAATTCTAGATTTCAGTTGTAATCTCTCTGCTGTTATGTATGTTTTATTGTGGAGTCTCTCCCCTTGGGATGAGTGAGTGGGAACTATGTAAATGTGGATAGGGTTTGTTACCTAGCAAGTTTTGCTTTAGAATAATGGGTGCCAGCTATTAGATGTCTAGAATGAGAGAAATTTACTTTAGACTACTAATACCCACTCCAGGAACTGTTACTCTCTCCAGGCAGTTCCTTCAATATCTAAGAGATGAGTTTTCTGCCTGGAGGTAAACATAGGGTTTTAGTCACTCTGCATAAAGGTGTGTGTATGCACAGGGAGAGCAAGCAGGAGCAAATGGTAACAGGAGTCTCTGGGGTTCCAGCTGTGCTGGGTACTTTTGTTTTATCTGTCAATATTCATCCATTTTTCATTTTCCAGAAATGTTATAAAAAAAACTTTTATCTGCTGGTGATAATACCCATCCTCCTCTTACTGCTCTCTGTTGTAATGAACTTCATAACTTACTATTATTTTAATGCATTCTCAGGAAGAAGGGGTAACAGATTCATGTGTTTAGTCATCTTAATCCATATTTTGGAAGACAAAACATTTAAAAATCTCAACTTAAAATTTTGTTTCCTTTTACCCAGTCTCATAAAAATATTCCAGAAATTTTACTATCTCAAGCACTAACCTGCATCTTTCAGCCAACTTCTCATTTGGAAATAGCTCAGAAATCTCTTAGAATCTTATTAATACTGACATTCCTCCAGGATATACCTGACTATATGTATCACCTTCTTTCGTGGCAAGAATCCTCCTGTATCTTTCTAGCACACATTCCTTACCATGAGAATGAAGAAGAATGCTTGACCCAGCTGGTGGTATTATATGCTACTGTCTATATTACACTGAAACTATAATATCTTTCATTAATTATGGCCTGACTAGACCCACTGAGTTTCCAAAGATGAAAGAACCTACTTTGTTACTTAACCACATTAAGCCCTAGATTTTTACAAGGGTCCTTATCTCACAGGTGCTAGTTGAAGAAGGCCTCATAAACTTCGTTACTTTGGGAAGCACAGAACATTTTTCAGAAAACCTAGGAGTACTACAGAGCAAAGAATTCAGACATCCTTCAACATTCAACAAATATTTACTAAATGCTTTTTGTATGTCAAGCACTATTCTAGGTATTATGGAATAAAAGACAAAAATCCCTGCCCTTGTGGAACTTTATATTCCATTGAGAAGATACATATAAAAAACAAAGTACATAAACAAAATATATAGTATCCTAAATGATCACTGCAATGGAAAAAAAGCAGAGAAGGAGCATAATGGTATAAAGAAGGGGATTTTGAAATTTTAGATGGAAGGAGGTGACAAAATGCGTATACGGATATCTAAAGGAAAAGCCCTCTGGGCAGGGAGAACAGAAAGTGCAAACACTCTCAGAAAGGGACAGAGATGGTATTAGCAAGGAAGCCAGTGAGACTAGACTTGAGTAAGTTAAAAAAAAAAAAAAAAGAGAGAGAGACTTAATGGGACCAATAATGTAGGGCCTTGCAGAACATTTTATGATTGTCATTTACTAGGGGTAAGGTGAATGCCATTGGAGAGTTTACTATTTTGTTTTTATTTTTTTGAAACAGGGTCTCAAATGTTGCCCAGATTGGTCTCAAACTCCTAGGCTCAAGCAATCCTCATGTCTCAGCCACCCAAAGCACTGAGATTACAGGTGTGAGCCACAGCGCCTGGCAAAAGAGTCTGGAACAGAGTGATGCAACACACTGAAACAGGGTCACATTCTGGCTGACATGTTGAGAACAGACTGAAGGAGAGCAGACAACAAGCAAGGAGACTAGGTAAGAGGCTATGCATTTTCACAGCTGAACTCTCTAATCCATCTCCTTTCCATTCTAGCACTTCCTATGGCTTCATCTAATGGCAATTCGTAACAATGAGAAGTTAGAAATAACGTGATTATTGATATCATGTTCAGACTTCACAACTGTATTTTGATTAGGACAACAATTGAGTATGCAACTTGTATAAGTTGTTCATATAACATTGTTTTAAATTATCTTCATGTGAGACAGTTAACATTGGAATTCACTCATTTCTAACATCCTTGAGGGAAGATATACTTTACGAAAATGAAAGCTGTAATAAAAACATAGAGTAGGCCGGCATGGTAGCTCATGCCTGTAATCCCAGCACTTTGGGAGGCTGAGGCGGACAGATCACATGAGGTCAGTAGTTTGAGACCAGCCTGGTCAACATGGTGAAACCCTGTCTCTACTACAAATAAAAAATTAGCCGGGCATGGTGGCAGGCACCTGTAATCCCAGCTACTTGGGAGGCTGAGGCAGGAGAATCACTTGAATCCAGGAGATGGAGGTTGCAGTGGGCCAAGATCACGTCACTGCACTCCAGCCTGGGCAACACAGCAAGACTCTGTCTCAAAACAAAACAAAGCAAAACAAAACAGCAGAGTGGACTAGAACAGTAAGTAACTTCTACCTATGTGATTTCTGATTCAGGAGCTTCTCATGCCATCAGAAACAGTATAAAACCTTCCATATGTTACCTCCTTAATCATATCAGATAACTATTTTTAGGTTCAGAGGAATAAACCTTTATTTGAGGTCATACAGCTAATAAGTGGGCAATCAGAAATCTAAGACAGGACTTTTAATCTCGTCCAGTGCTTTTTCCACTATGCCATTAATCCTCAGGTCTATGATTCACCAAAGGACTAGGATTTTCAAAGATTATGATGTGCTAGGTTTGAGAGAATGGGCATCTGATTCTTACAGAATGGTATTGCAAATAAGAAAATATGTGCCACTTAGAAGGTACTTTTTTAAAAAAATAATACTTAGAAAGTGGGCAACTACTAGTAACTAGATTTAAATTAATCAGAAAGTTACCTCTGGAAATCATGAGCTATTAATAAAGTCTCATTGGATAAATGAATCACATGGCCCTTTTAACCCATTAACACACACACACACACACACACACACCCCATTATACCCATTTACACATATACATATTCATAGTTCCCTACATGCCTTCCCCCGACCCCAACACACATGCTCACAATTCAAGAGAATATATCTCCTATTTTTAAAAAAGTTGGAGTATATGAAAGAGATTGAAGAAAAAAAAGAAAAACAGAAAATGGCTACAGAAAATGAAAGGATCAGAGCCAAGGTTTAAACATAGAATAAAGAAGTGGGAAGTGAGATGAATTCAGCAACTATCACTGAGCACCTACTCTTCATAAAGCATCCAATTAGAAACACACAGATCACATTTCAGGAATCCCCAGCATAAACAAACCCAGCTACCACACAAAAATCTGCTTAAACCACAACCACACTAAATTCTACTTAAAACCACGTATTTAGGGCCAGGCGTGGTGGCTCACGCCTGTAATCCCAGCACTTTGGGAGGCCAAGGCAGACGGATCACGAGGTCAAGAGATCGAGACCATCCCGGCTAACACAGTGAAACCCCGTCTCTACTAAAAAAAAAAAAAAAAAAAAAAATAGCTGGGTGTGGTAGTCCCAGCTACTCCAAAGACTGAGGCAGGATAATGGCATGAACCTGGGGGGCGGAGCTTGCAGTAAGCCGAGAATGCCCCACTGCACTCCAGCCTGGGTGACAGAGCAGGACTCCGTCTCAAAAAACAAAACAAAGCAAAACACAACACATATTTAGTTCCAAGTCCTAATGTTTAAAGCTATTGCAATTACAGTATCTATTTGTTGAGAACTCTTGCCTCTTTCATGCAAATTGTGACCTTAAAGGAATTTTATATTTTACCAGCTATACTAGGTACAAAAATAATATACCAGAAGAATTTTTACATACACTAATATATTCAGAAGTAAGAGATTTTAGCTCTGGTATTAAGGCAAATCTTAAGGGAAAAAAGAGAACAACAAAAAAGATTAATAGTTCTCAACCATTATAGCTTTCTAGCCATACAATGGGCCTAAATAGGAGGAGCAGAAATCTTTTTTTTTTAATTTTATTATTATTATACTTTAAGTTTTAGGGTACATGTGCACAATGTGCAGGTTAGTTACATATGTATACATGTGCCATGCTGGTGTGCTGCACCCATTAACTTGTCATTTAGCATTAGGTATATCTCCTAAAGCTATCCCTCCCCCCTTCCCCCACCCTACAACAGTCCCCAGAGTGTGATGTTCCCCTTCCTGTGTCCATGTGTTCTCATTGTTCAATTCCTACCTATGACTGAGAATATGCGGTGTTTGGTTTTTTGTTCTTGCGATAGTTTACTGAGAATGATGATTTCCAATTTCATCCATGTCCCTACAAAGGACATGAACTCATCCTTTTTTATGGCTGCATAGTATTCCATGGTGTATATGTGCCACATTTTCTTCATCCAGTCTATCATTGTTGGACATTTGGGTCGGTTCCAAGTCTTTGCTATTGTGAATAATGCCGCAATAAACATACGTGTGCATGTGTCTTTATAGCAGCATGATTTATAGTCCTTTGGGTATATACCCAGTAATGGGATGGCTAGGTCAAATGGTATTTCTAGTTCTAGATCCCTGAGGAATCGCCACACTGACTTCCACAATGGTTGAACTAGTTTACAGTCCCACCAACAGTGTAAAAGTGTTCCTATTTCTCCACATCCTCTCCAGCACCTGTTGTTTCCTGACTTTTTAATGATTGCCATTCTAACTGGTGTGAGATGGTATCTCACTGTGGTTCTGATTTGCATTTCTCGGATGGCCAGTGATGGTGAGCATTTTTTCACGTGTTTTTTGGCTGCATAAATGTCTTCTTTTGAGAAGTGTCTGTTCATGTCCTTCGCCCACTTGTTGATGGGGTTGTGTGTTTTTTTCTTGTAAATTTGTTTGAGTTCATTGTAGATTCTGGATATTAATCCTTTGTCAGATGAGTAGGTTGCGAAAATTTTCTCCCATTTTGTAGGTTGCCTGTTCACTCTGATGGTAGTTTCTTTTGCTGTGCAGAAGCTCTTGAGTTTAATTAGATCCCATTTGTCAATTTTGGCTTTTGTTGCCATTGCTTCTGGTGTTTTAGACATGAAGTCCTTGCCCATGCCTATCTCCTGAATGGTAATGCCTAGGTTTTCTTCTAGGGTTTTTATGGTTTTAGGTCTAACGTTTAAGTCTTTAATCCATCTTGAATTAATTTTTGTATAAGGTGTAAGGAAGGGATCCAGTTTCAGCTTTCTACATATGGCTAGCCAGTTTTCCCAGCACCATTTATTAAACAGGGAATCCTTTCCCCATTGCTTGTTTTTCTCAGGTTTGTCAAAGATCAGATAGTTGTAGATATGCAGCGTTATTTCTGAGGGCTCTGTTCTGTTCCATTGATCTATATCTCTGTTTTGGTACCAGTACCATGCTGTTTTGGTTAGTGTAGCCTTGTAGTATAGTTTGAAGTCAGGTAGCGTGATGCCTCCAGCTTTGTTCTTTTGGCTTAGGATTGACTTGGCGATGCAGGCTCTTTTTTGGTTCCATATGAACTTTAAAGTAGTTTTTTCCAATTCTGGGAAGAAAGTCATTGGTAGCTTGATGGGGATGGCATTGAATCTATAAATTACCTTGGGCAGTAAGGCCATTTTCATACTGATTCTTCCTACCCATGAGCATGGAATGTTCTTCCATTTGTTTGTATCCTCTTTTATTTCATTGAGCAGTGGTTTGTAGTTCTCCTTGAAGAGGTCCTTCACATCCCTTGTAAGTTGGATTGCTAGGTATTTTATCCTCTTTGTAGCAATTGTGAATGGGAGTTCACTCATGATTTGGCTCTGTGTTTGTCTGTTATTGGTGTATAAGAATGCTTGTGATTTCTGTACATTGATTTTGTGTCCTCAGACTTTGCTGAAGTTGCTTATCAGCTTAAGGAGATTTTGGGCTGAGACAATGGGGTTTTCTAGATATACAATCATGTCATCTGCAAACAGGGACAATTTGACTTCCTCTTTTCCTAATTGAATGCCCTTTATTTCCTTCTCCTGCCTAATTGCCCTGGCCCGAACTTCCAACACTATGTTGAATAGGAGTGGTGAGAGAGGGCATCCCTGTCTTGTGCCAGTTTTCAAAGGGAATGCTTCCAGTTTTTGCCCATTCAGTATGATATTGGCTGTGGGTTTGTCATAGATAGCTCTTATTATTTTGAGATACGTCCCATCAATACCTAATTTATTGAGAGTTTTTAGCATGAAGGGTTGTTGAATTTTGTCAAAGGCCTTTTCTGCATCTATTGAGATAATCATGTGGTTTTTGTCTTTGGTTCTGTTTATATGCTGGATTACATTTATTGATTTGCATATATTGAACCAGCCTTGCATCCCAGGGATGAAGCCCACTTGATCATGGTGGATAAGCTTTTTGATGTGCTGCTGGATTCGGTTTGCCAGTATTTTATTGAGGATTTTTGCATCAATGTTCATCAAGGATATTGGTCTAAAATTCTCTTTTTTGGTTGTGTCTCTGCCAGGCTTTGGTATCAGGATGATGCTGGCCTCATAAAATGAGTTGGGGAGGAATCCCTCTTTTTCTATTGATTGGAATAGTTTCAGAAGGAATGGTACCAGTTCCTCCTTGTACCTCTGGTAGAATTCGGCTGTGAATCCATCTGGTCCTGGACTCTTTTTGGTTGGTAAGCTATTGATTATTGCCACAATTTCAGAGCCTGTTATTGGTCTGTTCAGAGAGTCAACTTCTTCCTGGTTTAGTCTTGGGAGGGTGTATGTGTCGAGGAATGTATCCATTTCTTCTAGATTTTCTAGTTTATTTGCTTAGAGCTGTTTGTACTATTCTCTGATGGCAGTTTGTATTTCTGTGGGATCGGTGGTGATATCCCCTTTATCATTTTTTATTGCGTCTATTTGATTCTTCTCTCTTTTCTTTATTAGTCTTGCTAGCGGTCTATCAATTTTGTTGATCCTTTCAAAAAACCAGCTCCTGGATTCATTGATTTTTTGAAGGGTTTTTTGTGTCTCTATTTCCTTCAGTTCTGCTCTGATTTTAGTTATTTCTTGCCTTCTGCTAGCTTTTGAATGTGTTTGCTCTTGCTTTTCTAGTTCTTTTAATTGTGATGTTAGGGTGTCAATTCTGGATCTTTCCTGCTTTCTCTTGTGGGCATTTAGTGCTATAAATTTCCCTCTACACACTGCTTTGAATGTGTCCCAGAGATTCTGGTATGTTGTGTCTTTGTTCTCGTTGGTTTCAAAGAACATCTTTATTTCTGCCTTCATTTCATTATGTACCCAGTAGTCATTCAGGAGCAGGTTGTTCAGTTTCCATGTAGTTGAGCGGTTTTGAGTGAGTGTCTTAATCCTGAGTTCCAGTTTGATTGCACTGTGGTCTGAGAGACAGTTTGCCATAATTTCTGATCTTTTACATTTGCTGAGGAGAGCTTTACTTCCAACTATATGGTCAATTTTGGAATAGGAGTGGTCTGGTGCTGAAAAAAATGTATATTCTGTTGATTTGGGGTGGAGAGTTCTGTAGATGTCTATTAGGTCCGCTTGGTGCAGAGCTGAGTTCAATTCCTGGGTATCCTTGTTAACTTTCTGTCTCATTGATCTGTCTAATGTTGACAGTGGGGTGTTAAAGTCCCCCATTATTATTGTGTGGGAGTCTAAGTCTCTTTGTAGGTTACTCAGGACTTGCTTTATGAATCTGGGTGCTCCTGTATTGGGTGCATATATATTTAGGATAGTTAGCTCTTCTTGTTGAATTGATCCCTTTACCATTATGTAATGGCCTTCTTTGTCTCTTTTGATCTTTGTTGGTTTAAAGTCTGTTTTATCAGAGACTAGAATTGCAACCCCTGCCTTTTTTTGTTTTTCATTTGCTTGGTAGATCTTCCTCCATCCTTTTATTTTGAGCCTATGTGTGTCTCTGCACATGAGATGGGTTTCCTGAATACAGCACACTGATGGGTCTTGACTCTTTATCCAATTTGCCAGTCTGTATCTTTTAATTGGAGCATTTAGTCCATTTACATTTAAAGTTAATATTGTTATGTGTGAATTTGATCCTGTCATTATGATGTTAGCTAGTTATTTTGCTCATTAGTTGATGCAGTTTCTTCCTAGCCTCGATGGTCTTTACAATTTGGCATGATTTTGCAGTGGCTGGTACCAGTTGTTCCTTTCCATGTTTAGTGCTTCCTTCAGGAGCTCTTTTAGGGCAGGCCTGGTGGTGACAAAATCTCTCAGCATTTGCTTGTCTGTAAAGTATTTTATTTCTCCTTTACTTATGAAGCTTAGTTTGGCTGGATATGAAATTCTGGGTTGAAAATTCTTTTCTTTAAGAATGTTGAATATTGGCCCCCACTCTCTTCTGGCTTGTAGAGTTTCTGCTGAGAGATCCGCTGTTAGTCTGATGGGCTTCCCTTTGTGGTAACCCAATCTTTCTCTCTGGCTGCCCTTAACATTTTTTTCCTTCATTTCAACTTTGGTGAATCTGACAGTTATGAGTCTTGGAGTTGCTCTTCTCGAGGAGTATCTTTGTGGCGTTCTCTGTATTTCCTGAATCTGAATGTTGGCCTGCCTTGCTAGATTGGGGAAGTTCTCCTGGATAATATCCTACAGAGTGTTTTCCATCTTGGTTCCATTCTCCCCCTCACTTTCAGGTATACCAGTCAGACATAGATTTGGTCTTTTCACATAGTCCCATATTTCTTGGAGGCTTTGTTTGTTTCTTTTTATTCTTTGTTCTCTAAACTTCCCTTCTTGCTTCATTTCATTCGTTTCATCTTCCATCACCGAAACCCTTTCTTCCGGTTGATCACATCGGCTCCTGAGGCTTCTGCATTCTTCACGTAGTTTTCGAGCCTTGGCTTTCAGCTCCATCAGCTCCTTTAAGCACTTCTCTGTATTGGTTATTCTAGTTATACATTCTTCTAAATTTTTTTCAAAGTTTTCAACTTCTTTGCCTTTGGTTTGAATTTCCTCCTGTAGCTCAGAGTAATTTGATCGTCTGAAGCCTTCTTCTCTCAACTCGTCAAAGTCATTCTCCGTCCAGCTTTGTTCCATTGCTGGTGAGGAGCTGAGTTCCTTTGGAGGAGGAGAGGCGTTCTGCTTTTTAGAGTTTCCAGTTTTTCTGCTCTGTTTTTTCCCCATCTTTGTGGTTTTATCTACTTTTGGTCTTTGATGATGGTGATGTACAGATGGGTTTTTGGTGTGGATGTCCTTTCTGTTTGTTAGTTTTCCTTCTAACAGACAGGACCCTCAGCTGCAGGTCTGTTGGAGTTTGCTAGAGGTGCACTCCAGACCCTGTTTGCCTGGGTACCAGCAGCGGTGGCTGCAGAACAGCAGATTTTCGTGAACCGTGAACGCTGCTGTCTGATCGTTCCTCTGGAAGTTTTGTCTCGGAGGAGTACCCAGCCGTGTGAGGTGTCAGTCTGCCCCTACTAGGGGGTGCCTCCCAGTTAGGCTGCTCGGGGGTCAGGGGTCAGGGACCCACTTGAGGAGGCAGTCTGCCCGTTCTCAGATCTCCAGCTGCGTGCTGGGAGAACCACTGCTCTCTTCAAAGCTGTCAGACGGGGACATTTAAGTCTGCAGAGGTTACTGCTGTCTTTTTGTTTGTCTGTGCCCTGCCCCCAGAGGTGGAGCCTACAGAGGCAGGCAGGCCTCCTTGGGCTGTGGTTGGCTCCACCCAGTTCGAGCTTCCCAGCTGCTTTGTTTACCTAAGCAAGCCTGGGCAATGGCGGGCGCCCTTTCCCCAGCCTTGCTGCTGCCTTGCAGTTTGATCTCAGACTGCTGTGCTAGCAATCAGCGAGACTCCGTGGCCATAGGACCCTCCGAGCCAGGTGCGGGATGTAATCTCCTGGTGCGCCGTTTTTTAAGCCCGTCGGAAAAGCGTAGTACTGGGGTGGGAGTGACCTGATTTTCCAGGTGCTGTCTGTCACCCCTTTCTTTGACTAGGAAAGGGAACTCCCTGACCCCTTGTGCTTCCCGAGTGAGGCAATGCCTCGCCCTGCTTCGGCTCGCGCACGGTGCGCTGCACCCACTGTCCTGTGCCCACTGTCTGGCACTCCCTAGTGAGATGAACCTGGTACCTCCGATGGAAATGCAGAAATCACCCGTCTTCTGCGTCACTCACGCTGGGAGCTGTAGACCAGAGCTGTTCCTATTCGGCCATCTTGGCTCCAGCGGAACAGAAATCTTAAATACAGTCAGAGTTTTGCTGGTTTGATTAAAGACAAAAATATTGACAGCAAGGACTCTAGAATTTCACAAAACAATGAGTTGTTTCAAAAACTGTCTATTATTTTCTAGTTCAAGAAGTTGATTCTTCCCCTAATTTCCTAGCACACATCACATTAATGCCATGTGTTATCCAATTAATTAAAATGTAGGGTATTAAAGTCAGATGGATTGGACATATGATTCAACTGAATGATTTATAAAGGGATACACAGCATGACTGAAAATTTCAGAATTACTCTTTAAAGGTTCTTAAAAATATTTCCTACCTGAGGGGCATTTGTAGCCACTAGAAATGCATTTGTCCTCCCTGGGTGATCATAATCATGCATGGCAGCTGCCACGTATAGAGCCATCAATTCTAATGCAGGAATGTTTGAAGACAGGCAGCCATAACTCTCATCAGGATTAGAGCAGCTCTTCGAAGAAATATAAGCAATTCGCCCATGGTTAATTCTACCATCAGAATCTGAGAAACAATAAATAGCAAAATAAACCAGCATTAGCACATAAATTCCTCACAATTTTGCTATGGAGGGGATTCTCATAGGTAATATGCTTACTTATTTTATTTGCTGATTTAAGTAAGAACTAAAATCTATGAACTTAAAAGAGTATATTATTCCCAATTTAACATGTTAGTAGAGAGGAACAGTGTTAAATCTGACCCTGAAGTTGCTTACTTTACAAGACGTGATAGGATTCTCACACAAGTTTGATGCTTACTCAGGCAAATAATAATTTTAAAAACCTCTGATTTTCTAAATATTTGCTGTTTAATGACTAGATAGATACAATGGCCAGGATATATGATATAACAGAAAAAGGCAATACTAGAGAATAAAATTTGATGAAAACATTACAAAGATTTAGGAATTTAATATCTTACCAAACTAAGCTTCTCTACATAGATGCTTTTCAAATCTCATCCGGAAAGATTACATTTCATTTGTAGCCCTAACTACAACTCCTTATCTCCCTTTTGTTTTCTTTCATGAAGCTCCATATAATATAACGGAATAAAAAATAGTGGAAAATGAAAAGGCATGGAAAACTGGGGAACATCTCAGTCAACATAACTCTATTTTTATCCTCTTCTTAGAAACAATATGTTCACTATCCACACTGTGCTTCTGGTGTCTTAATATCTTACCATTGATTTCTTCTTTTTTGGTGGCTTTATCTATCTAGATGATCATTCTATTATTTTTGCAAAAGAAACCTTTAAAAAGTATAAGAAGGAAAAAGAAACTATATTTAAAGTAGACACATAAAACCACAGATATTAGGTACAAAGTTTCCTTGGTTGTATTCATTGGGGGAACCTAGAAATAATGCTCTGGCTTGTTAAAGTCCAAAAGAATTATTTAATCCTATTTTAGTTGACTCAATACACCATCACAAGAATTTTTTAACATGACTTTAATACACTAGTGACAATTATAAATATATCTCATTATTTTCATGCTATTTATAATTTGTATCAAAATTAAGTTTTGGAATAGCCCACACTAGAGCATTTTTTTAAAATTTATGTTTTTAGAGATGGGGTCTTGCTATGATGCCCAGGTTGGAGTGCAGCAGCTAGCTATTCATAGGTCCAATCGTAATAGTACGCTACACCCTCTAATTCCTCATCTCAATTGACCTGCCCTCAGCCACCTGAGTAGCTTGGACTAGAGTTATGTACCACTACACCGGCTTAGAGCTATTTTTTAAATAATTATAAAAAGCAAACATGAGGCAGTTAAATTATATGCATAATGATATATGTAAGCACTCAAATTTCTAATAAGACTTTAAATATCAATACAGAGTCAATAATTTGAATTTTCCTATGTGATACACATTCTGGACTTTCCCTACAATTTTAAAATATATTTTAAAAATCAAACATGGCAAAATATTTCCTTTTAAATTCAGTAATTACTTGGAATTTATATATTAGGATCTTAAAACATTAGCTTATATATGTTTCCAAAAAAATAACAGTACAAAAAAGAACACAGTTGGCAAGGGCAATGAAACATAACTACTTAGAATCCCATTTATTCACTTCGTTTCAGAAAACTGTGATTTTAAAAATTTGCTGACACATTTAAAAGGACGCCTCAGTAAAAGACATCCAGATTGGAAATGAAGATGCAAAACTATCTTTATTCACAGATGGCCTAATCTCGTATATGTAGGAAATCCCAAGAAATCTACTGAAAAACTATTAGAACTAATAAATTAGTTCATCAAGTTAGCAGGGAACAAGATAAACATGCAAAAATCAATTGCATTTCTACATACTTAGCAACAAAAAAAATGACATTTTTAGAGAAATAGAAAAAAAAATTCATATGGCACCACAAAAACATTCCAAGTAGCCAAAGCAATCTTGAGCAAAAAGAACAAAGCTGGAGGCATCAGACTACCTGATTTCAAAATCTATTACAAAGCGATAGTAATCAAAACAGCATGGGCCAGGCACGGTGGCTCATGCCTATAATCCCACCACTTTGGGAGGCCGAGGCAGGTGGATCACTTGAGCTCAGGAGTTCTAGACCAGCCTGAGAAACATGGTGTTTTCTTTCCCTTCACCTTTAGCCATGATTGTAAGTTTCCTGAGGCCTCTCCAGCCATGCCTCCTGTACAGCCGCAGAATTGTGACTCAATTAAGCCTCTTTCCTTCACAAATTACTCAGTCTCAGGTATTTCCTTATAGCAATGTCAGAACAGACTAATACACTTAGCTGTTGTGTGCATAAACCCACGGAATAAGAACTGGAGTTCATAGGGAAAGAGACTGATCGCTATAAGATAAGAGATCATTTTGTCCACCTGATCATCAAGAGCCTTCTTTGCAGTGAATGGCCTTTGGCAAATATTATATATTAGTGAGGGTTATTCATATATATATATGAATATATATAATTCATATATATATTTTATATATATATATAGAGAGAGAGAGAGAGGGAGAGAGAGAGAGATTTATTTTAAGGAACTTGCTCATGAAATTAAGGAGGCTGGCAAATCCAAAATCTGCAGGGTGGGCTGATTGGCTAAAGACCCAAGGAAGAGCTGATATTCCAGTTCAAGTCTGAAGGCTGTCTACTGGTGGAATTCCTGTTTGCTCAGAGGAGGTCACTCTTTGTTTCTATTAAGGCCTTCAACTGACTGGATGAGGCCCACCGACCTTATGGAGGGTTATCTGCTTTACTTAAAGTCCATCAATTTAAATGTTAATCTCATCCAAAAAATACCCTGAAGGAAATATTAAAATTAATGTCTGACCAAATATGTAGGTACTACTGCCCAGCCAAGCTGACATGTAAAATTAAGCATCATAGTAAGCATTCACATCGCAAACAAATATCCACCTTCCACTCTGGGAAGGTTAGCCATAAACCCCCTAACTAAAACACCTTGTCCAATTAAAAACTCCAATTTTAAAATATTTTTCCTTCTAAGTCCCAAAGCATCCAAGGAAGCTCTTAGCTACTGATCATAAATCAGTACAGATCCTTTCAGCTGGCCATGTCTCTTTCTTGACCAACTGATTCACCGCTTGACCTGCTCACTGGAAGGATTTACCTTATTACCTTTCAAAAGATACCTTTGAGTGATCCTACAATGCTGTAGCTATCCACTTTGAGGAAGTACTGGCATATTGGGCAGAACTATTTATAAACCAGGGCAACTGGTCTTTCTCTTTAAGTCAACTGGTCATAGGGAATTCCCCACAAAGCCGTAACTATGGATTAAGGAAGAGGTATTGGTGTATTAGGAATAAATGTCATGGAAGTCTGAACTTACATTCTGTGCTTTTAGGAGCAACTCAAAACTAATCTTGTAAGTAATTCTTCCCCTTGATGATTGAGAACTACTGCACATGACAAATTTATGAACTGGAGGATCAGAGGGCCCCAAATTCATTATGGGCAGGTAACATGGTAATCTAGTGCCCATGGCCAAGTATTCAGATTCTACCAAAGTGCAACAACAATTTAGCTGCTTTTACAGAAAGGAAAATAATTATTTGAGGAAAGCTGCCTGGTTTTGTTTCAAAACTCCATGTATTTACACTGTAATTATCTTGTAGTGGTCTTCTAGAGACTCCAAAGGGGATCTCTATCTGCAAAAGACATTTTCTTTTGGCAGTCAGATGGAAAAATGGCAGAGTAATTTGCACAACGAGTAGAAATTGCTTCACATGCTTCTCTTGCTCTGGGTTGCACATACAGCCTTACAGTAGTATTTTGGAGCAATAGTACTCAGAAGTCATGAATTTGCCTTCAGAATCCAAAGAGCCCTTTATGTAGAGAATTTCAAATGTATCAGTTATCCCTCAACTCGGAGGAAATATCTCAACATGTCCTAGACCACTGGATCCCTAGTATACTTCAATGATATGACAGATCTCTGAATTTTTTAGCAATTTTTCTCATCTCTCATCTTCTGGCACTCTTATGAAGGCATCTAGGATATCTGTTACTTCTTGCTCAATGGAGCTATTCATCATTATCTCATCAATGTAATGGCTGACCTTGATAACTTACGGGAACAGACTAGATTATAACAGAGAATGAAAGACTTGACATAGCCCAGAACTAAGACAATAGAAGTGTATTGTGATGCCTGCCAGATGTAAATATATGTCTTCTTGTGAATTTTGCTATGAGTTATGGAGGAAAAACAACTCTCCAGATCAATTGCTCTGTGCCAAATATCACAAGTTAGGTTAACTTATTAAAAGAAGAGACCACATCTGGAACAGCTGTAGCAACTAGAGTAACCACCTGATTACATTGAGAATAATCCACCATCATTTTCCAGGATCTACTTATCCTGTGTAAAAGCTATATAATTAAGTTGAACAGCAATGTGATGGAAATCACCATTCCTGCATCTATTAAGTATTTGCTAGTAGCACTGATTTCTGCAACTCATCTAGGAATGTGGTATACTGCTTTTGGTTCACTGTTTTGCCAGAATGAGGCAATTCCTGGAGATTCCATTTGATCCTTCCTACAACGATGGTCCTCTTTCCAAAGATCAAGGAATTGATGAAGGGATTCTGACAGTTGCTGAATATGTTTACTCAAACTATACATTCAGAAAATGGGTGTGGTTCTGCTAACTACCATTATGAGATGAACCCAGGCCAAAATCCTTTTATCACCTAAATTCCATAGGCCCCTAACTCTGGCTGTAGGACCAGCATAGCATTTCACTCTCCAGGAATTAATGCTGAAATATATTTCTCACCACTGTGATAAAGGAGGATACTTCTTGGGGATAAAATTAGGGATGGGTGATAAAATTGAATATGATCACCCCATTT
Source organism: Homo sapiens (assembly GCF_000001405.40). Lineage (NCBI taxonomy): Eukaryota > Metazoa > Chordata > Mammalia > Primates > Hominidae > Homo > Homo sapiens. Next base: position 14,838,963 of record NC_000011.10, on the reverse strand, counting down.
CAACATCTTAACATTGTGAGCTTCTGGATTCCTTCCTCTACAGTATACAAGGAGTTTCAACAATTCTACTTCATCTGATGCCTATACTTTAGACAACTCATGAGGCAAACTGTTAGAGCCACTGCCAGTTGCTCAAGCTAATACACTGACTCCAGAATCTCTGGTAGGTACATCTTCCTTTCTCCCTGGTCTAACACCCTTAAGTCTATTCAGACATATATCCCCCAGGTTTCTACCAATATGAATTGGTAAATTATTCTGGTGTTCAGACTTAATACTTATTCCCCTAAGATCTGCAGGATTTAAGTTTAATTATGGATCTCAAAGAAATGAGTGACAGTGGAGTTGGATTTAGAAGTGAATTATTTCCCTATAAATCAAGAATCTCAAGTGAGGTAATTACAGGGTTTTCAGGCAATCAACACAAGGAGAAATGACTGCTTCCCAGCATGAAGAATCAGCAGGATTTGGGGAATACAAGGCAACATTTATTTAAATCTATCCAAATGATCTCTTTTTGATTATCAGGATCCTTTATTTCCCATTTGATATCTTAATTCTAACATAAGAAGTCTACTGAGGCCACAAACTCATTTGCATTGTATTTCAAGCAACTTCAGGATCAGACATTGGGTTTTATTTTCAGAAGTTATGATCCTATTACTATAAAAAATAAGGGTTTCTTGGCCGGGCACAGTGGCTCACACCTATAATCCCAGCACTTTGGGAGGCCGAGGCGGGCAAATCACGAGGTCGGGAGATCGAGACCATCCTGGCTAACACGGTGAAAACCCGTCTCCACTAAAAATACAAAAAATTAGCCGGCCATGGTGGCAGGGCGCCTGTGGTCCCAGCTACTCGGGAGGCTGAGGCAGGAGAATCGCATGAACCCAGGAGGCGGCGCTTGCACTGAGCCGAGATCGCGCCACTGCACTCCAGCCTGGGCGACAAAGTGAGACTCCGTCTCAAAAAAAAAATAAAATAAAATAAATTAAAAAAAAAATAAGGGTTTCTTTTAGGTCAGTCAGAGATGCTACCTGGTTCTCCAACCATTAATTACAGCCCTAAACTTGTCATTTATTTTCCATTAGTTCTCCAGTGCAGTGAGAATAGGACAGCACATCCCATGGTCCTTCTTGTCTTAGTTTTCATCATAATTTTCCATTGCAATAGCTATTTGGTTTCCCAAAGCTACTTGGTTTCCTTTCTTCTACAGATACTTGGCTCCATAACACTATGTATGAGAACTCATAACACTGCTAGTAAGAACTCAGAAGGAAGTGTGCAGCATGAGAGAGAAAACATATATTGTCTTAGAGAATACTATACCTAAGTCATTGAGAACAGACTGGAGATAGAAAAATGGTCATTAAGGTCATTGCCAATGAATGCTCAGAAGGAAATGAGAAACATGTTATTGGAAACTAGAGGCAAGGGAATCCGTGTTACACAGTAACAGAAAATTTGGCTGAATTAGGTGTTGCAGTTATGTGGAATACAAAACTTACAAATGATAACTTAGACATTTAGTTGAGGAAATTTCCAAGCAAAGCATTGAAGGTGTAGTCTGGTTTCTTACTGTTTATAGTAAATATGAGAGGAAAAAGAAAGATTGGGGGAGAACTCGTAAGCAAAGAGGAATAAGGACTTGATAATTCAGGAAATTCTCAGCCTATCCAGACTACAAGAGAGACTAAAATTAAGAGAGTCACTGTCAGTTAAGTGTGTTCTGCACAGAAAGCCAAGGTTGCAGAGCTGGATTGATTTTCACTAGTTCCTTGGAAAGATCAAAAGGTCAGGGTCAAAAAGAAATTTGAAGATGTTATGCTGCTGTCTTTAAAGAATGGGCCGGCCAGACACAGTGGCTCACGCCTGTAATCCTAACACTTTGAGAGGCTGAGGTGGGCGGATTGCCTGAGCTCAGGAGTTCCAGACCAGCCTGGGCAACATGGTGAAACCCCATCTCTACTAAAATACGAAAAATTAGCCAGGCATGGCAGCGTGCATCTGTAGTCCCAGCTGCTTGGGAGACTGAGGCAGGAGAATTGCTTGAACCCGCCTAGGAGGCGGAGGTTGCGGTGAGCCGAGATCAAGCCACTGTACTCTGGCCTGGGTGACTGAGTGAGACACCGTCTCCAAAATAAACAAAGAAAGAAAGAAAGAAAGGGCCATGAGCCAAGGAGTGTAATTGGAGGAGGCAAGGAAACAAATTCTCCTCTAGAGTATATAGGAGAAAAATAGTTCTGTTGATGCCTTGATTTTACTCCAGTGAAGCCTTTTTTGGACTTCTGACCTCCAGAACTGTAAGATAATAAATTTGTGTGGTTTTCAGTGACTAAATTTCTGGTAACTTATTACAGCAGCAATAGGAAACTAATACAGACTTTTGGCACCTAGAAGTGAGGTACTGATGTGACAAACACCTAAAAATGTGGGAGCGGCTTTGGAATTAGACAATGGAGAGGCTGAATTTTGAAGAGCATGATAGAAACCAGTAAAAAACTACCAATCAACATATTCAAAAGGTTCACTAAACATCAGGCAGGATTAATACAAAAAAAAATTACATGAGTACATCATAGTTAAAATGCTAAAAACCAATAGGAAAGAGAAAAAGGAACATATTATATTTATATATTATATTTCTCAATATGACCTAAGTCTTGACTTGTCAGCAAAAACTGTGAAAGTCACAAGATTATGGAATAATACCTTCAAACATGCTAAAATATAAATATATTCTTCTAAGACAAAATGACAGCTAAAACAAAAAAGTTGAAGAAAATTATCTCTAATAAAAGCACAGGACTGGTGGAAGGAATGAAGGGCACTAGAAAGAATAAATACAGATGGCAGACAAAAATGAACCAGTGACATAAAGCAAATCCATTAAACAAATAATGCATACTTTAGACTCAACTACCAAAATGTAAAAAGTAATATCAGTGGTTGAGTCTATGACATTTACACTGGTTAGTATGGTAATGTTATTTCTCAAGTATTGGTAACTGAGCAAATTCTGTCTTGATATATGTCAGTGCAATGACATAATCATGGCTCACTGCAGCCTTGAACTCCTGGGCTCAAGAGATCCTCCCACCTCAGCCTTCTGAGTAGCTAGGACAGGTGTGTGTCACCACATCCAGCTAAATTTTTTAAAAATTTTTTTGTAGAGATGGGGTCTTGCTTTGTTGCCTAGGCTGGTTTCAAACTCCTGGCCTCAAGTGATCCTCTTGCCTAAGCCTGTAGAAGTGCTAGATTATAGGCATGAGTCACCAGGCCTGGCCCTTTTAATAAGCTAGAATAAGAGAACTATAAATGTTATGATTCATTGTATTTATATAAACTATTATATTTATGATAAGGAATAGCATTAACTTTTTTGGAAGCAAAATTTGTTTATAAAAGTTTTTAATGTCATCATTGAAATACTTTGCAAGGCTTTTGAAAATGTTCTCTTTGGTTTTTGAATGTTATGTATTTTAAATGTATGTGATGTACTTGAAACAAAAAAAAAATTTTTTTTAAAAAAACAAAGGACTAATTATCATAATATTCGGGATAGTGGCTACCTCAGTGAGGAAAACAAAAGAATGGGGGAAAGAAGGAAACATGATAGATCCAGCAGTACTGAATATTAATCTATCTTTAAGATGGGTATCAGGTTTAAAATTTTTCATGTCATTATTATGCATCAAAACTTACACAGTAGAACTTGGGGATAAGTGGTTAAAAAAACGTACACAGTCCTTCGTATGTACTAAACGGTTACTTAATGAAAAACTTAAAAGAACAGAGGTAATGAAATGAGAAAGCTTGATTTACTATTCCTGATCAAAATAATTAAGAGATTTGTAGAAGGAAGTACCTGTTTCATTTCCTGTTCCACAACCATTGTGGATCTGCTGTAAGCCAGGAACTGGCCGTGTTGTCAGATACCAAACTGCATGTAGCACATCTGTGGCATGTATACGATTGTGATCTAAAGTCACCAAAACGTTTTTCTGTTAGGTTTAACACACAACATTTAAAAAGTACAATAATTTCCTAGTCATACTATATCCTCATAAAAAAGATGTGACAGACTAATTCCCCACAATTGAATTTTATTTCATCTAAAGTCTCTTGATGTATTAAAAAAAATATCTTTTAAAAACTTTCCCATATACTATGAAAACATAGTAAAGGTGCCAAAGAAAAGGCAGGATAACCAAGGAGTATTGAAAGGCATTGGAAAATGTTCTCAAGGTGGCTATTTTCTGGCTTTCAAAAATATCATGTAGTGTCTGGATTACAGAGACCCATGTTTGCACACAAAACAGTTTTGTACACAGAACAGTTACAAATTCTGGTTACTTACATTTGTGTCCCCCACAAAAAGGTCAGAAATACTATGTCTCAGGCTTGCCACAGGAATTAAATACTAAATATGTGAAAGCATCCAGCACAGTGTCTGACACATCATATATGATCAATAAAACATCTATTTCCTGAAATTCAACTATGTGAAAAGGCAATGTGGCATAGTGTAAAGAGTATAGGCTTCAGAACTCAGATAGACCTAAAACTGAAACACTACTTTGGTATCTAGTTTTATAATCTTGGGAAAGATCCTTCTGAGTTTACTTCTCACCTATAAAAGTTAGATAATACAACTTTGCCAAAAAAGATTGAATAAGATAACCTATGTGAATCTAATGATTGCAGTTAATGTCGATATCCAATAAAAATTTAACACTTCAACAAATATTTAATGTGTATGTATGCATTAGTAGATAAAATAATATTGTTTTGCCTATAGATATGACATGGCGTACACTGGGAACTTAATTATTATTAATAAATCACCACCTTTTACTAACAATTTACTAAGTGTCATGAATTCTGATACGTGCTTTACATTAATTATCTTATATTAGTACTACCTATGGAGTAGGTACTATTGTTATTCTCATTCACAAATTTTTAAAGTTTAGAAAAGTTAGGTCCAGAGACTATTTTCTTAACTAATGTATCCTAACTGAAGCTGACAGTGAAGACTCCTTACCACCTCTTTCTTTTCGTTCCATTTCCCTTGAAGTCCATCTTAAAGTATCCCTATATTCCATTTATAAAATCCAACCACTTTTTTGAATGCACAATATATAAGTGGAAATTATAGTATATGTAACTCATCTTAAATTATTAAACATTATTAGTGAGTTATGCCAATTGAAGAATAATTCACTATTTATAGAATTAATTTCTCAAAAATGTGTCCACATGGAGGGAAACTGTAGACAATATATAAAGACAGTCCATCTTTTTCTAATATGAAACTCAAATTATATTCAAACATAATATATAATAGCCATTAAATTATTCCATAAATCAGAACACAGTTAAAAACTGAAATTAGATGATCAATTTTAAGCATTTTTAAGTGAATGATTTTCTGAAACTCTTGACTAACTTTTAAAAAGATAAAGTACACAGGCAATTAATTTTAAAAATAGAAAGATGTATACTGTATAACAACCAGGTGAAAAAGCAGATCATAAATATGTATCAATATTATGACCACCTTTACAAAAAATAAATTTATGTAAGAACTCTTGGAGAATATATACCAAAATGTTAACAAAAAACAGACAAAATGTTAACAGTAGTCAGTTAAATCTAGGTAGTATAATACAAATATTCTTTTTAAAACTCCATTTAAAAATTTTTCAGGCCAGGCGCGGCAGCTGACGTCTATAATCGCAGCACTTTGGGAGGCCAAGGCAGGTGGATCACCAGAGGTCAGGAGTTCAGCACCAGCCTGGCCAACATGGTGAAACCCCATCTCTACTAAAAATATAAAAAATTAGCTGGGTGTGGTGGCGGGCACCTGTAATCCCAGCTACCTGCGAGGGCCAAGACAGGAGAATCACTTGAACGTGGGGGGCGGAGGTTGCAGTGGGCCAAGATCGCGCCATTGCACTCCAGCCTGGACGACAAGATCAAGACTCTTGTCTCAAGAAAAAAAAAAAAGAAAATTTCAAACAAGCAGTTTTAAAAGTGTTTAAGGGACCATCTGAAGAGAAAGATGATAAAGAGTTTCAAAACCCATATTATTTGAACTTAAATAATAAAATATGTTAATACTTACAAGGAATGTCTCGATAGCCATTTTCTAATGCACGAAAATAGTTCATAAATTGTTGAGTGGGAATTTTAAATATTTCCAATAAACCAGTGTCTTGAAATAAGGTATACATAACCTAAATGTCAATTAAAATAAAGTTTACTTTAAAAATCAGAATTTCTATTTGTAGCTGAGTATAATGTTTTTGTGATTTGTATTCTGGAATGTTAACCATGTATTAATATACGTCTTTAATAATTTATTTAAAACTTGCCTACAATTAATTCTTTCAAAAAAATCAGAATGGAAGATGTCACCCTAAAGCCACTGAAAATTAAAGAAGGCTTACCATACATATCATGTCCCAATTTTTAATTTTTCCATTCTTCTCCTTAGCTTTTTATTCCTAATTTACTGAAGGTCATGTGAATTCTATTCTAATCTAGTCCTGGGTATTAAAAACAAAATTCAAAACAATACTAAGTTTATCACATTTTTATCCCTAAGAACTTCAATTAAATGAACTTATATATTTCACAAAATTTATCCTTACGTTTTTGCATTTCATAAATAAGATATGAAAGTAATTAATGAGAGTAATATTTTGGGGCAGTTAATCTGATGCTGTTATGCGGACCCATCAGGTATAACCCTGAGTCTGGGTGGTAAAATCAAAGTACTTTCCCATGGTTCTAGCATGAAATGAATCATCCGGCCTTGGGTAAAGTATAGGGAGTGCAGGTGAAAAAAATGAAGCTTAAATTGCAATGGTTAGAACTAGATGATATTTTCATATCCTTTTCAACCTCCACATTCAAGAAAATGTAAATCTTTATTATTTCTTTGGCATAAATTAAATCCCATTAATATGGTCAAATAAACTACTTGTCATATATATAATAGTATGATCTACATCTTATATATAATTGTTTTATGTATATATTTATTTTTTTCTGAAAAAAATAATGAACAATGTCATTGTTGAACTAGTGCTTAAACCATTACATATTAGATTTTGCTTTTTATAAAGATTTAAGAAAAATTAATTTACAGTTAAAAAGTAGATATTTGAAAGCAAACCTGACTGAGAATCCTTCCTGATTTCTCTCCCATCTTTTCTACAAGTTCAAAAATTGGAAAATTCCAGTTGCTCATCTTTTCTATTAATGAGTCATACTCTTCTACTAAAATCAGGTCCAGTGATACTTCCTGTTCAATCTGTACATACAGGGAAACAACAACTTTATTTTATCTTTTATAAATACTGTAAAATATATATTACAATGAGAACACTTAGGATTAAACATTTAAAAAAGTCAGTACTATTTTCTATAATGGTTATTCTTAAATATAGTCTTATCTGCCCTTCTAATTTCTCTTTCTAGAATGTTATCTTCAAAAACTAAAAACATAACTCCTGGGTGTAAGACTTATTAATCTTCTTATATTACTTTTATGAATAAAAGTATTATATTTCCAAATTACTACACAAATCCAAAGTCTATTATTTTCATTTTAGTAGTTACAGGTATCAAAGGGTAAGAGGAAAAAAAACCATATCCTTATATTGGCATTTATTACCAGGATAATTTTTCAAAAGAAATAGGTGTTTCTTTTCCTTAAAAGCCTAAATTTTGAAATTTAAGAACAAAACTATATTGCCATTATAAATACATTGTTTTCATTGTTTTTAGTAACATGCACATATTCTCTATACCTTCACATACGCAAAAGAAAATATCAGAATAGAAAATAATATATTTTATATAAAACTAAATAAAATATGTTCATTTAAAACTGAATGCAGTTTGTTGCTTTAGGATGATAGAATTAGAACAAGTTACTGTATTATTTGTAACCCAAGCAATATTTCAGTTATAGTGACTTATAAGTAAAAAAATTAAAAAATACTACTATATTAAAAATCTTGTTCTGGGCAAAAGTAATGAAACCAGTACTAACAGTATTATATTTCACCTTAACATAATCATATTGAAAGTTTATCTTTTACATTTGTTTGCTGTTCACTCTGTGCCTCTTCTGTTAGCCACTTATCACCTTCCTGAAATAATTTTCTGCTGTCTTTCTTCTCTGTTTCCTCTTCTTGTTGAGTTTCCATAAGTTTGAATGATTCTTTCGAGAAAATGTTTTCTTCTTCACCTTTCAAAAAATATATATAGTAATATATAGGAGTAAAATGTGCCCTATATGTACAGCTTTACATGAAAAATAATTGTTAAAAATATTTAGATAAAATGAATCATAATGGAGTTCAATCTAAATTATTTCACGATACCATTAAGTTGTATCTTCCTGTGCTATTTTGCCTAGATACCTTATGCTCAGGCAACAAAGACACTTCCTGTATTGGACTCACCTTTCATATCTACTCATGGATGCTAAGTGGATATTCTTTATAAAAGTGAGAAAAAGAAAAAGTTCCTATCAATAGAAATTTTCTTACCAATTTGATATAAACAATTTCCAACATCTCTGAGTTTTAGATAAAAATTCTAAAATCATAATTACAAATCAATAAGATTAAATCACATGTAAACCTTAAACCATAATATTATTAATGGTGAGTTATATCTCTACCAATGTAATAATTTCTTTTCTCAAATCACATGGAAAAGAAGAGCAGTATTCATAGCTAAATAGCATTCATTCACGTGTTAAAAAACATTCATATTCATTCTATTTGTAATATCTTAAACAGGGAAATTACCCAAAACCTATCGACAGTAGAATAAATAACTTGTGGTATATTTACACAATTGATCACTACAGAGCAAAGAGAATGAACTACAATATGGATGGTACTTAAAAATATAATGTTTAGTGAAGGAAGCCAGGCATAAAAGTATATACTCTCTGATTCTCTTTAAGAAAAGTTCAAAAGCGTATGAAAGACAAAAAGATCATTATCTTTGGGGCATATGATTGGAAGGGGTCATGATGGGTAATTTTGAGGTGTGGGTAATATTTTGTTTCTTTTTTAAAAAACAACTTTTATCTTAGGTTCAGGGGTACATGTGCAGGTTTGTCATATAGGTAAATTTGTGTCATGGAGTTTGTTGTACAGATTATTTCATCACCCAGGTACTAGGCCTAGTACCCAATTACTATTTTTTTCTGATTTTCTTCCTTCTCCCACCCTCCACCATCAGGTAGGCCCCAGTATCTGTTGTTCTCCTCTTTATGTCCATGTGTTCTCGTCATTCATCTCCCACTTATAAGTGACAGTATTTGGTTTTCTGTTCCTATGTTAGTTTGACTCCAGCTCCATCCATGTCTCTGCAAAAAACATTACCTCAGTCTTTTTTATAGCTGCATAGTATTCCATGATGTATATATACTACATCTTCTTTTCTTTGCCTTTTCTCTTAGAAAAACTATGATAATCATTTATTACTTTTCCACTATGGACATATAAGATAGAGCCCAAACTATATAGTAAAATAGAATCTGGATTCAAATCTAAATACTACTTATAGAAATGAGTCCTAGCCTCACTACTTCACTAGCTGTGATTTTTTTTCATTTATTTATTTTTTAAGTTTAGTGGTACAAGTGCAGGTTTGTTACATAGGTAAGCATGTAACAAAGGGGTTTGTTGTACAGGTTATTTCATTACTCAGGTATTAAGCCTAGTACCCATTAGTTGTTTTTCTGATCCTCTCCCTCCGCCCACCCTCCACCCTCTGACAGGCCCCAGTGTGTGTTGTTCCCCTCTATGTGCCCATGTGTTCTCATCAGTTAGCTCCCACTTATAAGTGAGAACATAACAATATTTGGTTTTCTGTTCCTGTGGCTAAGGATAATGGTCTCCAGTTCCATCCATGTCCCTGCAAAGGACACAATCTCATTCTTTTTATGGCTGCATAGTATTCCATGGTGTATATGTACCATATTTTCTTTATCCAATCTATCATTGGTGGATATTTAGGTTGATTCTATGTCTTTGCTATTGTAAATAGTGCTGCAATAAACATACACACGCATGTGGCTTTATAAGAGAATGACTTATATTCCTTTGGATATATACCCAGTAATGGGATTGCTGGGTCAGATGGTATTTCTATTTTTAGGTCTTTGAGGAATCACCACACTGTCTACCACAATGACCGAACTAATTTACACTCCCACCAACAGTGTATAAGTGTTTCTTTTTCTCCCCAACATCGCCAGCATCTGTTATTTTTTGCCTTTTTAACAGCAGCCATTCTGACTGGTGTTAGATGGTGTTTCATTGTGGTTTTGACTTGCATTTCGCTAATGATCAGTGATGCTGAGCTGTTTTTCATATGATTGTTGCCCATATGTATGTCTTCTTTTGCAAATTGTCTGTTCATATCCTTTGCCCACTTTTTTATGTTTGTTTTTTCTTGTCAATTTAAGTTCCTTGTAGGTGCTGGATATTAGGCCTTTATCAGATGCATAGTTTGCAAAAATTTTCTCCCTTTCCATAGGTTGTCTGTTTACTCTGCTGATAGTTTATTTTGCTGTGCAGAAGCTCTTTAGTATAATTACATCCCATTTGTCAAGTTTTGCTTTTGTTATGATTGCTTTTGGCATCTTTGTCATGAAATCTTTGCCAGTATCTATATCCAGAATGGTATTGACTCAGTTGTCTTCCAGAGTTTTTATAGTTTTGGGTTTTACATTTAAGTCTTTAAACCATCTTTAGTTGATTTTTGTATATGGTGTAAGGAAGGGATCCAGTTTTAATCTTCTACATATGGCTAGCCAGTTATCCCACCACCATTTATTGAATAGGGAGTCCTTTCCCCATTAATGGGCTTGTTTTTGTTGGCTTTGTCAAAGATCAAATGGTTGTAGGCATGTGGTCTTATTTCTGGGCTCTCTATTCTGTCCCATTGGTCTATGTGTCTGTTTTTGTACCAGTACCATGATATTTTGTTACTGCAGTTCTGCAGTATACTTTGAAATCAGGTAATATGATGCCTCCAGCTTTGTTCTTTTTGCTTAGGATTGCCTTGGCTACTCAGGCTCTTTTTTGGTTCCATATGAATTTTAAAATAGCTTTTTCTAGTTTTGTGATGAATTTCATTGGTAGTTTGTTAGGAATAACACTGAATCTATAAATTGCCTTGGGCAGTATGACCATTTTAATGATATTGATTCTTCCTATCCATGAGCACAGAATGTTTTTCCATTTGTTTGTGTCATCTCTGCTTTCTTTGAGCAGTGTTTTGTAATTCTCATTGTAGAGGTCTTTAACCTCCCTGATTAGCTATATTCCTAGGTATTTTATTCTTTTTGTGGCAATTGTAAATGGGATTGTGTTCCTGGTTTGGCTCTTGTTTTGGCTGTGTTAGTGTATAGGAATGCTAGTTATTTCTGTTCATTGATTTTGTATCCTGAAACTCTGCTGAAGTTACTTATTAGCTTAAGGAGCTTTCGGGCCGAGACTTCGGGGTTTTCTAGATATAGAATCATGTCTGCAAACAGGGATAGTTTGACCTCCTCTCTTCCTATTTGGATGCCCTTTATTTCTTTCTCTTTCCTGATTACTGTGGTCAAGACTTCCAATACTATGTTAAATAGGAGTGGTGAGAGAGGGCATCCTTGTCTTGTGCCCGTTTTCAAGGGGAATGCTTCCAGCTTTTGCCCATTCAGTGTGATGTTGGCTGTGGGTTTCTCCTAGATGGTTCTTATTATTTTGAGGTATGTTCCTTCAATACCTAGTTTATTGAGTTTTTAACATGAAGGGATGTTGAATTTTATCAAAAGCCTTTTTCTGCATCTATTGAGATAATCATGTGGCTTTTGTCTTTAGTTCTGTTTATGTGATGAATCAGGTTGACTGATTTGCATATGTTGAACCAAACTTGCAACCTAGGGATGAAGCCTATTTGATCATGGTGGATTGCCTTTTAGATGTGCTGCTGAATTTGGTTTGCAAGTATTTTGTTGAGGATTTTTGCATCAATTTTCATCAAGGATATTGGCTTGAGGTTTTGTTTTTTTCTTGTGTCTCTGCTACGTTTTGGTATCAGAATGATGCTGGCCTCATAGTATGGGTTGGGGGAGGAGTCCTTCCTCCTCATTTTTTTGTAATACTTTCAGTCCTTCCTCTTCAGTTTTTTGTAATACTACTTTCAGTATAAATAGTACCAGCTCTTCTTTGTACATCTGGTAGGATGTGGCTGTGAATCCATCTGGTCCTGGGCTTTATTTTTATTTATTTATTTTGGTTGGTGGGCTATTTATTACAGATTCCGTTTTGGAGCTTCTTATTGGTCTATTCAGGGAATCCATGTCTTCCTGGTTCAGTCTTGGGAGGGGTTATGTGTACAGGAATTTATCCATCTCTTCTAGGTTTTCTAGTTTGTGTGTAAAGAGGTGTTCATAGTAGTCTCTGATGGTTGTATTTCTGTGGGGTCAGTGGTACCACCCCCTTTGTCATTTCTAATTGTGTTTATTTGGATCTTCTCTCTTTTCTTCTGTATTTCTCTAGCTAGCAGCCTATTTATCTTACTAATTTTTTCAAAAAATCAACTCCTGGTTTCATTCATCTTTTGGATGGTGTTTTTGTGTCTCAATCACCTTCAGTTCAGCTCTGATTTTGGCTATTTCTTGTTTTCTGTCAGCTTTTGGGTTGGTTTGCTCTCTCTTCTCTAGTTATTTTAGTGGTGATATTAGGTTGTTAATTTGGGATCTCTCTAAATTTTTGATATGGCTGCTTAGTGCTATAAATTTCCCTCTTAACACTGCCTTGGCTGTGTCCCAGAGATTTTGTAGGTTGTATCTTTGTTCTCATTCGTATTAAAAAACTTCTTGATTTCTGCCTTAATTTCACTATTTGCCCAAAAGTCATTCAGGAGCCAGTTGTTTACTTTCCATGTAATTGCATGGTTTTGAGTGATTTTTTTTAGTCTTGATTTCTATCTTTATTGCACTGTGGTCCAGGAGTATGTTTGGCATGACTTCAGTTCTTTTACATTTGCTGAGGGTTGTCTGATGGATTTTAGAATATGTACCATGTGGCAATGAGAAAAATGTACATTCTGTTGTTTTTGAGTGGAGAGTTCTGTAGAGGTCTATCAGATCCATTTGGTCCCATATTGAGTTCAGGTCCTGAATATCTTTGTTAATTTTCTGCCTCAGTGACCTAATACTGTCAGTGGAGTGTTGAAGTCTCTCACTATTATTGTGTGGGAGTCTAAGGCACTTTGTAGATCTCTAAGAACTTGCTTTATAAATCTGGGTACTCCTGTGTTGGGTGAATACATATTTAGAATAGTTAGGTCTTATTGAATTGAACCCTTTACCATTATGTAATGCCCTTCTTTGCCTTTTTTGATCTTTGTTGGTTTAAAGTCTGTTTTGTCTGAAATTAGGATTGCAACCTCTGCTTTTTCCTGATTTCCACTTGCTTGGTAGATTTTCCTCCATCCCTTTGTTTTGAGCCTATGGGTGTTGCTGCCTGTGAAATGGGTCTCTTGAAGACAGTGTATCATTGGGTCTTACTTTTTTTAAAATCCAGTTTGCCACTCTATGCCTTTTAAATGGGGCATTTAGCCCATTTACACTCAAGGTTAGTATAGATGTGTGTGGATTTGTTCCTGTCATTGTGCTGTTACCTGGTTATTAAGCCAGCTTGTGTGGTAGCTTTACATCACTGGGTCTGTGTACTTAACTGTGTTTTTTTGTATTGCCTGGTAATGGTTCTTCCTTTCATATTTAGTGCTCTTTTCAAGATCTCTTTTAAGTGGGTCTCGTAGTAACAAATGGTAGTAACAAACTTCCTCAGCATTTGCTTATCTGAAAAGGATCTTATTTCTCCTTCACTGAGGAAGCTTAGTTTGGCTGGATATGAAATTCTTGAAGATTTTTTTTTTTTTTAAGAATGTTGAATATAGGAGCCCAGGCTCTTCTGGCTTGTAGGGTTTCTGCTGAGATGTCCACTGTTAGCCTGATCAGGTTCCCTTCGTAGGTGACCTGCCCTTTCTAGCTGCCTTTAACATTCTTTCCTTGATTTCAAACTTGGAAAATCTGATGATTATGCATCTTGGGGATGATCTTCTTGAGTAGAATCTTGCACGAGTTCTCTGTATTTCCTGAGTTTGGGTGTTGGCCTCTCTAGCAAGGCTGGGGAAGTTTTCATGGATGATATCCTGAAATATGTTTTCCAGGTTGTTTGCTTTCTCCTGTCAGGGATGTCAATGATGTGTAGATTTGGCCTCTTTACACAATCCCATATTTCTAGAGGTTTTGCTCATTCCTTTTCATTCTTTTTAAAATAATTTTTGTCTTACTTTCTTATTTCAGAGAGTCAGTCTTCAAGTTTCAAGATTCTTTCCTCAGCTTGGTCTCTTTTGCTGTACTTGGAATTGCATTACAAAATTCTTGTAGTGTGTTTTTCAGCTCTATCAGATCAGTTAGGTTCCTTTTCATACTGGCTATTTCATCTGTCAGCTCCTGTATCATTTTATTGTGATTCTTAGTTTTGTTGAACTGGGTTTTGCCATTCTCCTGATCTTGATTATCTTTGTTCCTATCCATATTCTGAATTCTATTTCTGTCATTTCAGCCAGCTCAGCCTGGTTAAGAACTAGTGTGGTTGTTTGGAGGTCATAAGATACTGACCATTTAGGTTGCTGGAGTTCTTGCATTGGTTCTTTCTTATCTCTGCATGTGGCTCTTCCTTTAACTGCTGGGCTGCCTCTGATTGATGTGGTCTGACAGGGACAGCGTGTTTGTGCTAGAGTACCAGGTTGAGAGGAGAAGTGAGGACCAGGACCTACGTGGAGAACAGTCCGACCACTTTTCTGTGAGGTGGATACTCTGTGCTCGGGTATGGACTAGCTAGCCCCTGGTCCCCACAGATTCTCCAAAGCCTGAAGACAGCAAAGCCTAAGGCTGTGAGAAAGCAAAGATAGCAACCCACCCCTCCCACTGGGAGTTCTTTCCCAGGGAGTTCCAGAGCTGCTACTGGCTTGATAGCCTGGAGGTGAGGGGAGCTGGAGACCCAGGCCAGGAGGACCTGCCCAGTGAAGAGATATGAGATTGGAAACCCAAGTAACAAACAATCTGGTTACTTTTCTGTAGGGCTGCTGCAGTATGCTGGGGGTACACTCCAGTCCCTAGTCACCTTGGTTTATCTAGCACCTGAAGGTATCAACAGTGAAGGGTGTAAAACAGCAAAGATGGCAGTCCCCCTATCCCTCTGGGAGCTCCATCCCAGGGAGGTTTGAAACTGCTGCTGGTCAGAAAACACCAGCAGAGATGGCTGGACACCCTAGTTGGGAGGTCCCACCCAGTGAGGAGAAATAGGGTTGAGGACCTGTGTAAAAAAGCAGTCTGGCCACTTCTTTATATAACAGTTGGGCTGTGTTTGGGGTCTGCTGCAGCCCCCAGTCACTTTGGACTCTCCAAATCCCAAAGGCAACAATGGTTAAGGCTGCAAAACAGCAAAGATGGCAGCTTGCCCCTCCCTCTGGGAACTCCATCCCAGCAAAGTTTGAAACTGTTGCTGGACAGAAAACACTAGCAGGGGTGGTTGTAGACCTTGGTCACAGGATTCTGCCCAGTGAAAAGAAATAAGATCTGGGACCCATGTGAAAAAGCAGTCTAGCTGCTTTCCCATAGAGCTACTGTGCTGCGGTGAGAGACGGCTCCAGTACCTAGTCACCTTGGACTTCCTAGAGCCAGAAGGCAACAATGGCTAAGGCTGTGAAACAGCAAAGATGGCGGCCTGTCCCTCCCCCGGGAGCACTATCTCAGGGAGGCTCGGAACCACTGCCAGCTGAAAAACAGTGGCAAGAGTGGCTGGTTACCTTGGTTGGGAGGTCCTGCCCAGTGAGGAGAAGAGAGGTCAGGGACCCACATAAAAAAGCAAGCTGGCTGCATTTTTGTAGGGTGGTTACACTGAAGGCAACAATGGCTAAGGCTGCAAAACAGCAAAGATGGTAGCCTACCCCTCCCTCTGGGAGCTCCATCAACACTGCTACCAGTGGCTGGCTGGAGTTCCAAGCTAGTGGTCTTATCCTGCAAGGTGCTGTGGACATGGGACCTGAAGACCATTGCTGCTCAGACCCCTGAATTCAGCTACTTCTTAGGGGTCTGTATGGGGGTCTAACCTCCTACTTTGCCAAGTTGCAGCTGCTTTTGCCTAGAAACCCAAGTATCTATAGCTCCTGGGGCTCCACATGTGCCTGAGCAGCTACTCTGCCAAGATGCCACAGAGCTCTGCATATCAGACTGCAAGCCCTGGTGCAGTGGGTTTACGAGGAGGGTCTCCTGACTCAAGGGTTGCAAAGACCTATGGGAGAAGCATGGGTCCCCAGGGTTGCCCACTTACTCATGCTTCCCTGGGCGAGGGAGGCTCCCCTGGCTCCGTGTCACTCCCAGGTGGGCAGTCATCCTGCCTTGCTTTTCTACATTCTCTGTGGGTTGTTTTCTTGATGAATCCCAACATGTGTACATGTATGTTTCAGTTGAAGGTGCTGTATGTACTCACCCCTTCTATTTCTCTCCATGACAGCAGTGCACATTAGCTGCTTCTAGTTGGCCATTTTGGCCAGCCTCTTATTTTGTTTCTGGATCTGGGTGCTGATTATATGATAATTACATGCTATAAGCTCAATATGTAGAGTTTTGTTTGTTTTTTTGTAAAAAGAGATCTTGGCCAGGCATAACAGCTCATACCTATAATCCTAGTGCTTTGGGAGGCCAAGGCGGGAGGATCACTTGAAGCCAAAAGTTTGGGACTGGCCTGGGCAACAGAGCGAGTTCTCATCTCTACAAAAAAAAATTTTTTTAATTAGCCGGGCATGGTGCTGTAGTCCCAACTACTCAGAAGACTGAGGAGGGAAGATTGCTTGAGCCCAGGAGTTGGAAGCTGCAGTGAGCCATGATTGTGCCACTGTACTCTCTAGCCTGGATGACAGAGTAAGACTCTGTCTCAAAAAAAAAAAAAAAAATTCTTAAGAGTAATCATTGGAGTTGAGTTTCAGAAAACTAGGTTCAAATCCTGATTTTCGTACTTAATAATGGCAAGCTTTCTCCCCTGTAAAATTTGGATAATAATACCCATCTTACAAGATGTTATACATAATAGGTGATTAATAAATGTCAGTATAATCTCAACTTAATACAATGAATATACCAATCATTAATTGATTAGATGATGATCTGGAAGTATTACTGTTTAGAAAATATTATTTTTTCCAAATGAAAAAAATTAGTCTAAGAAATTAAATTTAGACTATTCGAGTATTCTTGGTAAGGTAAGGCAATAACTACAATGATATTCTAAAATAGAAGTTAATCTAAAAGTTGTTTGCACTTGAGGTATATTACATAATTTACTTTTTAATGATATGAACTCCTAATAACTATTATCTTACAGATAATAATAAAAACAGGTGAGGTAAATGAAGCATTTCTTTCTAAAGATGTCTACAACACTATCTCTTGTCCCAAACACTTTTCTGAAATGTATTCTTGTCACTCCTCTATCAAGACAGAGCATTTATTTACCAACCCTCTGGAATCTCAACAGGCCTCATGACTGCTCTGATAACAGAATATGGCAGAAGTGACACTCTGTTCTGAGTTCAGCCATTAACTGAACTGGTAGTTTCCACTTCCTACTCTCTTGGAATGCTGCCAACAAACTGAAGAAGCCCATGGAGGGGTCATATTTAGATGGACTGGTCAATAGCCAAAAGGCACATGAGTAACCCATCTTGGAAATTCTGCCCAATCAATCCTTCAGATAACTGCTTCCCCAACCAATATCTGACTGCACTGACTGCAATCTCATCAAAGTCCTCAGGTGAGAATCTCCCAGTTGAGGCTAGTCCACCCAAAGAAATATGACACTTAATAAATTATTGTTCTTTTTAAAAACTTTATTGAGTATAAATTACATACCATTAAAATCTACCCATTGTAAAATGCCTTAGTTCAGGCTGCTATAATTGGATACTACAGACTGAGTGGCTTATAAAAAAATAGGAATTTATTTCTCACAGTTAGGGAAGCTGGACGTCTGATATCAGGGTGCCAGCCTGGCCAAGTTCCAGTATTGCAGACTACCGATTTCACATTGTATCCTCACACGGTGGGAAAGAGGGTGGGAAAGAGAGTTTTCTGGGGTTCTTTTATAAGGGAACTAATCCCATTCATGAAGGATCCACCTTCATGACCTAATTACCTCCCAAAGGCCTTACCTCCCAATACCGTCATATCAGGGTATAGGATTTCGACACATGAATTTTTGGAGGAACACAAACATCCAGCCCACAAGTGTACAATTTAACAATTTTAGTATATTTGCAGTTATCAACAATCATTACAATCCAATTTTAGAACATTCTCAACACCCCCACCCAAAATGTTCCTTCATGCCTATTTATAGTTAATCCCTATTCTCACTTTATGCAACAACTGTTCTGATTATTGTCTCTATAAATTTGTCTTTCAAGAATTTCATATAAATGTAATCATATAATATATGATCTTTTGGGCCTGGCTTCTTTCACTTAGAATAATGTTTTGAAGTTCATCTATGTTGCAGCATGTATCAGAAGTTTATTCCTTTAATTGCTGAACTGAATTCCATTGTAATGATATACAAAAAAAAAAAAAAGAATGAGTTGGGAAGTGTTCCCTCCTCTTCTATTTTTTGGAAGAGTTTGTGAAGAATTAGTCTTTTTATTTTATTTTATTTGTTAACAATCCTTTAAAATGTAAAAAACAAAAAACTATTAAATTGCACACTTTAAAAGGGTAAGTTTTATGGTATGTAAAGGGATTGAGAAGAACCTATAATCCCTGAAAAGGCTTATCTATTTTTGGTTTAACTTTTTTCTTAGGATACAACACTTTAGAGTTTATCAAGTTATCCAAACCATGGCAAGCCTTCAACTCTAGCCTCTGTCTTCCTAGCCCCATGAAGCTGCTAATAAAATTGCTCATCCTATCAGTCATTGGTCTCTGTGGAATTGGCATACACTCTTTTGATAGCCCCAAACTCCAGGCTCACTTTCTTGGAGTTCTGTCTTCCAACAGATCTTGTACTGGTGATTCATAAGATTTTTTTAGTTCTTCAATGGCTTCAAGTAGATTTTTTTTAAAAAAATAATTCATCCACCTTTTCTAGCTGCCCTCAGGGGAAATGTTGGTCTGAGTTACTTAGTTAACTACTACTGGTAGTTTGAGTCATCAAATTTTAAGGTTATAAAACAACTATAATTTCATCAACACAATATGTCTTGTATGAGGATACAAAATATTTCAGAATGATATAATTAACCACACTTTAAAACAACCCCTCTTTATGCCATAAAAAATTTATGCAAAACCGTTTGGATTTAGATTGTGCACTACAAATTTCAATGTTTAATATAAATAATTCCACTATTTATAAACAATAGACATAACCTAAGAAGACTACATTCATTTGTATGGGACATTTTTATTCTTTGAATTACTTTCACCATCTATTACTTATAATTTGTTCTAAATAAGTCCTCTGTGAAGTGGGTAAAAAATAATAATCTTCATTTTAAAGATGGATAAACTGAAGTTAAACTCATTCATTTTCCCATTCTAAAAATCATTGTAAGAAATTTCTCTTAAACTCAAATACATATGACTTTTGTAATCTCACCTGATTTTCCACTGCAGCAATCTGTACCATCTGATTCAGATGTTGAAACATATTTCAGCATTTGATGTCCACAGCTTATAGAATAAAATAGATAAATATATACGGTAAATGAGGTACAAGTTTTTTACCTGAACACAATTAGAAAATCTGTTTAATTTTTAACCAAGATCCCAACTGCAACGCATCCTAAAATTCCAATCTCTCCATAAAGTTCAAAGGCTTTAACCTAGAAAGTATCTGTGTGTCCTTGAAGGAAACAAAATATTTTTGAAAAGTCAACATTGGATCTGAGGTAAACCCTTACTATTAGTAAAGCAGAAATAAGATCAAACACCATTTACTGGGTACTATGAATAGGTACTAAAGTAGTGTATACTAAAATACTTTAATATTTACTAAGATCTTAGGATGGGTAGAATACCATTATATTTTAGCTCAGATGGAGACCATTTAATTTAAAAAATTAATAACCACTAAAATGAGAAGATATTTATTTAGAATAAAAACTACTAGATAAATAAGGAAAAGAATATAGGCTGAATCCATCATCTAGTTATAACATAGAACTAGAAAACTGGTAATACTTTATTAAAATACAGTAAAGTCCTCAATATCATCAATAAGTTTTTGAAAACTGACATTTTAAGTGAAACAACTTATAGCACATCTTAAAATAATGTCATTTCATTATAACACCGAAAAAAACTATGGTCATTTAGCTTAAAGCTGGAGTTTCCAAGAACCTATCCAAAATGTTGAGGACTTAACTGTAATCAACATTTTGAAACAGAAATAATAAACAGTTGGGAAACTTACCTGTTACACAGATTGCTATCAGAATTTCTAAGTTGCTGATAAAAATCTGGAGTATTAGGTGCATTGCCCAGAGATCTCTGCAAGATAACGCTTGGCTTATTAAGAAAATCAGCAGTATCAGGAAATTCTATGGGTGATCGATTAGTTAGAGAGCCAGTAGACACTGGTCCATGGTTGGAAGAATTCACAGGACTCAGACTGGACAAAACACCTTTAAAAATTAAAAGAAAGGAGATAGATAAATAAGAATGTATTTATGTGTGTATGTTTATTAAATATATTTGTGTTTTTATGGATTTTTTCCTTATTTAAAAAAAGCAGATTATTTACAAATAAATTATAAATTCCTGCATGGGGCCTCACAATATTCTAGAAACTTATGCAATATTTGCCATATTTGTCATGATCAATGGCTGTTGGGTAAACACCCCTTGTTGGGTAAATATCTACATTTATAATAGGTAAATGTGAACAGTATGACTAAAACATACATACTGTATGGCAGAAATTTTCCTAATTCCTATTGGTCTTTAACTTTCACCTATGTGTCCCTATCAGATTGATTATCCACAAGAGCAAAGCATCTCTACCAAATTTTATTGAATTATTTTCAATTCAATAAAATTAAATTTTATTTAAATTCTCTTTTTTTGTCTGTGAGATGGGGTCTCATTTCATTGCCCAGGCTGGATTCCAGTGGCACAATCATGGCTCACTGCAGACTCAACCTCCTGGGTTCAATTGATCCTCTGGCCTTGGAGACTACAGGCACAGGCCACCGTGCCCAGCTAATTTACCTATTTTTCTGTAGAGACAGGGTTTCAAGATGTTGCCCAGGCTGGTCTCAAACACCTGGGCTCAAGTCATCCTCCTGCCTCAGCCTCCCAAAATGCTGGGATTACAAGCTTAAGCCACTGCATCTGGCCAAAGAACTAAAATTCTTTTTTTTTCTTTTTTAATTATACTTTAAGTTCTAAGGTACATGTGCACAATGTGCAGGTTTGTTACATATGTATACATGTGCCATGTTGGTGTGCTGCACCCATTAACTCATCATTTACATTAGGTATATCTCCTAATGCTATCCATCCCCCGTCCCCCCACCCCACTATAGGCCCCAGTGTGTGATGTTCCCCACCCTGTGTCCAAGTGTTCTCATTGTTCATTCCCACCTATGAGTGAGGACATATGGTGTTTGGTTTTCTGTCCTTGCGATAGCTTGCTCAGAATGATGGTTTCCAGCTTCATCCATGTCCCTGCAAAGGACATGAACTCATCCTTTTTTATGGCTGCACAGTATTCCATGGTGTGTATGTGCCACATTTTCTTAATCCAGTCTATCACTGATGGACATTTGGGTTGGTTCCAAGTCTTTGCTACTGTGAATAGTGCCGCAATAAACACAGGTGTGCATGTGTCTTTACAGCAGCATGACTTATAATCCTTTGGGTATATACCCAGTAATGGGATGGCTGGGTCAAAAGGTATTTCTAGTTCTAGATCCTTGAGGAATTGCCACACTATCTTCCACAATGGTTGAACTAGTTTATAGTCCCACCAACAGTGTAAAAGTAAGAACTAAAATTCTTAATAGCATTTAAGCAAGTTGAGAATAACATCATATGTTAATGCAATGTCAGATCGCTTTAAAAATTACATGAAAGTATTTCCAGCTCATTCATTCATTCAACAAATATTTAGAGCTTACTATATGCTGGAAAATATACTGGTTTTCACAATGAAGAAAAAGATACCATCCCTGAAATTCAATGAAGCTAGAGTGTAGTGAAGAATACAAACAAGTGCTAAGTGCTTAATAAGGGAACAAAACAGAGTGCTTCAGGAACACATAAGATGAGTCTATAATTCTGTCTATTTATTCCAGAAACCTTTGCTGAGTGCCTCAAACTAAAGCAGTGTGGGTATATCTGGAAAGATGCAGGCAGATTTATAACCTTATTTGAAAATAAAGACCCAAGTAAAGTCTCATTCAGAAAGGAAAACAAGTAACAGTCATTAAGGAGCTACAATATTTTCAGGCATAGTGGTAAACACTTACAGATGTGTGCGATGGTGTCAACTTGGTTATGGTGCTCAGTTGTTTATTCAAACACTAGTATAGATGTTGTTGTGAAGATATTTTTCAGATGTGATTAACATTTAAATCAATAAACTTTGAGTAAAGCAGATTAATTTCCATAACATGGGTGGGCCTCATCCAATTAGCTTAGGGCCTTATGAGAAAAGACTGAGGTCTCATAAAGAGGAAAAAATTTTGTCTCAGGTTCAAGACTGCAACATTAACCCTGCTGGAATTTTCAGCCTGCCAGCCTGTCCTGAAAACTTCCTACTTGCTTGCCTTGCAAGCCCACACAGTTGTGTGAGCCAATCCCTTAAAACAAACTTTCTCTCTCTTTCTCTGCGTGTGTGTGTGTGTGTGTGTGTGTGTGTGTGTATAAATATAATGTTCTTTATCTTTTGCCAATCTGATGATAAATAAAAGAGCACCGTACCTTTACTTTTTAATTTCCTCATTACTAATAAGGTTAAGCACATTTCATGTTTATATGCTATTTGTATAGTTTTTTTTCTGAAATCCTCATTCAAGTCTTTTGCTAATTTTTCTATTGGCTTGTGGTGATGGACACACTCTAAGGTAGCATTAACCCTTGCCCCCTGGTGTTCATGTCTTTGTGTAGAAAACACCTGTGACTAGCTTCTTATCAAAAGAAAGATGACAGGATGTCACCCCTATGATTATGTTTCATTATGAATTCCATCTTGCTAGAGACTCACTCTAGAGATTCTTCTTGCTAGCTCCATGAAGTAAGCAGCCATACTGAGGAAGACCATGTGACAAAAAACTATGGGCAGCCTCTACGAACTGTGGGTGGCCCCCAGCCAATAGCCATCAAGAACCCAGAGCCATCAAGAATCCACAACCAACGGAAATGAAGAACAACCTGAGGACAACCTGAATGAGCTTGGCAGCCGATTCATTCCCAGCTGATTCTCCAGATGAGAACAAGGTAGAGCCAACATCTTGTTTTGAGACTTATGACACCTCAAGCAGAGGACTCAGCTGTGTGTGGACTCTTGCACAAAAGCTGCTACATTTGTTGTAATCTGATATGCAGCAATAGAAAATGAATAGTTGTCCATAATTCTTCCACTGACAAAGTTCTTTATACAGCTGAATTCTAGTTCCTTCTCAGATGTTGTTACTATTTTCAATTCTTTTTATATGACTTTTTTTTTTGATGGAGTCTCACTCTATCGCCCAGGCCGGAGTACAGTGGTGCACTCTGGGCTCACTGCAGCCTCCATCTGTTGGGTTCAAGCAATTCTCCTGCCTCAGCCTCCCAAATAGCTGGGATTACAGGCACCCGCCACTACACCTAGCTTTTTTTTTTTTTCTTTTTTTGAGATGGAGTCTCACTCAGTTGCCCAGGCTGGAGTACAGTGGCGTGATCTCAGATCTCAGCTCACTGCAAGCTCCACCTCCCGGGTTCATGCCATTCTCCTGCCTCAGCTTTCCCAAGTAGCTGGGACTACAGGTGCCCGCCACCACGCCCAGCTAATTTTTTTGTGTTTTTAGTAGAGATGGGGTCTTACCATGTTGACGAGGCTGGCCTCGAACTCCTGACCTCAAATGATCCACCAGCCTCAGCCTCCCTAAGTGCTGAGATTACAGGCGTGAGCCACCATGCCTGGCCTTTATATGACTTTTTTCAATAAAGAGGTTATTAATGTTCATGTAGTCAAATTTATTCATCTAATCCCATATGGTAAGTATTTTTATGTCTTGTTACGGAAATTTTTCCCTGAAGTTATGGAGTGTAGCAGCATTGCATATTTTTTATTAAATTTATCTCTACGTAATTGGTGGCTTTTGATGCTGTGGTAAATGGTGTTTTAAATTTCATTTTAACCATTTTCTGATAGTATAGAGTAATATAATTAATTTTTCTGTACAATTAAAATATTGCAAAATTTACTTATTAATTCTATTACTATATTTTTAGAGCCTTCTAGATTTTCCATGTATACAAAATGGTAATCTGCAAATAAATAAAAGGGTTTATATCTTCCTTTCCAATATTTATTCCTTTTCTTTATCTTGTCTTCATTCATTGTCTAGAAATTACAGGATAATGTTGGAGACAAGTATTTACAGTGAACATCTTTATCTTGTTTCCAAAGTCAGGAGAAAAATGTTCAGTATTTCATTATGTATTATGTTTGAAAAACATTTTTGATAGATACTTTATCAGATTAAAAATGTCCCCTCTATTCCCAATTTGCTTATAATTTTTTATCATAATTATCAAATTTATCAAATGAACATACATGAAAAGCTTTCTCTGTACCAATTAAGATGACCATATGAGTATTCTCTTTTATTCTATTAATGCAGTGAATTTTCAAAGGTTAAACAGACTTTATATTCCTGTAATAATACTTCCCAACATGAACATTATGGTATTATCATTTTAATATATTACTCAATTATATGTGTAACTTTTTGTTTAGGATTTTTGTATCTATATTCACAAGAGATGTTGGCCTCTAATTTACTTGTAATATCCTTGTCAGGTTTCAATATTAGGGTTATGCTGGCCTCATAAAAAACTGGTGTTTCCTCTTTCCCTTTTCAGTGAAAGAGTTGTGTAAGATTGGCTGTGGTAAGCAGAATAATCACCCCCAAAGATGTCCATATCCTAAACCACAGAACCTATATGTTAGATTGCATGGCAAAGGGATATTTAAATTGCAAATGGCCTTAAGGTTGCTGATCAGCTAACCTTGAGATGGGGAGATTATCCTGGATTATGTAGTTGTGCTCAATGTAATGACAAGGGTTCTTGTCATTACAGGAGTCACACACGGCTAAGTCCTATGCCTAAGTAAAAGAGAGAGGCAGACATAAAAGAGCCAGAGAGATGGCAGCGTCAGGATTCAGACTGACATTGCTGGCAATGAAGATGGAGTAATGGGGCCATGGGCCAGGAATCCAGGCAGGCAAGCTCTAGGAAGGCCTCTGGAAACTGGAAAATGCAAAGAAAATGGATTACCCCCTAAAGCCTCCAGAAGACACATAGCCCTGCTGACACCTTGCTTTGGGCCCAATGAGATCAATTTTAAACTTCTGACCTCCAGAATTATAAGTATAAATTTGTGTTATTTAAGTCACTAAGCATATGGTAATTTGATACAGTAGTGTGTTAGTCCCTTTGGATTGCTATAACAAAATACCATAGACTAGGTATTTTATAAATAAGAGAAATTTATTCTCACAGTTCTGGAGGCTGGGAAGTGCAAGATCAAGGCACTGGCAGATGTGGTGTCTGATGATGGCCCACTTCCTGGTTCACTGACGGCCATCTTCTCGTGTCCTCACATGGCGGAAGGGATTAGAGAGCTCTTTGAGGTCTCTTTTATAAGGCACTCATCCCATTCATGAAGAGTCCACTCACATGACCTAATCACATTCCAAAGGCCCCAGCTCCAAATACCATCACACTGAGGATTAGGTTTCAACACATGAATTGGGGTGTAAGTGAGGAGATATGAATATGCAGTTTACAGCAAGCAGCTATAGAAAACTAAGGCATTGGATATAACCTTTCATAACAACATTTTCGTTAAATATAGGGAAGAATTTACCAGTAAAGTCATCTGGACCTACAATTTTATTTGTAAGAAGGTTTTTAACTACAGGTTTAATTTCGTTAGAAGATATATGACTCTTCAGATTTTTTATCATTTTTGTATCAGTGTAATCTTTTTGTATCAGTGTCATGTTTTCTTCTTTCTTTTGGTTTACTTTGCTGTGAAACTTATAGCTTCTTAAAATGTAAGCTTAACAGATTTTTAATTTTTCTCTTTTTTTGCTATAAATTTCCCAAGAAAGCACTGCTTTAGCTTCTTCCGACATTTTAATAAGTCCTATTTTCATTATTATTCAGCTCAAAATATTTTCTGATTTTCATTGCTTTTTCTTCTTTGACCCATAGGTTATTTATAATTTGAGGATTTTCTGCAGATCTATTGAGAGATGTTTTCAAATCTAATTCCACTGTGGTGACAGAACATGCTTACGTGTTTTTTAAACAGCCTTTTAAGATATCATTCATATACCATACAATTTACTATTTTAAATTGTACAATTCACTGAATTTTAGAAATCCACAGAGTTGTGCAACTATCACCACTATCTAATTCTGGAATATTTCCATAAACTCAAAAAGAAACCATAGACCCATTAGCAGTCATTCTCTATTCCTGTCGCTCCTACCCATAGTCACAAGGGACCACTGTCTTAGTTCATTCAACTTGCTATAAAAAAAAGCCCAAAATCTCCTTAAGCTGATAAGCAACTTCAGCAAAGTCTCAGGATACAAAATCAATGTACAAAAATCACAAGCATTCTTATACACCAATAACAGACAAACACAGAGCCAAATCATGAGTGAACTCCCATTCACAATTGCTTCAAAGAGAATAAAATACCTAGGAATCCAACTTACAAGGGACGTGAGGGACCTCTTCAAGGAGAACTACAAACCACTGCTCAAGGAAATAAAAGAGGATACAAACAAATGGAAGAACATTCCATGCTCATGGGTAGGAAGAATCAATATTGTGAAAATGGCCATACTGCCCAAGGTAATTTACAGATTCAATGCCATCCCCATCAAGCTACCAATGACTTTCTTCACAGAATTGGAAAAAACTACTTTAAAGTTCATATGGAACCAAAAAAGAGCCCACATCGCCAAGCCAATCCTAAGCCAAAAGAACAAAGCTGGAGGCATCACACTACCTGACTTCAAACTATACTACAAGGCTACAGTAACCAAAACAGCATGGTACTGGTACCAAAACAGAGCCCTCAGAAATCACGCCGCATATCTACAACTATCTGATCTTTGACAAACCTGAGAAAAACAAGCAATGGGGAAAGGATTCCCTATTTAATATGGTGCTGGGAAAACTCGCTAGCCATATGTACAAAGCTGAAACTGGATCCCTTCCTTACACCTTATACAAAAATCAATTCAAGATGGATTAAAGACTTAAACGTTAGACCTAAAACCACAAAAACCCTAGAAGAAAACCTAGGCATTACCATTCAGGACATAGGCATGGGCAAGGACTTCATGTCTAAAACACCAAAAGCAATGGCAACAAAAGCCAAAATTGACAAATGGGATCTAATTAAACTCAAGAGCTTCTGCACAGCAAAAGAAACTACCATCAGAGTGAACAGGCAACCTACAAAATGGGAGAAAATTTTCACAACCTACTCATCTGACAAAGGGCTAATATCCAGAATCTATGATGAACTCAAACAAATTTACAAGAAAAAAACAAACAACCCCATCAACAAGTGGGCAAAGGACATGAACAGACACTTCTCAAAAGAAGACATTTATGCAGCCAAAAAACACATGAAAAAATGCTCATCATCACTGGCCATCCGAGAAATGCAAATCAAAACCACAATGAGATACCATCTCACACCAGTTAGAATGGCAGTCATTAAAAAGTCAGGAAACAACAGGTGCTGGAGAGGATGTGGAGAAATAGGAACACTTTTACACTGTTGGTGGGACTGTAAACTAGTTCAACCATTGTGGAAGTCAGTGTGGCGATTCCTCAGGGATCTAGAACTAGAAATACCATTTGACCCAGCCATCCCATTACTGGGTATATACCCAAAGGACTATAAATCATGCTGCTATAAAGACACATGCACACGTATGTTTATTGCGGCATTATTCACAATAGCAAAGACTTGGAACCGACCCAAATGTCCAACAATGATAGACTGGATGAAGAAAATGTGGCACATATACACTATGGAATACTATGCAGCCATAAAAAAGGATGAGTTCATGTCCTTTGTAGGGACATGGATGAAATTGGAAATCATCATTCTCAGTAAACTATCGCAAGAACAAAAAACCAAACACTGCATATTCTCACTTGTAGGTGGGAATTGAACAATGAGAACACATGGACACAGGAAGGGGAACATCACACTCTGGGGACTGTTGTGGGGTGGGGGGAGGGGGGAGGGATAGCATTGGGAGATATGCCTAATGCTAGATGACGAGTTAGTGGGTGCAGCGCACCAGCATGGCACATGTATACATATGTAACTAACCTGTACATTGGGCACATGTACCCTAAAACTTAAAGTATAATAATAAATAAAAGAAAAAAAAATGTTATCAACTTTTAATGGTTTTATTATTAGAAAATATTTATCTATTTAAACTTTCTGAATCTTATATGCTTTTATAATACTTTTAATTCCCATTTTGAACACCTAAATTGTAGCCAATCTGTAGATTTCTGTGTATATAATATGTAAGATGGAAATTCAGTCTTCTACCAGATAATTATAAAGATGACCCAAAACCATTAACTCAGTACTCCCTATTTTCTTTCACTGTATTAAAATTCCATCTATACCACCTAAAAAAAAAAAATACTTTAGTCTGGGCAATTTGTAAACAATAGAACTTGGCTGCTCACAGTTTTTGGAGGCTGGGAAGTCCAAGACCAAGGTGCCAGCAGTCTTGATGTCTGATTAGGGCTCAGTTTCTGCCTCACAGATGGTACTTTTTTCACTGTATCCTCACATGGCTGACAGGATAGCTAGCTTCCTCAGGCCTCTTTTATAAGAGCACTAATCTCATTCACAAAGGCTCCAACCTCATGCTTAGTCATCTCCAAAAGGCCCCATCTCTTAATACTGTCTCATTGGGGATTAGGTTTCAACATGTGAATTTTGGAAGTACACAAGCATTAAAACCATAGCAACCACTAATATACTTTCTCTATCTATAGATCTGTCCATTTTAGACATTTTATATGAGTAGATTTGTACAATTTGTAGTCTTTTGTGACTGCCTTATTTAACTTAGCATAATGTTTTCAAGGTTCATTCATGGCATATGAATACTACTCCATTTCACTTTTGTGACAAAAAATATTCTACTGTATGGTTAAGCCACGTTTTGTTTAACCATTTATTGATAGCCATTTAGGTTGTTTCTAATTTTAGCTATTATGAATAATGCTGCTATACACATTTATGCACAAGTTTTTGTGTGGACCTACGGTTTCACTTCTCTTGGATATATATCAAGAAGTAGAATTTCTGGGTCATATGGTAACTTCATGTTTAAAATTTGAGAAACTGCCAAATTGAATTTCATTGAATAGAAATATCTCTATGCCAGTACCATACTAAATTACTGTAGCCTGGTAGTAAGTTTTAAAATTTGAAAGTGGGAGTCCTCGTACTTTTTCTTCTTTTTTATTAAAGAACTGTTTTGGCTATTCTGGGACTCTTGCGTTTCTATACGAATTTTAGCATCAGACTGTCAATTTTGGCAAAGCTGAAATTTTGATAAGGACTGTATCGAATCTAGTGCAATTCAAAGAATATTGCCATCTTAATAATATTAAGTCTTCTGATCCTTAAACGTGGAATGTCTTCCAATATATTTAGGTCTTCTTTAATTTCAACAATATTTTATAGTTTCCATTGTAAAAGTCTTGTACTATTTTGCTAAATTTATTTCAAAGATTTTTTCAATGCTAACTGTAAACAGAAATCGTTCTGTAACTTGAGTTTTGGATTCCTTAATGTTAGCATATAGAAATAAAATTGATTTTGTATATCCTGCCACATTGATAAACTTATTGGTGATAATAGGTTTCAGTGAATTTCTTAGGATTTTACATATACAAGCTCATGCCATCTGCAAATACAATTTTACTTTTTCCTTTTATTCCTTCTCACCTAATTGCCCTGGCTAGAACCTCTAATCCAATATTGAGTAAAAGTAGCCTTACTTTATAATTATTAAAACAATGTTACAGTTTTGTTTTATACTAAGTCTAAAATCCAATCCACTTCAGGGATAATTTCTATGGGTTACGTTTTCCTTGGGTACATGTCAAAAATTTCTTGTATCTTTGCATGTTTCACATATTTTTCTTGAAAATCGTACATTTTACATAAAATACTGTAAAGTTTTGATATCAGATCCCTCCAACACCAAAGGTTTATTATGTTGCTGGCTTTGTGTTTTCTTCTTTCTGATAATTTGTTTAGTGACTTACCTGAACTAATTGTGTAGTTTCTGTTTCTCCTGCAATGTGTAGTTACTCAGTTTTCTGTTAGCTTTTTCTCTTAAGTTTTTGATTATATTTTTAAGCATGGTTTCCTAGAAGTCATCCCTGGGGGGATCAGTATAATTTGGACATCAACCAATGAGCAGTCAGAAGATTACTTTTTTTTTTTTTTTTTTGAGACGAAGGCTCGCTTTGTCGTCCAGGCTCAAGTGCAGTGGCACAATCTCGGCTCACCGCAATCTCTGTCTCCCGGGTTCAAGCGATTCTCGTGCCTCAACCTCCCGAGTAGCTGGGATTACAGGCGCCCACCACCACGTCTGGTTAATTTTTGTATTTTGTATTTTTGAATTTTGTAGAGATGGGGTTTCACCATGTTGGCCAGGCTGGTCTCAAACTCCTGACCTCAGGTGATCCACCCACCTGAGCCTCCCAAAGTGCTGGGATTACAAGTGTGAGTCACAGTGCCCAGCCTAATCTTTGTCTTTTAATTGGAGCGTAAAGTCCAATTTTTGTTGAAAACTTGACATTTCAGATAATATACTGACAACTCTAGTCAGATCCCTTCCTCTACCCCAAAGGTGTATATTTAATGTAATAAAGTGTGTTTAATCCACCATGCTGCTATTTATTTTTTGTGTGTTTCTTCTGTTTTTGCTTTTCTTTTCTCAGATTCTTTTGAATTATTCAAGCTTTTTTTAATCATGCCATTTTACCTCCTTATAAGCTTTTTAGTTATATCTTTTTCTACTGGTCTTTTAATTGGCCCCCTGAATACTACAATGTTCATCTTTGAATATTAGCTTCTCTTAAATTAGAACTTTTTACTGTTTTTCAAGCATTGCTAGTACCTTACGACAAATTTAATTCCATTTACCCCTTGACTACCCTCTATGCTATTGTTATATATTTGACTTTTATGTATTTCATAAATGCTAAAAGAAAGTTATTATTGTGTTTACCCATCAATTTTTTTATTATTATTATACTTTAAGTTCTAGGGTACATGTGCACAATGTGCAGGTTTGCTACATAGGTATACACGTGCCATGGTGGTTTGCTGCATGCATCAACTCGTCATATACATTAGGTATTTCTCTTAACGCTATCCCTCCCCCAGCCCCCCAGCCTCAGATTGGTCCCAGTGTGTGATGTTCCCCTCCCTGTGTCCATGTGTTCTCATTTTTCAACTCCCACTTATGAGTGAGAACATGCGGTGTTTAGTTTTCTGTTCTTGTGATGGTTTGCTAATGATGGTTTCCAGCTTCATCCACGTCCCTGCAAAGGACATGAACTCATCCTTTTTTATGGCTGCATAGTATTCCATGGTGTATATGTGCCACATTTTCTTTTTTTTCTTTTTTTTTTTTTTTTTTTTTTGAGACGGAGTCTCACTCTGTCGCCCAGGCTGGAGTGCAGTGGTGGGATCTCGGCTCACTGCAAGCTCCGCCTCCCGGGTTCATGCCATTCTCCTGCCTCAGCCTCCCAAATAGCTGGGACTACAGGCGCCCGCCACTACGCCCGGCTAATTTTTTGTATTTTTAGTAGAGACGGGGTTTCACCATTTTAGCCGGGATGGTCTCGATCTCCTGACCTCGTGATCCGCCCGCCTCGGCCTCCCAAAGTGCTGGGATTACAGGCATGAGCCACCGCGCCCGGCCTCACATTTTCTTTATTCAGTCTATTATTGATGGACATTTGGGTTGGTTCCAAGTCTTTGCTATTGTGAACACTGCCACAATAAACATACGTGTGCATGTGTCTTTATAGTAGCATGATTTTTTTTTTTTTGAGACAGAGTCTTGCTCTGTCACCCAGGCTGGAGTGCAGTGGCACGATCTCGGCTCACAGCAAGCTCTGCCTTCCAGGTTCATGCCATTCTCCTGCCTCAGCCTCCCGAGTAGCTGCAACTACAGGTGCCTGCCACCACGCCCAGCTGATTTTTTTTTTTTTTGTATTTTTAGTAGAGACGGGGTTTCACCATGGTCTCGATCTCCTGACCTCATGATCCGCCTGCCTTGGCCTCCCAAAGTGCTGGGATTACAGGCGTGCACCACCACGCCCAGCCACATGATTTACAATCCTTTGGGTATATACCCAGTAATGGGATTGCTGGGTCAAATGGTATTTCTTGTTCTAGATCCTTGAGGAATCGCCACACTGTCTTCCACACTGGTTGAACTAATTTACAGTCCCACCAACTGTGTAAAAGCCTTCCTATTTCTCCACCTCCTCTCCAGCATCTGTTGTTTCCTGACTTTTTAGTGATCGCCATTCTAACTGGCGTGAGATATTATCTCATTGTGGTTTTGATTTGCATTTCTCTGATGACCAGGGATAATGAGCATTTTTTCCTATGTCTGTTGGCTGCATAAATGTCTTCTTTTGAGAAGTGTCTATTCATATCCTTTGCCAACTTTTTGACCCATCAACACTTTTTAATCCTCACCCATCTATTTAGCCTTACCAGTGCTTTTGGTTTGTTCTTGTAGTTCCATGCTTCAATCTGGATAATTTTCCCCCTGCCTAAGAAACTTCCTTTACTGAATCTTAGTAGCACAGGTCTGCCAGCTACAAATTATTTCAGCTTTTGTTTGTTTGAAAAAAATGTACGTTTTTCTACTTCTCATCTGATTTACTAAAAGATTTTTTCCAGATTTACTGAGGTACAATTGACAAAAACTGCATGTATTCAAGGTGTACAACATAATGACTTGATTTACATTTTTACTGTGAAATGATTATGACAATCAAATTAATTAACATACCCATCACCACAGTTACTGTTGCAGGGAAGTGAGGATACTAAAAAAAATTTTTATTCCTATTTAATTTTTCAAGAATATTTCTTCATTGGATAAAGAATTCTATGCTGTCAAGTTTTATTCTTTCCACACTTTTTCAAATATGCCATTGTCTTTGGAGTTCACAGTTGCTGTTAACAAGTCACTGTCAATATCATTATTGTTGTTCCTTGAAAAATAAAAACAACCTTGCTTGGTTGCTTTTGAAACTTTTTCTTTATAATTTGGAGGCTTGATTCATACATCTAGCTGTGATTTTCTTGTATTTATCCTGCTTGGGGTTCACTGCACTTTATGAATTTGTTGTTTGCTTTCTTTTATTAGTTTTGCGAAGTTATTCTGTCCTTTTGTTTCTCTCCTTTCCTTCTGGAACTTCAGTCACACATATTTTAGAACTTCTGTGTCCCATATGTCTTTTAAACTTTGTTCTGTTATTTATGTATTTTTCCTTCTCTGTGCTTCAGTTTGGGTATTTTCTATTTCTCTGTCTTCAAGTTCACTACTTTTGTATTCTGTTGTATCCAATCCATTCTTAAACCCTTGAATAAGCTTTTAATTTAATCAAGTGCATTTCTCAGTTCTAGACTGTCCATTTCTTTTCTATGTGTTCTAGTTCTCTATTCGAAGTATCCATTCATTTTGGCCATTATTCCTTCTATTTCCTTTTAAACATCATTGTTATTTTAAAGATTGTAAAATACAGCATCAATATCATATATAGATCTTTTTCTAGTGCCTACTTTTCTTGATTATCAATAATATTTTCTGATCTCTTCACATGCTTTATAGGTTATTGTGTATAAAAGAATTTTGTAATTGTATATCCCAATCACAAAATTGTACCTATGTGATATCAGCCATAATGTACTTTAAAAGCACAATATCAGTATTGCTTTGCTATTCCTATGTTGTATTTATTAAAATATCTTGCATCCAAGAGTTTTTAATCATTCTATAATCTTTTAATTAAAAAAAATTCCTATCATAATGTTTTTCCAGGATGAAGTCATGGTTTTTTCTATTCTAATCCTAAAATTTTTTTCTCCACAATTATCATTCTATGAAAAAAAAAAATACTCTTTCTTGAAGATTTTCCCTTGTCCTGGGTCTGCAACCATTCAGGTTAGTTAAATAGTTATATATTTTATCTCTGAATCCCTACTGCTTAGCAAAATACCTGGTACAGAGTAGATGTTCTAAAACTGTTTTTACTGAAAGAATTAGCAAACGGTCAATTAGTAGCCAACCCAAACTGCTAAGTCATGTTAACTTATAATACATGAAATTGTATTCAAAATTAGCTATAAATATGTGATGAAAAGTGTTTACACTACCATATACTTTGAGAACCCCCATATTTGAGTCATAAAGAATGATTTCTTACCAGCTCTTCTGAGACCTACATGGTGAGTCAGTGATACAGAAGATGACCTTTGCTTCGGGATAGTCAGTAGATTTGAATTAAAAGGCCCATTTAGATAGCATCCTTGACTAAAAGGGAAAAATAACAGGTTAAAATTTTTAAAAACAGGAAAAGTTTCACCTTTTTTCCTCATGGTTCTCAATTTAATTAGCAAATATATCCTCATAAATTCAGAGTTTGCGCCTCTAGTGCCTAAGGCCTAAAGCAGGAGTCAGCAAACTTTTTCTGTAAAGAACCTGATGGTAAATACTTTTGGCTATATGTTCTCTATTGCAGCTACTCAACTCTGCTGATGTAGCACAAAAGCATCCACAAACTAAAATGAACAAATGGGTATGGTTTTGTTTCAATAAAATTTTACTTACAAAAAAACAGGTTATAGACCAGATTAGGTCCATAGGCTGCAGACTGCCAATCCCTGGGGTGAAATAGGTTATCACAATTACTTTGAAGGTTTCTTAAAACATAGGCTGCTGGTCTCGTCCCCAAGGTTTCTGATTCACTAAGTCTTGGGTGGGGCCAGATAATCCACACTTCTAACAAGTTCTTATATGATGGAGTTTCTGATCCAGTGACCTCACTGAGAACTACTGGACTAAAGTATAGTTTTTCATTTTTTTCTGTTCCCTATCCTCACAAGTATTGACAACTTTTATTAGTGTAGGCAAAAAACAAGCAGTAAGCAAATAATACCACCCAATGAACTCATCTCCCTGTCAATGCTCAGTCATTCTTCATATTTTCATTGTGTGAAAATAAGTAATTCAAAACCAAATTTTGGAACTTTTATTCTGAGCCTTAAAGGAATGTGATTTTGGGACCTCAGTCACTAACAGGCAGCTGTAACCTAGGCAGACATAGCCTTGATTTCCCTGACTACAGATTAGCCTTTTATTCCCCCCTAACTTACACTGCTTTGCTAAATGCTGCAAATAACTAAAGGATGTCAAAGAAGACTCCTTCCCTCTTTACTGTTGATCTTCATTATAGATTAACTTCCCTTTTTCTTCTCTTACACAAAGACACACTTTCTAAGATGGACTGTTAAATATATTCTTTTAAATTGGAAAAAGAAAACAAACAAGCTGTAACTAATCAAATTGCTGTAACTCAGAAGCCAACTTTGTGTGGAAAATGTTATTCTGCTAAATATCTTTGTTTTCTGCCTATACAAATATGATCTTAACTTTTCAACTTTGAAGCACTGACCCTATTTCCTTGGAGTCTGTGTTTCCTGGATGGGCATCCACAGCTTTGTGTTTGAATAAACTCTTTTAAGCTGGATTCTTATCCTTTTGATTATTTCATACCGGCAACTGCCTACATGTGGGGTGGCAAAGACTGGAAAAGAAGAGTAACAGTACCACCCGGGGCAACATTCAAATAGAAAAATGTGTGTGTTCCCAGGCAAGATGGTTGAATAGAAAGAGCTCCAGTCTGCAGCTCTCAGCAAGATTGACGCAGAAGGTGGGTGATTTCTGCATTTCCAACTGAGGTACCCAGTTCGTCTCACTGGGACTGGTTGAACAGTGGATGCAGCCCAAAGACGGCGAGCTGAAGCAGGGTGGGGCATCACCTCACTTGGGAAGGGCAAGAGGTTGGGGAATTTTCTCCCCTATCCAAGGCAAGCTGTGAGGAACTGTGCCGTGAGGAACAGTGCATTCCAGCCCAGATACTACGCTTTTCCCAGTCTTCGCAATCCACAGACCAAGAGATTCCCTCCGGTGCCTACCCCACCGGGGCCCTGGGTTTCAAGCAAAAAACTGGGCGGCCATTTAGGCAGACACCAAACTAGCTGCAAGAGTTTTTTTTGTTGTTGTATTGTTTTTTCCATACCACAGGGGCACCTGGAACGCCAGCAAGACAGAACCCTATACTCCCCCGGAAAGAGGGCTAAAGCCAGGGAGCCAAGTGGTCTGGCTCTGCAGATCTCACCGCCACAGAGCCCAGCAAACTAAGATCCACTGGCTTGAAATTCTCACTGCCAGCACAGCAGCTGTCTGAGATCCACCTGGGATGCTCAAGCTTGGTGGAAGGAGGGGCATCTGCCATTGCTGAGGCTTGAGTAGGCGTTTTGCCCTCACAGTGTAAACAAAGCAGCCCAAAAGTTTGAACTGGGTGGACCCCACTGCAGCTCAGCAAGGCCATTGAGGCCAGACTGCCAGATTTCTCCACTCTGGGCAGGGCATCTCTGAAAAAAAGGCAGCAGCCCCAGTCAGGGACTTACAGATAAAACCCCAATCTCCCTGGGACAGAGCACCTGGGGGAAGGGGTGGCTACGGGTGCAGCTTCAGCAGACTTAACCATCCCTGCCCAATGGCTCTGAAGAGAGTAGCAGACCTCCCAGCACAGTTTTCAAACTCTGCTAAGGGTCAGACTACCTCCTCAAGTGGGTCCCTGACCCCCATGTATCCTGACTGGAAGACACCTCCCAGTAGGGGCGGACAGACACCCCATACAGAAGAGCTCTGGCTGGCATCTGGCAGGTGTCCCTCTGGGACAAAGCTTCCAGAGGAAAGAACAGGCAGTAATGATTGCTGCTCTGCAGCCTCTCCTGGTGACATCCAGGCAAACAGGGTCTGGAGTGGACCTCCAGCAAACTGCAGCAGACCGGAAGCAAAGGGGCCTGACTGTTAGAAGGAAAACTAACAACAGAAAGGAATAGCATGTCCACTCAAAGACCCCATCTGAAGGTCACAAACATCAAAGACCAAAGGTAGATAAATCCACAAAGATGGGGAGAAACCAGCACAAAAAGGCTGAAAATTCCAAAAAACACAACGCCTCTTCTCCAAATAATCACAACTCCTCACCAGCAGGGGAATAAAACTGGACAGAGAATGAGTTTGATGAACTGACAGAAGTAGGCTTCAGAAGGTGGGTAACAACAAACTAATCCGAGCTAAAGGAGCATGTTCTAATCCAATGCAAGGAAGCTAAGAACCTTGAAAAAAGGTCAGACGAATTGCTAACTAGAATAATCAGTGTAGAGAAGAAAATAAATGACCTGATGGAGCTGAAAAACACAGCACGAGAACTTCGTGAGGCATACACAAGTATCAATAGCCTAATTGATCAAGTGGAAGAAAGGATATCAGAGATTGAAGATCAACTTGATGAAATAAAGCAAGAAGATTAGAGAAAAAAGAATAAAAAGAAATGAACAAAGCCTCCAAGAAATAAGGGACTATGTGAAAATACCAAATCTGCGTTTGATTGGTGTACCTGAAAGTGACAGGGGGAATGGAGCCAAGTTGGAAAACACTCTTCAGGATATTATCCAAGAGAACATCCCCAACCTAACAAGACAGGCCAACATTCAAATTCAGGAAATACAGAGAATACCACAATGATATTCCTTGAGAAGAGCAACCCCAAGACACATAACTGTCAGATTCACCGAAGTTGAAATGAAGGAAAAAATGTTAAGGGCACCCAGAGAGAAAGCTCAGGTTACTCACAAAGGGAAGCCCATCAGACTAACAGCGGATCTCTCTCGGCAGAAACCCTATAAGCCAGAATAGAATGAGGGCCAGTATTCTTTTTTGAGATGGAGTCTCTCTCTGTCACCCAGGCTGGAATGCAGTGGTGCAATCTCAGCTCACTGCCACCTCCGCCTCCCAGGTTCAAGCAATTCTCCTGCCTCAGCCTCCTGAGTAGTTGCGATTACAGGCGCGCACCACCACGCCCAGCTAACTTTTGTATGTTTATTAGAGACGGGGTTTCACCACGTTGGTCAGGCTGGAATCGAACTCCTGACCTCGTGATCCGCCAAAAGAAAAAGAATTTTCAACCCAGAATTTCATATCCAGCCAAACTAAGCTTCATAAGTGAAGGAGAAATAAAATACTTTACAGACAAGCAAATGCTGAGAGATTCTGTCACCACCAGGCCTGCCTAACAAGAGCTCCTGAAGGAAGCACTAAACATGGAAAGGAACAACCAGTACCAGCCACTGCAAAAACATACCAAATTGTAAAGACCATCAACACTACTAAGAAACTGCATCAACTAAAGGGCAAAACAACCAGCTAGCATCATAATGACAGCATCAAATTCACACATATTAACCTTAAACGTAAATGGGCTAAATGCCTCAATTAAAATACACAGACTGACAAATTGGATAGTCAAGACCCATCAGTGTGCTGTATTCAGGAGACCCATCTCACCTGTAAAGACACATCAGGCTCAAAATAAAGTGATGGAGGAATATTTACCAAGAAAATGGAAAGCAAAAAAAAAAAAAAAAAAGGCAGGAGTTGCAGTCCTAATCTCTGATAAAACAGACTTTAAACCAACAAAGATTAAAAGAGACAAAGAAGGGCATTACATAATGGTAAACGGATAAATGCAAAAGAGCTAACCATCCTAAATATATATGTACCCAATATAAGAGCACCGAGATTCATAAAGCAAGTTCTTAGAGACCTACAAAGAGACTTAGACTCCTACACAATAATAGTGGGAGACTTTAACACCCTACTGTCAATATTAGACAGATCAACGAGACAGAAAATTAACAAGGATATTCAGGACTTGAACTCAGCTCTGGACCAAGTGGACCTAAGAGACATCTACAGAACTCTCCACCCCAAATCAACAGAATATACATTCTTCTCAGCACCTCACTGCACTTATTCTAAGATTGACCACGTAATGGGAAGTAAAACACTCCTCAGCAAAGGCAAAAGAACAGAAATCATAACAAACAGTCTCTCAGACCACAGTGCAATCAAATTAGAACTCAGGATTAGGAAACTCACTCGAAACCGCACAACTACATGGAAACTGAACAACCTGCTCCTGAATGACTACTGGGTACATAACAAAATGAAGGCAGAAATAAAGATGTTTTATGAAACCAATGAGAACAAAGACAAAACATACCAGAATCTCTGGGACACATTTAAAGCAGTGCGTAAAAGGAAATTTATAGGACTAAATGCCCATAAGAGAAAGCAGGAAAGATCTAAAATTGACACCCTAACATCACAATTAAAAGAACTAGAGAAGCAAGAGCAAACAAATTCAAAAGCTAGCAGAAGGCAAGAAATAACTAAGATCAGAACAGAACTGAAGGAGATAGAGACACGAAAAACCCTTCAAAAAATCAATGAATTCAGGAGCTATTTTTTTCAAAAGATCAACAAAATATATTGACCACTAGCCAGGCTAATAAGGAAGAATAAGAAAAGAATCAAATAGACACATTAAAAAATGATACAGGGGATATCACCACTGATCCCACAGAAATACAAACTACCATCAGAGGATACTATAAACACCTCTACACAAATAAACTAAAAAATCTAGAAGAAATGGATAAATTCGTGGACACACACACCCTCCCAAGTCTAAACCAGGAAGAAGTCGAATCCCTGAACCGACCAATAACAAGCTCTGAAATGGAGGCAGTAATTAATAGCCTACCAACCAAAAAAAAGTCCAGGACCAGACAGATTCACAGCTGAATTCTACGACAGGTACAAAGAGGAGCTAGTACCATTCGTTCTGAAACTACTCCACTCAATAGAAAAAAAGGAAATCTTCCCTAAATCATTTTATGACACCGACATCATCCTGATACCAAAACCTGGAAGAGACACAACAAAAAAAGAAAATTTCAGGCCAATATCCCTGGTGAACATCGATATGAAAATCCTCAATAAAATATTGGCAAACAGAATCCAGCAGCACATCAAAAAGCTTACCCACCACGATCAAGTAGGCTTCATCCCTGCGATGCAAGGCTGGTTCAACATACACAAATCAATAAACGTAATCCATCACATAAACAGAACCAATGACAAAAACCGCATGATTATCTCAATAGATGCACAAAAGTCCTTTGACAAAATTCAACACCCCTTCATGCTAAAAACTCTCAATGAACTAGGTATCAATGGAATGTATCTCAAAATAATAAGAGCTATTTATGACAAACCAATAAGCAATATCATACTGAATAGGCAAAAACTGGAAGCATTCCTTCTGAAAATTAGCACAAGACAAGGATGCCCTCCCTCACCACTCCTATTCATCATGGTAGTGGAAGTTCTGGTCAGGGCAATCGGGCAAGAGAAAGAAATAAGCGGTATTCAATTAGGAGGAGAGGAAGTCAAATTGTCTCTGTTTGCAGATGACATGATTCAATTATTTATAAAACCCCATTGTCTCAGCCCCAAATCTCCTTAAGCTGATAAGCAACTTCAGAAAAGTGTCAGGATAAAAAATCAATATGCAAAAATCACAAGCATTCCTATACAACAAAAACAGACAAACAAGAGAGCCAAATCATGAGTGAACTCCCATTCACACTTGTTATAAAGAGAATAAAATACCTAGGAATCCAACTCACAAGGGTTGTGAAGGACCTCTTCAAGGAGAACTACAAACTACTGCTCAAGGAAATAAGAGAGGACAAACAAATGAAAAAACATTCCATGCTAATGGATAGGAAGAATCAATATCACAAAAATGGCCATACTGCCCAAAGTAATATATAGATTCAGTGCTATCCCCATCAAGCTACCATTGACTTTCTTCACAGAATTAGAAAAAACTACTTTAAATTTCATATGGAACCAAAAAAGATCCCTCATAGCCAAGACAATCCTAAGCAAAAAGAACAAAGCTGGAGGCATCACGCTACCTGACTTCAAACTATACTGCAAGGCTACAGTAACCAAAACACCCTGTTTGCCTGCCTGGGTATCACCAGGAGAGGCTGCAGAACAGCAATCATTACTGCCTGTTCTTTCCTCTGGTACTGGTACCAAACCGATATATAGACCAATAGGATAGAACAGAGGCCTCAGAAATAACACCACACATCTACAACCATCTGATCTTTGACAAACCTGACACAACAAGCAATGGGGAAAGGATTCCCTATTTAATAAATGGTGTTGGGAAAACTGGCTAGCCATATGCAGAAAACTGAAACTGGACCCCTTTCTTACACCTTATACAAAAATTAACTGAAGATGGATTAAAGACTTAAACGTAAGACCTAAAACCACAAAAATCTTACAAGAAAACCTAGGCAATACCATTCAGGACACAGGCATGGGCAAAGACTTCATGTCTAAAACACCAAAAGCAATGGCAACAAAAGGCAACATTGACCAATGCGATCTAATTAAAGAGCTTCTGCACAGCAAAAGAAACTACCATCCATCAGAGTGAACAGGCAACCTACAGAATAGGAGAAAATTTTTACACTCTATCCATCTGACAAAGGGCTAATATCCAGAATCTACAAAGAACTTAAACAAATTTACAAGAAAAATACAACCCCATCAAAAAGTGGGCAAAAGATATGAACAGACACTTCTCAAAAGAAGACATTTATGCAGCCAACAAACATATGAAAAATGATCATTATCACTGGTCCTTACAGAAATGCAAATCAAAACCACAATGAGATACCATCTCATGCCAGTTAGAATGGCGATCATTAAAAAGTCGGGAAACAACAGATGCTGCAGAGGATGTGGAGAAATAAGAATACTTTTACACTGTTGGTGAGTGTAAATTAGTTCAACCATTGTGGAAGACAGTGTGGCGATTCTTCAAGGATCTAGGACAAGAAATACCATTTGACTCAGCAATCCCATTACTGGGTATACACCCAAAGGATTATGAAGCATTCTATTATAAAAACACATGCACATGTATATTTATTGCTATTCACAATAGCAATGACTTGGAACCAACCGAAGTGTCCATCAATGATAGACTGGATAAAGAAAATGTGGCACATACACACCACGGAATACTACGCAGCCATAAAAAAGGAAGAGTTCATGTCCTTTGCAGGGACATGGATGAAGCTGGAAACCATCATTCTCAGCAAACTATCACAAGAACAGAAAACCAAACACCACATGTTCTCACTCATAAGTGGGAGTTGAACAATGAGAACACATGGACAAAGGGAGGGGAACATCACACACCAGGGCCTGTCGGGGGGTGGGGGACTAGAGGAGGGATAGCATTAGGAGAAATATCTAATGTAGGTGACGGGTTGATGGGTGCAGTGAACCACCATGGCACGTGTATACCTATGTAACAAAACTGCACATTCTGCACATGTACCCCAGAACTGAAAGTATAATGATAATAATAATAATAAGATAATGAATTGAGCTTTCAAACACTTAGACATGCAAACAAAATTAAATCTCATATTCTTCTTGTCCATATCATTCACAGCATACAAACACACTCTAAAAGCTTCTAGTTTAAAATAAAAAAGAAAGAAAACAAAAAAAGAGAAAAATCTGTGTATTCTACCAAAGCCCACTCCCTGATTCTATGATTAATAGTCAAGACAAAGAGAGATTTCTCCTTTCAGAATGGCACCACAGCACTGCTCCACTGTCTTCTACCTTGATCCAGGGTCTTTCAATAATTTCAGTATATCATACATTCATTTAGCTATTTAGAATTAAGAGTTACAGGTCAAATGATAGGTTCTCAGATTAGTTCCCGAATCTTCCCATCATGTCCTGGCCCAGCACCAGATAAATACACACCTCAATGAAATTACATAAATCAATACGAAGAAAGCAGAAGACAAGCAGACGAGTAGTTCCAATGACTACTAATAGTTGGCAGGAAGGTGATTAAAGTCAGACTTGGTGTGATATTGTGAAATACATATTTGGTTTTAGTCCAGTCCCTGTTTCCTAGCATACAACTCCTAAACTCCTGAGGATCTCCAAAGTGTCTTTTTGTATGCTAATGAGTTGACTGATGGCTGGCAGCTTCTAGGTAGCTTCAGGATAGAGGCTAGTCACTTGAAAGACCAAGACAGGATTAGATGATGGGGGTTTTCAGCCCCACTACCCAACCTCCAGAGAGAGGAGAGGGACTAAAGCTTAAATTGCTCACCAATGGCCAATGATTTACTCAATCATGCCTATAAAATGAAGCTCCTATAAAAATCCAGAAAGGACTGGGTCTGAGGAGCTTGTGAATAGCCAAACACGTGGGGGCTTCCAGGAAAGTGAACAAGAACATGTCCACAAGCAAGGAAGGTGGTATACTCCAACTCCACAGGGGCAGAAGCTCCTGTACTCAGGCCCCTTCCAGACCTGTCCTTTGTATCTCCTCATCTGGCTGTTGATTTGTATCCTTTAAAATATTATTTGTAATAAGCCAGTAAACATGCTTCCTTGAGTTCTGTGAGCTGCTCTAGCAAATTACCTGAACCCAGGGAGGGGGCTGTGGGAACCCTGATTTACAGCTGGTTGGTCAGAAGCACAGGCAAAATAACCTGAGGCTTGCTATTGGCATCAGAAGTGGAGATCAGTCTTGTCGGACTGAGTCCTTAACCAGTATGATCTGAC
This sequence comes from Homo sapiens, assembly GCF_000001405.40. Classification (NCBI taxonomy): domain Eukaryota; kingdom Metazoa; phylum Chordata; class Mammalia; order Primates; family Hominidae; genus Homo; species Homo sapiens. The sequence continues at coordinate 14,794,652 of NC_000011.10, read as the reverse complement.
GCTATCTCCAGGTAGATGGTGTCAGAAATAATGGAATTAGGCTGGGCATGGTGTCTCATGCCTGTAATCCCAGCACTTTGGGAGGCCGAGGCAGGCAGATCACCTGAGGTCAGGAGTTCGAGACCAGCCTGGCCAACATGGTGAAACCCCGTCTCTACTAAAAATACAAAAATTAGCTGGGCATGGTGGCATGTGCCTGTAGTCCCAACTACTCAGGAGGTTGAGGAAGAATTGCTTGATCCCAGGAGGCAGAGACTGCAGTGGGCAGAGATCGTGCCACTGCACTCCAGCCTGGGCAACAGAGTGAGACTCTGTCTCAAAAAAAAAAAAAAAGAAAAGAAAAAGAAATAATTGAATTATAGGACACCTAGCTTATGTCTACTACAGAATTGCTTGCTTGCCTGCTTGCTTGCTCGCTTGCTTGCTGGTGGGGAGAAATCCCCACACATCTGGTATCAGAAATGTGCTGTCAGAGTATGGTGGAAGAAATTGAGTTTGTTTTTCTTTTTCTACTCACTTGGGAATGAGTTGTCAAAAGCAAACGAACAAGAGACGTCAAAAGTTATGGTCCCTGAGCTAAGCTATATTTTAAGAGCTGACTTCTAGACAGTCAATACAAATTACCTTAACAAGGTCTGTACCAACTCAGTTTCAATGCAGTTGTATAAACTTGATAACTGTAGATGTCTAAATTTACAGAGTTATTCTCTTAAGAAGCTGAGTAGGATGACACAATTAGCCCTCTTGAATTGCTGGGGTTCAAATAGGGTCAAGTTTGCTAATATAACCTTGGTGTAAGTCTCTGATAAATTATAAGGCACAGAATTTAACATACATACTATTGCCAGGCAACGAGTTATTAGATTTCATTACACAGTAGCGGTGAAGATAAATGGTGACTCATGGGTTTAAAAGCAAGTCTCTTTAGTGTAGGAGGTAACTATAATTGATAGCCCACAGGGTAATTGAACACAACTTGCCTATTTTTTTCCCCAGGGAAAACCTGTTCAAAAAGAGTGACCTGTGAGCCCTGAATATATGCTGTTTGACCTCAGAGAAGGCTGGGTCCCATCACTCAGTTCAAAAATAGCAGTTCAGTCTTCTTTTAACTCTAAGTATAGGTTGAGCATCCCAAATCCAAAATGCTCCAAAATTCAAAATTTCTTGAGTATAAACATGACTCTGCAAATGGAAAATTCCACACTTGACCACATGAGATGGGTCACAGTTAAAATATAGTCAAAACTTTGTTTCACGCATAAAATTATTTAAAATATTATATAAAATCACGTTCAGGCTATGTGTATATGAAATATAAATGAATATTGGGTTGTATCCCCAAGATACAACATTATGCATAGGCAAATATTCCAAAACCTGAAATCTGAAACACTTCTGGTCCCAAGACTTTCAGATAAGGGATATTCAACCTGTACTAAAACTAGAACTCAGAGATGGGTAATTTTATCATCAGCAAATCCAGAAAACAACCTTTCCTGGAACTTTCTGACCACAGAAATCTCATCCCAGATCTGAAACTTAAGCAGAAGGCAAGATTAAGGGTCATAATCTCATATGGATACCATACCTCTGCAGGACACTTGTTAAGCAGCCATTTGTCTTCAAAGATTCATTTTAATGCAATCTCGAACTCTTTACAGAACTTAAACAGGCTTTAGAGGAGTAGTAATGGCTGACATAAAGTCAAATGTGAAAAGCGCCGTAAGAGAATGTGTTATGGAAATTCAGAGGAAGAAAAGAGTACTTCTCCTTGGAGAAGGGAGAAGGACCTCCAGGTGTTATCCTTATAAGGTGATTTATGAGCCCAACTAAGGATATACAGAACTGAAGTTGAGATCTATTCCAGTTAAATTGCTTTTTAAATTAAAAGGGTGCACAGATGGACAGAGAGAAGATCAAATAGTTCAGCTTGACTAGAATTTCAGAAGACTAGAGGAAGGTGATGTTGGAAACATATTTTGGTGTTGTAAAGGAATGGCCTCCTTAATTAGTAAAATCTCAAGTCCTCTAACAGATGAACAATAATAAACTCTTAACAATAAGAACAGGGTCGCTGTTCAATGGGGGACTAACTCTTCTTCCCTGTGGTTTTCTTTCTTCTGATTATTTTTATCATAGCTCCCAGGGTTATAATACTTAATTTTTTTCTCTAGGCAAAGCATGAATAAAAGCAAAATTAAATCCTGTATTATTCTTTACACAAATAGGGTATTACTTTTTATCCAAATACCTTATATATATTTCATTGTTTGTATTTTAATTATTTTGAAACATAATTTAGCTTAATTTTCAAATGGTGTTAAACCAAGAACAAAATTACCAGAAAACATCAAGGAAGAGTCTTAAACAAGTTACATGCCTACTGTTTTTACCTAGAAAGCTTTCCATATCATTTTTCTATTCTCATTATTTGAAAGACTGCTCATCTGTGTTAGTTCATTTACTTTTTCCAAGTAAGGGCTGCAGCTCTGTCATGAGGTAATAATTGGGTTTCACATTCTACACTAGGAATTTGGGCGTTATTCTATAGGACTGGTAAAGAGTCCAAAAATGCAATGACTAGACAAACTATACATAGTCAGCTCTCTGTATGTGAGGTTTCTACATCCACAGATTTAACCAACCCCAAATCAAAAATATTCAAGGAAAAAAAACACAGTAATAAAAAAATACAAGTAAAAAATAGAGTATAACAACTCTTTACATAGCATTTACATTGCCTTAGGTATTATAAATAATCTGGAGGTGATTTAAAGTACATGAAAGGATGTGTAGAGAGAATATGTAAATACTACACCATTTTATATAAAGGACTCAAGCATCCATGGATTTTTGTACCCATGGGAAGGGGAGGGGCCTGGAACCAATCCCCCAGGGATAACCAGGGACAACTGCAATCACAGTTTTATTTAAGGAAGATTTCTAGTGTAAGGTGGAAGATTAATAAAGTCAAGAAGGATACTGGAAACTGGAATTAAGAGGCTAATTCAATAGCCCAAGTAAGTAGTAATGAAAGCATAAAATAGTATAGGCACAGTGATAAAGGAGAAGAATAGAGAGTAAAAGATAATGCAGACAGATATCTGACAACTGTTATCTGTAGAATAAGGTAACAGGATGCAAAGATAACACCAAGTCTCTAAGTAAATCAATTTTGTAAGCAACCACTCCACTAGAGGATAGCAGCATTGTGCGGGGAAATAAGGGCAGAACAATAGTAACAGACAAAAAAGCAGCTGGAATGATGAGAAACCTGGTATCAGGCATAGGCTCAGGAAATGAGAGGTTCAACACCGGAATCATGCTGAAATCAGTCAGGCAAACTGTGATCAGAATCCAAAGCTCAAGACTCAAAATCAAGGATATGAGATCTCGATTCTGGAGTACTATAATATAAAGTCAAGATGATTTCAGAGTCATAAGTCTATGAGTTTTGTGCTACTAAAGTCTAAAGATTCCTGAACAAAACATCACTACGCATTAAAGATCTAGAGCTGCACTAATATGGATGTCACATATGTCTACAAAACAGTCACATATGGCTCTTTATATCTGAATGAAATTAATAAGAATTAAATCACATTTAAAAGTCAGTTCCTTAGTCATGCTAGACACATTTCAAATGATTAACAGTCACATGTAGCTAGGGAGTACCATATTAGACAGTGCAGATATAAACTATTTCCATCATTGCAAAAATTTCTATTAGACAGCACTGATCCAGAGATTTGAATCTGAAAAGGAATAGTGGTTGTAAATGTTTCATATATTCCCATCGTAACCCACCTATGTGCAAAGTACACATAGACATTTATTACCAAGAGGCTCCAGCTTCTGCAAACTAGAAAAGATACATCTAGCCTGGTCTCTTTAAAATAGACGTACATAATACCACCAATTAATTTATTCTCCAAATTTCTAAATATTTTATGAGGCATAAATTTTGTTTTAATGAGTTAAGTCACTACATAGAATCTACCTACATTTAGCTTTATATAATAAACACTTTTCAGAGTTAAAGATTAGTTTTCTCTGAACTATGTTTCTATTGTAATCAATTATCTGAGGCAGCAGGATAAAAATGACCTTAACTCAATGTATCAAATGTTTCTTTAACTGCAAATGCATTGCTGTTACATCAGTATGAAAGGTTAAAATATAAAACATTTTTATCATACCTTTTAAAACCCAACTATATTCTCAAGATAATGCTACCCATAGTTAAGAAATACTGTCACATTTTCTGTTCCTAACATCATTCACTTCCCTATATCCTGCTTCCTTTACAAAAAAAAAAAAAAGACTATGATGTTCAGGCCATGGCAAATTTTGGACCAATGCTCATTTTCCTGTACAGTACTCTTCATACTTCAATCCATTCCTGTTTTAGACATCACTTCATTCAATTTTTCTTTTACAAAAAAGGAGTTCACCTGCTTGAATATATTATACAAGATTCAAATTAATAAACCACCTAAGAATCTAGAAAATTATAATCATCTAATTATCTGTTAACATAAACTTTAACAAATAGCTATGATCCAATCCTGCCATCTACTGTTTCAAATGTGAAACTATACAGCTCAAAAGTATAAAACATGCTCAGTAATACCAGAAAATGGTTAACACAGAATTTGTGCCAATTCCAATATTATATTAACATAATTAGAAAGCTGAGTAAAGAAAAAACTTATGACAAACTCACACAAGGATCAGTATCCTTCCTGGCTTTCAAAAGACAAAGTACTGTATTATTAAATCCTTTGTTATCAGGGTAAATGTATATATTTACATTCGGGAGATTTCAGCTCCTGCATTTTCCCAGCCTCATTTACTTAAAGTTACTGATGCCTTTCATTTATAAGATTAGCATTGTTCAGTTCCAAGTAAATCCTCAACAGAATATAGAATATATTAGTTGTCTCAACCTCCAGCAGGAACAGGATTTGAAAGTCTGGTTACCTTAAACCTAACAATTGTGATGAGCCTTGGAAACGTGCTCCTCTTTTCAGAAGTCAGTAATTCTGCAGACCTACCTTTGGATACTATTCATTGGATTGGTGGCTAACCCTGTAATGGCCACTTCTATCGATTTAAAAACTTCCCCAGCATCCAGTCCTGAGTTGATCCTGATTTCCCTAAACTATCTCATGTTCTCAGGGATCCAGCACATTTTGTACCCAGCCTATCAAAGTTTTAGGACAAGACACATTAGCTTCTCTTTAATAATCAGTTTCTCTATTTTACCATATTATTACTACACATGTTGTCCTATACCTAAAATACTTCAACCATTCCTTTCTGCTTCCAGAACTATTTGAAACATTATTGACAGAAACAAAGTAGATGCATTTGATTCAAGTTTCTTAAAAGGCTCTGCAGATTTTACCTTGAAATGCCAAATTCTTGGTGAGGTCTTTTGCCATTATTACGATCCCACCTTGAAGACTGTTCAACAGGTAGCAATCCTGAAGTTCCTGAGCTTCTCCTCAGCTGTGGAGTTGGCAAACTATTCCTATTTAGTCCCTGTTGAATAATTTAACAATGGTTTAAAATGTCACTCTTTAATATGCTATATATGTAATATTAGTGATGGCACATGAAAGTATCAATACAAAGTATATTTTTAACATGTACAGAGAAAAAAGAAACATTTTATTCTGAAAATCTGTCAATTTACTCCAAATTTCACACTCTATTTTGTTATTCTATTCCTCTTCCTCCTACTAAAAAATATGTCTGAACTCTATAATTTAAGCTAGATTCTTTTTCTTTTGTACATTTTACTACTTGTTTCATAAGAAACAATCGGCAATTTAAAAAGTGGATATGAAAGATTTACCCTGAAAATCAACTTCAGAGGACAATCTTAGGATCAGGGATGATCAGCCCTATATTCTAAATTTTTTATATTTTCAGTACAGTGCTATAGAATTTACTTAGCTGTTAATCAGGAGAAACTGCAGGATTCTGGGTTTGAATAAATGACTGAGTTAAATACAGAACACCTTTAGCATTAATATTTTGCCCTAATTTTAAAAAATATTCTCAACTAACCCAAATGTTCAATTACCAATATTCCATTTTTGACCATTATAAATAAGTGTTTTACTGAGATTTACATAATAGTTTCTGCTTCTTATGAATTTCCTCTATCAGCAGACACTGCAGCAATCTCAGAGATAAGTATCTGTCTTATATTTCAGTTTTCCCAAGGACACTGATTTTGTAAAGGTTAATAGTTAATTAGACCTGCAGTGAAAAAGTCCTTTATGTTAATATCCTTGTTGAGTGTCATTTAGGTTCATATGATCTTTCTTTGTTCTTAATGTGTATAAGATAGTTATATCAAGTTGTCTGTTCCTTTTCCCTTTTGCCTATTGTTTTTTCAATAAATGCCTTTGCCCTTTTCTGAAGTAACAACAGGCTTTTTATATGCTTTTCCAAAAGGAGAGACAAATTCGATATAGAGTTCTAATAACGAGTTTAAAGAACACAAAGAAAAGGAATAAGGGTTACTTCCTGGTTCTTATATGACTTACTCTATCAGTAGATTCCAGAACCCAAAATAACCTTCCTTGATTAACTACAATGCTCAGGAAATGAGGCATTTAGGCATCCTGTTTAATTAATATTATGTTTAAAATATTCCTAAAATGTACCAGTACACTTTTCTACACACTAAATACTGATATCAATATGATTTCTGATTAAAAATTTTAAGAATTACTATTTTTAAAAATTACTATCCTGAGTATCAAATATCAACAGAAAATGCAAAGAAAGAGTAACATATAGAGTGAAAACTAACTCAAGAATACATTAGAGTTATTTTATTTATGGTTTATTGCTATGCCCTCTGAATGCTTGTGATTAACCTCTTTCTTATAAGATAGAGTGCTAAAAAGGAAGTCATGTAACTAAGTACTAATTAATTGGGTTTTGACTAATGTAGGTGCTACTGCATAAACTTTAAAAAAATAAAAGTATCACATAACAATGATCCAGATTGTGATCAATACTTCTGAAATCCTTTTCCTCTAACTGGGTTTGCTTAACTTTTCAACATTTCTAAACCCTAATGCTGACAACTGATAAAATTAACTGATGATCAAAATCCCTACAAAAACTATATTTACCTATTTCTAAGTTCTATAAGCATTATTACAATTGACAAAATTAACTGAAATAAATTTTGTCTTCTCTTGGTTAGTTTCCTTATCTGGAATAAAGTGGTTGAGTAAAATAATTTCTACAATGTTTCTAGTTTTAAAGTTTTATGATTTTAGCTATTGGCAAAGATACTGATAATAGTCAAATAAAACAAGTAAAAGCACTCTGAACAAGGATAATGCATACCCATTTAGAACAGTATTTATTATTTTCTAAAGAAAATCCTATTTTGAAATATTTATATTTTAAAGAGAAATTAATCCTCTATTCTAATGATATAAAAATCAATGCCTACTGGGCTACAGTAATCTTCAGTAGGTGTAAAAGGGGGAAAACAGGGTTCAAAAAACTTAAAAATCATTTTAAAATAATTCTATGTAATTCATAAAATGAATATGATAATGACCATTTCTTCTTGGCTCAACAAGAACAATTCCTAGATTCTAAAGAATAAAATAGAGCAATAACGTGATCTGACTACTAGTTTGTTGTACAAGCCTGGAACAAAATTTGCTTGCTGTTCTCTACTTCTTAACAAGAATAATAATACATAGTTGTTATAAGTGCTAATCACAGCAATGTATTTAAAATAAAAACTGAATACTCAACTATAATTATTTGAGCTTATAATTGCCTCTAACATCCCAAGCAGCTCAATATTATGTCTGATCCTTGAAACGAAAATTGTATTCTATATAGAATTTAAAGGAGCAGTTAATTTGAAAATATCATTAAATTTGATAAATAGGGTTAGATGATTACTGTATTTCGACCTTGTTAAGTTTTCTATCCCCTTTCTCAGCTGGGTCCTCTATTTCAGAACAGGGGTAAAATCCAGGAAATGGTGTGAGAGGATTAATCTTTGGCCTACAGGAACCTGAGAAAGCACCCATTAAGCTACTAATACTCCGTAGAGAGGAAATGACTTGTGGTGGAAGGCTTGGATCAGTCAGAAGATCTGACACCATATTGCGAGCCTCATTTAGCACTGAAAGATCAACTCCATTTCCACCTCCAGAATTCTAGAAAGAAAAAAAGTGAAATTTTCATTCATTTGTACATGGCATAAATGATATAACAAATGGTATAATTCTAACTTAAAATTTATATATATATATATGTAGCAAATAACCGTGAACTTTAATTTTTTTCTTTTTCGCTAGCTGATTATCACATTATATTTAATGGTATTAACTACTAACACTGAATTACCTTATGACTAGTATAAAACGAAATCTGTATTTACTTTAAAGTCTGTAATTTGAACATTTCATTAATTCATTATTTCCTTTCCTTTATAACAAAATTTTAAACATACAAAGCATTTATTTCATTTACCTTACTCACTTTAGAGGCAGTCTAACACAGTGACAAGGTTTTGTAGCAAACATACCTGAATTTGAAACCTAAACTTTAATCTTACCTGTGTGACCTTGAGTAATTTACTTAACCTCTGAATATTTTAGTTTCTTCAATGTAAAATCAGGATAGTAATGTCTACCTTATTATGGGCTAATATGAGAAATCTGATAATATATGTAAAGCAAATAAAGCAGTGTATAATGTATGATTTAAAGCACAAAAAGTATTATTACTATTAATATTATGGAAAATGATGAGATAAAAATAAAGAAAAATATGTTATAGTTCAAAAGAGATAGCGATAACTTAAAGATGAATAATTAACAAAAACCTCACAGACAGGGTAGCATCAGGCAAGGCCTTAAAAAATTGGTAGAAAAAAATTTTTTAATTTAGAAGAAATATGTCACCGATGTAAACATGAGATGATTTTTACTCTCTGAAAAAACATACATATGATGTTCAACTCGATTACCCATAGAAATAAATGGACTAGTAATCAGAACAGTAAATTAAATGTTACTTTTGTTTTTTGTTGTTGTTGTTGTACCTTGAACTTACATTTGGGTATGTTTGCAATTAATAATTATTCAAATTAATGAGTTCACAACAAAACTGTTTATTAAAGTATCCCCAATACATTTTGGAACTGAGAAATATTATGAACATTACACCAAGCTAGCTAAATAATGTCTGCTCTTTGCGGAATTTTTTTTCTTATGAAGTGTTAATATGTATTAGTTTTCACTTTAAAACATTTCCTGATACCAGGGCATAGCCCAACTATTTCTAGCCTTTCTCCCCTGCAAATACCACTAAAATAAACACCTGTCTATATATGTTACTGTGAACAATTAAGCATATTTCCTATACACAGCTTCCCATAATCTGAATTGCTGAATGCAAATTAACATGTTAAAATAAGGTCATTCCTCTAAAACTGCCTTAGAATATGTTGATCAAATCTACACTTCTAATTGTATATAACAGCACCTATTTTTCCATATCCCATTACAATTAGCAACTATGAATTTAATTAATCCCTATCTGATAGGCAAAAAAACCTCTAATTGCTGTTTTAATCTGAATTCTCTGATTATTGTGATTCTAAATGTTCCTTATAATATTTACATATTCAAATGGAACACACACAAAAACAATTTTTGTTTGCAAGTAACCTTTCCTCAATACTGTTTAAAAACTGTTGAAATTAGGAAAGAACAAATCACAAATTTACTGAGAGTACAGTGTGACTTTCACTTTAACAATACAAGGTAATTAGAATCTACTCATAAATATCTCCAATGACAACAGGAATACCTCATGTAAAAAAAAATCATTTTCATAGACAAATCTTTTTTTCATGGTCAATTTTTACTTTTCTTCATATTGTATCCTTTTAAGGTAAATACTTCTGTCAGGCCATAAGTTTGCTGTTTTATTATTTGTTTTGTGTTTGTTTCTTCTGTTCCTTGTTCCTCTGTTTTTTCTTGCTTTTCTGGGGTTATTAGAATATTTTTATGATTCCATCTTGATTAATTTATAGAGTTTCTGAGTGTATTACTATATAAAGTTTTCTTAGCGGTTGCCCTTGGCAATACAATGTACATATGTGACTTATCACCGTCTACTGGTATCAACATTTTACCACTTTGAGTGAAGTGTGAAAACCTTACTACTAGTTAGGTCTCTACCTTGCTTACTTTTAAGTATAATTGTCTTGTCTTGAGTATCAGATGATGTTATAATTTTTGTTGCAATCATCAAATATGATTCATGAAACTCACAAGAAGGATAGTCTATTGCATTCTCCCACTATTTCTTCCTGTTTCATTGTTCTTTCTTCCTTCCTGTTACTTCAAGAGTCCTTCTTTTATAATTTCCTTTCTGTTTAAAGCAGGGGTTCCCTAACCTTTTTGGCATCAGGGACAGGTTTCGTGGAACACAATTTTTCCACAGACTGGGTAGGGGTGCGAGGAGATGGTTTCAGAATGAAACTGTTCACCACAGATCATCAGGCCTTAGATTCTCATAAGGAGCGTACAACCCCAAATCCCTTGCATGTGCAGTTCACCATAGGATTTGTGCTCCTATGAGAATCTAATGTGGTGGCTGATCTGACAAGAGGCAGAGCTCAGGTGGTAATGCTCATCTGCCCACTGCTCATCTCCGGCTATGTGGCCCAGTTCCTAACAGGCCACAGACCGGTACTGGTTGGTGACGCCTGGTTTAAAGAACTTCCTTTTGTCTTTCTTGCAAGGTAAATCTCTTACTGACAGATTCTTTTGTTTTCCTTCATTTCACAATGTTTTCCCCTTCATTCTTTTTTTTTATTATTATATTTTGTGTTCTAGGGTACATGTGCACAATGTGCAGGTTTGTTACATATGTATACATGTGCCATGCTGGTGTGCTGCACCCATCAACTCCTCATTTACATCAGGTATATCTCCCAATGCTAGCTATCCCTCCCCACTCCCCCACCCCACTACAAGCCCCGGTGTGTGATGTTCCCCTTCCTGTGTCCAAGTGTTCTCACTATCCAATTCCCACCTATGAGTAAGAACATGCGGTGTTTGGTTTTCTGTCCTTGCGATAGCTTGCTCAGAATGATGGTTTCCAGCTTCATCCATGTCCCTACAAAGGACATGAACTCATCCATTTTTATGGCTGCATAGTATTCCATGGTGTATATGTACCACTTTTTCTTAATCCAGTCTATCACTGATGGACATCTGGGTTGGTTCCAAGTCTTTGCTATTGTGAATAGTGCCGCAATAAACATACATGTGCATGTGTCTTTATAGCAGCATGATTTATCATCCTTTGGGTATATACCCAGTAATGGGATGGCTGGGTCAAATGGTATTTCTAGTTCCAGATCCTTCAGCAATCACCATACTGTCTTCCACAATGGTTGAACTAGTTTACAGTCCCACCAACAGTGTAAAAGTGTTCCTATTTCTCTACATCCTCTCCAGCACCTGTTGTTCCCTGACTTTTTAATGATCACCATTCTAACTGGTGTGAGATGGTATCTCATTGTGGTTTTGATTTGCATTTCTCTGATGGCCAGTGATGATGAGCATTCAAGTGTCTGTTGGCTGCATAAATGTCTTCTTTCGAGAAGTGTCTGTTCATATCCTTTGCTCACTTTTTGATGGGGTTGTTTGATTTTTTTCTTGTAAATTTGTTTAAGTTCCTTGTAGATTCTGGATATTAGCCCTTTTGTCAGATGGATAGAGTGCGAAAATTTTCTCCCATTCTGTAGGTTGCCTGTTCATTCTGATGGTAGTTTCTTTTGCTGTGCAGAAGCTCTTTAGTTTAATTAGATCCCATTTGTCAACTTTGGCTTTTGTTGCCATTGCTTTTGGTGTTTTAGCCATGAAGTCCTTGCCCATGCCTATGTCTTGAATGGTATTGCCTAGGTTTTCTTCTAGGGTTTTTACGGTTTTAGGTCTAACGTTTAAGTCTTTAATCCATCTTGAATTAATTTTTGTATAAGGTGTAAGTAAGGGATCCAGTTAAAGCTTTCTACATATGGCTAGCCAGTTTTCTCAATACCATTTATTAAATAGGCAATCCTTTCCCTATTTCTTGTTTTTATCAGGTTTGTCAAAGACTGGATGGTTGTGGATGTGTGGTACTATTTCTGAGGACTCTGTTCTGTTCCATTGGTCTATATCTCTGTTTTGGTACCAGTACCATGCTGTTTTGGTTACTGTAGGCTTGCAGTATAGTTTGAAGTCAGATAGCATGATGCCTCCAGCTTTGTTCTTTTGGCTTAGGATTGTCTTGGCAATGTGGGCTCTTTTTTGGTTCCACATGAACTTTCAAGTAGTTTTTTCCAATTCTGTGAAGAAAGTCAATGCTAGCTTGTTGGGGATGGCATTGAATCTATAAATGACTTTGGGCAGTATTGTCACTTGTTTGTGTCCTCTTTTACTTCGTTGAGCAGTGGTTTGTAGTTCTCCTTGAAGAGGTCCTTCACATCCCTCACAAGTTGGATTCCTAGGTATTTTATTCTCTTTGAAGCCATCATGAATGGGAGTTCACTCATGATTTGGCTGTTTGTCTGTTAATGGTGTATAAGAATGCTTGTGATTTCTGCACATTGCTTTTGTATCCTGAGACTTTGCTGAAGTTGCTTATCAGCTTAAGGAGATTTGGGGCTGACATGATGGGGTTTTCTAGATATACAATCATGTCATCTGCAAACAGGGACAATTTGACTTCCTCTTTTCCTAACTGAATACCTTTTATTTCTTTCTCCTGCCTGACTGCCCTGACCAGAACTTCCAACACTATGTTGAACAGGAGTGGTGAGAGAGAGGCACCCCTGTCTTGTGCTGTTTTTCAAAGGGAATGCTTCCAGTTTTTGCCCATTCAGTATGATATTGGCTGTGGGTTTGTCATACATAGCTCTTATTATTTTGAGATACATCCCATCAATACCTAATTTATTGAGAGTTTTTAGCATGAAGGGCTGCTGAATTTTGTCAAAGGCCTTTTCTGCATCTATTGAGATAATCATGTGGTTTTTGTCTTTGGTTCTCTTTATATCATGGATTACATTTATTGATTTGTGTATGTTGAACCAGCCTTGCATCCCAGGGATGAAGCGCACTTGATCATGGTGGATAAGCTTTTTGATGTGCTGCTGGATTCGGTTTGCCAGTATTTTATTCAGGATTTTTGCATCGATGTTCATCAGGGATACTGGTCTAAAATTATTTTTTGTTGTGTCTCTGGCAGGCTTTGGTATCAGGATGCTGCTGGCCTCATAAAATCAGTTAGGGAGGATTCCCTCTTTTTCTATTGATTGGAATAGTTTCAGAAGGAACAGTACCAGCTCCTCTTTGTACCTCTGGTAGAATTCAGCTGTGACTCCGTCTGGTCCTGGACTTTTTTTGGTTGGTAGGCTCTTAATTATTGCCTCAATTTCACAGCCTGTTATTAGTCTATTCAGAAATTCAACTTCTTCCTGTTTAGTCTTGGGAGGGTGTATGTGTCGAGGAATTTATCCATTTCTTCTAGATTTTCTAGTTTATTTGCTTAGGGGTGTTTACAGTATTCTCAGATGGTAGTTTGTATCTCTGTAGGATTGGTGGTGATATCCCCTTTATCATTTTTCATTACGTCTATTTGATTCTTCTCTTTTCTTCTTTATTAGTCTTGCTAGCAGTCTATCAATTTTGTTGATCTTCTCAGAAAACCAGCTCCTGGATTCATTGATTTTTTGAAGGGTTTTTTGTGTCTCTATCTCCTTCAGTTCTGCTCTGATCTTAGTTATTTCTTGCCTTCTGCTAGCTTTTGAATGTGTTTGCTCTTGCTTCTCTTGTTCTTTTAATTGTGATATTAGGGTGTCAATTTTAGATCTTTCCTGCTTTCTCTTGTGGGCATTTAGTGCTATAAATTTCCCTCTACACACTACTTTAAATGTGTCCCAGAGATTCTGGTATGTTGTGTCTTTGTTCTCGTTGGTTTCACAGACCATCTTTATTTCTGCCTTCATTTTGTTATTTACCCATTAGTCACTCAGGAGCAGGTTGTTCAGTTTCCATGTACTTGAGTGGTTTTTAGTGAGTTTCTTAATCCTGAGTTCCAGTTTGACTGCACTGTGGTCTGAGAGACAGTTTGTTATAATTTCTGTTCTTTTACATTTGCTGAGGAGTGCTTTACTTCCAACTATGTGGTCAATTTTGGAATAAGTGCAATGTGGTGCTGAGAAGAATGTATATTCTGTTGATTTGGGGTGGAGTGTTCTGTAGATGTCTATTAGGTTCGCTTGGTGCAGAGCTGAGTTAACTTCTTGGATATCCTTGTGAACTTTCTGTCTCACTGATCTGTCTAATGTTGACAGTGGGGTGTTAAAGTCTCCCATTATTATTGTGTGGGAGTCTAAGTCTCTTTGTAGGTCTCTAAGGACTTGCTTTATGAATCTGGGTGCTCCTATATTGGGTGCATATATATTTAGGATAGTTAGCTCTTCTTGTTGAATTGATCCCTTTACCATTATATAATGGCCTTGTCTCTTCTGATCTTTGTTGGTTTAAAGTCTGTTTTATCAGAGACTAGGATTGCAACCCCTGCTTTTTTTTTTTTTTTCCATTTGCTTGGTAGATCTTCCTCCATCCCTTTATTTTGAGCCTATGCGTGTCTCTGCACGTGAGATGGGTCTCCTGAATACAGCACACTGATGGGTCTTTACTCTATCCAATTTGCCAGTCTGTGTCTTTTAATTGGAGCATTTAATCCATTTACATTTAAGGTTAATATTGTTATGTGTGAATTTGATCCTGTCATTATGATGTTAGCTGGTTATTTTGCTTGTTACTTGGTGCAGTTTCTTCCTAGCATCGATGGTCTTTACAATTTGGCATGTTTTTGCAGTGGCTGGTAGCAGTTGTTCCTTTCCATGTTTAGTGCTTCCTTCAGGAGCTCTTGTAAGGCAGGCCTGGTGGTGACAAAATCTCTCAGCATTTGCTTGTCTGTAAAGGATTTTATTTCTCCTTCACTTATGAAGCTTAGTTGGGATGGATATGAAATTCTGGGTTGAAAATTCTTTTGTTGAAGAGTACTGAATATTGGACCCCACTCTCTCCTGGCTTGTAGAGTTTCTGCCGAGAGATCCGCTGTTAGTCTGATGGGCTTCCCTTTGTGGGTAACCCGACCTTTCTCTCTGGCTGCCCTTAACATTTTTTCCTTTATTTCAACTTTGGTGAATCTGACAATTATGTGTTTTGGAGTTGCTCTTCTCGAGGAGTATCTTTGTGGTGTTCTCTGTATTTCCTGAATTTGAATGTTGGCCTTCCTTGCTAGGTTGGGGAAGTTCTCCTGGATAATATCCTGAAGAGTGTTTTCCAACTTGGTTCCATTCTCCCCGTCACTTTCAGGTACACCCATCAGACGTAGATTTGGTCTTTTCATATAGTCCCATATTTCTTGGAGGCTTTGCTCATTTCTTTCTTTTTTCTCTAAATTTCTCTTCTCGCTTCATTTCATTCATCTGATCTTCAATCACTGACACCCTTTCTTCTACTTGATCGAATCGGCTACTGAAGCTTGTGCATGTGTCACGCAGTTCTCATGCCATGGTGTTCAGCTCCAACAGGTCATTTAAAGTCTTCTATACACTGTTTATTTTAGTTAGCCATTCGTCTAATCTTTTTTCAAGGTTTTTGGCTTCTTTGCGATGGGTTCGAACATTCTCCTTCAGCTCACAGAAGTTTGTTATTACCAATCATCTGAAGCCTTCTTCTCTCAACTCGTCAAAGTCATTCTCCGTCCAGCTTTGTTCCATTGCTGGCGAGGAGCTGCGTTCCTTTGGAGGAGAAGGGGCACTCTGATTTTTAGAATTTTCAGCTTTTCTGCTCTGGTTTCTCCCCATCTTTGTGGTTTTATCTACCTTTGGTCTTTGATGATGGTGACGTCAGACGGGGTTCTGGTGTGAATGTTCTTTCTGTTTGTTAGTTTTCCTTCTAACAGTCAGGAACCTCAGCTGCAGGTCTGTTGGAGTTTGCTGGAGGTCCACTCCAGACACTCTTTGCCTGGATATCACCAGTGCAGACTGCAGAACTGCAAATATTGCAGAAAGGCAAATGTTGCTGCCTGATCGTTCCTCTGGAAGCTTCGTCTCAGAGGGGCGCCCGGCCGTATGAGGCGTCAGTCAGCCCCTACTGGGAGATGCCTCCCAGTTAGGCTACTCGGGGGTCAGGGACCCTCTTGAGGAGGCAGTCTGTCCATTCTTAGATCTCAAACTCCGTGCTGGGAGAACCACTCCTCTCTTCAACGCTGTCAGACAGGGACATTTAAGTCTGCAGAAGTTTTTGCTGCCTTTCGTTCAGCTATGCCCTGCCCCCAGAGGTGGAGTCTACAGAGGCCGGCAGGACTCCTTGAGCTGTGGTGGGCTCCACCCATTTTGAGCTTCAGGGCTGCTTTGTTTACCTACTCAAGCCTCAGCAATGGTGGGCACCCCTCCCCCAGCCTCGCTGCTGCTTTGCAGTTCCATCTTAGACTGCTGTGCTAGCAATGAGCGAGGTTCCGTGGGTGTGGAACCCCCCGAGCCAGGCACAGGACATAATCTCCTGGTGTGCCGTTTGCTAAGACCGTTGGAAAAGCGCAGTATTAGGTGGAAAAGCGCAGTGGGAGTTGCCCGATTTTCCAGGTGCCGTCTGTCATGGCTTCCCTTGGCTAGGAAAAAGAATTCCCCGACCCCTTGCGCTTCCCAGGTGAGGTGATGCCTCACCCTGCTTTGGCTCACAGTCCATGGGTTGCACCTACTGTCCTGCATCCATGTCTGACAAGCCCCAGAGAGATGAACCCAGTACCTCATTTGGAAATGCAGAAATCACCCATCTTCTGCATCACTCATGCTGGGAGCTGTAGACTGGAGCTGTTCCTATTCAGCCATCTTGGAACCTCCTCCCCTTCATTCTTAAAGAATACTTTTGCTGGATATAGACTTTACAGCCATTTTCTTCCACCTCTTCAAAAGTGTTCTGCCACTTCCTTCTGGGCTTCATGGTTTTAAATGAGAAATCTGCTATTACTTGAATTGGTGTTCCCCTATAGGTTATGTGTTGTTTCTCTCTGGATGCTTTTTAAGATATTTTCTTTGTCTTTAGCTTTCATAAGTTTAATTATGACATGTCTGAGAGTAGATTTTGAGGGGGTTGATACTATTTGGGGTTCAGAAAGCTTCTTGAATCTGTAGGATTAAGTTTTTGGCTAAATCTGGGAAGTTTTCAGCCATTACTTCTTCAGATACTCTTTCAATGCCACCCCCTTTCTCCTTCTCAAACACGAGCAATACAAATGTTGGTTCTTTGTTACTTCCCAATAGGTCCCTAAGGCTTGCTGATTTTGTTTCTGTTTCCTCTATGTTGTAAAATTGGCTAAATTCTATTGATCTATGCTTAAGCTCACAGATTCTATCCTACTGTCATCTCCACTGTTATTCATCCCATCCAGTAATTTTAAATTTCTATTATTGTATTTTTCAGCTCTATACTTTCCATTTGTTTCTTCTTTATAATTTATATTTCTTTTGCTAATATTTTCTTTCTTTTTCCATTTGTTTCAAGATACTTTGTAATTATTTGTTAGAGCATTTTTATGATGTTTGCTTTAAAAATCCTTGCCAGATAATTCCAAATCTGATTCATCTTAGTGTTGTCATTCCTTTTTCTTATTCAAGTTGTGATTTTCTTGGTTTTGGTATGATGGGTGATTTTTTATTTTATCCTCAATATTTTCACTATAACTTACAAGACTCTGGGTCCTACAGAAATCTTTGCCATTAGAAGGCATATCCCCATTTAGGTTTATCACACAGGTCCTGGCCTACTTTTGTGGGCTGTGGTTTGGATGACAATTTTCAAAGCATTCACAATCATTTAGGTGTGTCTGAATTTTTTTTTCTTTTTTTTTTATTATTACTATTATTATTATTATTTTTTAATTATACTTTAAGTTTTAGGGTACATGTGCACATTGTGCAGGTTAGTTACATATGTATACATGTGCCATGCTGGTGCGCTGCACCCACTAACTCGTCATCTAGCATTTGGTGCCCGTTGGGTTCCCACTAGTCCACAGTCCACACTGGTGCCTTACAGTAGGGGGAAAGAGAGCTTCCTCAGGTTGGGTCATCTGGTACCTTTAGGGGAGAGAAAGGAGTCTCCAGGTGACAGGAACAAAGATCACTTTCTGGGCTAGGCATTTGTGAGGACATCCCCCTTGCCAGGCACACTGGCCACCCAGTGTCTGTCAGTGGGGAAGGGGAGTCTCATGCCCAGGAGGGAAGGAGAATGCTTCTCCCTGGTCACTGATTGCCAGTGGTTCCAAATCAATTCCCCCTTGCTAGAGCCACCAGACTTGCCTAGTGTTGGCAGGGCTCTTGTTTAATCTGGGGAAAGAATAAGCCTACCTGTGTCACCTTATGTTGCTAGGTTGAGAGTGGGGGCCTAGACCAGGTTTGCTGTTGGGTGTGGGTCATAAGAGACTCTGTCACTGTGTTGTTTTTCCTGTACTAGGGTCCCTAGCCAGTCTGCCTTCCTCTTTCTATTTTTTGTAGTTCTCACTTGATTGCCTCTTACATTATTTCCAGACTTAATAACTGTACTTAGCAAGGAGGAAAAGAGAGAGTTACATATGGTAACACATGCAGAGCATATAAAGTATAGTATATATAACTAAAGGCAAAGATAGTACTGTTATTATTAACAGAAAGTGAAGAGATAAAAATACAGACAAAATGGCCAAGTGTGGTCTCTTACCCCTGTAATCCCAGCACTTTGGGAGGCCGAGGTGGGCAGATCACCTGAGGTCGGGAGTTCAAGACCAGCCTGACCAACATGGAGAAATCCCATCTCTACTAAAAATACAAAATTAGCCAGGTGTGGTGGCACATGCCTGTAATCCCAGCTACTCCGGAGGCTGAGGCAGGAGAATCGCTTGAACCAGGGAGCTGGAGGTTGCGGTGAGCCGAGATCATGCCACTGCACTCCAGCCTGGGCAACAAGAGAGAAACTTCGTCTCAAAAAAAGAAAAAAATTATATATACAGACAAAATGGCATTAGCGTTCAAAAGAGATATAGAAACCTTCCATTTGGATGGTAACAGAAATTTTATGGAAGGGGTAGCATTTGAGCTGGGCCCTAAAAATTTGGTAGGATTATATTTATATTTGTTTACAATAAAACAAAACAAAAATGTATTGGGGAAGTGTACTGCACAAAATGGACACAGCATAAATAAAAGTATAAAAGTGGTAAAATACAATTTTTAAGTGGTAAAATAATGCTATACAGGGAATATGAAATTGTTGAAGTACAGATTATATAAGAAAGCAATGAAAAACAGGTTGGAAAGACATGTTGGGACCAAATTTTTGAGAACACTGGATTCCAAGCTAAGTAATATGAGTAATAAAGGGTCGTATATAATAGATTTTGAACAAGCTGCTAAAAAGAGAAAATAAAGTAAGTTAAGGGAAAAAGATGTGATAGAACGCAATGCAATTTTAGAGAGGATAGTTGGGGTATGCCTCACTAAGAAGGAAATGCTTATGTAAAGACATGACAAAGTGTGGGAAATAAGCATCCCAGGCAGAGAGACTAGCAAGTGCAAAGACCTGAGTCAGAAGCCTGTCTGACTTGTTTGGGGAATAACAAGGAGGCCAGTGCAGCTGGAACAGAGTAAATGAAGGAGAAAGTAGTAGAAGACAAAGACAGAGAAGTACAAGAGAGTAAGGGAGGGAACCATGTTGTGTAAGTTCTTTTACGTACATGACAAAGACTTTTACACTGGGTGAAACGAGAGAAATGAGCAAGAGAGTGACATGATAACTTATGGCAGATCAAATTGAATATTCAAATTATTTGCCACAATTTTAAAAGCTGAACTTAAATTCCTATTTTCCATTCACTTATATTTAGCAAAATCTTGATTGTTGAACAGAAAGTTAAGAATAGTTTTTATGTTTTAAATGGTTATTGAAAAAGAAGAGGAGTGGGAGGGAGAAGAGGACAAAGGAGGCAATGAGAAGCACTGGGGACGGCAAAAGGTAGCAATGGTCATATGTTTCCAGCAAATGCTAAAATACTTACTCTCTGGCCTTTTAAAGAAAAAAATGCTCATTCCTGTCTTATACTTCAAGTTCAGATTAGTATTTATTACTATTGAAATTTATATAATATTGGCCCACATTTGTATTAAGTACCAGGCACATATTAATTAGCCCTTTGAGGGAACTGGTATTATTCTCAATTTGTAGGTGAGGGAATAGGTTCAGAGTGTCTTAAGAGGCTTGCCTAATTTTCCAGCTAAGAGGGACTGGTTTGTATCAGACCAACTCTTCTGTCTAGAACAACTAGAAAAGCTGAAATAAAATATAAATAGCATACATTTCAAGGCATCAAAACACAACCAAACAGCCAGGGCATAAAAGGCCAAGAACCCAGAATTAAGAGAAAAGATTAAAAGAAATCCAACATTCTGTGCTACTCTTTTCCCTCTAGGAATTTTCTGCTGATTCATAACTGGCACAGAGCAGAGAGGATGAGAAGCACAAAAGAGGCCAGAAAACAGAGTAGAGATCTATAGTCCCAAGGGGCTGGGAGACCGAAATTGGAGTTCAGAGCTATGAAGACAGGGGGTGCCAAACAAGATCCCAAAGTGATGAGAAAAACAAAGTAGTGAGCTTAAATTCAGACCTGCTTTTCCTCTAAAGGTATTTGCCAATTTATAAACAGTGGCTAAGAGAGAGATAAACCAAGTAGAAATCCTCAAAAAGATTTCTATTTTGAAATTAAAATAGGGCTTTCAGCAGTCTCACAAATGCCAGAAGGAACAACAACAAAAAAAGGAATTCCTAGAAAAACACAAGTAACTCAATTGTTAGAAGAAAAGATGGAAAATCTAAATGATACTAAAACTATTAAAGAAATTGAATCCATAACTTAAAATTTGACCACAAAATAATTCTTCAAGGTGAGATAGCTTCACCAGAGCATTCTTCCAAACATTAAAGGAGGAAATAATACCAATTTTTAATCTTACCCAAACTTTTCGAGGTAATAGAAAGGGTAAATATCTCACCTTATTTTATCTTGATATCAAGGTTCTTGGTAACCGTGATACCAATATAATGCCAAGAACATTATGAAAAGTAAGAATTTATAGGCCAACACTCTCTCATAAACACAAATTCAAAATTTCTAAACAAAACATTAACAAATAGAATCTAGTGATAAATATTTAAACAAAATACATCTTGATCAAATTTACTTTATTCTGGGAATACAGGGATGGTTTAACAAACATAAACAATGTAATTCACCACATTAGTAGAATAATTAGAAAAAAATCTCGAATCATTTGAATAGATGCAGAAAAAGCATCTGATAAAATTATATACCCACTCATAACTTAAGAGAAAAAAAGTCCTTAGTAAACTAGAATTAGAATAAAACTTCCTTAATCTGCTAAAGGGTATCTACAAAAAACATTAGTGGTGATATGTTGAACATTTTTTCCCTGAGTTCATGAAGAAAAACAAGGCTGCCTACTCATACCACTTCCATTCAACACTGCGTTGAAGGTCCTAGAAAGTACAATAACATGAGAAAAAGAAATAAAAGGCATAGGTTTTGAAATAAATAAATAAATCTGTCTTTATTCATAGATAACATTTTTGTGTACGTCAAGACTCAAAGAATCTTCAAATAAGCTATTAGAATTATTAAGTAAATTTAGCATAATGGGAAAGATCAATAAAGATAGACATCAAAAGTTAACACAGTTATTGCTTGATGTTTTATGAGTGATTTTCCTTTTTTCTCCTTATATTAAATACTTCTATTTTCATTTTATCTGATATAAACATATATTACTTAGGTGTTCAAAAAATTAATCCTAAAAAAGTACACATATTATTCCATTTGTGTATATATAAAGTTCAAAAATTAGCAAAACTAGTTATTAGAAGTCGGATAGGATTTATCTTTGGGGATATAGGTAATGACTGGAATTGGGCATATGTGAGGCTTCTGAGATACTGGAAACATTCTATTTCTTCATATCAGTACCAGTTACATGGGATGTTTAACTTCTGAAAATTGAGCTGTACACTTTCCTGCATGTATGTTATAATTTGATAAAAAGTTTACCAAAAAATGAAAGTTGGATATCTTTACTTCCCTAATAAAATATGTTGCCAACTGCTTTGCTTTGTCTCAGATATGGCCTTCCATCTATTTTTTCCCCTTTATAGAACAGTGGTCCACATCAGAAAAGAAAAAAATCTTATCCTTAATATAGAAATATTAGTTGATTCTGAGCCCAGATTATATTAGCAATATTTTTCATAACAATTTATATAAATTTTGTTTTTATCATTTTCTTTTTCCCTTATAATTAAAATATATTTTTAAAAAATCTACCTCAATGAAGGTTCTAGTTAACTTATTAGTTTAGTTAAAGAAAATCTTATGGCACAGAAATATTGTGAGTGTAACTTTAAGTGTCAAAAGTTGCATCACAGATATTATTTAGTGATCACAGATATTATTTAGATATTCATCACAGATATTAATTATACTTACTTGATAATGAGGCTTATACCATTGTTTTAAGTCCCAATCCCAAAGAATCATCTAGAAAAAAAAATTCACTTGGTTACAAACCAAAAATAAACAAAAAAGTATATGTAAAGACAAAATTCAGCATTTTCAATTATAATTATCTAATATAGCTCAAAATCTGGAAGAGATATTGGAATGGTGAAAATAAAAATTATCTCGACAGAATATTTCATTAATATAATCTATAATTGAGAAATCAAAAGAATAAAGAATTATCACAATAAAGTAACTAAAACAAGCCATATTAACCTTCAAATACTACCACAAAAAGGAAAATATAAATCCATAATCACATTAAGTCACAAAAAATAAAAGAAAAATTACATATCATCAGATATTCTCTGCCTACCCACCATCTCCAAAGGCTCATCATGGGTGATGGGTGATGCTATTTTCCTACCAATAAGGTACTTCTGTCAAAAACATTTTGAAAAGCTTGTTGTCCTTGGGGTTAGATTAAGTATAAAAGAATAGACTTATCAAAAGCAGCACATACCCCTTTTGATATGCACATAATTAGTGATTGTTTTCCTGTCTGTCTCCTTGATAGCCTAGCTTATCAATGGTAACTTTAGTCCCAGACTAGTTTTTTTCCTGCCCTTCTTCCTAACAAGCTTTTTGGCTGCTTCCCAACCCAATATAGTAGTCACTATGCCCAAGGAGATAAAATTAACTTTAATTTAGGAAGCTATAACTGCTACCTATCATCAATCCTAAATTTCTTTGACATTTACTGAGTTAAATAGGTCTTCTTTTGCTTAAATAATTCATTCTAATAGCCATTTTGTACATAGCTTTGAACCTGTATTGAATATGAGCCCAGTTAATCTGTAATATAATCTCATAATTTCTATATATTGAACTATTTGTGTTGTTTTTTGTCCTTCAGGCTTAAGTTTTCTGGTTGCAAAAGATCTTATTTGGTGCTTTGCTGGCTACATAAGGTCTCTATGGCATATTCTTTGCTTTTTGTTTTTGTTTTATAACCCTTTAAAATGCAAAAAAAATTATTAGCTCAAAGGTGATACAAAAACAGTCTGCTGGCAGCATTTGGTCAGTGGACTACAGTTTGCTGACTCATATTTTACATAATACACCCATGTTTAATCACTCAAAAAACTGTCAATTATCATTATCACCATCTCCTCATCAATATCCTTGCAGAACGTAATTTCTTTCTTACCACTGAGGAAAAATCTATTTCTTCCCAAAGAAAATTCAGACACAGTACAATCACTCAGAAGACTTGTGAACCAGTGCCCACAAAATGGCTCTGATATAACTGCATGCAAAGTATACCATATATATAACAGACTCATTAAATTTAAGCAGTATTTTATATGGTCCTAAATGTGGTCCTGATATAATTATTTCAGGTTGTGATTTAATCAGCATATAATCTAGATTCAAGAGACACTAATTATTGCAAATTAAGATGTTAATAGCTTCCTAAAATGCTCCTTAAGATTAACATAACCTAAAATCCCTAAGTTTCTTTTATACATGATATTGTTATGATCCATTTTCCTCCATGCTATTCTTATAAATATGGCTTTTTAGACCCAACTGCAATACTTTACTTCTGCCCTTATTTTAGCCTGTCAGCTTCTTTGGAGATTGAGAATGTCAACTACCCTATTCTCCATTCCTCCCATTATCATAACATCTATAAATCTGATGTTTTCTTAAGTTCACGAATAGATGTCTAGAATAGACAGGAGTGAAAACAGAGCCATACGATATATCACTAAAAATCACCTATGAGATAGGCATCAATGAACTAATTGGCATTCTTGGTCTGCTAACTTTTTTAACTGTACTATCATCTGATCCACATTTCTACACTTTTCCCACAATAATACCATCAAACAGAGACAAATACTTGTATACCTTATTTCCCTGACTCACAACTCTAAGTAGAAGTTGATTTCTGGCTAACTCAAGTATACTTTTCATTAGGATGGTTTCTTAACATTGAGTAGTCTGCCTTCCCCACTTCATTGACCTACATGATTAAATAAACATTACCTTTTTAAATATTTGTACTCTAATGCCAAGAGCCATGTTTGTATTCATGTGATATACTCTCAACAGTGGTGCTATCACTTCCAAGCAAGTGGTAGCTGGTTCTTGGGGCAAAAAAAAAAAAAAAATCTTGAAAATTAAAATGGTTCGTAGCCCTCCAAAGGCTACAGTATACAAACAGATATACTGTACATCTTTGGTATGAAAATTACATGAAGGGGGAGATGATTATGGAAACATATATATAATATATGTATATATAATATTTAATATATGTACATATATTTTACATATGTATATACAATATAAATATATATATATATATATCCCTGGATTCGGAGTTGTAATCAAAATACGGTGGAGAAACACTGATAAAAAGTAGTCCTGCTGCTTGCTTATAAGAGCAATCTCATCTTAGCTTATATTTTGTGAAAGTTCTCTAATGCATTTAGACAATTAAAGGCTGCCTATGCAGAAGGAAGGCTGCTAATATGAGAAGGAATGTATGCCCTATTTTAACTGGACTCTTAAAGGTCTCTAAAAATCTTACTATGTACAATGCTTCTTTTTTCTCTGCTTGCTCTCTTTAGATCTCTCTACTGTAGCATTTTGTATTACAATATTTCAATATTATATTTTTACAATATTGCAGACCATCTCCCTCAATATTGTACATTACAATATTGTAGTATTACAATATTACAGACCATCTCCCTCAATAAATTCACTCTTCCTGGCCCTTTATCCCATTATCATAGTTTTCTCTCACTTGTGCTTGCTAGATTGGCTTTGAATCAATTCTTAAGCAAAGCCCAATCTTATTTGCAGTCACTTTCTCTAGGATGAAAACTATGTTACCCTAAAGCAGCAGGTCTTACTGTGAAATCCCCTTCATATTAGGAATTGAAAGCAGATACACAGAAAGCCACAAAGAGCTAGCAGACTGCCTTCTGCGTAATTTGAGCAAGTAGCACATTAGTGATTTTGAGAAAACAATTTTCTCCATAAGTAATAGAAGATGAATGACCCAGGAATTCCACAGCTAGGTACACATCTTAGAGCAGTATTCAAAGTGTGGTCCATAATAAGATAAATACAGAAATTCAGAGTAAAGGTTTATATATTTTTATAGCAATTTGACAATGGTGAGACATTTTTAGTGTATTTTACAAAAGCATCAATCCACAACAGATCAGGGAAAAACCCAAAAGCTTGGTCCTTTGCTACAGTTTGACAGAAGGAGACAGGAAGAATGCACATAGCTGTGCAGCTTAGGGTAGCAAAAAACTAGATACAACCCAAATGTTCATCAACAATAAAATAGAAAAATTTTGATGTATTCATACAATGGAGTATAGGAGTGAAAATGAATGAAGTACATACAGCTACATCGTATATGGATGGATCTCAGAAACATAATGTTGAACAAGAAAAACAAGTCACAGACAGATACATACAGTATACCTTCACTCATTTAACATGAAATACACATTGCGATATGCTTATTAGAAATACTTATGGTAAACTGTAAAGAAATTCAGGATGGTGATTATCTCTAAAAGAAAAAGAAGTGAACCAGATCCAGGAGTGACATACAGGGAACTTCAATGTTAATGGTAATGTTCAAAAACACCAGTAATGGTGGGTTGATGGTGTCTGTTTCTTTAGTCTCTGTACTTTACACATATTTCATAAATATTTGTTCAGCTTTAGTAAAAGTTAAGATGAATTTAGGAAGGTAAGGAAGTAGACAAAGTGACTAGAGAAAACTCTTTTGAAAAACTGTGCTGTAAAGGCAAGAATGAAATGAAGCAATCATCAGAAAAAAATGTGGGAATAATACTTTTTTTTTTAACATGGTAGGTTCTAAAGCATGCTTGTACTTGATAGGAATGATCCTGAACAGTGGGAGAACTAATGACAGAATAAAGTGAGAAATATGCAAAGAGCAAATACTTAATGAAAATACTGCTAAGTGTCTCCGTAGTATTAGATTACATATATGTATACACGAAAAAAATATATATATGATATTTTTAAAAACATAAAATTTTAAACTAGGAAATTGTAATAGAATATTAGCCATTATTTATCAAATTATGATCTGTCAATCACTAGTTGTTCCTCATTGTCCCAGAATATTTAGAGGGAAAAAGGAAACAACTTAGTTTGCATATATTTCATAATTGTGAACTATAAGGTTAATTTTGATTTCCGCAGAAATCTCATTATTATCTTAAAAACTTATATTCTTAAAAGCTGAAAAGGTTCTCTAAGACCTGCATTATTCTAAAAGAGAACAAATCATCTTACCTGAAGTATTTTCACATCATTTGAATATTATTTATATCTTTTAAATTTGCATTATTTTCATTGTGTTGCATTATACTCCCCAATCAATAAATAAATGGCTCAAAATTGGTTTTTAAAGCCTAAGATATTGATAAAAATAGGGTAACATAAATAGCTCGGAATAAATGTTGAACCTAAATCAAGAATAGGACTCTAATGCAAACAATATAAATCTGTGCATGTGATAATACCACACAAAGAGATAAAAACAAAAATTTTACTAGCACATACAATAGCAACTATCTAAAAGCTGGATTTCTTTCTGACTGGTAATTCATTTACCCTATATTCTTCTGGATGTTGTCTACTTTGAAACTTTATCAAATAATGACATGAAGCTATGGAAAGTTTTCAAACAAAACATAAAAACCTCTTTGGTAAATGAACAGAATCTTTCTAGAACAAGCACAAAATGCTTTCATATATGAAACTGAAGATTTTTGTTCCTAAAAGAGACAAAAACTACACAGGCACCATTCAGATTCTGTGCTCCTCCTAGCAAAAGCATATAAAAAAGATAGACTATTGCTGAGAGATTTATAAAACTCTCAGCCACACAAACGATAAATATTATGCTGAAAGAAAAACCAGATATTTTACTTTACTGCTTGATAAATGCACTGAAGTGCAAAGCCAAATCAGCTCTTGGTATATGTGTAATACACTTGAGGAAGAATAGCAGACAAGTTTTTGTGTTTACCTCTGAAAAATTCATACTACAAAACATGATTTTTTTTCCTACTTAATATTTGTTTTGTAAACTATGATATAGACTGGGAAATATGTGATGAAATCAGTCCTGAGAGAAAAAATCAGTTGTCTGCACATCAAGAAAAAGCCTTGCTAAGCAATGAGTACTACACTAACTGCAAATCTATATACCCTGTTTTTTTTTTGTTTGTTTGTTTGTTTTCACAGAAAGAGGCTGGTGGTTAAAATACATTATGCTGAGTTCAATGTTAAAGAAATAGCATAAATGTAAATGCACTCAATTTTTGGATACAGAGTATACATCTTTTCAGTGTGCTTTGGAAAAACTGAGCAAATAAAATATTTAAAAGTAAATATAAAATATAAAGAGCAAAAAGAGCTTTTTTCAATAAAATGCAAAAGCCTCTATTTCTTAAACTTTCAAGTATGATAATGTCCATCAACTTAGCAAGTGACTCAGCCTTGAAAGAGTCTTCAGTGAGCAATCTCTTAATTCTGGAGTCCATGTTTAACCTGAGTATTCAGAACCAACAGCCAAAAAACCCCTGCTGACTGTCCTCATAAATTATAATTTTGGTTGGATTTTTCCAAGTTAAGAGAAATAGAGATGAGAAAAGAATATGACGATATACAATGAACCTACAACAAGCAGCCTATTTACTCAACATTGAGCTAAACAGAGATACCTTTAATATTGTAAATATACACTGATATAAAATATTTTAATTTTTTAGTTTTCAAAAATTGTGATTAATTCTTTTTTATACATTTACCTTAAGTTGGTGGGTAGCTACCACGCATACGGAATGCATAGTTGGCGGTACATGTATATTAAAACTTTTAAGAAATACTGGTTCAAGCACTCATTCCTCCTATATAATAAAATGTAGCTCTTTTAAAATTTTACTTCCAAGTAGACAGTAAATGCTCTGATACACATTGTTTCCAAGTCAGCAAAGTTTTAGGCATCTAAACCCAATACCAAAGTAGATCTTGTAAATAACTTAAATATAAGAATTTTATAAATATATATATAAAATAAATAAAATTAAATTTTTAATCCCAGTTTAAAACAAAAAGTTATAGTGCTATGGTATGTTTTAAACATGTAGTTCTATCAAACTATAAGACATCATTTAATGAAAGCATAAAATTTTAACTTGCTGTTTTTAGGAGCTTCCATTATTATATTTACCTCTTTCCTTCTGTGCTAATATATAATACAATACCAGAAATTATTATTTCTTTTCATACTGTGGTTATTTGTTCAAAACTAATTAAGGAACAGTAATTTCTCTAAGTAATATATACTATTAAACATTTTTAAGTTGATCTAGGTGTACCCAAGACTGCACCTTTATTTACATTCATTTTTTCTTTATGGTTAAAAAGTTGAATCCTGATAAAAGTTTCTGTTTGAATATGTTTTTAAGTCTAACACGCTCTACGGAGCTCTACAAAACCACCAAAACCACAGTGAAACATCAGCAGTACAACCAGGAGATGTTATCAGGTTCAATTACGTCAATGAGGCTTTATTTCATTGTTCTCTATGTAGCCAAAAAGAAAAACATGTATGTGCCCTCAAATCAAGCTTACAGAACTGTTATATTTATGTGAAATTTAAAAAGAATACTTATTATAGTACGGCTCTGAATTAACTGTTACAGCATCCTATATTCTCCCATTTCTTGATGACATTTTACTTGAGCTTCATATATAAATCTATGCTAATGAAACTGACTGAATTCAGTGTTTCCAACTTTTTCTATGCCTTCCAACTTAGGCCTAATAAAAAAATCCACTTAACTCTTTGTGTGTGTTTAGCGAACATAAATCAAAAACAAAATAAATGAATAGCCAAAAAGTTAAACTAACTAAAGCTATATTTCCTAATTGTTTAAAGTGCAAAGATATTAACCTTGAACCCTATGTAACAAAGAAATAACCCTATTCAGAAAAACTGAGAAGCAGAAAAAAAAAGTGTGGGGGGAGGGGGAGGGGTAGGAGACTAGTATTACTTGGAAACTGATGTCATTTACTATTCTTTCTAGTCATATAATATTATGATGGTCATGGTAACTTAAACTGCATGCTGTGTACCAGCACTATATTAGGCACTTAATATACACTGTCCCTTTTCATCTTTATTAGAATTCTCTGTGGTAAGCCTTATTTCCCCATTTTACAGATGACAAAACAAAGACTTCCCAAAATCTCATGATTAGTAAGTGACGGACAGAACTTAAATCTAGATCTGCCTAATTCCAAAGCTTTAAGGACCAACCATTATGCTGTAGCATCTTATATTTGTCATTTAATAAACAGTACTATATGCTAGCAATGTAGCAGTGCTTGGCAGTACATGTAACATCACAGCAACTTTGCGGTAGCCTCATTTTATATATGGAGAAGTTGAGGCTTAGTGATTCTACTGATTACTCAGCATTTGTCTCCACATCCATCTTTTGCCCTTCTCTGGACCCTAGGGAGAGTGAACCCTATATTCTGCAACACCTAAGAAGCCTTGCAGCTGGTTTCTGCTTACATTTAGCCAATGGAGGTCAATAGCAGAAAAATAGAGTTGAGGAGTAGAGAGAGATCAAGGTTATTTCTTCTCTGCTGCTTCCTTACCTATGTACCATTGTCTCTGGCAACAGCTGTGTTCCTCCACAACTATAGCTCTTACTAGCTGGTCCTTCCTTCATACCTTTGGCAATCACTAAACTAAAAACACCATGTCCACTCTTGCCTCTTCAGCCCCAGGTGAGGTAACAGCTTTCCATAATTGCTAGTTTCTAGTTGCCTTACCATATCTTGCCCATTCCTTAACTCTGTTCATTCTCTCAAAGTAGACTCTTCATTAAAGTGTTTTTATTTGAACCACTTTTTAGTGAATTTTATTTCTTGCTGGGTCCCTAAATAATACAGGGGCATTGTAACTAAGTTCTGCCACATGTCAGCTAGTAATTGGCAGAGCTAAAATCTAAACCCAGGTTTATCTCCCTCCAATTTCATTCCTTTCCACTATGCTAAAATGGTAATAATTTTTATAACACATTTCTTTCAAAAATGGAAAGTATCTACCTAGACCTTGTTTTTATTTATCAAATCATCATATTACCTTCTAATATCTGTATCCATATACCTGGCATTTCATTCTGTCACAACAGATGAACTGTCTGTGCTCCAGCCTACAGCTACTTTTCCATAAATGTAGTAGATTCGATTCCCTCTTCCCTACCTGAAGATATTTCAGCAGCAATTCTCTCTCTCATCATCATTTTTTCTCTACTAAATCATTCCAATTAGATTATAAACATGCTGCAGTTTCTCACATCTCACATTCATTACACACACACACCCCTTTATCATGATCATACTTTCACCCGGCCACTATCTCATTTCTCTGTAAAATTCTTCAAAAGAGTTGTCTTTATTGGTTGTTTCTAGTTCTTCTCCTTTCATTCTCTGGTAAGTTGACTCTAATCAGGTTTTGGCACTTTTTCATTAAATCTGTTCTTGATGAGGTCTCTAATGTTGTTAAAACCAATGGTCAAGTCTCACTCTTCATACTTCTGATCCATCATCATTTGACACAATCTAACACTCTTTCCTCCCTGAAATTATTTTTCTCACTTGGCTTCTGGAGTATTACATTCTCCAGATTTCTTTCTAATTCACTGGACACTATTTCTCAGTCTCCTCTCTGAGTCTTACTTACCATTTTGATGTTTTAACATTGCTGTGACCCCCACTGCCCTTGGACCTCTTCTCTTTTCTATTTCACTTAGCTTTGTGGGTGTAAATACCTTCAATAAGCTAATGACTCACAAATGTATATGTATCTTCTTCTCTGAGCTGAAGAATTATATATCCAATAGCCTACTCAACATCTCCAGTTGGCTGTCTAATAGATACCTTGAACTTAACATGTCCAAAACTGAACTGACCTTCCTCCCCATAGTCTTCCCTCATCTCAGTTAGTGGGAATCCCATCATTACCTTGGCTTAGGCCAAAAATATAACTCCCCTCTTTCTCACACATCACACTGGAAAATCCTGTTATCTCTACTTTCATAATATGTACAGAATATAAACATTTATCATATCTTCATTGCTCCCACTCTAGCCTAAGCCATCATGCTCTCTTGCCCAAATCATTACCAAAGCCTCCTAAATATTCTTTGCTTCCTTTCTTGCCCAGGTAGAATCTATTCTCAACAGAGCAAAGCAACCCTCTTAAAGCTTAAGTCACATAATGTCACTTCTTTGTTCAACACTCTCCAGTGACTTCTCATCTCAACCTGAGTAAAAGCCTAAGGTTTTAACAATGGCCTACAAGGCCCTCTCCACTCCCCTCCAGCTAAGTTGGTTTATTTACTATTCCTTGAACAGGCCAGGAAAGTTCAATAAAGATTCATTCCCCTGCATCTTCCTTTTTCTTAATAAATTAAAAAGGAAATAACAGTACAACACTATTATCTAGCGTGATGTTCTAAAGCTGTACTGATAAAATTTTAAAGCAGCACTTAAAATATGCATTAAGGAATTTCTTGTTCATTTTTCTTTTCCTGTCAAGAAGTACAAAATCAGCTGGGTGGGGTGGTGAATGCCTGTAGTACCAGGCAGGAGGAGTATTTGAGCCCAGGAGTTCAAAACCAGCCTGGGCAATACAGTGAGATCCCATTTCAAAAAAAAAAAAAGTATAAAATCCGTAGAGACAGGGTCTCACCATGTTGCCCAAACTGGTCTTAAACTCCTGGGCTCAAGCGATCTGCCAGGCTCAGTTTCCCAAAGTGCTGGGATTACAGGCATGAACCACCACACCCAGCTGACTTGTCTTTATTTTAGAACTGCATATTAAATTTAGGAGATATGGATATTAAAGAAAATTAACAAAAAAGCATCAGAGTAGACTTTAATTAACCAAAAAGAAAAACTTAAAAACTCAATTTATATTCAGAAACTAATCTTTTTCCATTTAAAATAAAAATGTACCATTTTTATTTGGGATTTTTATTAGTCAGATAGAAATTAGTCCAGTTTCCAGCAGTATACATTTGACACTGTTAGGCATTAGCTAAATAAATAAGTTTTGTCATGGTAATTGTGATTAAAATTAAGCAAACAAAGATGCTAGCCCCATAGCAACTTGATTTAAAAATGAAAACTGGGAACCTCTTGTCTGTTAAAAAAAATCAGATTCCCCAGGGATCATCATGGTATCCTATACTTATAAAACAAAATGTACTAAAAGTTTTACGCTCTGAATAGGCAAAATAACTTTTCCAATAAACTTTAAACATGCAGACAAATTAACACTACATTTTGAGAAAAAACTTTACAAAGGACCATTAAATACTAATTGTTCATGTAAAAAATAGCATAAAATAATAAAATCTGAGAATAATATAATACTGAATTGACTGTTACTACAAAATGGCAGGTATAAGCTAAAGAAACTGACAAATCAAAACCAAGCTTCAAGTAATCCTATCTAAACTGAGCACAATGTCTAACTACTGTTCAATGTGAAATAACTTATTTTCCCAAACATTGCACTTTTTGGTAGTGCCACACAAAGAAAAAATTACCATTTATAATTCCAAATGGCATAGAAAGGAAAATCAGATGATAATTAAAGTCTTTCAATGATGAATGTACTACTAGAATTTTTAAAGACTTCTATTTTTAATTCAACGGTCTTTTTTCTATATTAATAGCGCTGCTCGTTTATTAGGAAGCAAATACACAAGTCTAGTGTTTTACTGTGATTAAAGAGTCTAGCACAATGATAAATTGTGCTAATTCTTGAACACAAGACAACTAAAAAAAAATCCTAGAAGGAATAAGTTCTAGTATAGGATAACAGGAAAATTACAGTTAAGAACAATTTATTGTATATTTCAAAATAGCTAGAGAGAAGAACTGTAATGTTCCCAACACAAAGAAAAGATAAATGTTGGAGGTGATGGATATCCCAATTACCCTGATTTGATTGTTACACAATGTATACAAGTATTAAAATATCACATGTACCACAGAAATATGTACAACTGTGATGTCAATTTTTTTAATGTTCCAAAAGAATATGTATACACACTGAGAACAGTGGTTACTTTTGTGGGGTAAGTTGAGAACTAAGCAATGCGAAAGAGAATTGTCAACTTATGACTGTTTCCACTTTTTGCATTTTGAACCATGTGAATATATTATGTACTTTGAAATATTAAATAAGAACCCCATTAAACTTGATTTTGAAGAAAAACAATTTTAAACTATCCTAGTCTTTTTGGTATGCTGATGGTCAATGAGGATAACTAAGTAACCCATTAGGCTGGCAGCACATATGTCAGTACAGGAACTGTTTACTAATTCATCAATTATTAATATAAATCAGATGCAAATTATGCACCTTCAGTCTCCAGGAGGTCGAGGTCTGATTTGTTCCTACTTTGATTATAGCATCTAGCACAGTGAGTACGCAGCACATAATCATTGTTTAATAAATATCTGTAGAATGATTTAACCTATAAATATCACTTGTTCCATTATAAATTTGAAATTTTGGTTATAGAATCTATGAACACTACTAATAATAGCTAACATCTATTAAGGGCTTACTATATGCCATTATCTCACTTAAAACTTGAAACAACCTTGTGGCTGTCCTCACTTTTAAATAAACTGTGGCTGAGCAAGTCTAAGCAACTTGCCCAGACTTACAGGGCAAGGCAGTAGCAGAGCCAGAATCATACTGTGGTTTCTCTAACTACAAAATCTATAACTTTAACAACAATATTATATTGCAATACTCACAATTTATTTTTAGGTTGAGAATCTCTATTATGTAAGTCTCTTTCATCCTATAAAAACGACCAGTTTATAAAAATCTCAAAATAATGAATTTTCAACTGATAAACAATAGCAATGCATTATTTAACTTCTGGGCTTCTTACTACTTAGCCTCCTCCTGAAGCTGAGCTCTAAACCACTTAAAACAATATCTGTAGCCGGGCACGGTGGCTCACATCTGTAATCCCAGCACTTTGGGAGGCCAAGGCGGGCAGATCACAAGGTCACAAGATAGAGACCATCTGGGCCAACATGGTGAAACCCTGTATCTACTAAAAATACAAAAATTAGCTGGGCGTGGTGGCACACACCTGTAGTCCCAGCTACTCTAGAAGCTGAGGCAGAAGAATCACTTGAACCCAGGAGGCGGAGGTTTCAGTGAGCCGAGACCACGCCACTGCACTCCAACCAGGCGACAAAGCAAGACTCTGTCTCAAAAAAAAAAAAAAAAAAACTACTTCTGATAGACAGTGGAACAACTTTATGCAGCAGCAGAAGTGGCCTACCAATTTAGAACTGAACTACTACTGAACTACAATTAGACTGAACTTTGTTCCAGATGTCAGTGTAAAAAGGAATGTGGTGCAGATTTAAACTTGTTGTGCAGATAAAGAATGTACTTTAAAAAATGTACCAGAGGTACAAGGAGGAACTGGTACCATTCCTTCTGAAACTATTCCAGTCAATAGAAAAAGAGGGAATCCTCCCTAACTCATTTTATGAGGCCAGCATCATTCTGATACCAAAGCCGGGCAGAGACACAACCAAAAAAGAGAATTTTAGACCAATATCCTTGACGAACATTGATGCAAAAATCCTCAATAAAATACTGGAAAAAACGAATCCAGCAGCACATCAAAAAGCTTATCCACCATGATCAAGTGGGCTTCATCCCTGGGATGCAAGGCTGGTTCAATATACGCAAATCAATAAATGTAATCCAGCATATAAACAGAGCCAAAGACAAAAACCACATGACTATCTCAATAGATGCAGAAAAAGCCTTTGACAAAATTCAACAACCCTTCATGCTAAAAACTCTCAATAAATTAGGTATTGATGGGACGTATCTCAAAATAATAAGAGCTATCTATGAGAAACCCACAGCCAATATCATACTGAATGGGCAAAAACTGGAAGCATTCCCTTTGAAAACTGGCACAAGACAGGGATGCCCTCTCTCACCACTCCTATTCAACATAGTGTTGGAAGTTCTGGCCAGGACAATTAGGCAGGAGAAGGATTGTCCCTGTTTGCAGACGACATGATTGTATATCTAGAAAACCCCATCGTCTCAGCCCAAAATCTCCTTAAGCTGATAAGCAACTTCAGCAAAGTCTCAGGATACAAAATCAATGTACAAAAATCACAAGCATTCTTATACACCAACAACAGACAAACAGAGAGCCAAATCATGAGTGAACTCCCATTCACAATTGCTTCAAAGACAATAAAATACCTAGGAATCCAACTTACAAGGGATGTGAAGGACCTCTTCAAGAAGAACTACAAACCACTGCTCAAGGAAATAAAAGAGGATACAAACAAATGGAAGAACATTCCATGCTCATGGGTAGGAAGAATCAATATCGTGAAAATGGCCATACTGCCCAAGGTAATTTACAGATTCAATGCCATCCCCATCAAGCTACCAATGACTTTCTTCACAGAATTGGAAAAAACTACTTTAAAGTTCATATGGAACCAAAAAAGAGCCCGCATCGCCAAGTCAATCCTAAGCCAAAAGAACAAAGCTGGAGGCATCACACTACCTGACTTCAAACTATACTACAAGGCTACACTAACCAAAACAGCATGGTACTGGTACCAAATCAGAGATATAGATCAATGGAAAAGAACAGAGTCCTCAGAAATAACGCCACATATCTACAACTATCTGATCTTTGACAAACCTGACAAAAACAAGCAATGGGGAAAGGATTCCCTATTTAATAAATGGTGCTGGGAAAATTGGCTAGCCATATGTAGAAAGCTGAAACCGGATCCCTTCCTTACACCTTATACAAAAATCAATTCAAGATGGATTAAAGATTTAAACGTTAGACCTAAAACCATAAAAACCCTAGAAGAAAACCTAGGCATTACCATTCAGGACATAGGCATGGGCAAGGACTTCATGTCCAAAACACCAAAAGCAATGGCAACAAAAGCCAAAATTGACAAATGGGATCTAATTAAACTCAAGAGCTTCTGCACAGCAAAAGAAACTACCATCAGAGTGAACAGGCACCCTACAAAATGGGAGAAAATTTTCGCAACCTACTCATCTGAAAAAGGGCTAATATCCAGAATCTACAATGAACTCAAACAAATTTACAAGAAAAAAACACACAACCCCATCAACAAGTGGGTGAAGGACATGAACAGACACTTCTCAAAAGAAGACATTTATGCAGCCAAAAAACACATGAAAAAATGCTCATCATCACTGGCCATCAGAGAAATGCAAATCAAAACCACAATGAGATACCATCTCACACCAGTTAGAATGGCAGTCATTAAAAAGTCAGGAAACAGCAGGTGCTAGAGAGGATGTGGAGAAATAGGAACACTTTTACACTGTTGGTGGGACTGTAAACTAGTTCAACCATTGTGGAAGTCAGTGTGGCGATTCCTCAGGGATCTAGAACTAGAAATACCATTTGACCCAGCCATCCCATTACTGGGTATATACCCAAAGGACTATAAATCATGCTGCTATAAAGACACATGCACACGTATGTTTATTGCGGCATTATTCACAATAGCAAAGACTTGGAACCGACCCAAATGTCCAACAATGATAGACTGGATTAAGAAAATGTGGCACATATACACCATGGAGTACTATGCAGCCATAAAAAATGATGAGTTCGTGTCCTTTGTAGGGACATGGATGATACTGGAAATCATCATTCTCAGTAAACTATTGCAAGAGCAAAAAACCAAACACCACATATTCTCACTCATAGGTGGGAATTGAACAATGAGATCACATGGACACAGGAAGGGGAATATCACACTCTGGGGACTGTGGTGGGGTGGGGGGAGGGGGGAGGGATAGCATTGGGAGATATACCTAATGCTAGATGACGAGTTAGTGGGTGCAGCACACCAGCATGGCACATGTATACATATGTAACTAACCTGCACAATGTGCACATGCACCCTAAAACTTAAAGTATAATAAAAAAAAAAAATAAGCACTTAAAATGATATCTTGTGTGTCAGTATGCTATTAAGTATATGTAGTCCAGATTGCTCATGCACTTAGAATATGTTACCATGTGCTATTACCATACAAGTAATCCTGCTCTCTGAGGTGGATATTCTCCATTTGTCCCTTCAGATCCACTCTCTAACTCGCAGTTTTCCTTAGGAGACTAACCTTTTTGGACTCCATCCAAAGGTTATTTGCCATGTGGCTTTTGGCAGGATTAGGACTACGGGAGGCACCAGCAGGAGATGAAAGGGCAGGAGGAGAATGAGGTCAAGGTATTTGTAGGTGGGGTATCACCTCCTTTCTGGACAGCGTGGGTTGACAGTAGTTGGATTCCTCCACCAAAAGCCACAGCTCCTCTTGAGGGGCCTCTCCTATAGCCACCCCTTGTCTCTTTAGGCTTCGATGGCAAAAGCCTATTTCCCAAAACTCTCTCCACCCTTTTATAAATAGTCTGTCATTAAATGACCCTCAACTAGTCCATTGGAGTGTATTATTCTTGCTGGGACCCTGACTGATACACTCCCCAACTAGATTATAATATATCTTGATATAGACACCATTTCTCATATTTCTTTTTTATCATTCTTAGTATCCAGCAGAAACACTTGCATATAAATAAAGTTCACTAGAAAGAACACTAGATGGAAAATGAGAATATCTCAGTTCCATTTTCAGTTATACCAATGTTTAGCTTCCATTAAACCTTGGATTCTTAATTGTAAAATAAGGATTCTTAATTGTAAAATAATTGTAAAATGGGTTAAGTTGGAGTAAATAATCATCTAAAGTCTGTTCTGGGAATGATGTAGAATTATTTTTTCAACACTAATAGTTGAAACTCTACCAGTAGAGACTTATTTCTCTGTGTTTGATAGGTATGAGCTCACTTAAAAGAATGAATAATTGTTTAGCTCACAGTTAGCAAACTTTGTATATAAGGGTCAGATAGTAAATATTTTAGACTTTAATGCCCAAGAGACAAAATCAAGGTTATTATGTAGGTACCTAGTACAATACAAATATATTTCCATAAAGTTTTTATCGACAAAATTCAAAATATAATAATGTGAATATAATGTTTTGTAATGTGGGTCTTCCAATGAGAAGAATGGAATTCTTTTGGGGAAAGAGTATTTCATTTTAATTGGGACTCAAAGCTGGTGTTCTCTATCATCAAAATCAACGTTTATCTGTTAATGTTCATCTGTAATGAGATTTTACATATTTCATTTTTGAAAATGTCTTTTCACGCAGACAAGCACTGCCAAATATTGATACCAGTCCACAGGCACGTTATTTTATTTAAGTATATTCCTCACTTACAAGGTATTTATAAAATTCTATTAGATTCTTCTCCTGACTTTTAGCAGGTCATTACACTGTAAATAATCATTTCCAGTTGACAGTTACCTGGAAGTTCCTTGATTGCACAGTTAAACAGATTTTGAAATACGGAAAATCCCTAACTTGTATTTTAGTTTGAAAACTGCTGCTAGAACTATAATTTTATCTAGAAAATGTATCTGCCATAAATTTGTGTGGGAATGGACATCTAACTTCTTGTTTTAACTTTTGACAAGATGTGACATATACAGTGGCTTGACATTACTTGTGACTCAAACAACATTCATTGTCATCAAAATGACTTTTACTATAACATGATTTTTGCATTTAAACTGTTATTCCTTGTAACTTTAGGATGGATTTATCAAGTCTGCAGCAAAAGTTAACTTCCAAAGTCACTCAGTGTTCAGTAATCGTGGTTGAGGGTGGTTCTTCTCATTCAGAAAAATTTCAATCTCAGTCCTGAGCTCAAAAAGTACAACAGATAATGGGAGAAATATTACAGAGATTGTCCTTCCAAGACTGTGCAACTTCCTGGTTTGAAGAGGGCATGAAAGAGAAGAAGGGGAGCAAAGCCAAAAGAGCCTATAGAGTTCAAATCTGAGCAGACACAAAAGATAATGGCGACATTCATAAAAATAATAAAGGATGAAGAGACCTAAAAATAGCTGTTTTTGTTTGTTTGTTTGTTTTAAAAGAGATGGAGCCTTGCAATGTTGCCCAGGCTGGACTTGAACTCCTGGGCTCAAGCGATCCACCCACCTCAGCCTCCTGAGTAGCTGGGACTAAAGGCACCCACCACTGCACCTGGCTAGAAATAGCATATTTAACAAAACGTTGTCATATACAAAAGTATATATGTATAAAATAGATAAATTGAGGAATGCATGCTCACATTCCAAAACACTATTTATTTTTCCAAAGGATTTACTACAGAGTTCTTTTAAGTAATGTCGTTTATAACATAGCAATAATAATATCTACACACTCAGGTTATTGAGACATCAAGTGAGATAATACACATGAGAGCTTACATATTACTCTAGAGATTGATCTCAAGAAATGTTAGCATGATTTGTTAGTATTATTGATATTAATAATAATGAGTTCTCTTGATTTGTTTATTTATATAGAGTTAAGGAACAGTGAAAATTAAAATGCTAAAGAAACTGGCTGGTAAAATTAGATTATCACATTAAATTACCCAATTATTTAAATATTTAATTCCCATAAATATACATGTAACTCAGAAAAGAACAAGTAATTAATAAAAAGTGAACTAATTCTCCCTCTATGCCATGAAATATTTTTTAAAGTTTTTGCCTACCTAATTGGGTCAAGCCTCATCACATACTCATATTCCTTTGTCTAAAGTCTTAGTTGTTTATAAAAGCTGTTTTAAAAAATGTTGTATGTTATTTAACATAATCTAAACAGGACAAGAAGTTCTTAAAACACAAGCTTCCACATTCACTCTATCTTATTACAAAATAAAAATAAACAAGCCAATAAGATTTTATTGGTATGGAATGAACTATTTTTATAACAAGTCTTGCTTTTCAATTTCCAAAGCAAAACACTATTTAATCATCTAACATCAAGTGGAGTTTTTAAAATCTCCTGCATGTGCTTCAGTTTTCCCAGAAAAGTAACAATTTTAAGTTGTTGTGTATATTTTATGTACTAAAATATTTAAAAACCTGGGGAGTTCCTGCTCCCCTTTCATCCTCTAAAAGGGATACTTTGTTTTTTATTCTCTTTTCAATTAAAGTATCTTACTTCTATCATTTAAACACAGAGGCATAAAAATAACAATTCTTCTGCCTGGTAGAAAATACTGAAGATACAGCACTGGATGTTTAGCCTAATATTTACCTAAGGAAATCAAAGCTATTGGATTCTTACCATCGTAATTTTCAGCATGGAGAAATCAGAATTGGCATCTGAGAATAA
Organism: Homo sapiens; assembly: GCF_000001405.40. Lineage (NCBI taxonomy): Eukaryota > Metazoa > Chordata > Mammalia > Primates > Hominidae > Homo > Homo sapiens. The sequence goes on along the minus strand of NC_000011.10, from coordinate 14,753,482 downwards.
TATGTCAACTTCACACACCAAATGATTCAATTTATAAACCCAAGAATTATCAGAACATCATGTTATTACAGAAGATATTTCATAAAAAAATATATCCATCATTTAGGGCATTCAATTTAACTTCGACATTAAAATTCAAGTATTTGTTTACATCTCCATCTCTTTTATTAGATTCTTTGATAACAATATTCCTGGCCTTCTTTATCCTCGGTGACTAATAAAGTATGTGGTTCATGGAAGGCACTCAAAAAGATCTATACTGAAAATATGCTTGTAATTGTAAAATCACCTGAGTCAAAACTTTTATATCTCTCCCTCCAAAGAACTAAGTTACTTTTCACTTACATTAACAGTTAATTTTTCCTATGATCCAATGGATGGTGAATAGGGAAACAAAGGGGAAAAACAGGGATCCTAGACTCCTGACAAAACACAAATATGTTATCTTACCACTTCCACACACTATCATTCCTTAATACCTGAAGACTAAGTAGTTTATCAGTTTAGCTATGGTCACTGAATAAGCATCCCAAAGCAATGGAATAAATGAGAGCAAACAGTAGATAGTTTAGAAAGCAAAAGTCAACAGATTATACTAGAATACTAGATAACTTTTAGAAGAAGTGGAAAAGAGGGGTAAGGCAAAAGAAAAAAGATTAAGAATGGGGCAGGAGGACAAAAGTGACTGAATAACAGTAGCCTTTGACTTGTACAAAGACAAGTAATACCTAAATGAAGGATTCCAGGGCTTATCAGAATCAAGGAGAAAATGCAAGGAGTGACCATGTCAGCTCAGAGTTTGTGATGGCCACAAATAAAGAAAAAGTCTAGATATATTCAATGGATCTCCTTAAAATTTAATAAAACATTTCAACGTTCTCACAGAAAAGACAGCCATGACTCCATAGCATAAAACTTGAAGGAGGGAGGAACTTTAGAAGAGAGCTGGGAAAAGAAATTAAAGAATTTAACCAGTGAACTCAAAAAACCCAAACCTCAAAATTACCTATGGCTTGCAAAGTTCAAGAGACAACAAAAGGAATTTTCTTTCTTTTTCTTTTCTTTGATAGATTAAACCAAGATAGAACAACAACAACAACAAAGCCTTATTTCAGAAGATAGTATAATACCACTAAAGAGAAAGTAAAACTCTTTAACTCCTAGATTGTCCCAGTTTTCTCTGTCAGAAACTGAAAAGGTCTGAACAAACATTGTAATGCCAGAACTAAAGCCCAAGACAGGTAAGTCACTCCAAGTTCTTAGTCAGAATGAATTATAGTCACAGGATACTGAGAGAACTAGCACATGAGGTTATTGGTAACCTTTAAAGACTCTTAGAAACAAACAAATGTAATTGATTTATAAAAATAAAAAAGTAGATTTCTTAGAATACAGAAGATGAGTGTAGCAAGTACCACTGATAACCCATGTCACAGTCCCTCAGTCCACTTTTTGTCATACTTGTGGTGAACCTTCCTGAAAAGATTTACCTCACATTAACAGACTGCCACTTCAAAGATGCATTCACCATCTTTCCACTTTCTGTCCCAGGATTTTCACTGGCACTACAATGTCCCACTCAGCCTGTTAGCAAGGGCAGCCTGGAAATATGGGTGAGTTAACTTTCCCAGGTTAAGGGATGGAGGGAATCTTTGACCAATAAAGAACAAGAGCTGATAGATAAATCTCGTTGCCTATCTTTCAGATAGAAAGTCTAGGAAGCTTTCTGAACACTTTTCAGGATGTCACAGCAGAATCTAGTTTCTGCTGTCAAAACTACCACTACAATACTATAGTCTTATATTGGCATTTCCTTCTTCCCTGTCTCACTCTTGACCACTTCCTTATTCCCACTTTGTGGGATCACTTCCCAAATAAACTACTGTCCTTGTTTCATGCTTGACTTTTAGGGAAACTTAAACCAAAACAATACGGCTGATATCAACTGATTACAAACAAGTTTTAAGGAATAATTTATGACAAATCAGGTGAAGAGGTAGTGATTAGTATAAGTTTATATCAACTCACTAGAAAAATGAGTGACAATTTCCTTTTTTGCCAAGATTTATTATTAGATGGCGTATCAGAGAAATTAGGTAGATGCACTCAATTTCTTGAAACAAACTGATTCAAAACAGAAAAGAATGAATTACAGTAATGATATAAAGTAATAATCATTGGAACCTCCAGGGTGCTGCAGGTCAACCTGGAAAGACTTAGCAAGTGCAACACTACAAAATTCTAACTTCTATAACATTTTTAAAAATATTACTATAAATGACATAAATTATATAAAAAATGGGATTTCCAAATATGAATTCACAGAACAGTGCCAGGCAGCTTGCATAATCACCAGGTGCACAATGTTTCTGACTAAATGTGAGGGAGGAACTAAAAATCTATTTTTTAAAACTCCTCAGATGATTCTGATGAGCAGCCAGGTTTGGTAATCTGTGATATAGACAACATGCCTATTGTATTTGTAAATGACAGAAACGTAGAACAGGGAACACACTAACAGAGTGATTCTGAAAAGACCAGGCTAGAATCAAAAGATGGACTAATTCCAACTAGTGTGATCAGTCTGGCTGCCTAAAAAAAATGAATGAGATCTTGGTTTATTTTATGTAGATGCAGGGAGATAATAATCTCTACTCCTATGTCAGTGTTAATGGGCCACACCCATAAAATGTATTCCTTTCTAAAATTACACTTTTAGAAAAAGTATAGACCAAAGGTTCTTAACCACTTCTTGAACAATGGACCCCTTTTGCAGTCTAGTAAAGCCTATGGATCCTTTTCAAAATAATATTCTTAAAAGCATAAAATTTAATGCATAAGAAAACAGAGAAAACCAATCAGTCAATAAAATTTATATCATATCTACATTATAAATATTATTAAAATAAACATGATTCAATAATATATGTTCTTATAATTAGGAAATTATATATAATATTCACATTAAGAACCAATGAATGTCAATATTTCCAAATATCTGCAACAACTATAGTGGATATAAAGTTATCTGTGATTTCTACTGTTGTGAAGCCACAGTTTTGCTATAGTGGTCTGTTGCTTACAATCATAAATTTTCAAATTTATGATTTGAAATAATCATAAACTCTCATTCAGAAGTTAGTAAATATAAGGATACAAATTTTTCATATTTGTGATAGTTAATTTTATGTGTTAACTTGACTGAGTTTCAAGGTGCCCATACATTTGGCCAAACATTATTCTATTCTGTATGTATCTAGGAGGGTATTTCTGGATGAGATTAACATTTGAAGCAGTACACTGAGTAAAGCAGATTGCTTTCCCTACTGCTGGTGGACCTCATTCAATCAATTAAATAGAACCAAAAGGCTGAATAGGAGGAATTCTTCCTGCCTGACAGCTTGAGCTACAACACTGGTGTTTTCCAGCTTTAGAACTGGACTGAAACATCCTCTCTTCTTGGGTCTCAAGCTGACCAGCTTTCAGATTGGAACTTACACTACTGGCTCTCCAAGGTCTCCAGCTTGCTAAATGCAGATCTTGGGACTTCTCAGCTTCCACAAAGATACATATATATATATATGGGATATATTTATTTTAAATCTATAAATATATAAATTTTAAATATATATAAATAAATATATATATATTTATGGGATATAGGAGGATGTGCATGTGTAAATATCCTCCTATTGGTTCTATTTTTCTGGACAACCCTGACTAATATCAAAATCCATGGGTTTCCTGAATCCTATTCATGGATTCTGCTCCTAGTAGAGACCATCTGCAGTATATTCTGAATAACAGAGAAGGCCTTTGTGACATATGAAGAATGGCTGAAGGAACCAAAAGTATTTATTTAGAGAAGAAACTTCAGGAATGGTAAGAGAGATTGTGGAGTCATAAAAGCTGTCCTCAAATATTTTATGATTGTCATAAGGAAGACTGCTTAAACCGTTCTGTGTAGCCCCAAAGAATCTAGGGCCAACAGGTTAAAAACAAAAAGAAAGACAAGGAAGCTGACTTTGATTCAGTATAACTATTTGCTTTTCACTAGTCAATGCTATCCAAAGATGGAATGTATTATCTTCAGAGGTATAGAGTTACTCATCATTGGATCAGTACCTGCATAAGCTAGCTTACTATTTAGTTAATGTGTTTAAGGAAATTCAAGCACTGAAAGGCCAGACTAGATGATCTTCACTTCTCTTTCTACATGAATATTACTTTTCATTTACATATGTACCAATCTATGTTTAAAAAAAAAGTTTTATACAAAAATAGAAAGTTCTTGGCCAGGCGTGGATGGCTCACGCTTGTAATCCCAGCACTTTGGGAAGCCGAGGCAGGTGCATCACTTGAGGCCAAGAGTTTGACACCAGCCTGAGCAACATGGCAAAACCCCGAATCTACTAAAAAGACAAAAATTAGACAGGCATGGTGGTACATACCTGTAATCCCAGCTACTTGGGAGGCTGAAGCATGAGAATCACATGAACCCAGGCGGCGGAAGCTGCAGTGAGCCAAGACTGCGCCACTGCACTCCAGCCTGGGCAAAAGAGCGAAACTCTGTCTCAAAAAAAAAAAAAAAAGAAAGAAAAGAGAAAGGCTATAGACCACTCCTTAAAAGGAAGTTAGCTCTTTTTTTAATAGTATCATTTTAGTATGGGTATTTCAACAATGACGAGAAAGACCATTATCTTTTTACCTTAACTATAGTGTAGTTAATAAATGTAGCTGTCTCAGATACTTTCCAAAACCATAATGAATGAAAAAGAGAACTAAATAAGTTAGAAAGTGAGAATTCCATTGGAAATAATTGTTCCTATTTTGAAATGATTAAAGAATCAGTGTAATAACCATTCTGCTATTTGGGTCAGAATTTAAATAATTGTATAAGGTTTGTGTAAAAATATAATTAGGGTCTCTTTAGCTCATGTCTATGTTAAAATAAGTTAGCAATTATGTATTTCACAAAAATGAAAAGAATATTGTTATACAAAAATCAAGTTAATATATTATGTGAAAATTCAAAGAATATTATGAATTTGAAATTAACTCTGTACTGAAAAGACTTCAGGTTTCTGAGAATGATTTAAAAATACATAGAAAAAAAATTGTGATTTAATTTATGAATGCTGCTTCTTCAGGCCATCTGCCTCAAATCAAAACAGCTGCAGCCAATCTGAAACATAAACAGCTACATATCCAAGAGAACAATTAATAGGTCACAGAACGGCTACCCATCACAAATAGGGAATTACAGTAATAAGATCTGAAGTAATCCTCAACATTTTAAAATAATTCTAAACCATATGATCTATTCTTACTAATATTATAGGCCTATGCCTATGTTAAACCATTTAGATTATGTTAAAGAACTAGGTTACATTAAAGAATTTAGGTTATAACTCGCTTATAACACTCATTTACAATATAATAAATGCTAAAGGAAATGCTATACTATGTTGGTAAAATTATTATATGCACAATTTAATCACTAAAAATCTAATTATACTTGTAAATTTCTTGTCATTACGTATGTGGTAAGTCAAATAGTGACTATTTCTTCAAAGGGGCTTTTGAATTCTGAAACACAGAAATGTGTGCACTTCTATAACAAGGTATTTATGAAACACCTGCTACTTAAATATGTATATTACATGCGTTTATAAAACAATCCATTATTTTTGCAAATCATTTGATTCAAAATATGGAAGTTAAAAAATAAGAAATATTTTAAATGAATTAATTTTTAAGCCATTCTCCCCTCCTTCCCTCCCCCAATACACACACATCCCACCATCACCACTACATTTTGGTTGCTTGATTTTTTAGGGATTATGCACACGATATGCTTCTTTAAAAACTTTATACAGCACATAAAGGCTTAAAATGAAAACTATACACTTCCCTTTGTCCCTATCCCCTGGAGTCAACCACAATGAATAACAGATTCTGTTTAGGCTATCTTCTGACTGTCTTCTCTATGGGAGAAAGACATGACAGCACTTACTCTTCCTAGTACTCACTCACTTTCATGTTATATTATTTTTTACAATGTTGAGGCTTTGATATTTGTGTTATGTTGTGTAAGTCTAGTCAAAAGTGGCAAATCAAAGGGCTTTACAATACTATGATTCTGTAAGTATCATTCACTCTGAAACAAAACAGAGTGACTGATATGGTTTGGATGTTTATCCCTCCAAATCTCATGCTGAAATGTGATTCCCAAAGTTGAAGGTGGGGCCTGCTGGGAGGTGACTAGATCATGGGGCTGGATCCTTCATGAATGGGTTAGCATCATCCCCTTGGTGATGACTGTGTTGTTTAAAAGATTATGTTGTTTTAAAGATTGTGTTGTTTAAAAGAGCATGGCACCTCCCCCAACCCTTGCTCTGGCTCTCGCCACATGACACACCTCCTCCGCCTTTGCCTTCCACCATGGTTGTAAGCTTACTGAGGCACTCGCCAGGAGCAGATGCTGGCACCACACTTCCTGTACAGCCTGAAGAACTATGAGCCAACTAAACCTCTTTTCTTTATAAATTACCAGTCTCAGGTATTCCTTTATAGTGATGCAAAAATGTCCTGTAACAGTGACTAAAGCCATAGAGATGGAAATGAAATTCTACATAATTAAGATCACTATTTCAAATAGGATCTTCCAAAATTACCATCGAAAGGATCCTCGTATTCTTTTCAGCCTCACTCATGCTTTCTGGGTCATACTCTTGCCACTATTCCATTTTTTTAACCTTATGTAATGCTTAATATTTTAAGTGACAGCTAAATGAGCCTAAGGATAGCTTTCAAATATCTCAAAACATGACACCAGTGAAAGATTATTTCTCATTAGCAAAAGAATACAAAAACATTTAGGTAAGTTTATATCCTCAGCTTTTAAAACATCCTAGTCTAGTAACTAGAAAAGGGCAACTAAGACATCCCTTCAGAGTTGTCCTAAATTGGGTTGAGAGAGGGTGAAGCCTTTACAGCATCAAATCAACAACTCATTTAATGTGAGCTGCCCTAGAAAAAGGGCATTAGCTTTTTAAAGACAGCTTTATTTTATTATTTTTTATTTTATTTTATTTTGAGATAGAGTGTCACTCCATCACCCAGGCTGGAGTGCACTGGTGCGATCTCGGCTCACTGCAACCTCCGCCTCCTGGGTTCTTGTGCCTCAGCCTCCCGAGTAGCTGGAATTGCAGGTGAATGCCACCACGCCCAGCTAATTTTTGTATTTTTAGTAGAGACAGGGTTTCACCATGTTGGCCAGGCTGGTCACGAACTCCTGACCTTAAGTGATCCATCCGCCTTGGCCTCCCAAAGTGAGGGGATTACAGGCATGAGTGCGGTGGCACCTGGCCAAGACAGGCTCTCGTTAGACATTTCAACAATTTTATGAGAGGGCTTCCTGATGAGACCTGTCAGTGGACAATCTTCCTAGCAGCTGGGGAAATAAATCTTTCAGTCCTGAAGGGAAGAGCTGGACAACATAACATAGAACATGGGGATATGGAATAACTATCATGGATGCTATGTTATTAGGGACCTGAATCTGAATCAGATAGCAAATGGGGATGTGGAATAACTATCATGGATGTTACCTGATTCAGATTCAGGTCCCTGATCTCACAAAATTCCAAGAGAATCCAGCCAATATACATTAATTCTTTTCCTTTTCCTGTCAAACAGGCTAAACAATCCTTGTATGTACTTTAGATGGGCACAGGCAGGGAGGGTGGAAAAAAAATGGTGAAGGGAAAAAGTATAGCGAGGAAAGGAGGAAAAATAAAAGGAGAAGGAAAATAAAAAAAATATACATAATAAAAGATTCCTATCCACCTCTGACTTCATTTGGCACTGAATTCCAGCTAACTAGTAGCTGTCTAACATCAAAGTTGACAAATGATGGTGAGCAGAAATCAATACTTCTAAAAGTACATTTTTATATATTTCTTGATAGTTTTTTTTATGTAGCTAAATACAAAGAAATAATGGTTGATCCACAACAGGAACAAGAAAAGTACGTGGTTAAAAAAAAATGCCATATTAGATCTGCTGTGTGTGTGTATGTATAATAACTTAATCAATATAGTTAGATCACAAACAAGACTCAAGCAAAAAACCAAAACCTTAAAAATAAGTGATTATCCAGATACAGTATTCTTTCTCTGAATCAAGAAATAACATTTTAAAGAACCACTAAAATTTCAAAGTCAGTTTATAAATTTCACAGATATTTAATTACAGAATTCAGAAAAAAATTATTTTTGTAAACAGCTTGTGAGGCACTTGCTCTAGGGAATGTGAAAAGAACAAAACACAGTCTCCCTCCAAAAAAGCTACCTTCGGCTGGTGCAGTGGCTCACGCCTATAATCCCAGTGCTTTGGGAGGCCGAGGTGGGAGGATCGCTTGATCTCAGGAGTTCAAGACCAGCCTGGGCAACATAGAGAGACCCTGTCTCTATAAAATAAAAACAAAAAAACAAAAAAGCTATTTTCACAGAGCTTATAAATTAACAAAAAGGATAAACACTTAAAGAACAATTATACTATATGACTGAGCTAAATTATAACCCTATCCCCTGGGCTTTTATTCATTGTCAATATTAAAAATATGTTTCCTATAAAACATTAAAATTATCCTTATAATGTTATTTCATGTCCCTAATGCAAAAGTTCTCATAATAATTTTCTCCTAGAGTTGAGTTCCAGAAAAAAGTTCTTCTCTTTTATTAGAAAGTCACATACACTGACCCTGCTTCCCTATCTCATTTCCTTTTTGCCAGCCTTTCAGGATGCTTAGAACTAAATCTACTACTCAATTTATTTTATTCTCTGTGTATGCACATTGGGATCTTAAGAGAAAGAACTGAGATGGGAGATATAGATGAAATAATCCATCTTTACAACAGAATTTACAATGGCATCAAAAATAATAAAATACTTGGTAATAAACTTAATCAAGGCAGTACAAAACTTTGACAATGAAAACTACAAAACATTGCTGAAAGAAAGTAAAGAAGACCTAACTAAATGGAAAAACATTCACATTCATGGACTTGGAAGACAATATTGTGAAAATGGCAATATCACCCAAAGCAAACTAAAAATGCAATGCAATTCCTATCAAAATCCCAATGACTTTTTTTGCAGAAATGAAAAAACTGATCCTACAATTCATACAGAATTTTAAGAACATTGAATAACCAAATCAAAGAAAAAAGAATAGAAAGGAAAAAAGAAACAGTATAAGACTCACATAGCTGGTTGCATAACTGATTATAAAAGCTACAGTAATCAAAACATCATGGTAATGGCATAAAGACAGACATGTAGATCAATGGAATAAAACTGAGAATTGAGAAATAAACCTATATATCTGTGGTCAACTGATTTTCAACAAAGGTGCTAAGAACACTCAACAATATAAAACTAATCTCTTTGATAGTGGCTGGCAAGATGGTCGAATAGCAACAGCTCTGGTCTGCAGCTCCCAGAGAGATCAATGCAGAAGGTGAGTGATTTCTGTATTTCCAACTGAGGTACCCAGCTCATCTCAATGGGACTGGTTAGACAGTGGGTCCAGCCCACAGAGGGCGAGCAGATGCAGGGTGGGGCATCTCCTCACCCAGGAAGTGCAAGGGGTTGAGGAACTCCCTCCCCTAGCCAAGGGAAGCCATGAGGGACTGTGCCGTGAGGAATGGTGCATTGCGGCCCAGATAGTACGCATTTCCCACAGTCTTTGCAACCTGCAGACCAGGAAAATCCCTCTGGTACCTACGCCACCAGGGTCCTGGGTTTCAAGCACAAAACTGGGCAGCCATTTGGGCAGACACCGAGCTAGCTGCAGGAGTTTCTTTTCATACCCCAGTGGCACATGGAACACCAGCAAGACAAAACTGTTCACTACCCTGGAAAGGGAGTTGAAGCCAGGGAGCCCAGTGGTCTAGCTCAGTGGATCCCACCCTGATGGAGCCCAACAAGCTGGGATCCATTGGCTTGAAATTCTTGCTGCCAGCACAGCAGTCTGAAGTCAACCTGTGATGCTCCAACTTGGTGGGGGAAGGGGTGTCTGCCATTACTGAGACTTGAGTAGGCGGTTTTCCCCTCACAGCATAAATAAAGCTGCTGGGAAGTTCAAACTGGGTGGAGCCCACTTCATCTTGGCAAAGCCACTATAGCCAGACTTCCTCTCTAGATTCCACCTCTCTGGGCAGGGTATCTCTGAAATAAAGGCAGCAGCCCCAGTCAGGGGCTTAGAGATACAACTCCCATCTCCCTGGGACCACCTGGGGGAAGGGGCAGCTGTGGGTGCAACTTCAGCAAACAAACGTTCCTGTCTGCCAGGTCTGAAGAGAACAGCAGATCTCCCAACACAGCGCTCAAGCTCTGCTAAGGGACAGACTGCCTCCTCAAGTGGGTCCCTGACCCCCGTGCCTCCTGACTCGGAGAAATCTCTCAGCAGGAGTTGACAGACACCTCATACAGGAGAGCTCTGGCTGGCATCTAGTGAGAGCCCCTCTGGGACAAAGCTTCCAGAGGAAGGAACAGTCAGCAATCTTTACTGTTCTGCAGCCTCTCCTGGTGACATTCAGGCAAACAGGGTCTGGAGTGGACCTCCAGCAAACTCCAGCAGACCTGCAGCATAGGGGCCTGACTGTCAGAAGGAAAACTAACAAGCAGAAAGAAATCGCATGTCCACTCAAAGACCCCATCCAGAGGTCACCAACATTAAAGACCAAAGGTAGATAAATCCACAAAGATGGGGAGAAACCAGCACAAAAAGGCTGAAAATTCCAAAAAACACAACGCCTCTTCTCCTCTAAAGGATCACAACTCCTCACCAGCAAGGGAACAAAATTGGACGGAGAATGAGTTTGACAGACAGAAGTAGGCTTCAGAAGGTGGGTAATAACAAACGATTCTGAGCTAAAGGAGCATGTCCTAACCCAAAGCAAGGAAGCTAAGAACCTAGAAAAAAGGTTAGATGAATTGCTAACTAGAATAACCAGTTTAGAGAAGAACATAAATGATCTGGTGGAGCTGAAAAACACAGCACAAGAACTTCATGAAGCATACACAAGTATCGATAGCTGAACTCATCAAGTGGAAGAAAGGATATCAGAGATTGAAGATCAACTTGATGAAATAAAGCAAGAAGATTAGAGAAAACAGAATGAAAAGGAACGAACAAAGCCTCCAAGAAATATGGGACTATGTGAAAAGACCAAATTGCGTTTGATTTGTGCACCTGAAAGTGACAGGGAGAATGGAACCAAGTTGGAAAACACTCTTCAGGATATTATCCAGGAGAACTTCCTGAACCTAATAAGGCAGGCCAACATTCAAATTCAGGAAATACAGAGAACACCACAAAGATACTCCTCAAGAAGCACAACCCCAAGACACATAATTGTCAGATTCACCAAGGCTGAAATGAAGGAAAAAATGATAAGGCAGCCAGAGAGAAAGGTTGGGTTACTCACAAAGGGAAGCCCATCAGACTAACAGCGGATCTCTCGGCAGAAACTCTACAAGCCAGAAGAAAGTAGGGGCCAATATTCAACATTCTTAAAGAAAAGAATTTTCAACTCAGAATTTCATATCCAGTCAAACTAAAGCTTGATAAACAAAGGAAAAATAAAATCCTTTACAGACAAGCAAATGCTGAGAGATTTTGTCATCACCAGGCCTGCCTTACAAGAGCTCCTAAAGGAAGCACTAAACATGGAAAGGAACAACCAGTACCAGCCACTGCAAAAACATACCAAATTGTAAAGACCATCGACACTATGAAGAAACTGCATCAACTAACAGGCAAAACAACCAGCTAGCATCATAATGACAGGATCAAATTCACACTTAACAATATTAACCTTAAATGTAAATGGGCTAAATGCCCCAAGTAAAAGACATGGACTGGCAAATTGAATAAAGAGTCAAGACCCATTGATGTGCTGTATTCAGGAGACCCATCTCATATGCAAAAACACATAGGCTCAAAAAAAGATAGCAGAATATTTACCAAGCAAATGGAAAGCAAAAAAAATGCAATCCTAGTCTCTGATAAAACGGACTTTAAACCAACAAAGCTCAAAAGACACAAAGAAGGGCATTACATAATGGTAAACAGATCAATGCAACAAAAAGAGCTAACTATCCTAAATATATATGCAGCCAATACACGAGCACCCAGATTCATAATACCAAGTCTTAGAGGCCTACAAAGAGACTTAGACTCCGACACAGTAATAGTGGGAGACTGTAACACCCCACTGACAATATTAGACAGATCAATACGATAGAAAATCAACAAGGAAATTCAAGACTTGAACTCAGCTCTGGACCAAGCAGACCTAATACACATCTACAGAACTCCCCACCCCAAATCAACGGAATATACATTCTTCTCAGCACCACATCGCATTTATTCTAAAATTGACCATATAATTGGAAGTAAAACACTCTGCAGAAAATGAATAAGAATGGAAATCATAACAAACAGTTTCTCAGGCCACAGTGCAATCAAATTAGAACTTAGGATTAAGAAACTCACTCAAAACCGCACAACTACATGGAAACTGAACAACCTGCTCCTGAATGACTACTGTGTAAATAAGGAAATTAAGGCAGAAATGAATAAATTCTTTGAAACCAATGAGAACAAAGACACTACATATCAGAATCTCTGGCACAGAACCAAAGCAGTGTTTAGAGAGGAATTTACAGACTAAATGCCTACAAGAGAAAGCAGAAAAGATCTACAATCGATGCACTAACATCACAATTAAAAGTACTAGAGAAGCAAGAGCAAACAAATTCAAATGCTAGCAGAAGACCAGAAATAACTAAGATCAGAGCAGAACTGAAGGAGATAGAGACACAAAAAATCTTTCAAAAAATCAGTGAATCCAGGAGCTGGTTTTTTGAAAACATTACCAAAATAGACAGACCGCTAGCCAGACTAATAAAGATGAAAAGAGAGAAGAATCAAATAGACTCAATAAAAAATGATACAGGGGATATCACCCCTGATCCCATGGAAATACAAACTACCATCAGAGAGTACTATAAACATCTCTATGCAAATAAACTAGAAAATCTAGAAGAAATGGATAAATTCCCGGACACATACACCCTCCCAAGTCTAAACCAGGAAGAAGTCAAATCCTTGAATAGACCAATAACAAGTTCTGAAATTGAAGCAGTAATTAATAGCCTACCAACCAAAAAAAGTCCAGGACCAGACAGATTCACAGCCCAATTCTACCAGAGATACAAAGATGAGTTGGTGCCATTCCTTCTGAAACTATTCCAATCAATAGAAAAAAAGGAAATCCTCCCTAACTCATTTTATGAGTTTAGCATCATCCAGATACCAAAACCTGGCAGAGACACAACAAAACAAGAAAATTTGGCCAATATACCTAATGAACATCGATGCAAAAATTCTCAATAAAATACTGGCAAACCGAATCCAGCAGGACATCAAAAAGCTTATCCACCACAATCAAGCCAGCTTCAACCCTGGGATGCAAGGCTAGTTCAACATACACAAATCAATAAATGTAATCCATCACATAAGCAGAACCAATGACAAAAACCACATGATTATCTCAACAGATGCACAAAAGGCCTTCGACAAAATTCAACACCCCTTCATGCTAAAAACTCTCAATGAGCTAGGTGTCGATGGAACGTATCTCAAAATAATAAGAGCTATTTATGACAAACCCAGAGCCAATATCATACTGAATGGGCAAAAACTGGAAGCATTCCATTTGAAAACCAGCACAAGACAAGGATGCCCTCTCTCAGCACTCCTAGTCAACAAAGTATTGGAAGTTCTGGCCAGGGCAATCACGCAAGAGAAAGAAATAGAGGGTATTCAAATAGGAAGAAAGGAAGTCAAATTGTCTCTGTTTGTAGATGACATGATTCCATATCTAGAAAAACCCATCATCTCAGCCCAAAATCTCCTTAAGCTGATAAGCAACTTCTGCAAGTCTCAGGATACAAAGTCAGTGTGCAAAAATCACAAGGATTCCTATATACCAATAAGAGGCAAACAGAGAGCCAAATCATGAGTGAACTGCCATTCACAATTGTTACAAAGAGAATAAAATACCTAGGAATCCAACTTACAAGGGATGTGAAGGACCTCTTCAAGGAAAACTACAAACCACTGCTCAAGGAAATAAGAGAGGACACAAACAAATGGAAACACATTCCACGCTCATGGTTAGGAAGAATCAATATTGTGAAAAGGGCCATACTGTCCAAGGTAATTTATAGATTCAGTGCTATCCCCATCAAGCTACCATTGACTTTCTTCACAGAATTAGAGAAAACTACTTTAAATTTCACATGAAACCCAAAAAAGGGCCTGCATAGCCAAGTCAATCCTAAGCAAAAAGAACAAAGCTGGAGGCATCACACTACCTGACTTCAAACTATATTACAAGGCTACAGTAACCAAAACAGCATGGTACTAGTACCAAAACAGAGATATCGACCAATGGAACAGAGCAGGAGCCTCAGAAATAATACCATATATCTGCAACCATCTGGTCTTTGACAAACCTGGCAAAAACAAGCAATGGGGAAAGGATATCCTGTTTAATAAATGGTGTTGGGAAAACTGGCTAGCCATATGGAGAAAACTGAAACTGGACCCCTTTCTTACACCTTATACAAAAATTAACTCAAGATGGATTAAAGACTTAAGCGTAAGACCTAAAACCATAAAAACCCTAGAAGAAAACCTAGGCAATACCATTCAGGACATAGGCATGGGCAAAGACTTCATGACTAAAATACAAAAAGCAATGGCAACAAAAGCCAAAATTGACAAATGGGATCTAATTAAACTCAAGAGCTTCTGCACAGCAAAAGAAGTGAAAAGTCAACCTAGAGAATGGGAGAAAATTTTTGCAATCTATCCATCTAACAAAGGGCTAATATTCAGAATCTACAAAGAACTTAAACAAATTTACAAGAAAAAACAACCCATCAAAAAGTGGGCAAAGGATATGAACAGACACTTCTCAAAAGAAGACATTTATGCAGCCAACAGACATATGACAGAAAGCTCATCATCACTGGTCATTAGAGAAATGCAAATCAAAACCACAATGAGATACCATCTCACGCCAGTTAGAATGGCGATCACTAAAAAGTCAGGAAACAACAGATGCTGCAGAGGATGTGTAGAAATAGGAACACTTTTACACTGTTGGTGGGAGTATAAATTAGTTCAACCATTGTGGAAGTCAGTGTGGCGATTCCTCAGGGATCTAGAACTAGAAATACCATTTGACCCAGCCATCCCACTACTGGGTATATACCCAAAGGACTATAAATCATGCTGCTATAAAGACACATGCACACGTATGTTTATTGTGGCCCTATTCACAATAGCAAAGACTTGGAACCAACCCAAATGTTCAACAATGATAGACTGGATTAAGAAAATGTGGCACATATACACCATGGAATACTATGCAGCCTTAAAAAATGATGAGTTCATGTCCTTTGCAGGCACATGGATGAAATTGGAAATCATCATTCTCAGTAAACTACCCCAAGGACAAAAAACCAAACACCGCATGTTCTCACTCATAGATGGGAATTGAACAATGAGAACACATGGACACAGGAAGGGGAACATCACACTCTGGGGACTGTTGTGGGGTGGGGGGAGGGGGGAAGGGATAGCATTAGGAGATATAACTAATGCTAAATGAGGAGTTAATGGGTGCAGCACACCAGCATGGCACATGTATACATATGTAACTAACCTGCACATTGTGCATGTGTACCCTAAAACTTAAAGTATAATAATAAAAAAAATGGTTAATTTTAGGCTATGCAAATTTCACCTCAATTTTTTTAAAGAAGAGCTGCTACAATCTTTGCACATTAGCTGTTTCATTTCACGGAGCTACAAGTTTGATTAAAGAAGGCAGCCTGTGGCCGGATGCAGTGGCTCACGCCTGTAATCCCAGCACTTTGGGAGGCCAAGGCTGGCGGATCACGAGGTCAGAAGATCGAGACCATCCTGGCTAACACAGTGAAACCCTGTCTCTACTAAAAACACAAAAAATTAGCTGGGCATAGTGGCAGGGCGCCTGCCTGTAGTCCCAGCTACTCAGGAGGCTGAGGCAGGAGAACAGCGTGAACCCGGGAGGCCGAGATTGCAGTGAGCCAAGATTGCACCACTGCAGTCCAGCCTGGGTGAAAGAGCGAGATTCCATCTCAAAAAAAAAAAAAGAAGGCAGCCTGTTGGTCTCTCTCTAGCTATTTATCTATCACTGACATTGTGCTTTTTATGTATCACATTTCGTTCTAAATGTTTTACAAATGTAAATTCATTTATTCTTTATTACGAGCCTATGTAATAGATATTATTTTTATTTTCATTTTAAAGATAAGAAAGCTGAGACCCAGATAGATGAAGCAAATTACTCAATGTTGCACAGCTAGTACATGGTGGACTTGAAAAGTCAATCTGTCACAATTATGCACCATGAGCCCATACTAACTCCTAATGACCACTACTACCTCTCTTGGGTGTTCAGAACCCACTTCTTTAATCTTTTCTTAGTGACCACTACTATCTCTCTCAGATGATCAAAACCCACCCCTTTAATCTTTTCTAAGGTCAATGTCAAACCAATTGATTTATTGTTTGTGGAACCTTCATTTCTCCCTTCTGAAAATCAGAATGGCATGTATCTATCTCCAGTATTCCAGAACCTCTCTCCTTCTCTATAGTGTCTTAAAAAAATATATAGTCTGTTTGCTAATCTCCTTTGTAAGTTATCTCAATACCCTAGGACAAAATTCATCTGTATTGGGATATTTGAATATGTTTATGAACAATCAATCAAGTACTTTTCTATAATCTTCTTTAATCTTGGACTTCAGTTCCTTTATGATAACTGGGCTTTATTTCTGTTAATGGCAACTTTAGTTATACTCTTGTCAGTAAAAAGTACATCATTCTCCTTGCCCAAAAATACTGAAAGAAAATATGTACCAAAGAGGTTTTCTTTTCTTTGTGTTCTCTACGAAAATGTGCCCCACGCACCAGGGCTGTTTCCTCTTCAAAATTATTAATTCACAGAAAACCCCCAAAACACTCACTTCAACCAGCTTTTAACTCCCTTGTAGCTTTAGTTTCCTTCTACACGTTCAGGCTATTCTCTTTTTGGCTCTTAACTGTGCATCCTTTACTCATTTTGTTTATCAAGGCTGTGTTCATGCCTTGCTTCCCAGGCCGCCCTCAACTGGGCTTCAGTTCAGGGCCACAGTAATAAGCCCATCCTATCAATCCCAGTTTCAGGGCCTCCAGCCTGGATCAAAGGCTTAGCCTTCTACCTTGCAAGAGAGAAGAGCACAGGTAAAACTAGATTACTTGTCTTCTACTATCTTCCTTCATTGTTCCACTGTGTCAATCAACAATAAGGAGTCACACACACACACACACACACACACACACACACACACAACCTATTATTCCCAGCACATCCAGATTTTTTGTGAGGACTCTAAATATGCTTCCGTGTTCTCTTCCTCACTGTCATTATCCCCTATGTGATTCATCCAGACTAAATAACAATCAAGGATTTTGATCAGTTTTAATAGGCTCCCTACCAAACCTTGAATGTGTACCCTAAAAGCCAGCATACCTTTATATTGAATCTATTGCAGTGATGGCCAGTTAAACTTTTTTCGATGATGAAAACACTCTAATATGGAGCCACTAGCTATGTATAGCTATTGAGCACTTGAAATGTGGTCAGTGTGACTGAGGGACTAGATTTTTTATTTTATGTAATTTTAACTAGTTTAACTGAAGTTTAAACAGCCATTCGTGGCTGGCAGGTGCAGTGGTGGATAATTACAACCCATTTCTTCTACATAGTGCCAATGAGGTGTTTTCTTTCACCTTTTCGTTCTGGAGAATATCCCCTTATATTTGATAGTTTTCACCAGAAATTGTAATATTCTCTCTATATAGGATATATCTTGTAATCATTTTTAAAACTCCTATAATTTCTTCAGTATTCCTCTTCACTATTGTCCTGCTTCACAACCTCAGTATGAAGAATCTTAACATTTATTATATAGCTCCAAGATTCAAAGGTTTTATTTCTCCCTTTGTATCACATTCCTCTACTTTCTATCTTTGTCACACAGACTTTGTACCTCCTGGACTTCTCTATATTATCATTTCCTCTGTTGTATCTAGAAACTTTTCATCTTCCTTCAAGCCAGAGTGCAGAGGTATGGGTCCAATGCCCATTCCTTCTCAAGCATTATGATCGATATACATTTATACATATTTATGAGTGCTTTTTCTGTAGTGAAAAATATGACATCATCTCTGCATATTAGTATAACTGTCCAACAGAAGAAAAGATGATGGGGTGGGCTATTCTAGATTGAAAGAGATGAAAGAGACATAACCGCATGCAATGAATGTATAAACCTTGCCTGGTTTGGAAAAAAATGAAAGCTATAAAAGATATTTTGGGGATATTTCGGGAAACTTAAATAAAGAACAGATATTACATAAGATAGAATCAGTATTAATTTTCTTAGATGTGGTAAGGTTTTTGTGGTTGTATTGGAATCTGTATTCTCAAAAACAGCTTCAAGTGGTCTAACAAAAAAAAAGAGGAGATATAGCAAAATGTTAATTGTTAAATTAAGACAGAGGATATACAGATTTCCACCGAATAAATTTCAACTTTTCTGTATGGTTAAAATTTTTCATAATAACTCATTTAAAAGAATAGAATTATATGACATATTCCAGAAGTTCAAGATTAATTCAATATTGAGCATTCAATTAATATACTTCATATTATTAATATAAGAAGAAAAAGTATGTAATCATGCAATACATGCTGAGAGTATTGTTTTAGAAGTGCTAACTTTACACAATCAGAGAAAAAAGCAAAATCTTAGATTGAAAAGAAAGAAAAAGTGTCACTACTGCAAAGGACATTTACTTGGTAATCCCAAGAAGAACAACCTATAAGTTATAAGAAACAGTAAGTTCAGCAAGATTGTTATCAACACATAAAATTGGCTGGGTGCAGTGGCTCATGCCTGTAAACCCAGCACTTTGGGAGCTGGAGGCTGGAGGCGCTTGAGCCCAGGAGTTCCAGACCAGCCTGGGAAACACAGTGGGACCCCCAATTGTACAAAAAAATTAAAAATTAGCCAAGTGTAGTGGCATATGCCTGTAGTAACAGCTACTCAGGAGGCTGAAGTGGGAGGATCACTTGAGCCTGGGAGGCCAAAGCTACAGTGAGCTGTGATCATGCCACTGCACTCCAGCCTGGGCAGCAGATCAAGACCCTGTCTCAAGAAAAAAAGAAAACACTCATATGAAACTAATTTAATTTAAATTTTGGAAGAAACAATATGTTTGACTCACGACTACACTTAATTTGTTTTTAGTCGGATGGTACTTCGACATACCCTCACACTGAATGTTAGCCAATAATTTTCAATTTTCAATAAAGTGTTCTCTTTCTCAAATAGTTTTTAATACAGCAAATTCTGAAACAGAATCCCCTTTTTTTCCCTTTCTGCAGAGTAATGGTGGCTGTGTTCATGGCTAAATTAGAGCTCCTAAAAAAATTACATCTCATTCTTTCATGTCTTTTAAACTTCTATTTATTGGCTAAAAGGCACATCTTTCCTACCTTTTTTCTTTTTCATTTTCTCTCTGCTTTTATCAATACCAATGGCTTACTTTTCAGACCCACCATTTCCCACAAAATGATCCTGTACAAAAGCCTGTATCTAACTTCATGAAAGTTATTTCAAGAAGGAAAAACAAATGTTAAAGTAGGACAATCAAACTAAGCCTACCTACTAGCTGACTCCCATAACCCTAGCTTGAAGAACATGTAATCAAAAGCCACACCTTAATAAAATCACTATGGTAGCATTCATGAATTTAATTCACCAAGATTTCAGAACTCATACTACATAATATATCAGAAATACTGTTCAATTTCCAACTTTGACGGATCCAAAGAAATAAACAAGAGAGGTTGGGAGTAAAAGAGAGAATGCGCAGGAAAAGACAGGAGACAGAGAAACAGAAAAAATAAAAAATTAAAATAAGAATCGGAGCTTATTGTCATTTCTGTAGACCATCCTAGGGGCTGAGATATCTTTTTACAAGATAAAACATTCACTCCTAATCTTTCAATACAACTGACACTCCTCTGTAAGTTCCTCATTGTTTCTCCTTGTTGACTAATAACAATTAAACTTCTAATGAGTAAAAATCAAAATGTTCAAGCATCTTAGAAACGGGAATCTGAATGCCATTTTTACACTGTCATTTTGTAAAGCAATATGCATACTACTGTTCAAAAAATAGGTATATCGATTTGTGAAAATAAATTTTTCATATACGTTTTTAAGTATTAGGAATTTAAGTGTGTCTTAACAATGAAAATTAAAATAGCAATCTCATTAGGTGTATATGAACCAATGAATAAAACAGCAATTGTATCAATCTAAAGATCAGTGTTTTATGGTAGGCAAAACAAAACAGGTTTATATGCTAACCTGATACACAGTTGACTCTTGAACAACACAGGTTTGAACTGTAGAAGTCCACTTATATACATGGCTTTTCTTCAACCAAACACGGGCTGAAAATACAGTAAGTTCAGGATGTGAAACTTGTATACGTGGGTTCTGCAGGGTCTAATGTAGGACCTGAGTATGTGCAGATTTGGATATACTCAAGAGTCCTGGAACCAATCTCCCATGTATACCAAGGAACAACTGTATTTTAAATTGCCCTGTTTGATTTGGCAAACACAGATGATCCATCCTAGTAAGTTATCTTGAACACTTCTATTTTATAAGATCATTACTTTCCTCTCCATGTTGTTTAACCATGAAAAAAATGACACTAAAATGAATCTCAAAAATCTATAATTAAAAGGCAGTTCCTCAGAGTACATTTAATCTGTTCTTCATATTGAACTAGTCTAAAGCCACGGTTCTCAATTTAATTGCCTCATTAAACTATAGTTGCTCAAACTCCATTCTCTGATATATTGACTGGGCATTAACAGCTCCTATTAACAACAGAAAAATTAAGCAAAGTTAGGTACCAGTATGAAATCTAGACCCAAGAAAAAATCACTTGCTTTCGTATGCTTTTTCATTATTTTCATCTCATTTCCTTTTACTCTTCCCTTTGCTTACCTTGCTTTCAACATACTGCCCCCCACCTGCACCTTGCCTCACCTTGAACGTGTCAGACATGCTGCATTCTCAGGGCCTTGGACTTTCGCTCTTCTCTCTACCTATAATGTTCTTCTCCAAGACATCCGCATGTCTCCTTCCCATACCTCCTTTAGGTCTTTTGTTGCTCAGATGTCACCTTCCTAGTGATGTCTTCCTCAATAATTCTGTTTAAAATTATAACTCCCCTTTCCTAACCCCTAGAATTCCCCTTTACCCTTCCTTGCTTAATTTTCCTCCACAGCACTTACTTATCAAAAGGTGAAAATATTTTTTACATTTATTTTCTACTTCCCTCTATAAGTGTATAAGCTCCATGACAGCAGAAATCGTCTGATTTACTTAGGTATCTCCAGCACTTAAGTCAGTGCACAGAACACACTAGGCGCTCAGTAAGCACTTTCTGAATAAATAAGTGAAATTTAAAAATTTCTTTTACTACTATGACTATCATTTGGGAACAAAAACGCTTAACTTATATGACTGAGTTTCTCTGTGAGAACTAAACTATAGCCTTATAACTATGTCATTTTTAATCTATATTCCTAATTTCCCACATCTGTAAAAATGACATTATACAAGTACAAGGGGTGTTGTAAGGTTAAAAAATCAAAGTAAAGGCCAGGCGTGGTGGCTCACACCTGTAATCTCAGCACTTTGGGAGGCTGAAGTGGGCAGATCACGAGGTCAGGAGATCGAGACCATCCTGGCTAACACGATGAAACCCCGTCTCTACTAAAAATACAAAAAAGTAGCCGGGTGTGGTGGCGGGCACCTGCAGTCCCAGCTACTCGGGAGGCTGAGGCAGGAGAATGGCGTGAACTCGGGACGCGGAACTTGCAGTGAGCCGAGATAGTGCCACTGCACTCCAGCCTGGGCAACAGAGCAAGACTCTGTCTCAAAAAAAAAAAAAAAAAAAAATCAAAGTAAAATGCTTTAAAACTTTAACATATTAAATGATGGTGGAAGGGTATAACAAATAGTTATTTAGAATATGAACAAAATATCCCCAACATTCTAAACATAAAACACAAGGAACTGAGACAAACTGATCTAACATGATTACCTGTTCCTGTATGTAAGTTAAAAAATTAGACATCTGTAATTGGAATATGGGTATCTAAGTCACTGCATACTTGAGATGCACTAAAAATATTTATACTACATTTAGAAAAAAAGTAAGTTAATTTTTCTGGATACTTTTTAATGTTTAATCGTTCATGTTTAATTTAAAAGTCTTGAGCTACTTAACCTCTCTATGATTCAGTTTTATCATATCTAAAATGAGAATAACTGCTAATGTTAGATACCAAATGATGATGACAGAGTGACAGAGGTCACATCTGATCCCAAATCTGGCTCTAAAGTTTTTGTTCCTTCCATTATACTTTTAGAGCTCATTCTCCAAAGTGAGTACAAAGATAAGGATATATCTAGGGAAATGTTGATATATCTTTCAGAAGAAGGGATAGAATACTATGTTTATGATATCTGATAATGCTCAAATAGCACTATTAGTATGTTTGCTATTAATACAACCACAACTTTGCAGAAACTTGTTAAAGTAATAACTAAAATAAGGTTGAAATGGCCTGAAACGTCTAAGAACATCCAGAGTAATATCATGTGTCCAACCAAGTCTCTGAATCTAAAATTTTAAAATAATTTATGCCTTTTTCTCTTATGCAACAATAATGTTAAAAGAATTTATAAAAGAATGAAATGGAAAGAACTTAGATGCTATCACAAGGAAATGTAGTGGATATCTGTACATTTTTGGCCACCCAACATCTGAACTTTCCTACACTTAGAAATTACCTACCTGAGGAGTGTTGATAGACCACAGAGCTTAGTTCTCCACACAATCTGAAAATATCCAATCCTCACTTTCCCAACTATTCTTGTAGTTACAGTATTAGTATGTGACCTTAGGTCAGCTACTCAGAAACACCCATCTTTAAACTGGGAGATAATGATGCAGAGGGGAGTATCAGAGAATCCATTCTGGAAACTGATGGTAGCAACATCGAGGTTCTTAGATAGCAGTGGAAGAGACAGCATTCATTGGCTAACGTGAGGGGCAAGTGAGTGTTCATTTTTGGTGGTAGCCATGCATGTATTCACCAGACTGATGTGCTGTGATTTTGGTTGTGGTCCTATTTGCTGCCTAACCTCTCCTATTCTGATCCTTTTATTGAGCCTAGTTCTACAACCCTCTCAGTGATTCTGTAAGCTTCTCAGTAACGTTTCAATTTTTTTTTTAGTTCTTAAAATATCCAGAGTTGATTTCTATTATTTGCAACTATGAACCCTAGTTTACAAAGCTCTATTTGATAACTTATTCAATCATTTTAGTCATCCATTGTTTTTATTACAAAGTATTTGAACACTCCATTAAATATAAAACAAAATTTTAGATTATGATTTTATACTCAAAATTTGTTTATATACTTGCACATAGAGATTAATCATACTTTATGTAATAGGTACAGTACTGAAAGTTAGATTAATCAACTTCTGAATATCAGTCATATTTATCTCACATTAGTTTGATCTTACAAATGTTTCAACAGAACTTTTTACTTGCAAATTTAAACATAGAAAATTATAAAATCTTGGCATTTTATTTGTAGTAGCTAATTTCTGTAACCAAGAGGGGATAAAATGGAGAAGTAAACAAAGGTGGCAGTGGACAATATGACTTATTTTCACAAAAGCAAAGCATCTCATTGAAGAAATTTGAGAAACTGCAACTAGCCTAGTTCCACCCAGGACAGAACTTTATTGCTTTCAGCCAGAGGCCACTGTAAAAATAAGCACAATGTGATCTTTGAAATGTTATTTTACAAATAAACATAAAAGTATATTCAAGTTCATTTCAAAAGAAGGAAATAATCACAATACATTACTGTCATTTTATCTGGAATTCCTAAAACAACTGAGCTATGCTCTGATCAACAAAAAGTTTGAGATGCTTTCTGTGTTCACATCAGTCAATAATGTATTTACTGTTGGGATCTAATACAAGAGCTAAGGAAATTATCTCCAGGAAACATTTGATCTTGCCCAATTTACTGAAAACTATAGCAGAGGTAGTAGGGAAGATTCTCTAACTCAGGGACTGCTACAAAGATAAATCAGCTGTATGGGAGTAGACAAGGTGGTTCACGGGTATCTCTTCAATGCATCAATGAGCATGGTCTGGAAGCAAACTGCTATAAAAGCTGTCTAAGCTTTCAAATAATACAAATGACTACATACACTTAAAAAAGACCTCCTATAATTACTTTTAATTATTCTACAGAACTCTGATAAATGAGTCAACATGCAGTTTAGTTTTTATATTCAAAAGACCTGCAAGCTTATATAGTAGTATAGTATTTTTATGTTTATGATAGCTGAGTAAATAAAAATTTAAATATCATAATTCTATCAAGAATTCTGCTATGACATAGAATAATTACCTGTTTAAGAAGGCCCAAGAACAACTCCATAAAACAAGTGTAAGAGGAAGCTTAAGTATCAAGTAGATCTAGATTTCAATCCTAGTTCTACTTATCTATATGATCTTTATCAACATAATTAACCTCTGCAACCTCAGTTTCCTCATCTGTAAAAGGGAAATTATAATACCTCGAAAGACTTCTGTGAGAATGAAATGATATACTGCCCTATTACTGAGTTGCCTAGAACATAAAATGTACTCTAAAAATGTTACTTCCTCTTCCTTTTCTCTGATTCCCTTAGATCCTCTCCATGGCCTCTGACATTCTTTACAATGTTAGCATGAAAAATACTGACTAAATCTAGGTTTTCAAAATTTCTCCACAATTGTAGCAGTAGAAACATTTTCATTAGGTTACAAGTATTAGTGACTTTCACAGAAAGCATAAAAACATAAACTTTTAGCTTTTCAAAACTAGAAAACAACTTTATATAACACTATCAGCCACAGTGGGTTTAGCCAACCACCTGAAATGAAAGAGCTTGTTTAAATTCATAATTTAAAATAACCCCAAAATTTAAATTGCTAAAAGCTTTTGCCAGCTAATCATATTATTTATAACAAACCATTAAAACATATGCATATATTATAAACTCTGTGAAAAGTAAGCATGTATGATAGATCTTTCTATAATAGATAAATGTAAGAAACTTGTAGAACTATCACATAAACAGTTCTAACATTCCTTTTCAACGATGCCTATAAGCATGCTCTTCATCACTGTCAAAATGGAATGTCATAAAACCAAGAGTATATTTAAGTGTAAACCTGCTATAGCTACTCTGACACTCTGGAAATGGTAAGCCTTGTAAGGTTTGTAAAACCACTCAAGGAATAAATAGTGCTTATTATTGTTATAAGCACAAATGAATTTTAAAATAAAGTTCACAGCCAACAGGGTAGGCCAAAAAAGACAAAGGAGAAAAAATGCAGTTTAGAAAACAGATCTATCTGATTAGCAGATTTTTATTCCATTCATTATGTAATTAAATGTCCCATCTAGCCCTAACATTTGATTATTGTAAAAATAATAGAGTTACCAATAATCCAGTCTAAGACATAAATTCACATAACAGATATAAAAGTGGAGAAAAAGAAGTATTAACTTTACCAAAACAATTCACCAAAGGCATATTAGTTTAACATAATTAGAAGATGAAACATTTACTTTGTTAACTTAAAGACAGAATAGCATGGTGGCTAACAGCAAAAGCTCTACAATCATACCTGTAGCCACTTATGAACTATATGATCTTGAGGAAATTACCTAAGCCCTCTGAACCTCAGATCCTTAGATCCTCTACTGAGGATAATAATAGCACCTGCCTCCCATGGTTGTTTTGAATATTAAGTTAAAAAAATGTAAATTTCTTCAAAAGACCCCACATAGTAAATATCAATACATGTTAGTATTATATTATTACAGTTTCTATCACTATTAACATTTGAAATCATCTATGATAGTTATATAATACGGTAAAATCAGCAAGAAAGGCAAAGGCTTAATTTACTGAAGAGTTATAACAAAAAGAAATGTGAATCATTTACCAAGGACTCTAATGAAATTAAAGAAGAAAGAGAACTTTGGTAGATAGGTTTGAGGAGAAAGGTAAGCTTTGCCACCTTGCAAAAAGGGATTATGAATCAATCCTCCAGTTAACTGATGACAGCTAGACCTCAAGGGGAGATAATCAAGATGAATGAATTGCAAATTCAGAAAACTCTGGGGGAATACTTAAGTCCTTCCTTGATTACATTTCCTCCGTTCAATGATCATTCAATTCTCTGTTCTTCACAGCAAGACTTCTCAAAGGAGTCTACTTCACTCTCCCTACCTCACCTGTCATACTCCAGTCTGATTTCTACCCCAACCACTCCACTGAAATAA
The DNA here is from genome assembly GCF_000001405.40 of Homo sapiens. Lineage (NCBI taxonomy): Eukaryota > Metazoa > Chordata > Mammalia > Primates > Hominidae > Homo > Homo sapiens. The sequence continues at coordinate 14,726,783 of NC_000011.10, read as the reverse complement.
CTCTTAAAAGCCACAAAACAATCTTCATCTTTGCAAATCCAATGGTTAATTTACAAACACATCTTAATCCAGCCTGTAAGCATTATCCAACAAAGCTGTGTCCTTAGAACATTTCCTCTCTTAGTTTCAATGATATGTCTCTCCTGGTTTTCCTCCTAACTTGTTGGGTCCTTCTAATCTGATTTATAAATGAAAAATCAGCGAAAGGCTTGAATCTGGGTCCCTTTTCTGGTTTGGCTCCATACTATCTCTTGATAATTTCATCCAGTCCTACAGTGTAAATGACCATTTATATGCTATTGACTACTAAATTTACATTTCAGCACTGAAATCTCCTCTGAGCTCCAGACTTATATATTCATTCATTCATTCACTAAAAAAAAATGTTTATGGAACCCACATATTATATACCAGGCATTATTCTTGGCTGTTGGGATGCAGACATTAATAAGACAGACAAGGTCTTTGCATTCTAGAGGGAAAGAAAAAATAATAAACAAGAACATATTAGATGATAAGTGAAATGAAGAAAAATAAAAATGGGCTAAGGGAATACAGAATGATAGGCAGGTGTCAAAGAAGGCTTATTTATATAGGGTGGTCAGGGAAAACCTCTTTCATAAGATCACAGCTGAACAGAGACTGGTATGAAGTGAGGGAGCAAGCTAAGTGAAAATATGGGGGAAGAGCATTCCAAGTGAAAAAACAGCAAATGCAAATGCCCTGAAGTCTGGAATAATACTGATATCTTCAAGGAATAGCGGAGTCTTGGCCAGTGAAGCTGAAGTAGAGGGAAAGAGCATTCCAAAATGCAGTCAAAAAAGTGACTAGATCATATAGAGCATTATTGCCATGGTAAACTGTGTCGATATTATAGGAAACAACTGGAGCATATGATCAAAGAATTTTGGTTTTTAAAAGATCATTCGGGCTGCAATGTGAATACCAGATTATATGGGGACAAGATTGGAAGCTGGGAGATCAGAACAGAGGTTACTCCAATAGTCTAGGCAAGAGAAAATGGTGGCTTAGAGTAAAGAAATAGTGCATATAATTGAAGTAATCATATTGAGCACAAATGTTAAAGATGGAGTAGTCAGGAGCTGCTAATGGACTGAATATGGAGTATAAGAAAGAGAGAGAGAAAAAGGAAAGGAAAGGAGAGGAGAGAACAGGAGAGGGGAGGGGAGGGAAGGGGGAGGGAGGGAGAGGGGAGAGAATAGGCAGGAGGAGGGAGAGGGGAGGGGAGGGGAAGGGAAGGGGAGAAGGAGGGGGAAGGGAAGGGGGAGGGGGAGGGAAAGGGAAAGGGGGACAGAGGGAGGAAAGGAGGGAGGGGTGGAGGGAGGGAAGGAAGGAAGGAAGGGAAAAGAAAAAGAGAAAGAAGGAAGCAAGGAAGGAAGGAAGGAAGAAAGGAGAAAGAGAGAGGAGAAAGAAGAAAGAAAGAAAGAAAGAAAAAGAAAGAAAGAAAGAAAGAGAAAGAAAGAAAGAAAGAAAAAGAAAGAAAGAAAAAGAAAGAGAAAGAAAGAACGAAAGAAAGAAAAAAGCTGCTGGAAGTTTGAGCCTGCCAATTTGGGTGAATGGTGGTGCTATTTACTAGCATGCAGCAGCCCCTATTAATCACTTGGATTTGGATATAGATACCTCAAAAGTAGCATGGCTAAAAAGAAGGAAGTTCTTGATTTTCCTCAAAAGCCTTGTTCCTCTTCTAGTCTTCCCTTCCTCAGTCACATAATCCTTTTCTATTTCCTTTTAGTACCTGTACCTATCTAAAGTATTTATGTTTATTTACGTACTTTCTACTACAGTTTAGGTTCCATGACAGCAAAGATCTTGACTATCTTATCCCTGCTATATCCCTGGATTCCATATTTGTGCCTGGTATATAATAGGCACTTGATAAATATCTGTTGAATAAATAAATAAATGAGTGAAAGAATCCTTCTACTATATCCTTTGTAGGTTATCCTCTTCAGTTTGGCCAGTTAATATTGGAGTTCCTCAACTTCTAGGCCTTCTTCTCTTCTCACTCCCTCTCACAAGGCATTCTTAACCATTACATCAATTACCATATATTTGCCCATTCCTTGAACATTCTTATCTCTGGCCTGGAGTTCTGTGTGATCCAATCTAATACAGGTTGAGTATCCTGATCTGAAATGCTTGAGATCAGAAGTGTTTCATATTTCAGAATTTAGAATAACATAATTCCATTACACTGGCTGAGCAACGCTAATCCAAATATCCAAAATCTGAAATGCTCCAAATGAGCATTTCCTTTGAGCATGACCTTCAAGCATCTTATAGGCATTCAAAAAGCTTCAGATTTTGGAGCATTTCTGATTTTGGATTTTCAGATTAGGGATGTTCAACCTGTACATCTTTCTCAACATTCCAAACTTGGATGTCTCAAACATATCTCAAATTCGGCAAAAGCTAACTAATGAGTTTTACCACCAAATGTGTCCCCCTTCCTATTAATGTTCTGTACCCTTAATAAATAGCATCATCATACACACAGATAGGCAAGTAGGAAATCTTTTCACCATTCTTAACAATGCCTTCTCCCCAACCCCCTGGTAATCAATTTTCTCACCAAGTCCTGTTGATTTTATCCTGTAACCATCTTTCAAGTCTATTTCTCTCCATTTCTGAAAAAACTTTTGCCAATACCTTAGTCCATCTTTTTTGTTTGGTTATTTCAACAGCTTCCTAAGAGTCTCCCCATAGCCACTATGGCATGTCTACAATGTCCATATTTTAACTACAATGATATTTCCAAAAAGAAAACCTTAACATAATATCTGTTAAAAACTTTTCGATAGCTTCCCTTAGGAAGTAGAATAAAACATCACCTTCCAAGGCCTTGCTAGTCTGGCCCATGCATATCTTTCCAGCCTAATCTCACACCACTCTTCTTTTTGTTTTCTGTGCTATAACCTTGTTGCCCTTCTTTCAGTTTGTAAGCATACCATTGCTCTTCAACAATAAAAACTTGCTTTTACTGGTTTTTGTTTTTTTTTTTGAGATGGAGTCTCACTCTATTGCCCAGGCTGGAGTACAGTGGCCCAATCATAGCTCACTTGTAGCCTTAAACTCCTGGGCCCAAACGATCCTCCTGCCTCAGCCTCCTGAGTAGCTAGGACTAGAGGTGTGCATCATCATTCCCAGCTAATGGGTTTTTTTTTAAATTTGTGTAGCAGCAGGGTCTCACTATATTGCCCAGGCTGGTCTCAAACTCCTGGCCTCAGGCGATCCTCCCACCTTAGCCTCCAAAATTGCTAGAATTACAGGCATGAGCCACTGTGCCTGGACCAGAAACTTGCTTTTATTAAAGGATCTCAGAACTCATCTTCATAGTACTGACCTCAGTCTGTAAATATGTATTTATTGTATTAATGTCTATGTACTTCAAAATGTTGTAAGTGGCATGAGATCTGAGGTTCTGTCTCCCTTTGCTCACCACTATATCTCCAGCATCCATCAAAATTTAAGAATCCCTCAGATGTTTAACACATGAATTTCTATACCTCAGAAGTTACCTGATCACAGTATGGTTAGTACAATGGCTAAATTGGAGTCAAAGTGATTTGGTTTTAAAGTCTGAAGTACTCAATACAATTCTGTAAGGACTAAATGATACAATGTCCATAACATGCTTAGGATAGTTTCTGAAACAGAGAAAGAGTTCAATACATGTTATCTATTGTTATTAGCTATTTTTCATTCATTCAAATGGCCAGATGCCATTTAGGATGGCTAGTGAAAATACTTAATTTCAACATTTTTCCTAACTATATTTACACCCTCAAACATATAAGGCTATAAATGTACTTTCATAAATAAGATTTGAAGGTTTAGAAAGCTGTATCTATTTATCATTTAACACCAAGCACCTCCATTCTAAAAAAAATATCATAACATAGTTAGCTTCTTCTACATAAAAAAATTACCCCAAAACTAAGCAGCTTAAAACAACAAACATTTTTTATCTCAGTTTCTGTGGGTCAAGAATCTGAAAGTGGCTTAGCTGAGTGCCTCTGGTTCAAGTTCTCTCATGAGGTTATAATCAAACTGTCAGCCAGGACTGCAGTCATCTCAAGACTAAACTAGCTCTGCAGAATCTGCTTCTCAGCTCGCTCACATGGTTATTGGCAGGCTTTAGCTCTTCAAAAAACTTTTTACCAAGATTTGATGTAAATATATGATAAAAATGTCTCTATTATTTGTAAAATTGCTATTAAACGATGCCGTCCACTATACTACTCAACAAATCTTACAAAACGGAATAAATTTCTCCTTGTTTCGTCTTTGGAAAAAGTTTCTCTCTTGACTCAATGGCATGTCTCATTACATAAAAATGTTATTTTTTTATTGGATTTATTTTTTTTACTCTATCTGCCAGTTGACACAGATGGATTTTTTGCTACCCTCGACTAGACTTTCCTAGATTTTTCCCCTTTTCTTTTTTTTTTAATTATACTTTAAGTTTTAAGGTACATGTGCACAACGTGCAGGTTTGTTACATATGTATACATGTGCCATGTTGGTGTGCTGCACCCATTAACTCGTCATTTAACATTAGGCATATCTCCTAATGCTATTCCCTCCCCCGTCCCCCTATTCCACAACAGGCCCTGGTGTGTGATGTTCCCCTTCCTGTGTCCATGTGTTCTCATTGTTTAATTCCCACCTATGAGTGAGAACATGCGGTGTTTTGTTTTTTGTCCTGGCGATAGTTTGCTGAGACTGGTTTCCAGCTTCATCCATGTCCCTACAAAGGACATGAACTCATCATTTTTTACGGCTGCACAGTATTCCATGGTGTATATGTGCCACATTTTCTTTTTTTTTTTTTTTAATTATACTTTAAGTTTTAGGGTACATGTGCACATTGCGCAGGTTAGTTACATATGTATACATGTGCCATGCTGGTGTGCTGCACCCACTAACTCGTCATCTAGCATTAGGTATATCTCCCAATGCTACCCCTCCCCCCTGCCCCCACCCGCACCACAGTCCACAGAGTGTGATATTCCCCTTCCTGTGACCATGTGATCTCATTGTTCAATTCCCACCTATGAGTGAGAATATGCGGTGTTTGGTTTTTTGTTCTTGCGATAGTTTACTGAGAATGATGGTTTCCAATTTCATCCATGTCCCTAGAAAGGACATGAACTCATCCTTTTTTATGGCTGCATAGTATTCCATGGTGTATATGTGCCACATTTTCTTCATCCAGTCTATCATTGTTGGACATTTGGGTCGGTTCCAAGTCTTTGCTATTGTGAATAATGCCACAATAAACATACGTGTGCATGTGTCTTTATAGCAGCATGATTTATAGTCCTTTGGGTATATACCCAGTAATGGGATGGCTGGGTCAAATGGTATTTCTAGTTCTAGATCCCTGAGGAATCGCCACACTGACTTCCACAATGGTTGTACTAGTTTACAGTCCCACCAACAGTGTAAAAGTGTTCCTATTTCTCCACATCCTCTCCAGCACCTGCTGTTTCCTGACTTTTTAATGATTGCCATTCTAACTGGTGTGAGATGGTATCTCATAGTGTTTTGATTTGCATTTCTCTGATGGCCAGTGATGATGAGCATTTTTTCATGTATTTTTTGGCTGCATAAATGTCTTCTTTTGAGAAGTGTCTGTTCATGTCCTTTGCCCACTTTTTGATGGGGTTGTTTGTTTTTTTCTTGTAAATTTGTTTGAGTTCATTGTAGATTCTGGATATTAGCCCTTTGTCAGATGAGTAGGTTGCGAAAATTTTCTCCCAGGTTGTAGGTTGCCTGTTCACTCTGATGGTAGTCTCTTTTGCTGTGCAGAAGCTCTTGAGTTTAATTAGATCCCATTTGTCAATTTTGGCTTTTGTTGCCATTGCTTTTGGTGTTTTGGACATGAAGTCCTTGCCCACGCCTATGTCCTGAATGGTAATGCCTAGGTTTTCTTCTAGGGTTTTTATGGTTTTAGGTCTAACGTTTAAATCTTTAATCCATCTTGAATTGATTTTTGTATAAGGTGTAAGGAAGGGATCCAGTTTCAGCTTTCTACATATGGCTAGCCAGTTTTCCCAGCACCATTTATTAAATAGGGAATCCTTTCCCCATTGCTTGTTTTTCTCAGGTTTGTCAAAGATCAGATAGTTGTAGGTATGCGGCGTTATTTCTGAGGGCTCTGTTCTGTTCCATTGATCTATATCTCTGTTTTGGTACCAGTACCATGCTGTTTTGGTTACTGTAGGCTTGTAGTATAGTTTGAAGTCAGGTAGTGTGATGCCTCCAGCTTTGTTCTTTTGGCTTAGGATTGACTTGGCGATGTGGGCTCTTTTTTGGTTCCATATGAACTTTAAAGTAGTTTTTTCCAATTCTGTGAAGAAAGTCATTGGTAGCTTGATGGGGATGGCATTGAATCTGTAAATTACCTTGGGCAGTATGGCCATTTTCACGATATTGATTCTTCCTACCCATGAGCATGGAATGTTCTTCCATTTGTTTGTATCCTCTTTTATTTCCTTGAGCAGTGGTTTGTAGTTCTCCTTGAAGAGGTCCTTCACATCCCTTGTAAGTTGGATTCCTAGGTATTTTATTCTCTTTGAAGCAATTGTGAATGGGAGTTCACTCATGATTTGGCTCTCTGTTTGTCTGTTGTTGGTGTATAAGAATGCTTGTGATTTTTGTACATTGATTTTGTATCCTGAGACTTTGCTGAAGTTGCTTATCAGCTTAAGGAGATTTTGGGCTGAGACGATGGGGTTTTCTAGATAAACAATCATGTCGTCTGCAAACAGGGACAATTTGACTTCCTCTTTTCCTAATTGAATACCCTTTATTTCCTTCTCCTGCCTGATTGCCCTGGCCAGAACTTCCAACACTATGTTGAATAGGAGCGGTGAGAGAGGGCATCCCTGTCTTGTGCCAGTTTTCAAAGGGAATGCTTCCAGTTTTTGCCCATTCAGTATGATATTGGCTGTGGGTTTCTCATAGATAGCTCTTATTATTTTGAAATACGTCCCATCAATACCTAATTTATTGAGAGTTTTTAGCATGAAGGGTTGTTGAATTTTGTCAAAGGCTTTTTCTGCATCTATTGAGATAATCATGTGGTTTTTGTCTTTGGCTCTGTTTATATGCTGGATTACATTTATTGATTTGCGTATATTGAACCAGCCTTGCATCCCAGGGATGAAGCCCACTTGATCATGGTGGATAAGCTTTTTGATGTGCTGCTGGATTCGGTTTGCCAGTATTTTATTGAGGATTTTTGCATCAATGTTCATCAAGGATATTGGTCTAAAATTCTCTTTTTTGGTTGTGTCTCTGCCCAGCTTTGGTATCAGAATGATGCTGGCCTCATAAAATGAGTTAGGGAGGATTCCCTCTTTTTCTATTGATTGGAATAGTTTCAGAAGGAATGGTACCAGTTCCTCCTTGTACCTCTGGTAGAATTCGGCTGTGAATCCATCTGGTCCTGGACTCTTTTTGGTTGGTAAACTATAGATTATTGCCACAATTTCAGCTCCTGTTATTGGTCTATTCAGAGATTCAACTTCTTCCTGGTTTAGTCTTGGGAGAGTGTATGTGTCAAGGAATGTATCCATTTCTTCTAGATTTTCTAGTTTATTTGCGTAGAGGTGTTTGTAGTATTCTCTGATGGTAGTTTGTATTTCTGTGGGATCGGTGGTGATATCCCCTTTATCATTTTTTATTGTGTCTATTTGATTCTCCTCTCTTTTTTTCTTTATTAGTCTTGCTAGCAGTCTATCAATTTTGTTGATCCTTTCAAAAAACCAGCTCCTGGATTCATTGATTTTTTGAAGGGTTTTTTGTGTCTCTATTTCCTTCAGTTCTGCTCTGATTTTAGTTATTTCTTGCCTTCTGCTAGCTTTTGAATGTGTTTGCTCTTGCTTTTCTAGTTCTTTTAATTGTGATGTTAGGGTGTCAATTTTGGATCTTTCCTGCTTTCTCTTGTGGGCATTTAGTGCTATAAATTTCCCTCTACACACTGCTTTGAATGCGTCCCAGAGATTCTGGTATGTTGTGTGTTTGTTCTCGTTGGTTTCAAAGAACATCTTTATTTCTGCCTTCATTTCATTATGTACCCAGTAGTCATTCAGGAGCAGGTTGTTCAGTTTCCATGTAGTTGAGCGGTTTTGAGTGAGATTCTTAATCCTGAGTTCTAGTTTGATTGCACTGTGGTCTGAGAGATAGTTTGCTATAATTTCTGTTCTTTTACATTTGCTGAGGAGAGCTTTACTTCCAACTATGTGGTCAATTTTGGAATAGGTGTGGTGTGGTGCTGAAAAAAACGTATATTCTGTTGATTTGGGGTGGAGAGTTCTGTAGATGTCTATTAGGTCCACTTGGTGCAGAGATGAGTTCAATTCCTGGGTATCCTTGTTGACTTTCTGTCTCGTTGATCTGTCTAATGTTGACAGTGGGGTGTTAAAGTCTCCCATTATTAATGTGTGGGAGTCTAAGTCTCTTTGTAGGTCACTCAGGACTTGCTTTATGAATCTGGGTGCTCCTGTATTGGGTGCATATATATTTAGGATAGTTAGCTCCTCTTGTTGAATTGATCCCTTTACCATTATGTAATGGCCTTCTTTGTCTCTTTTGATCTTTGTTGGTTTAAAGTCTGTTTTATCAGAGACTAGGATTGCAACCCCTGCCTTTTTTTGTTTTCCATTGGCTTGGTAGATCTTCCTCCATCCTTTTATTTTCAGCCTATGTGTGTCTCTGCACATGAGATGGGTTTCCTGAATACAGCACACTGATGGGTCTTGACTCTTTATCCAACTTGCCAGTCTGTGTCTTTTAATTGGAGCATTTAGTCCATTTACATTTAAAGTTAATATTGTTATGTGTGAATTTGATCCTGTCATTATGATGTTAGCTGGTGATTTTGCTCATTAGTTGATGCAGTTTCTTCCTAGTCTCGATGGTCTTTACATTTTGGCATGATTTTGCAGTGGCTGGTACCGGTTGTTCCTTTCCATGTTTAGCGCTTCCTTCAGGAGCTCTTTTAGGGCAGGCCTGGTGGTGACAAAATCTCTCAGCATTTGCTTGTCTGTAAAGTATTTTATTTCTCCTTCACTTATGAAGCTTACTTTGGCTGGATATGAAATTCTGGGTTGAAAATTCTTTTCTTTAAGAATGTTGAATATTGGCCCCCACTCTCTTCTGGCTTGTAGGGTTTCTACCGAGAGATCCGCTGTTAGTCTGATGGGCTTCCCTTTGAGGGTAACCCGACCTTTCTCTCTGGCTGCCCTTAACATTTTTTCCTTCATTTCAACTTTGGTGAATCTGACAATTATGTGTCTTGGAGTTGCTCTTCTCGAGGAGTATCTTTGTGGCGTTCTCTGTATTTCCTGAATCTGAATGTTGGCCTGCCTTGCTAGATTGGGGAAGTTCTCCTGGATAATATCCTGCAGAGTGTTTTCCAACTTGGTTCCATTCTCCCCCTCACTTTCAGGTACACCAATCAGACGTAGATTTGGTCTTTTCACATAGTCCCATATTTCTTGGAGGCTTTGCTCATTTCTTTTTATTCTTTTTTCTCTAAACTTCCCTTCTCGCTTCATTTCATTCATTTCATCTTCCATTGCTGATACCCTTTCTTCCAGTTGATCGCATCGGCTCCTGAGGCTTCTGCATTCTTCACGTAGTTCTCGAGCCTTGGTTTTCAGCTCCATCAGCTCCTTTAAGCACTTCTCTGTATTGGTTATTCTAGTTATACATTCTTCTAAATTTTTTTCAAAGTTTTCAACTTCTTTGCCTTTGGTTTGAATGTCCTCCCGTAGCTCAGAGTAATTTGATCGTCTGAAACCTTCTTCTCTCAGCTCGTCAAAGTCATTCTCCATCCAGCTTTGTTCCGTTGCTGGTGAGGAACTGCGTTCCTTTGGAGGAGGAGAGGCGCTCTGCGTTTTAGAGTTTCCAGTTTTTCTGTTCTGTTTTTTCCCCATCTTTGTGGTTTTATCTACTTTTGGTCTTTGATGATGGTGATGTACAGATGGGTTTTTGGTGTGGATGTCCTTTCTGTTTGTTAGTTTTCCTTCTAACAGACAGGACCCTCAGCTGCAGGTCTGTTGGAATACCCTGCCGTGTGAGGTGTCAGTGTGCCCCTGCTGGGGGGTGCCTCCCAGTTAGGCTGCTCGGGGGTCAGGGGTCAGGGACCCACTTGAGGAGGTAGTCTGCCCGTTCTCAGATCTCCAGCTGCGTGCTGGGAGAACCACTGCTCTCTTCAAAGCTGTCAGACAGGGACATTTAAGTCTGCAGAGGTTCCTGCTGTCTTTTTGTTTGTCTGTGCCCTGCCCCCAGAGGTGGAGCCTACAGAGGCAGGCAGGCCTCCTTGAGCTGTGGTGGGCTCCACCCAGTTCGAGCTTCCTGGCTGCTTTGTTTACCTAAGCAAGCCTGGGCAATGGCGGGCTCCCCTCCCCCAGCCTCGCTGCCGCCTTGCAGTTTGATCTCAGACTGCTGTGCTAGCAATCAGCGAGATTCCGTGGGCGTAGCACCCTCCAAGCCAGGTGTGGGATATAGTCTCGTGGTGCGCCGTTTTTTAAGCTGGTCTGAAAAGCGCAGTATTCGGGTGGGAGTGACCCGATTTTCCAGGTGCGTCCGTCACCCCTTTCTTTGACTCGGAAAGGGAACTCCCTGACCCCTTGCGCTTCCCAGGTGAGGCAATGCCTCGCCCTGCTTCGGCTCGCGCACGGTGCGCACACCCACTGGCCTGCGCCCACTGTCTGGCACTCCCTAGTGAGATGAACCCGGTACCTCAGATGGAAATGCAGAAATCACCTGTCTTCTGCGTCGCTCACGCTGGGAGCTGTAGACCGGAGCTGTTCCTATTCGGCCATCTTGGCTCCTCCCACTATGTGCCACATTTTCTTAATCCAGTCTATCATTGTTGGACATTTGGCTTGGTTCCAAGTCTTTGCTACTGTTAATAGTGTCGCAATGCCCTCTCTCACCACTCCTATTCAACATAGCGTTGGAAGTTCTGGCCAGGGCAATCAGGCAGGAGAAGGAAATAAAGGGTGTTCAATTAGGAAAAGAGGAAGTCAAATAGTCTCTGTTTGCAGATAACATGATTGTATATTTAGAAAACCCCATCGTCTCAGCCCAAAATCTTAAGCTGATAGGCAACTTCAGCAAAGTCTCAGGATACAAAATCAATGTGCAAAAGACACAAGCATTCTTATACACCAATAACACACAAACAGAGAGCCAAATCATGAGTGAACTGCCATTCACAATTGCTTCAAAGACAATAAAATACCTAGGAATCCAACTTACAAGGGACGTGAAGGACCTCTTCAAGGAGAACTACAAACCACTGCTCAAGGAAATAAAAGAGGATACAAACAAATGGAAGAACATTCCATGCTCATGGGTAGGAAGAATCAATATCGTGAAAATGGCCATACTGCCCAAGGTAATTTATAGATCCAATGCCATCCCCATCAAGCTACCAATGACTTTCTTCACAGAATTGGAAAAAACTACTTTAAAGTTCATATGGAACCAAAAAGGAGCCCGCATCGCCAAGTCAATCCTAAGCCAAAAGAAAAAAGCTGGAGGCATCACGCTACCTGATTTTTCCCCTTTTCTTGCTTCTCTTCTCACTTCATTTGTTACATGGCTCTTTTTCTTTTATCATTATTTTAATAATTGTACCTTTAATAGATCATTTCCTATCATTCACATACAATCTTTATTTGGAATGAGGCAGAACATAAACAATTAATTAATAAATACCTAATTTTACTGAAGAATTGGCAATATCAAAATTCATTTGCTGTGTAATCACCAATAGAATATTTAAGAATATTTAAGATATTATATTTTAAATATGAGTGAAAATACTGCTTGGTCAGCCCTTCTCAACACCAGAGAGCTAGAAACAAGCCAAAACTTCTTAAGCTCCAGAACTGCAATGTCTCATACAGTAACCACTAGCTATATGTTACAATTTAAATTTAAATCAATTAAAATTAAATAAAACTTAAAATTCCATTTTTCAGCCACACTAGCCATATGTCAAGGACTCAATAGCTATGTGTGGCTGGTGGATACCACACTGGACACTGGAGAAAGTCCTACTAAACAGTACTGCCATTCCACATTGGCACCATCTTGGGGCATCAGTCATCCCAGGAAATGGATGGTCAAATATGTAAAATAAGCAATTAAATCTGAGGGTATAAAACATGTATTTCTTTTTTTTTTTTTTTTTTTTGAGACAGGGTTTAGCTGGGTCACCCAGGCTGGAATGCAGAGGTGTAGGCATGGCTCACTGCAGCCTGGAGCTCCCAGGCTCAAATGATCCTCCTGCCTCAATACCCTGAGTAGCTGGGACGACAGGCACTGCCACCACGCCCAGCTAAAAACATGAATTTCAAAGCTATATAAACCTTTGCTATTTCATAACTTAGGTCCACTAAGAGAAAAGCAAGCTAAAAATAGGGCCAAGGGAAGAATGTCATCATATTCACTTTGCAAACTATGAGAACCAATACAAATAGCAAGACACACACATATATATACACATTTATACGGTCTTTTTTTCTGACTATAACCCTCCCCTCCCCTGGACTGGAGCATGATAGAGTAATGAAAAATGATCTCAGGTTAGATTAACCAGAATGCTGAGAAAGCAGACTTCCTCTTTAACCAATCATCAATCAACCTGCTACAGTCATTTTTTAAAAAAAAAGTCACACGCGCACTGCCACTGCCACTACCACACTACCACCAAGTACTAGCCAGGTTGTGGTAAAACTGGTGTTCTCCCACAACTCTTCTGAAATGCAAAAAAACAGTAGAAACATCTTGAACTCTAGCCAAATTATACTACTTGAGACTGCTTCCATCACATACCCTATTTCCTCTGCCTGTAGTGTTTTTCTTCACCATCTTTATCTACTGAAATCCTGCTTATACGATAGTTTAGCCTCTGGCTTAAATTCCACCTCCTCTGTGATGCCTTTCCAAGTCACCCTTTATTAATTACAGTTCTCCAGGGAAACAGAAACAATAGTATGTGTGTGAGTGTGTGTGTGTGTGTGTGTGTGTGTGTGTGTAAAGATTTTTTATTATAAGGAAGTAGTTCACATGATTGTGGAGGCTGACCTAACATGTGCAGAGTTGTGGGAGCAAGTTGGAGAACCAATGGTTTAGTTTCAGTCCAAGTCTGAAGCATTAAGAACCAAGAAAGCTGGCAGTATAGTTTCCATCTGAAGGCCAGCAAGCTTGGGACCCAGGAAGGGCCAATGTTTCAGTTCAAGTTCAAAGGCAGGTAAAAAGCCAATGTCCCAGTTTGAAGGCAGTCAGGTAGGAAAGAATTCTCTCTTATATGTGGGAGAGTCTGCCTTTTTGCTCTACTCATAATCCATCTATCTCATCCAAAAACACTCTCATAGAAACTCAGAATAATATTTGACCAAATATCTGGTCATCCCGTGATCCAGTGAGGTTCACACATAAAATTAACCATCACAAACCCCAAATGGACTCTGATCTTAAAACACTTAGTTGATACTCAGCACAAGGCACTTAATATACATAATGTTTATATACTTAATATATATAACACCTATGTAATTAATGCTTTGAGTAACAGATACTTGTGTAACTATTTTAACACTCTATCAGAATGTATTGGCCTAAGGCAAAGACTTCTTGTATCCTTTGTGTTTATCCTAGTACCTTACACATAATTGGTATTCAAATTTTTTAAAATGAATGTTACATAAATGTCTATGTGCCTAACAGTAAAGCATCTCAATCTTATTCTTTGTACAACTTTATGAGATATATTAAGGAAATCATGGCACAAGGTATAACCAAACAGTTCACTATTTAAGATATTACATCATATTAAGGCATTATCTAAATCTGACATCAGTAGGAGGATTTGTATTTAATTCTCCTATACAATTGCTTGCAAAGAAAATTGGTTAAATCAATCCACAGAATTAACTTCTACTTTAAAAACACACCTTGGCCAGGCGCAGTGGCTCATGCCTGTAATCCCAACACTTTGGGAGGCCAAGGCAGGAGGATCACTTGAGGTCAGGAGTCCAAGACCAGCCTGCCCAACATAGTTAAACCCTGTCACTATTAAAAATACAAAAATTAGCTGGGTGTGGTGCTGTGCACCTGTAAGCCGAGCTACTCGGGAGGCTGAGGCAGGAGAATCACTTGAACCTGCGAGGCGGAGACTGTAGTGAGCCAAGATCATGCCACTGCACTCCAGCACAGGCAACAGGACAAGACTCCATCTCAAAAAAAAAAAAAAAAAAAAAAAAAACAAGCTTGTACGTCCAAATAAACTACTTTTCCAAACTCCAGGTAAAATGTAAATATTTAACGCACCTCAAAAAAGAAAACAGGATTGGGCGTGGTGGCTCACTCCTATAATCTCAGTGCTTTGGGAGCCCAAGACAAGAGAATTGCTTGAGGCCAGGAGTTCAAGAGCAGCCTAGCCAATATAGTAAGACCCTGTCTCTACAAAAAATAAAAAATTAGCTAGGTGTGGTGGCACACGTCTGTAGTCCTAGCTACTTGGGAGGCTGAGGCAGGAGGACAGCTTGAGCCCAGGAGTTGGAGGTTACAGTGAGCTATGATCGCATTACCGCACTCCAGTGTGGGGGACAGAGAAAGATCCTGTTTCTAAAAAATATACAAAATAAAACAGAAAACAGAAGTAGACAGGATAGTCACTCATGTACTATCCCCTACAGCCATTCTTGGACTTAGAAGAATGACTAAATTTTTTCTTAGCTTCTCAGGCCATAACAAATTATTTGTACTACTTTAGGTATTCAGTGTGCAGGATGATTTTAAAGGAAATTCTTTCCTTCCCTGACATGTTCTCAAACCTTAATCAAATTGCAAACTTCCAAGTGAATACGGCCATGCTGTGAATCTTTGGCTCCTATCCAGACTAACCAAATTAAGAATACAAATACTGTTTTTACCAGCAGTGAATGCTGACACTGATCCATTGCCCTTTGATATAGTTTGGATGTCCCCTACAAATCTCATGTTGAATTGTAATCCCCAATGTTGGAGGTGGGACCTGGTGGGAGGGGTTTAGGTCATGGGGGCGGGTTCCTCATGGCTTGGTGCTATCCTTGCAATAATGAGTGAGTTCTCTTGAGATATGATTGTTGCAAAGTCCGGCACCTCCCGCACCAGACTCTCTTGCTCCTGCTCTGGCCATATGATGTGCCTGCTCCCACTTCACCTTCCGCCATGAGTAAAACTTCCTGAGGCCTCCCCAGAAGCAGATGCCAGCACTATGCTTCCTGTACAGCCTGCAGAACTGTAAGCCAATTAAACTTCTTTTCTTATAAATTACTCCATCTCAGATATTTCTTTATAGCAATGCAAGAATAGTCTAATATACCTTTCTAGTCCTCTCAATTATATTCTGGGTCACCTCTTAAGCTTCAGACAAGTTGGGCCCTGCTCACTCTATCTGAGAGTCATATAAGAAGGGACATTAAAGATTAAAAACAAATAACTGCAAATGTAATTTTATCCCTTTTATCCATTATATCTTTAATCAGAGCTTCTAAATGTGGTAAATGGTTTCTAATTAAAATTAAGACTGCAAATTTTCTTTGTACATCTATAGATGTTTACTTGCAATACGGTATCCCTATAGCATCACTAGAAATAATAATGTGACATGGAAAAAATCTTAAACTCAGAGATCTTCCTTAAAAAAATCATAATTTTTATTTCTTTTTCCAGGCATTCATCCTCTATGTAATAGCCTATTATATACTAGTCTTTAACAAGTTAGCAAGAAAGCAATATAGGCAGTTCTTTGAGCAAGAAAAGTTCTTTGGGCAAATAACACCATTATCATATTCATCAGAACTCTTCACTGCAAGTGACAGAAATCCAACTTAAACCACATTTTTTTAAAAAAAGCATTTACTAGTTCACAAAGCTGGAAAGGAGACTGGCATATCTCTGAAAGAAGAGCTATAGGAAGGATAGCCTAAAAAAATGGAACTGGATCTCCCTCAGTCTCTGTCTCTCTCCTCCCTCTCTTTTTCGCCCTCCCCAACCCTCAACCTCCATCTCTTATCCTTGATAGCTTCTCCTTAGCTTCATTATTTAAGCAGACTTCTCCATATGGAATTAGATGGTAGTTGCCAGTGGCTTTGGATCTAAATCCAACCTTTGTAATTCCGGTAGAGAGGTTTTCTTCCCCCATTCCCTGTATATCAATCCTGATGGGAAAAGACTCTGATGGACTTTGGTCACATGCCCACTCAGACGTGAACCTACCATTATATTTAGAGGATTAATCTAAATTGGCCAGGATGAATAATGTGCCCACCTCTCTCGTGGTTGGTGGGAGGGGATGGTTGGACAAGATATATTTCCATAAGAAGAGGGACTGGGTGGAAGAGGATGTCCTAGGAAACCAAAAATAATGGCAATCACAATCAATCAAAAAAATAAATCATCTATTCAGCACCACATCTCTGCCAGAGCCCACACTAGACCTTTATATACACTATCTCATTGAAGGAGCACAATAACATTAACAGAGCAGTAATATCACAAACCATTCTCTAGATGAGGAAACTAAAGTTCAGAAAGATTAAGTTACAGAGGTAAGCTTCAGAGAATCCAAAACTTGGACTAACTCCAGGGTGTATGTATGCTCATTCATCTCTTCTATAAGGTCCTCCTAACCAAAAACTGACTATGACTTTATGCTACAACTTTTCCCCAAGACAAATGACTTAATGGACCAAGCTATCAATGTAGGGTGTTATTTTACCTTTAGAATTCCTTTGGATAGGGTGAGATTAAAGATATCTGTGAAACCATGAATAGGAATAATACAATTAAGAACATATATCCAAAAAGCAAGGACACCAAAGTTAAGCAGGAAAAAAAGTATTTTTATCACCATTATTTTCATATATAACTGAAAACAACAAAAAATATCCAATAGTCTAACAGGAACCCTCATAAGAAGACTGTGACAAAAAACGTATAAGAGTAAAGGGGAAATAAACCTATTACAAGGAAAGCAACAGCACAGGAATTTGTCTTCTCAATCTTGGCACTAGTGGTGCGGGGGAGAGAGGTGCTATCTCCTCTCCAAATTTGAACCACCAGCCAGAACACACACAAATCTGTAATCCGAATTCACACTAGGGTGGTCCAAGTACTCAAACACAAAAGATAATTTAAAATAGTTTCAGGTTGGTACTGTCCCCAGGTTACTGGCAGAAGAAAAGTGGTAGTGCCTCCAGGTTACTGGTAGTGCCCCCAGGTTACAGGCAAAACCACAAATCTTATATGGAAAAACTGACTTTAATCCACACCGATGTGATTATCAGATGCCACTGATTATAAGGTACACCCTGATTTCAGAGATTTTTTTAATGTGAAAAAAAATGTGCACGTTAAAATTCAATAAAACATGGTAAGTATCCTCAGGAAGACTGCAAAAGACTACAAAACATTGCTCTACAATGGTAGCATTTACATGGGTAACTACTAAATTTACCTTCTCCAATTCTGAATTCTCAACCAGCTCATTCTTTCCAGTTTCTCTTAACTACCTCACCACTCTGCACTTTTTTTTCACAGTTCTAACATCCAATCCACACTAATCTTTTCTACCTCTAGATTCAAAAAATATTAGTTTGTAACCCAATATTTAACACTTGATCATTGTACTAACATTGGAATTTTGCTTGATAAACTCAACATAGAATTGATAGTATTTCTGACAATGAGATATAGCTACATTTTGAAATTATTTTTAAACAAAAAATAACTTTAACCCATTTTTAGTATTTTATTTAGACATAATTTTAAACTTACAGAAGAGGTGCAAAAATAAGATTAGTGCATAGAACTCCTATATGTCCTTTATCCAGATCCATCTATTGTTAAAATTTTGTCCTATTTGTTTTATTATTAACATACACCTACATTCTCTCTCTCTATATATATATATAATTCACCCCTGAACTTTTTTAGAGTAAGTTGCTTACATCATGCTTTTTAGTCCTAAATTCTTCAATGTAAATTTCCTAAGATGAGGAATATTCTCTTACATAACCACACTATAGTTATCGACTCCAGAAAAATCAACATCACTAAATACCTGCATCAGATTTACTGTACTAGTACAATTTTGTCAGCTGATCCAATAACATTCTTTATAGTACTGCTTATAGAATCCAGTCTAGAAGCCATGTATTACATTTAGGTACGTCTAATATTTGAGACTCTAAGCTGTCCCCATATGTAAAAAACACATTTAAATACTTATATATATTTATAATAGGACTTAGCCAATGTCTTATTCCATTTTTTGTTGCTATAAAGGAATACCTGAGGCTGGGTAGTTTATAAAGAAAAAGGATTTATTTGGCTCATGATTCTGATGACTGGAAAGTTCAAGAATGGACATCTGCATCTAGGGAGGGCCTCAGGTTGTTTCCTCTCATGGGGTAAGGTGAAGGGAAGCCAGTGTGCATAGACCACATGACAAAAAAAGAAGCAAGAGAGAGATGGAAGGAAGTACCAGGCTCTTTTTAACAACAAGCTCCTCCAGGAATTAATGGAGAACTCACTCACCCCCAATGGAAGTCATTAATCTATTTGTGAGGGACTCATCCCTATGACCCAAATATCTCCCTTTAGGCCCTTCCTCTAACACTGAAGATCAAATTTCAACATGAGGTTTGAAGAGGACAAGCATCCAAACCATTGCAACCAAGAAGAAGGCTAAATAAAATAACCTAGTCTTACCTTCCAAGGGATGCTTCTCCATAGGTATACTTTTCTAATCTACTTAAATGAGTGATCTTAACCAAACAAGCTCTCTCTAGTCACTTCTCCTTGTATGTTACTATAAGGTATCCAAATACTATTTATGTTTTGACCAAAGAGTAGGAAACAAAGTGTTGAACTCTAGCTAAATTATTTGCCTTTCTTCATCACAAATATCATATATACAGGGGGAAAACCCCACACTCTCAGTAAAATATCAAAGAAGAAGTCTAAAGAATTAATGGGAGGGAAAGAGTAGTATGCCCATATTACCTCCTCTGCTGCTTTCAAAACACATTTTACAAACTGATGTTTCCCTAAAGAGAAGTCAATAATCAGACCTGGTTTCTCCCCACGGCATACAAAGTTAATGATTATTTATTTTATTATACTTCCAAATCCCCAATAAAAATCTTCCAGGATATTTTGCCTGTTTCCTAAAAGCCACACCGTTAATACCAACCACTTATTTTCCATATTTCTCTTTGCTTACGGCATCAAGCTTCACAGACTCAGTAAGAAATGATGCCCAAGGCTATCTGTGAAAGATAGGTCCTGGCTATCTTTCCACCCTCCTCTACTTTATTAGTCTTCTACCTAATTACCATCCTTTAGCAATATTCATCTTTTGTAAGAATTCAAATATACCAAGTTCATCAGGTCTAAGATGCAGTTGAACTCCTGTCCCCACTGACTAGAAAATCCATCCCCAGATTTTCAGGACTCTTCATCTCAGGTCTTCGCTCAAATGTCATCTCACAAAGGCTTTCTATAACCACACAACCCAAATTAGTCCTTCCAGGCATGTTCTACCCCATCATCCCATTTTCTTCTTCTCATCACTTATTACTATCTGAAGTTATCTTGTTATTTTATGTGTTGTCTTGTCCAATCTTTCCTCCCCAGTATCTCCCCAAACAATGAAATCTAAGTTCCATGACAGAGGCATCTAGATTGTCTTCACTGTTATATCCCCAGCACCTGGTACATACCAGGTACTCAATATTTGCTAGATAACAGAGTAAGGGGGAAATCTTGACACTTATCAGATGTCTAAGATACATTCTAATATGGCATGTACCAAAATGCTAAAGTATGAAAAATATGAAAACTGCAGTTATGTCTTCAAAGCCATTTTGAAATGTATGAAAGTGGTCAAAAACTCTAAAAATGAATTAACAATGCTCCTATCTAAATGTGTATTGTATGCACCTAATGAATTGATAATAAGTACAATTTCACCTATGATCTAAAATTTATAATGCACATCTTTTTTGTTTCTTTGAAAGTGGCATATCACCGTATTTTTCTTTAAAATACATTATATTGCTTAGTAACACATATATTAAAATAGCCAAGGTCAGATGTGGAAGAAATTTCACTTTGAATATGACCATGATGATGACAGGCAAATAATTATTGAGTAGTTACTATGTGCCCGCACTTTAAATACATTACCTCATTTAATCCTTTCAACATATTATTGTTGTCTTACAAATGAGAAAACTGAGAAACACAGTGAGTAATTTTCCCAAGATCATCCAGTAAACTGCAATTTTCAGTCACCTTCTTAACTGAATTATAGATGCTCAGAAAATGTAACTTTTTTTAAAAGATGAATCCATTTATTTAGCCTTTTAGTTTCAGGTACTGTATAATTTTAATTTTCCTTCTTCATTCAACTTGATATTTTTAAAAATTTATTATACTAATCTGAATCTAGATCAGTGTACAAATTCAACTTGCACTGTCACCAGCAAAGGGAAATAAGGATAGGTAGAAGAGGGAGAGAAGGGAGTGAAGGAGGGAGGGAGAAACAAAGGGAAGGAGAGGGGGAGAAAGGAAGGTAAAAAGGAAGGTAGGTTATTGCTATTACACTTACTCCAACAGTCTAACAACATGGCCATTGCATCCTTTTCTTGTTCAGCAGTTTATTGAACACATATAAAACAAGTTTAGTATTTTGTTTGCTTTAGTAGGCACACATAAAAGATTTGAAGTGACTATTGCCACATTTTTAATTGTATAGCTTTTTTACCTTATTTCTATATAAGTACCGAAAGACATTCCCAGTAATACACAGCAGAAAGTAACTGTAACATAAAGTTAACATCATGCTATATCAATATTCAATTAAAGGTTAAAATATTTTATTTGTAAATGAGCTAAGACCATACACACACTTCCTCCATAGTAAATACCCACATTCAACAATAAACATTGTAGCTTAACCACTAACATGGATTTGAAATCACAAAAAAAGCTCATGAGATTGTCCAACTTAGTGTTCCTAAGTTCCTTCGTCAAACTTGTTGAATAAAATATGCATACACCCATTTAAAATGTGCAGTTTGATTATTTTTAACAAATGTTGTACAACTGTGTGACAACCAACAAAATTAAAATACAAAACATTTCCATCACCAACAAAAGATACCTCATGTGCCTCTGCAGTCAAACTCTCCTACCACTACCCCAAGTCACTGATCTGCTTTCTGACACCATAAATTAGTTTTTGATTTCTAAAATCTCATATAAATGATATTATACAGAATATATTGTATGTGGCTTCCTCCATTTAGCGTCATGTTTTTGTTAATGTTTTAAGACTTATCCATGTGTGTGTTCATAGTTCATTCCCTTCTACTGGTAGGGATAGAGCACAATTTGTTTAACCATTCATCTGCAATGAATATTTGGGTGTTCCCAGTTTACAGCTATTATGAATTAACTGCTATAAACATGCATGACGAAATTTTTGTGTGGATATCTGTTTTCATTTCTCTTGGATAAATACCTAGGAGAGAATTCCAGTATCATATGCTAAACTGCCAAACTATTTTCCAAGGAATGAAAATGGTACATGTTCAAATCTTCTAGAATGTAGTAGCAGTGCTGAAATATTCTGCCTATTTTAAATTGAGTCAATTATTTTCTTTTCATTGAGTTGTAAGAGTTCTTTATATATCCAATATATAAGTCGTTTCTCAAATATATGTATTATAAATATTTTTCCTATGTTAACCCTTATCTTTTAATTTTCTTATTGATAACTTTTAAAGAACAAAAGGTTTTAATTTTGACAAGGTCCAGTTTATGAATTTTTTTCTTTTATGGTTTGTGTTTTCTGTGTTCTATGTTTTCTTCTAGATGTCTTACAGCTTTTTTTAGTTTTAAATTTAGGTCTATGACACATTTTAAGTTCACCTTTCCTGCATGATGTGAGGTAAGAGTCAGTATACATTTTATTACATACGTATTATACAGTTTTTCCAGCACATTTGTTGTAAATATTATTACTTCCTCCTTTGAAATGCCCTACCACCTTTGCCAAAAACCAACTGAATATGTATGTGTGGGTCTATTGTCCATAATATCCATTCTATCACTAATACCACATTGTCTTTAAGTAAATCTCAAAATCAGGAACTATAAATCCAATGATGTACTTCTTTTTTATTGCTTTGACTATTGATCTGTCTTTCCACATACATTTTGAATTTAGGCTGCCAACTTTTTAAATAAAAACAAAACAAAAAGAAAAAGACAGTTGAGATTTGTATTAGAATATCTCTGAATTTACAGCTCAATTTGTAACTTCATGTTCTTTAACCTCTGGCTGCACATTAGAATTATTTGAGCACACTGAAAGAAAATACAGGCTTGGACTCCCACCTCAAACCAATTAAATCAATAGGCTTTATTATGTAGTCATGATTCAGACATGCTGGTTTAATATTTTAACATAATTCTAACCATTAAAATTAAAGATATCTGAGACTATATGGTACTTTTTATCATGAATATTGCTGGTATCTAAATAAAAACTAGGAAATGAATTATAAAAATTAGTTTTCACTTGTTAAATCTATAGACCTAATATTTAAGTAAGATTCAGGCCACATATCAAGCCACATGGTCATCAAGCCAAACTGAAAATAAGAAAAAACTTAGAAAATTTTCAAAAGATTTAAGGAAGAAAAAACTCAAAACAGACTTGTCAGAATTCTATACCCAGCTAAACTATCATCCAAGAGTGAGAGTTAAACAAAGAAACTTCCAGAAACACAAAAAGAACTTACCACTAACAGACTCTAACTGAAAAAACTACATTTAAGGTGTTTTAAAAAGAAAAATATTAAACTAGTAAGAAGGAATGTCTCACACACACACACACACACAAACAACCGGGCCTAAACTGGGTAGTTCAACCAAGCATTTAAGGAACAACTAATATTAATTTTGTACAAACTGTTCCACATAACGGAAAAAGAGGTAACACAAACTTTTTTCATAAATCTAGTGTTACCTGGACATCAAAACCAAATGCAGACAAATGTTACATAGAAAGAACATTATAATATGCTAAGATCTCTTATGCAAATAGACCAAAAATTTCTCAATAAACTAGTAGCCACCTAAACACAGCAAAGGAGAAGAAAAAGGACATAATAACCCCAGCAGCCTTGATATCACTGAGTGGTGACAAGTCTCCTAAAATTTAAACAAAAGATTCCTGGTATTAAAAAAAAAAAGACAACCCTACAGGGCTTAGTTGAATTTATCCCAGCACTATATGAATTGCAAGCATATTTTTTCTTTATACTTCTCCACATGTTTGAAATACTATATATCATAATTTTTCTTAAGCTACAGAGTGGTAGTAATTTGCAGATCAGGGAAAACTGCAATCAGAATGCCTGTGGTAAAGGACAAGAATAAGAAGTCAATTTACTCCATGGAATCCTCCAAAGGCTTGGAACTCGAATGTAACAGTTGCCATGGGATACTGGGGTAAGATTTCCCCAAAAAAATATGAGCAATTTGGTTAAAAATCTGCATACTTATAAAAGACTATCTTCCCTCCACCACATTCAGTCAAGTGACTACTTGCCTCAGACTGACAGAAGACCAGGATTTGGATCTCTAGAAAAAAATGAACTAGAGAAACTCTGCATTTGGTGTTACTAGGTACCCAGTGGAAATGAGTAAGGTAGCAGAAATGACACAGCCCCTGTGTGGCGCAGGCCATAAGTGACAGGGAGTCAGTAACTCTAGGAGCAACTCTTAATCAATAAGGGACAGATGATGGTAGATAAATAGGTCAGTTTTCCTGAACCTCCATGGTACAATTCTAAGGTATGTTATAAACCATGATGGAAATGTCCTATATCTGCACTGGACTGGACTGAATTGGAGTGTTCTATATCTGCACTGTCTAATGTTCTACATCTGCACTTAAAGTGTGGCTGGTGTGAATGCAAACTGAATCTCTAATTTTACTTAATTTCATTCATTTTAATTTTAATTTTAATAGCCATATGTAGCTAGTGATTAGTATTAGACAGTGCAGTTCTACACAGTCTCTCTGAAAGTCTCCAGCAGTATTGAGCTCCAGCTGCTCCAAACGATAACCCACAAAATCAATACACCTTTTACTGGACTTCTTCTCTTCCCTGTCTCACCTCCTTATTCTCTCATTATAATTCCTGGAATCACCTTCCAAATAAACCAAAGATAGGGTATTTTAGATTCTGCTTTTGCAAGAACTAAGACTTGAAGAATCTGACAAAAGCTTGCAACAGAAAAGCAAAGACCAAAATGTGCCAAAAGAAATTAGGAAGTAGGAGGAATGACATCAATAAACTCTTATTAATAATCTCAGAAAAATAAGAATAGATGTTGTACCCATGAATCAAAGACATAATATTAAAATGGGAACAGAGAATAAGGAACCCCTCTAAGAAATTAAAACTATGATAATACAATTTTTATAATTCAGTAGACGGACAGAAAGATGAAGTGAAGGACAACTAGAAAAATAAGACAAAAAGCCTAAGAGATAAACTATAGGAGAAAAACACTTTAAAAATTAGGCAAATTAACCTAGGGAACAGAATTTTCAACTAACAGGAAGCCCAGAAAGAATCAAAAAAAGGGAAGAGAAAAAAAAACACACACATGAATTTTTCCCCAAAAATTAAAAAGTAAAAAGACCCATCAAATATCAGCACAAAGGTTGAAAAAAAGACACTTATCAAAGCACAGCATCACAAAACTTGTGAGCACCAGGGGTAAAGGAAATCTTGAACGCTTCCAGAGAGAAATCAGAATGGCTTTCTACTTATTAATAGTAACACTGGATGCTTTAAAAAAAAAAAGTGAACTACTTAGTTCACAAATAAACAGTATTTCCATAATCAAGTAATATAAATACCAAAAATAGATTTTAAATTCATGACATAACTATAGCAAGAGAATGGAGAAAGAATGGAGAGAGGCATAATAAAAGAGCTAACTCTTCAATTATCATAAGAAAACTGCTTAAGCCAAAAAATTAGTAGAAGAGCCATATTATTTTAAATTATGTAGGTAAATACCTTAAGAAATGGGGAAAAAATTAGGAGTAATTGCTTTTGGAGTGCAGGACTGTAGAGTGGAACAGAAATAGAAAGAAGACTGCTATTTTTCACCTTAAGTCTTTTGGTACTATCTTATTGTTAACTATGTGCATATATTACTTGAAGGAAATTTAAAAAGTATAAAAATTGAGCAGAAATTTTATGTTAAAAATTTTCAAACTTTGAAATAATTTTTGATTATCACTTGTAAAGAGATGGTGTGAATAACTGAAATCAAAGATAATTACACTGCAGATAATATAATTACTATTCATTTACCCATCTAATTCAATAAAACTTAAAAATGCTAACAAGAAAAATAGTGAAACTTATTAATTCATGCTGATGCAAACTAGCTACAATATGAATAAATCCTTTATTTTTGCAATTAAAATATACAAAATAAAATTTGTGGGGGAAGATTAAGCTCCATATGTGAGGAATATTAAGCGCTATATGTTTTACAGAATTAATATTAAAATTGGTTATTATCACTTGAGCACAATGAATGAACTGGTCACAGAAATATTATGTACATGATAGGCACTCAGATCTGCTCATAATGAACAAAATCAATAATCCTAGCAAGGTACCTAAAGAACAACAAAAAAGCCAATGCAAATTTAAAATGTAACATGGATAATATACAAGTAGTAATTGATACCTAATGTAAGTATATTTAACCACTTTTAGTTTCAGTTTCATCTTTTTTCTCTTCCAACTGACCTTTTGCTCTTCCACTCTGATAGATTTCCATAAAATAACTAAAACATGATACAGTGCAGAAAAGGAAAGCAATGATATCCTGATATCTACAATAGGAGAATAAGCTCACTCTTGGGAGATACTGCTTGCAACGGCTTCCCACACCTACTGCCACTTGAACATCAGAAAAACACTGAGGAAAAAGGGAAAATTTTCATTTAGAGGAAAACACACATTTGAAATTTAAGTAACCTTTTTTTAATTCAGCAAATGTTTTGAAAAATAATACCCTAAATATGGGGGAAACTGGCATGCCTTTTCTATACTTGTTTTAATGGCATTATACTTTGATTTTAATTTTAAGCAAAGAATTAACAGTTGTCAGTTCATAAGTAATTTAGCACTCAAATATGCCTTTCTAAATACTTATTTTTGACAGTTTTACAGCATTAATAAAATCAACTTCCTCTTTTTCTATCTCAATTTTTAAACAACTTCAAGAGCAAGTATTTCTAATTCTACTAATATACTGATCATCCAAATATTAGACTTTTGTTATTCAGCATAATTAACTACCAAATCTATTAATACATAGCTTCACTTTATATAAAAACCAAAATGAAACTCTTAATTTTCATACTAAAAATTAACCTTACTAAATATTAGCAGCCACATGTTAACCAATTAAGCCTATACAATGGCAAATAAAACTTACTATTACTAGCAAAACTAAAGAGAAGGAAAAAGACCAGCAGGCCAACACTTTAACTCCAATTTTTAAGGTGACCATGGGTAAAAATAGTATTTATTCATTTAAGCCAAACTCAAATCTCTACTGTCGGAGCCATATATAATTAACAAAAGATCATTAAAAGCACTCAATACTGTATTTGTCAAGAAATACTGCCACTGAGATAGCAATTTCAAAAGTCCCAGAAGGATTAACTGAGCTCTCGAAAAAGTTTCTAGCTCTAAAATTTATTAACACAGAACATTTTTCAGCTAAAAAGTACAATTTTCTCTAACATTATTCTTTTGTAGGTTTCACTAAATAACACCTTCTGCTTTAAAAATGAGAAGCAGTTTCAGAGGGAGCCAAATGTTCTAATTAAGTTAACTGGAAATGAGACAAACTTATTGAGGTTTTTCATATTAAGCAAATAAAATAACATCACTGGCATAGTATAAACTTTAGTGATTAAACGACATCAAAACTTGCTGAAAACTCATAAAGACGCCAAACATTTCCAATAAAATCTTCAAGAAAAAAATGTAAATAGCTACAGAATGAGAAGTCATTAGGAAACAATTGTTAGAAAACCTAAATTCTTTGGTAACGAAAACAAGGAATAGTTTTTCAAGTATTCTATATCACTTAAAGGAAGAAAAGATGTTTCCACATGAAACAACAGCTAAACATTTTTCTTATATAAAAAAGTAATAATGTTTGGACTTGTGGGAAAATAAGGTACTAGATTCATCTTAAAACTCACCTTATATTTCCCTTGTATGAAGTTTTTCCCTCATCCTTGGACCTATCAGTATATGATGAATGGAATCCCTTGACCTATCATATACTGTAAAGAATCAATGTTGGAAATATCTTAACATCAAAGAAAAAAAAGATGTTGCCAGTACTATGTGGATTTGGAAAAAGAAAAATCCCAGTAAATTCCAAGTAACCATTTGTTCTCACACAGAAATAAAACTTATTTGTTCAGTTTTGGAATGGATAGACTTTTCATTTGACAGAGCCAACAGAATTATAAAGCTTAGCTACTTTAAGCCACAACCCTCACAAACAACTAAGAAGCATTCATCAAGAGTGCCCTTCTTAGACCGACAGGAAGTAAGATTTTAAAAGAAGCTTACAAGTTTCCAAAAGAACAACTTCTGGTATTTCTTAAGATCCCCATATGATCACCTGGTCACTCATTTTCCTCCATGTATACTGTATAGCAAAGGCTTTGAAGTAAAACAGAACTGGTTTTCAATACAGAGCAGTAACCACCAGCTATCTAATAGTACTTAAATTCTATAAGCTTCAGTTTCTTCAGCTGCAAAAGAAGACAACCATACTCTATTTTGATGACTATTTCACAAATTTTAAAAAGAGAAAAAGAGATTATCATACAGATTAAAAATAACAGAAATCAATCTTGTACTATTTTTCTAGCCAATAGAAAGAGAAGAAAACACTTCCTAAGCACTGTGTGAGGCCAGCATAAGCCTAATAATATGCATACATGATATGGACACAAGAAAAGAAAATTATAGGCTAACATCTCTCATGAACACAGATGAAAACTTTTAAAAATAAAAATGATAATTTAGCAAAGAAAACCCAGCAATATATAAGGATAATATACATAATATACATAATCAAGTGGGGTTTATTCCAAGAATACAGTGTTGGTTCAACATTCAAAAATAAACCTAAGTAATATCCAGGCACAGTGAAGTGAGACCCATCTTTAAAAAGAAATTAAAATTTTTTTAAAAAGTAATTCACTACATTAACAAAATTAAGCAGAGAAATTCTAGGATCATCTCAATAGATGCAGAAAAAGTATTTGATAGAATTTAACATTCATTTATCGTTTTTTTAAAAAAAGCTCTTGGTAACCTAGGAATGGAAGGGAACTTCCTTAATCTGATAAAAGGTAGCTATTACCAAAAATAATAGTAATAATAATATACACACACATACACACAAACCTACCACTAATACCAATCTATTTATTAGATTGGTAAAATGTTCAATACTTCCCCAAAGGTTAAAGAGAAAAGAAGATTGTCCACTATCATCACTTCTATTCAACATTATACTAAAGGTTATAGTCAGGAAAACAGGCAATAAAAGGGTGGGAAAGTATAAAGATCAAAAAGAAAACAGGTAACATGATTATATACCAACTACAACGAATAAGCAAATTTAGTAAGGTTGTTTAATACAAGCTCAAGATTTTTCTATTTCTATTTCTAACAACAACAATCAAACATGAAATTTATGAAACACCACTTATACAATAACATAAGAAAATAAAATACCAATGAATAAAGACATCTACAACTGAAAACTAAAAATTGAGAAAAAAATTTTAAGATGTAAATAAATGGAGAAATATATCATGCTCATGGTTCAAAAGACTCAATATTGCTATGATGCCAATCCTCCCCAAATTAATCTATAGATACAATGCAAACCAAATCAAAATTCCATTAAGTTTTTTTGTGGAAATTGACCTAAGGATCCTAAAAATTACATACAAATGCAAAGGTCCTAGACTAGCCAAGGCAATCTTTAAGAACAAAGTTGAGAACTGACACTACCAGACTTCAAAATTTATTATATTGGAGAGTCTGACAACAACCAAAGAATGCATAAATAGACCAATGGAACAGAGTCCAAAAACAGATCCACATATAAACAGTCACTTAGTTTATGAAAAAGACCACTGAAAGTCTGAAGGGAAAAGACAATCTTTTCAATTAATGGTGCTAGAGCACTGTAAACCAGTAAAACAAACAAACAAACAAAAACCTTAATCCCAATTGCACACCATGAACAAAAATTAATTCTAGATCACATATCTAAAAGTGAAAGGTAGCCAGGTGTGGTGGCTCACAGCTATAGACTCTGCACCTTGGAAGGTCAAGGCGGGAGGATCCTTTGAGCCCAGGAGTGTGAGGCCAGGCTGGGCAACATGGTAAGACCCTACCTCTATAAAAATAAATCAAAAAATTGCTGGACATGGTGGCATGCACAGTGGTCCCAATTACAAGGGAGGCGGAGGCAGGAGGCTCACTTGAGCCCAGGAGGTCAAGGTTGCACTGAGCTATATTTGCACCACTGCACTCCAACCTGAGTGACAGAGCAAGACCCTGCCTAAAAAAAAAGTGAAAGATAAATCTATAAAACTTCTAGAACAAAATGTAGGACAATATCTTTGTGATCTTCCTGTAGGCAAAGATTTTGTAAATTAATATTCAAAAGCACTAAACTACTAAAGAAAAAAATAAGTTGGACTTCATGAAAACTAGGAACTTTTGTTCTCTAAAAGACACCATTAAGATTAAAACAGTAAGAGATAAGCCACAGACCAGGAGAAGATATTCCCAATACATATATCCCACAAAAGTTTTGTATATAAAATACATAATATAAAGAATTACTATAAATCAATAATAAATAAGGCAAACAATCCAATTTTTTAAAGGGGTAAAGATCTAAAGAGAAATTTCACAAAAGAGAATATCAATATCCAAATGGCCAGTCAACATATATAGAAGCACTCGCGCATCATCAGCACCATAGAAATGCAAATTAAAATGACAATGATACACAAATATACACCTCCCAGAATGGCGAAAGACTTCACTCACTGGAAGTGTTCTTGAGAATGTGAAGCAAATGAAACTCTCACCTAATGCTTTTGGGTGAATACACTGGTACAACTTGGGAAACTGCTTGGAGTTTCTACTGAAGTTAAACGTATACCTACCCTACAAAGGATATGAACAGACACTTCTCAAAAAAAGACATACATGTAGCCAACAGACATACGAAAAACAGCTCAACATCACTGATCATTAGAGAAATGCAAATCAAAACCACAATGAGATACCATCTCACGCCAGACAGAATGGTGGTTATTTAAAAAGTCAAGAAACAACAAATGCTGGCAAGGTTGTGGAGAAACAGGAACACTTTTACATGGTTGATGAGAATGTAAATTAGTTCAACCATTGTGGAAGACAGCGTGGCAATTCCGCCAAGATTTAGAACCGGAAATACCATTTGACCCAGCAATCCCATTACTTAGTATATACTCAAAGGAATATAAATCAGTATATTATACATGCACACATATGTTCACTGCAGCACGATTCACAATAGCAAAGACATGGAATCAACCCAAATGCCCATCAATGATAGACTGGATAAAGAAAATGGTGCATACACATGATGGAATAGTATGCAGCCATTAAAAGGAATGAGATCATGTCCTTTGTAGGGACATGGATGAAGCTGGAAGCCATTATTCTAGCAAACTAACGCAGGAAGAGAAAACCAAACACTGCATGTTCTTACTTATAAGTGGGAGCCAAACAGTGAGAACACATGGACACAGGGAGGGGAACAATACTTGCTGGGGCCTGTTGGGGGAGGGTGGGGAAGCAGAGCATTAGGGAAAAGAGCTAAAACATGCTGGGCTTAATACCTAGGTGATGGGTTAACAGGTCCAGTAAACTACCATGGCACATGTTTATCTATGTAACCTGCACATCCTGAACATGTACCCCAGAACTTAAAAAAAATAAAATAATTATTTTAAAAATACATATACCTACCCTATGACTCAGTAAACCCACTCCTTGTATATAGCCAACAAAATTAGTACATATGTCTACCAAAATGATGTATAAAAATGCTCACACAAGCTTTATCCATAACTACTCCCTCAAAATAAAAATAATCCAAACGTCCATAAACTAGAAAATGAATAAATAAATTGTGGTCCATTCAAACTATGGAACACTACACAGAACTGAAACCCAACAAACTGGTGATAACGTAACAATGTGGATGAATTTTGTAGGAGTTGTTTTCAGCAAATGAAGCCAGATAAAAAAGATAACAAACCATAAATAAATAAAATTGTTTTGCCTTTTTTGAATTTTCATAAAATAGAAATGGAAATAGAAGTCAGAAATATGAAATTGAAAAACGAGAAAACAAATTGATGGAAATGGAAGTCAGAACAGTGGATACCTACAGAAGGTAGTAATGACTCAAAGGGTGAACAAAGATTTCTTCTGGTGTGCTGGGAATACGGCATACTTGGATCTGTGTGGCGACTATATAGGTATGTATCTAAGAAAATATTCACTGAGTAGTATATCTGAGACTAATATACCTTACAGTATATGCATGTGCCTCAATTTAAAACCATTATTTAATCTCCAAGTTGAAAAAACACAGAAGCTTCATTCTGTAATTTGGAGGTATCTACAGAAAAGAAAGGTATTTAATAGAGGATTATAACTTATTTGGTTCACATAAAAGCAGACAAGAAATGCAAGCATACCTTGGAGATACTGTAAATGTGGTTCTGGACCACTGAAATAAAGTGAGTATCAGAATAAAGCATGTCACATGAATTTTTTGGTTTCCCAGTGCATAAAAAGTATATTTACACTATACTGTAAGTATATTTACACTATACTGTAGTAAAGTGCTAAGTAGCATTATGTCTTAAAGAACAATGTACATACCTTAATCTAAAAATACTCTATTGCTAAAAAATGTTAATGATCATCTAAGCCTTCAGCAAACTGTAGTTCTTTTGCTGGTGGGAGGTCTTGCCTCAATACTGATGGCTGCTGACTTATCAGGGTGGTGGTTGCTGAAGGCAGGGTGGCCTGTGGCAATTTCTTAAAACAAGACAACAGTGAAGTGTGCCACATCAATTGACTCTTCCTTTCGGGAAGAACTTCTCTGGAGCATCCAATGCTTCATTTTATCCATACTAGAACTTCTTTTAAAATTGGAGTCAATTTTCTCAAATGCTGCCACTGCTTTATCCACTAAGTTTATGTAAACCCATTGTTGTCATTTCAACAATGTTCACAGCATCTTTATCAGAAGTAGATTCCATCTCAAGAATCCACTTTCTTTGCTCATCCATAAAAAGTAACTACTCATATGTTCAAGTTTTTTCATGACACTGAAGTAATTCAGTCACATCTTCAGGCTCTATTTATTCCCTTGCTATTTCCATCACATCTGCAGTTACTTCCTCCACTAACATCTTGAACCCCTCAAAGTCACTCATGAGGGCTGGAATCAACTTCTTCCAAATTCCTGTTAATGTCAATATTCTGATCTCCTCCCATGAATCACAAATGTTCTTAAGGGCATCTAGAATGGTCAATCCTTTCCAGGTTTTTCAATTACTTTGCACACATCCATCAATCTATGGCAGCTATAGCCTTATAAGATGTAATTCTGAAATAATAAGATTTGAAAGTCAAAATTACTCCTTGATCCATGGGCTGCAGAATGGATGTTATGTTTGCAGGCATGAAAACAACATTTATCTCCTTGTACATCTCCATCAGAGCTCTTGGACGACGACTAGCTGCACTGTCAATGAGCAGTAATATTTTGAAAGGAATATATTTTTTTGAGCAGTAGATCTCAACAGTGGACTTAAAATATTCAGTAAACTATGCTACCAACAGATGTGCTGTCATCTAGGCTTTGTTGTTCTGCTTACAGGGCTCAAGTAGAGTAGATTTACCATAATTCTTAAGGGCCCTAGGATTTTCAGAATGGGAAATGAGCACTGGCATCAACTTAAAGTTATCAGCTGCATTAGTCTCTAACAAGACAGTCAGCCTAGGCTTCAAAGCTTTGAAACCAGGCATTGACCTCTTCTCTCTAGCTAGAAAGTCCTAGCATCTTCTTCCAATAGAAGGCTGATTTACCTACGTTGAAAATCTGTTGTTTAGTGCAGCCACCTTCCACTTACCTTAGCTAGATGTTCTAGATAACTTGCTGCAGCTTCTCCATCAGCACTTGCTGCTTCACCTTGCACTTTTATGTTATGGAGATAGTTGCTAAAACCTCATGAACTAACCTCCGCTAGCTTCAAACTTTTCTCCTGCAGCTTCCTTACTTCTCTCAGCCTTCACAGAATTGAAGAGAGTTAGGGCCTGGATCTGGGATAGGCTTTGGTTTAAGGAAATGTTCTGACTGGTTTGATTTTCTATCCAGACCACTCGAACTTCTCCGTATCAGCAGTAAAGCTGGTCACTTCCATTTTTGTGTTCACTGGAGAAGCGCTTTTAATTTCCTTCAAGAACTTTTCCTTTGCATTCACAGCTTGACTAACTGTTTGGCTCAAGAAGCCTAGCATTTTGGTGTATGTCAGCTTTCCACATGCCTTCCTCACTAAGGTCCAATCATTCTGGCTTTCTATTTAAGGTAAGAAATGTGCAACTATTGCTTTCTCTTGAGCACTGAGAGGCCACTGTAGGATTATTAATCGGCCCATTTTCATTATTGCAGTGTCTCAGGGAATAGGGAGGTCCAAGGACAGGGGAGAAAGATAGGGGAAGAGCCAGCTGGTAGAGCAGTCAGAACCCACACATTTATCAATTAAGTTAGCTCTCTTCTCTGGGTGCAGTGATTCGTGTTGCCCCAAAACAATTACAGTAGTAACATCAAAGATCGCTGATCACAAATAGTCATAATAGATATACTAATAAAAAATTAAAAATTTTTCGCAAGAATTACCAAAATGTGATACGAAGATACAAAGTGAGCATATGCTGTAAGAAAAATGGTGCCAACAGACTTGCTCAACACAGCGCTGCCACAAACCTCCAATTTGTGAAAAACACAGTATCTGCGAAACATACTAAGTTTTATTCCCTTTTACAGGCATACTTCATATAAAGTGAAGAGTAAGAGCACTGCACCAAAACAGTCATACAAAATCTTATTTAAACCATGCAACAAACCTATGGTGTAGATACTATTATTATTATATATATCATTTTTAGAGATAGGGTCTTGCTTTGTCACCCAGGCTGGAGTGCAATGGCATGGTCATAGCTTACTGCAGCCTCAAATTCCTGGGCTCAAAGGATCCTCCTGCCTCAGCCTCTCAAGTAGTTGGGACTACAGATACATGCCACCATGCCTGGCTGATTTTTAATTATTTATTTTTGTAGAGATGGGGGTCTCAGCATCTTGCCCAGGCTGGTCTCAAACTCCTGCACCCAAGCAATTCTCCCACCTCAGCCTCCCAAAGTACTGGGATTACAGGCATGAGCCACCACACCTAGCCTGGTACTATTATAAATCAATAATTTCAGAAGGGAAAACTCAGGTAAGCAGATGTTGCTCCTATTAAATTGTAAATGATTTGATCTTAGTAAACACAATTTGACTTGCATAAAATAGTTTTCTAAATACACTGACAAAAAGCAACATATAAGTGTCCTACCTGGCTTTCCTTACCACACTATCTGAAATATCATCCTATACAACTCTCTGTCGCCTTACTCTCCCTTATTTTTCTTTGTAACACACATTACTATCTGACAATATATACGTACATGCTTATTTGCTTATATTCTGTCTCTTCCACTAAAATGTAAATTCCATGAAGGCAGAAATTTTGTGTTGTTCACTGCTCTATCTCCAGCACCTAGACCTGCTCCTGGCATATAATAAACATTCAATACATTTTGATGAGTTAAATGGAAAAAATAATAATAAATATCCTACCTGACAATTCTGTACCTTTTTCCATACCATCTATAAAACTAAGAGAAAATAAGATTATTTCATGTATTTTCTATTAATTAGTTTACATAACTTACTAGCAAAATACTTGATAATATCTCTAAGCTGATTTGGGGCAATCACTTAATAAGTCAAAAAATTCTGGAAGATTAATTTTAACATATTCAACTAATTAGATAATTAAGATAATTATCTTCCAACTATGTCATGAAACATTTCATTTTAAACATCCAAATGAAAATCTTTATAAATTATGTGATTGTAAGTCTTTATAAATTGTATAATAAATCTTAATGAACTAAGCATAAAATGTTGATTTGCAGAAAAATTACAGCATTATGAAAATCAATTATTGCACTCAGCACTAGCACAGTGCTAATACAGTAACAATTAAATCACCTTTACTGAATTCTACTATTTAGAACACTCCTATGTCTTGACCTCATTTCCTTTTTCCTCCCTGCTCTCGTCACTATTTCTACACTGCTTTAACCTCTCTTGCTATTGCCTTTAATTTTTCCTTCTGTGCTATTTGCATGTTTTCCCTTCCTTTAACGTATTTAGATGTCCACCTACCTTTGAAGCATGCACACATACAAAAAAACTTCCCTGGACCTTGCTTTCCTCAAAAGCTACTGTTCTTGGACTCTACTGCCACTTTCTTTAAAAAGTACACAACCTCCACTTCCCACTCCCAAATTCATACTCATTAGTGAAGATTATCAATAATCCCTGAATTGCCAAATGCAACTGCCTTCCTTAGCTACCCCAATGCATCATTTAAAAGAGTACATATTCTCCATCCGTGATTTGTCTCCTCTTAACTTCCATGATTCTGTGCCTCCCAGGTATTGTTGGGCCTGAACCTTCTAGAATTTAGGGGGCCTTCTTTAAAAAAAAAAAAAAAAGGAAGCAAAATTACAAATACAAAATTAGATACAAAGGTGAATACTTACTGAGAATGAGAAAAAAAAGTCACAGCATCATAAACATCACAAGAATCCAGAAAAAATAACAATAATGTTATCAATAAACTCCCTGACACACTTCTAGTATACTTCTACATATTTTTTGCATAACTTTTGTTATCACCTCTTCATATGGCAATTATATGTAAGGTTTTCTATAAATATCTTTTTAATTTTCAAAAGACTAAATTGTTATTTATATTTTACAAAATAGTCTTCACAAACTGTTCACAAACTACTACTGGTAATGTCATAAACTTTTAGTATTGTCAAATTTAGAGAAACTCATATATTTTCTTTCATTTATAAACCATTCGATTTGGAAGAATTTTTCCCAGACTAGCTTCTGGCCCCGTGTATTTCAAATTTTGTTTCTCTTATCCTACCACGTACTTCTAATGTGATGCATTATAGGACACGTCCATATCACCAGGTGATCTCTAGCCTTCCATCTTTGTGTCATAACACTAAGTGTTAACACAGTGAGTAACACCAGTATTCCTTGATATCCTTCCTATACCAGAACAGCTAGTCTATATTCAGAAGTGACATGACCACATAAATACATGCCTCCCAAACTAAATGTAAATCCTATTCAACTTCCCCTTAGCTGGATCCCAAAAATGCCTGCAGCCACTCTAATGCCATATGACATGAGGGTAAGTCAGAATGAAAGAAATGGCAATATTGAAATGCCTTACTTTTGGAAATCCTACAGAAACATATGCCCATGTGAAAACCTTCCTCCTACAGACTTGAAAGGATTTTATGTAAGTGACAAACCTGGAGCTTAAATTTAATTAGCTTAATGATAAATCCCCCAAATCCCTGACACTCTGAACCTCTTTTCTTCACTGACTCTTCATCATGCCAATCACCAAACATAGGTACTTCCCCCACAGTCCTTGTCTTTCTCCTAAAAACCTACATAATGTATTTCCCAAAGTCACTGTGTCCTTAATTGTTTTAATCATATCTACACTCTTTTTTTTCAGTCTCATCCATTCCCAAGCTTCACCTATGACCTTCAAAGCAAATAATCCTCCCTCTAGAATCTAGTAACTAGACTATCAATTCCACAAGCAAAGGAGATGCTAGTCTTGTGGTCTGCATGAATTCCAGGGCTTCAATCTTAAAGGACATATATTAGGCCTTCAATAAAATATACTGAGTAACTTCTAGAGTATAACTCTAGCCTTATTCTCTCTTTCCAAGCTCCTAGTCTAACATTTCAAATTGCCCACTCGTCTTTTCCACCTAGATAACGTCTACCCTGCTTCCCAAGAAACAGACAAATTCCCATAATACTTGGGAGTACTTTGAACTTTATTTTAACCCTCAGCGATATATTTTAAACTCTTAGTAGATAATTTTCATCGTATCTGTTCAGAAAACTAAAGCACAATGAAATCATAGGACTTATGACAAATCCAGATTATTCCACCTTTAATTGCACGAACTTCCCTCTCTAAAACAAATATGTGGGACGCATACAGTGGCTCAGGCCTGTAATCCCAGCACTTTGGGAGGCCGAGGATGGTGGATCACCTGAGGTCAGGAGTTCGAGACCAGCCTGGCCAGCATGGCGAAACTTCACCTCTACTAAAAATACAAAAATTAGCCAGGCATGGTGGTGGGCACCTATAATCTCAGCTACTGGGGAGGCTAAGGCAGAAGAATCGCGTGAACCCAGGAGGCAGAGGTTGCAGTGAGCCAAGATCATGCCACTGCACTGCAGCCTAGGTGACAGAGAAGACTGTCTCAAAACAAACAAACAACAACAACAACAAAAAAACCAAATATGTGGCTGATGAGCCACATAGATCTAGCTGTAATAACTTATCTGGAATCACACTCAGTGACCTACACAAAGACACCAAAATTAGAAATAAAAAGTGAATGGCTGAGTGCTAGTTATCAAAAATGAACAAATAAAATACTTCTGAGAAATAAAATAAATACAAGACTAAATGTCAATAACAAATATGTCTATAAACATATCTTAAAGTTTACACATAGAATGTACTCAGACAATACAGAGTACACACACATTCAGTCATGTAGCCCTCTCCACTGAAAGGCCTCATTGTAAACACACTACTAAACAAGAGTTCCCAAGCAAATAGGATAAAGTGCTGACATAAGTGTCAGCACTATACACAGATACTGACGTATGTCTATTTGCTTTCAGTTGCTAAGATTCAGTGTGTCCATTTTTCTCTAAGCTTAAAAACATGCAACTCTGATGTTCTGAAGATTCCATAGTTAAACAAAGATTGATGGATTTCTTGATATACAAAAAATATTTCAAATTCAAATCTCTAATTTCCTGAAAATACTCATGTTCTCTCCGAGAGAGAGAAGAGGGAGAGGGGGAGAGGGAGAGAGAGAGAGAGGGATGGAGGGAGGGAGGGAGAGAGAGAGAGAGAGAGAGAGAGAGAGAAAGAGAGAGAGAGAGAAAGAAAGAAAGAAAAAGAAAGAAAATTTTAATTCAATTTTAATAAAATTAAATGAAAAGGGAAACTACATACTTTCACCTGAGTATCACAGAAATAAAATTCTGAGTGCAGCTTTAAAAGAAAATATCTCCTATGTTTTCAGAACCTTTCTGAATCTATATAATGAAAAGTATATATTTTGATTATTCAAAAAAAGAAATTGTATGTTGATGAGCAAATTCCTAATAGGAGTTCCAATTAGCATCCATTTCACCTCTTGAATTATAATCTTATAACTTTATGCTAATCAATTAGATATTGACAAATAAACAGAACTGTATGTCATCCATATGATCTGTGAGAGAAAAGGTGACAAAAGATCTGATAGGCAACTAAAACAAAAACAGTGGCAAACCCCAAGACTATTTTTGTAGCTCTGTAAACTATCATCTTATCTCAAATTATGGGTCAGTTGGAAAGTTCCCCTGGGAACTTGCCATCTGCTCTTGGTACAGCCCAGGTATAATGCATAAAACAGGCTTAAAATACCCTTGGGTGACAGAAAAACCAATCAAATTTCCAGTAAAATCTTCATAAGTTTAATGCTTAATATTAAATAAACATAGTTCTATTGTCTCCCCAGTTGCATTAGCAGTTTGCTTCATATTTCCCACTGGCTTTCAACCACTTAAATATTTCTCAGCTTTTAATAATATATACTTTAGAAAAAAGCTCCCACACTATATTTTAAGATTCAAATAATTCAAATCAATTCAATATAACATTATAAATTTACCATAAATGTTTTTAAGTAGACATTTAGGAAGTCACAATTTAATAATTTTTCTGCCTTTATATATCTTCCCTACCTGATAAAGTAATATTCTTCACAAATCAGAACTTCATTCTAGCAAGAAGCATTCTAAATGTCTATTATCTTAACTTTTGTTCAAATTGTTCGGCTAATTCATTCTCATACCTCTGAGTAACACATGGATAGTTGGAAGGCATTTTCGTCAAGTTTAATAAAACCATATTACCAAAACGAATAAATATAACATAATACACCTGCATTTTTACTATAAAAAATATTTTAATAAAAGAATGGCCAGGCGTGGTGGCTCACGCCTGTAATCCCAGCACTTTGGAAGGCCGAGGCAGGTGGATCACAAGGTCAGGAGATCCAGACCATCCTGGCTAACACGGTGAAACACCGTCTCTAATAAAAATACAAAAAATTAGCCAGCCATGGTGGCGGGCGCCTGTAGTCCCAGCTACTAGGGATGCTGAGACAGGAGAATGGCATGAACCCAGGAGGCAGAGCTTGCAGTGAGCTAAGATCATGCCACTGCACTCCAGCTTGGGCGACACAGCGAGACTCTGTCTTTAAAAAAAATAAAAATAAAAACAAAGAATGATATTCAGTTTGTTAACTGAATAATAAAAGTGGCTTATTTTTAAGTTAAATAGATGGTAAGGTAATTTAAAATTTAAAGTAAGTATAAAGCCAATTCAGTCTTTACTTTCCTCTTTAAATTTTAATCACTCATAAAAAAAGAAAGCTAGATGTTTTCCTGTCATTTAAAATGTCTCAGGTTAAAATAACTTATCCCCAAAGGAAAAACTTTCCTCTGCGTCTTAAAAGTTCACCACTATTTCAACAGTCTCAAATTAATTCAAGGCTAAGTTCTACTAATCACTGTTATTATTTTCTTTAAAGTATAGTTTAAGCACTAAAAATTATATAACTTGTATTACAAAGGTTATGAAATACAGTAGATGCCCACAATCAACTATCCTTTAAGGATGGAATTAAATATTTGTCATTAGCACATAAGGGTTGAAAATATAGACTCAGATAAAGGTATAAGAGATTTGTAGAATTCGAATGGAAGACTTGTGTCTTTGTCAGATAGGAAGAACGTAAAAAAATTTTTAAATTTAAAAGAATTTAAAACCCAGGCAGAATTCCATCAGGCAATGAAAAGACTGGTTGAAGAAGTTAGGTAAAAACTTAGAATTAGGTGAAGAATTTCTTTTACCTGTACAAAACTGAAGAACTTCAACATTTAAAGCATGAAGACTGGAAGTAGATATTGGTGAAAATCTAATCTCATCTCTAGGATATGGACTTATTTCAGCAACCATAAAAGGGCTTACCTGTCCACCTGTGGCATAGGTAGAATCACTCTGGCTAGAGGCAGCCCCAGGTCCTGTTTCACAGCCAAAACTCCATGACCAATGAGAAACTTCAAGTCGTTTGGAATGATAACCAAAACCTACTTGAGTTTTCAACTTCAGTATGCTTACTGTGATACCCTAAATTATCAAGGATGATATAAAACTTAACTCACGAAAGATGAGGCCAGGTGCAGTGGCTCATGCCTGTAATCCTAGCACTTTGGGAGGTCAAGGCGCGTGGATCACCTGAGGTCAGGAGTTCAAGACCAGCCTAGCCAACATGGTGAAACCCTGTCTCTACTAAAAATACAAAAATTAGCCAGGCATGGTGGTGCACGTCTGTAATCCCAGCTACTTGGGAAGCTGAGGGAGAAAAAGCACTTGAACCCAGGAGATGGAGGTTTCAGGGAGCCGAGATTGTGCCACTGCACTCCAGCCCAGGTAACAGAGCAAGACTCTGTCTTAAAAAAAAAAAAAAAAAAAAAAAAAAAGATGAGAAAAATGTTCCCTTAGTGATTAATTGTCTTCCAAGACTAGAATAATGAATAAATCAAATACATAGTAGGTTTAGGGAGGATATAGAACATTCATATCCCATTCTGGGGCAGGGGGAGTGGTGCAATAGATTCGTACAACTACTTTCATGTTGCGGGAAGTCAGGGACACTGAACGGAGGGACCGG
This sequence comes from Homo sapiens, assembly GCF_000001405.40. Classification (NCBI taxonomy): domain Eukaryota; kingdom Metazoa; phylum Chordata; class Mammalia; order Primates; family Hominidae; genus Homo; species Homo sapiens. The sequence continues at coordinate 14,685,255 of NC_000011.10, read as the reverse complement.
CTGGAGCTGCGGCAGAGGAACATAAATTGTGAAGATTTCATTTTAATATGGACATATATCAGTTCCCAAAATTAATACTTTTATAATTTCTTACGCCTGTCTTTACTGCAATCTCTGAACATAAATTGTGAAGATTTCATTTTAATATGGACATTTATCAGTTCCCAAAATTAATACTTTTATAATTTCTTATGCCTGTCTTACTTTAATCTCTTAATCCTGTCATCTTCGTAAGCTGAGGATGTACGTCACCTCAGGACCACTATTGTGTTAACTGTACAAATTGATTATAAAACATGTGTGTTTGAACAGTATGAAATCAGTGCACCTTGAAAAAAAAACAGAGTAACAGCAATTTTAGGGAACATGGGAAGACAACCATAAGGTCTGACTGCCTGCAAGTTCAGGCAGAATAGAGCCATATTTTTCTTCCTGCAGAGAGCCTATAAACAGATGTGCAAGTAGGGAAGATATCACTAAATTATTTTCCTAGCAAGGAATATTAATAATGAAGACTCTGGGAAAGGAATGCATCCCTGGGGGGAGGTCTATAAACGCTGCTCTGCAAGTGTCTTATGCGGTTGAGATAAGGACTGAAATATGCCCTGGTTCCCTACAGTACCCTCAGGCTTACTAGGGTGGGGAAAAACCCCACCCTGGTGAATTTGAGGTCAGACCAGTTCTCTGCTCTTCAACCCTGTTTTCTGTTGTTTAAGATGTTTATCAAGATAATACGTGCACAGCTGAACAAAGACCCTAATCAGTAGTTCTGAATTTGCCCTTGTACTGTTTCCTCAGAAGCATGTGATCTTTGTTCTCCTTTTTGCCCTTTGAAGCATGTGATCTTGTGACCTACTCCCTGTTCTTGTACCCCCTCTCCTTTTGAAATCTTAATACAACCTGCTGGCTTTAAGGCTCAGGTAGGCATCATGGTCCTACCGATACGTGATGTCATCCCCAGAGGCCCAGCTGTAAAATTCCTCTCTTTGTACTTTCTCTTTATTTCTCAACTGGCCGACACTTACAGAAAATATAAAGAACCTACGTTGAAATACGGGGGGTGGGTTCCCCTGATACTTTCAAACTTTGAAAAACAATTTGGCATTTTCTAGCAAAACTGAAGACTGACATAATCTACAACCTAGTAAATCTATCCAGGATAAGTACCACAGATAAAATCTCATATCTAGACATCAAATATATGCAGAGAATTGAAATCATACAAAGTATGTTCTCTGATCATAATGAAATTGAACCAGAAATAGGTAACAAAAAGATGGCAGAAATACTCCAAACACTAGAAATTAAATAACTTCTAAATAAGCCAGCATTCAAAGAGGAAGTTTAATGAGAAATTAGAAGATAGTCTGAACCAAATAAAAACTAAAATGCAATGTATCAAAATTTATGGCACACAGCTAGCATAGTGCTTAGAGGGAAACTCAAAGAAGCTAATGCTTATATTAGAAAAGAATAAAACTCTAAAATCAATCATCTAAGCTTTTATCTTAACAAATTAGGAAAAGAAGAACAAAATAAACCTAAAGCAAGCAGAAAAAAAAGAAATAATGATCAGCTCCCCATCAATAAGAGTGATAACAGAAAAATAATAGAGAAAATTAATGAAACCAAATCTTGTTCTTTGAAAAGATTTAAAAATTTATAAACCTCAAACAAAACTGATAAAGAAAAAAAGATAGACATAAATTACCAATAACAAGAATAAAAGAGGAATATCATTATAGACTCCATAGATATTAAAAGGATAATAAAATAACACTACAAATAACACTTTACACATAAATTCAGTAACTTAGATGAAATGAATCGATTACTTGAAAAATTCAAACTACCAAAGCTCACCAATGATGAGATAGATATTCTGAGTAATTCTATAACTATTAAATAAGTTCAACACATAGTTTAAAGCTTTCCAAAAAAACAAAAAGAAAAAAAAAATTGAGACCCAGATGGTTTCACTAGCAAATTCAACCCAACATTAAAAGAAAAAAATCAGGCCAGGCACGGTGGCTCACGCCTGTAATCCCAGCACTCTGGGAGGCCAAGGCAGGCGGATCACCTGAGGTCAGGAGTTCAAGACCAGCCTGATCAACATGGAGAAACCCTGTCTCTACTAAAAACAGAAAAAAATTAGCCAGGCGTTGTGGCGCATGCCTGTAATCCCAGCTACTTGGGAGGCTGAGGCAGGAGAATCACTTGAACCTGGGAGGCGGAGGTTGTGGTGAGCTGAGATCATGCCATTGCACTCCAGCCTGGACAACAAGAGCCAAACTCCGTCTCAAAAAAAAAAAAAATCAATACTATGTATCAATAAAAGAAAAATATTTAAAAAAGAAGAAATAAAACCAGGTCTATACACTCATTTCTGAAAATAGAGGAGGGAAAACTTCCCAATTCGTTTTGAGAGTCACCATTACCCCAATACCAAAAAAGGTATTAAAAAAAAAACAACAAAAAACTACAGGCCTATGTCCCTCATGAACATAGCAACAACAAAAATCCTTAATAAAATATCAACAAATCAAATCCAGCAATGTATAAGAATATATCACAATCAAGTGGGATTTATACTAGGAATGCAAAGCTGTTCAATATTTTTTAAATTGACCAATATAATCCATCATATTAACAGTTTAAAAACAAACCCACATGATCATATTGATGCAAAAAAAGGCATTTGACAGCATTCAACATTCATTCATGATAAAAACTCTCAGCAAACTAAGAACTGAAAGGAACCTCCCCAACATAATAAAGGGCATTTAAACAAAACTACAGCCAACATCATATTTAATGGTTTCCTAGATTGGAACCAAGGAAAAAATATAATATCACATCTCTCTTATTCATCATGGTACTGGAAGTCCTAGCCAGTACAATAAAGCAGGAAAATAACAAATAAAAAGTATACAGATTAGAAAGAAAGAAATCAAACTGTCCTATTGACAGACAACGTTATCATTTACAGTCGACCCTTGAACACAGGTTTGAACTGCACAGGTCCACTTATATGTGGATTTTCCTCTGCCTCTGCCACCCCTGAGACAGACTAACTGTTCCTCTTCCTCCGCCTCCCCAACCTACTCAATGTGAAGACAGTGAGGATGAAGACCTTTATGATAATCCACTTCCATGAATTAAACAGTAAACATATTTTCTCTTCCTTGTGATTCTCTTAATAACATTTTCTTTTCTCTAGCTTACTTTATTGTAAGAATATAGTATATAACATATATAACATAAAAATATGTGCTAATTGACTGTTTATGTTGATGGTAAGGCTTCCAGTCAACAGCAGGCTATCAGTAGTTAGGTTTGGGGGAGTCAAAAGTTATTTGTAGATTTTCAACTGCTTCAGGGGTCAGCACCCCTAACTTCCACCTTGCTGCATTATTCAAGGGTCAACTGTACATAGAAAAATCTCAAGAACTCTATGAAAAATGCTTCTAGAACTAATAAGTGAATTCAGCAACATCACAGAATACAAAGCCAACACACAAAACTCAATTGTATTTCTATATACTAGCAAAGAGCAACTGGAAACCAATTCTTGTTAAATACCATTTACAACAGCTCTAAGAAATAAATACAGACAGTCCTCAACCTATGATGGTACAACTTACAATTTTTCAGCTTTACAATGTATATTAGTCTGTTCTCACGCTGCTAATAAAGACATACCTGAGACTGGGTAATTTATAAAGGAAAGAGGTTTAATTGACTCACAGTTCCACATGGCAGGGAAGTCCTCACACTCATGGCAAGAGAGAATTTGTACAGGGAAACTCTCCCTTACAAAACCATCAGATCTCATGAGACTTATTCACTATCACGAGAACAGCACAGGAAAGACCCTCCCCCACAATTCAATTACTTCCCACTGGAAGTAATGACACATGGGAATTGTGGGAGCCACCATTCAAGATGAGATTTGGGTGGGAACACAGCCAAACCGTATCACAGTGGTACAAAAGCAATATACATTCAGTATGCTCCTCGACTTACAATGAGGTTATGTCTAGATAAATGCACTATAAGTTGAAAATATCACAATTTGAAAGTGTGCTTTCAACTGATAAAAATATTAAGTCAAAAATGTGCTTTTCACTGGTTTGAAAATATTAAGTCAAAAGTGTGCTTTTCACTGGTGAAAATACCATAAATTGAAAGTCTGGTTTTGACTGGTGAGAATACTGTAAGCCAAAAATATGTTTTTGGCTTACAATATTTTCAACTTACGATGGGTTTATCTGGATACATAACCCCATCATCATAAGTTGAGGAGGATCTGTACTTACATGTAAATCAAACAAAAAGTCAACAGGGTTTATATGCTAAAAATTACGAAACACTGATGAATAAAATCAAAGAAGACCTAAGTAAATAAAGAGATATATCATGTCCATGGATTGGAAGACTCAACAGTAAAAAATGTCCATTCCTTTTTTTTTTTTGAAGTCATTTCTATTTTTATTTTACCAATCATTTTAAAACCAGCTTGTTTAGTAAAGTTATACTTAAGTCACATGAACTTGAAAAGTACTTAGACTTATTTATGAGTACTCTTTTACGTGTATGTCAGTTTTGTAGACAGAATGTATAACAATAAGTGTACATACAAATAAACACATCTAGACATGTATATACACATACAAATGAAGATTCAATAGCTTTTACCTTGGAACTCTAGCCATGAGACAGCAATACAAACTTGCCGGTTCTACTTTTGTTTGCCCCAGTAGTTAATCCAATGAAGGCAGTGAACCAAAATTTCAGGTAAAGCAGTTTCCATGGCAGTTTAATTTGTAAAGGTCAAACCTCCCCAGACTCCAAAGAACACTGGGGCCAAACAGCACCAAAGGAGAACATCACATATAACCAGGCCTGACCCTGCTTGGAACAGCAGCATCAAAGCCTGGATACATGCAACTCCATCTCACTTTCCCATTCAACAACACACTTGATTCCAAACAATACTGGGGCCAAACAGTATTGCAACTGTGAGATAAAATTCTAAGGAGGGCTTAGTACTAGGCCTTAGGACCTCTGCCAAGGGTGTTCCCTTCAGAGAGGTTGAGGTCCAAAGGATCCCCTGGGGCATCCCTCTTTGGGGTCCAGTCTTAAGAGTATCAGACGTCTCTGACGTTACGTGGGCACCAGTGCCGCTTTGCATGTTTTCCCTCCAGAGGCAATGGCCTACTACTATGAGCTTCCCTTTGGTTCCTAGGTATAATCCCTGACTTTCAGAATCCTTAAAATTTGATAAGGCCATCTTTTCCCATGCTTCCTGGTCCACTACAGTGATGGAGCAAAGGAGGAGCATTTGGTCCCACTCTAGTGGAACAGCATGCTTCCTGTTCCACTAGAGTGATGGAGCAAAGTGGACTTTGCTCCATTCCGTGAACTGTAGTGATAGGAACTGGAGGCTAGGTGGGTTTCTTTTGTCCTTAGCCAGTCGAGTAGAGTAAGGGAAAAATTTAGTGTAAGAAAAGAAGATTTAAGTTGCCTGAAACACATGTGAGTTCGCCCTGAGCTGCTCCACATGTAGGGATCAGGAACCACAAGCAGAAAAGACAGAAGAGAGTCCTTCAGAGTGATCCCAGCCAGAAATCTGCAGTTGCCTCTGTGTTTAGGCGCTGCCCACCAAGGGTCCCGAGTGAAGAAGAGATTCCACTGCGTGGAGCAGAAAGGAAAAGGAAAAAAATAAATCCCAAACTTATTTTACATCCTGGCTGGCTTGCCAAAATATGTTACCGGTGGAGGGCGTCTAGGTTCTTGGTGTCTTGAACAAAGAATTGGACAAAATGCACAAACAAAGCAAGAAAAGAATGAAGCAACAAAGGTGGAGATTTATTGAAAATGAAAGTACACTCCACAGAGTGGGAGTGGGCCCACACATAGGGGCTCAAGAGCCTAAAAAATGTCAATTCTACCCAAATTGATTCTACTAATTTAATGTGATTATAATGGAAATCCCAGCCAAATTTTTCATAGATATAAACAAGCTGATTCTAAAATGTTTCTGCAAAGGTCAAACAATATTGAAAAAAAAAAGATAAGAAGATTCACACTACACAATTTTCTAGTAATCAAGACAGTGTGGTATTGGCAGAGGGAATGACACATTGATCAATGTGACAGAATCAATAACCCGGAAATAAATCTGCATAAATATAGCAAATTAATTCTTGACAAAGGTGCCAAAGCCATTCGATAAACAAAGGAGAGTACACAACAAATGATGTTAGAATTGGAAATTCTGTATGTAGGAGAAAATAAACCTAAACTTAACACTTTATACAAAAATCAACTCAAAATGCATCACAGGTCTTAAGGTAAAACATAAAGCTACTAAATTTTTATAAGATTTATAAGAAAACATAAGAAAAAATATACATGTCCTGTGGTTAAAAAGTTCTTAAATATTACATCAAAAGAACTTATAAAACAAAAAATTGAAAAACTGAACTTCATTACAATTAAAATCTTCGGTTCTCTGAAAGACATTGTTCATAGAATGAAGAAACAAGCTACAAACTGGAAGAAAATATTTGCAAATCACAAATCCAACAAAAGACTTATATCCACTTAACCAAAGATGATATATAATGTAAATAAACCCATAAAAAACAGATGCTCAAAATCATTACCCATTAACGAAATGCAAATTTAAATCATGATGCAATACCACTACACACCTAGAATGACAAAAATTAAAAATACTAACAATACCAAGTGCTGGTCAGGATGTGGAACTACTAGAATTTTCATACACTGCCAGTAAAACTGCAAAATGGCATAAACACTCTGGAAAACAGTGGCAATTTCTTATAAAGTTAAACATACACTTAACAAATGACCCAGCAATCCCACTCTCAGGTATTACACTAGAGGAATAAAAACTAATGTTCACACAAAAACTTGTACGTGAATGTTTACAGCAGTTCTATTCCTAATCAACACAACTAGAAAAAAAAAACCTAAATATTCTTCAAAGAATGAATGGATAGGCCAGGTGCAGTGGCTCATGCCTATAATCCCAGCAGTCCGGGAGGCTAAGACAAGTGAATAACTTGAGGCCAGTTCAAAACCAGCCTAGCCAACATGGCAAAGCCCCATCTCTACTAAAAATACAAAAATCAGCCAGGCGTGGTGGTGCATGCCTGTAATCCCAGCTACTCCGGAGGCTGTGGCATGAGAATCACTTGAACCTGGGAGGCGGAGGTTGCAGTGAGCCGAGATCGTGTCACCGCACTCACTCAAGCCTGGGCAACAGACCAAAACTCTGTCCCCCCAAATAAAAAGGATGAATGAATGGATAAACAGGTACATCCAATCAATGGACTACTACTTAACAATAAAATATAAACTGGTTCATGCAACAACTCGGATGAATCTCAAAGGCATTATGCTAAATAAAAGTAGCCAGTCTCAAAAGGTTACATGCTGTGTGATTTCACTTATGACATCAAGAAGATAAAACTACAGTGAAGGAAAAGAGACTAGTAGTTACCAGGGATTAGGGATAGAAGGAAGATATAACTACAAAGGGATAGAAAGCACAAGGGAACTTCTGGAAGTAATGGGACAACTCTATGTCCTGAATGTTGTAGTGGATATACAAAATCTATACTCATGGTAAAATTCATAGAACCATACACCAAAAAACATCTATTTTACTCTGTTAATTTTTTATTTTAAATTAAAAAAAATAAAAGGTAAATACTTAAGATTCGAGGGAAATATTGAGAATATGTTTACAATTCAGTGCTTTGAACAACATCTAAAACATAGAAAGATATCATTACATATACGCAAGTTATTTTTATGAAGTAATCTAGAAAGTTAAAGATAACAGGCTACCTAACCTTATGCCATGAGCCCCATATCAAACCCTGGATTACTTCCTCAATCCTCAGAGAGTGATTTGGCTTGAGAATAAAAGAAATAAGCTTCATTTCCTTTATTCTGAGGAACACAAAATGTATTCTGAAAATGACACCACCAGAAAACTCTAAAATACAACAAGATAAGTGCCATCTTACCCATTATAGGTTCTATCCCTGGTTTTCATTTTTTTTAGAATTTAAATCAGAAAAAAAATTAAAAACTAAGGCTAGCTTCCTATATGTAAGCCAACAAATATACTACCAATTTATTTTAGACAAGGGTGTCAAGTCTTTTCAACAAAACAGTGCTGGAACAACTGGTTATCTACATGGAAAAAGCAAACTTTGACCCCCTACCTTACCTCATACCCAAAAAATTACTTCAAGTTAGATCATACACCATAAAACTTCTAGAAGAAAACAGAGTACCTTAGAGATGCTTAAGCAAAAATTTCTTAAGGTATAAAAAAAGCACTAAATGTAAAGGAAAAAAATTAGTGCATTAGACTTAAACAAAATTAAAATGTCTGCTTATCCAAAGACATTTGGAAAATGAAGAGGTAAGCAACAGATTGAGAGAAAATATTCATAACACATACATATGGCAAAGGACTCACATCCATAATATAGTGACATGCCACATAATGAACTTTCAGTTGCAGCTGTCATGACATTGTGACGCGGTTACTTTTTTATAAAGTAATTGGAAAACTAAAAAGCCTAAGTGTTCAGTGTTTATAAAGTCCATAATAGTGTACAGTAATGTCCTAGACCTTCCATTCACTCACCTCTCACTCACTGACTTACCAAATGCAATTTCCAGTCCTGCAAGCTCCATTCATGGTAAGTGCCCTATACAGGTGTACATATTTTTACCGTACTTTTTCTATGTTTAAATATGCTTAGATATACAAATACTTAGCATTGTGTTACAACTGCCTACAGCATTCAGTACAGTAACATGCTGTACAGGTTTGTATCTTAGAAGCAATAGGCTATAACATATAGCCTAGGTGTGGAGTAGGCTGTAACATCTAGGTTTGTGTAAGTACTCTGTGATGTTTGCACAATGACGAAATCACCTAACACATTTCTCAGAACATATCCTCACTGTTAAGCAACGCATGACTGTCTAAAACAACTACAAACCAGTAATTTTTTGAAAATGAACAATCCAATTTTAAAATTAGCAAAAGACTTGAACATTTCACAAAAGAAGATACATAAATGGTCAATAAGAACATAAAAAGGCATTCAACATCACAGGTACTATATGGCTAAAATAAAAGAATGGCAACATCAAATGTTAGTGAGGATGTAGGGCAACTGGAACTCTCATATATTGCTGGTAGGAGTGTAAATGGTACAACCACTTTGAAAAAGTGTATGTCAGTTTCTTTTAATGTTAAATACACATCTACTCTGACTTAATTTCACTCTTAGGTATTTACCCAACAGAAATGAATACATGTCTCCACAAAAAAGACTTGCACAAGAATGCTCAGAGCAGCCTAATTCATAAGGCAAAAACTGGAAACCTAAATATTCATCAACATAAGAATGTATAAACAAATTGTGACAGAATAATAAATAAATTGTGATGTATTCATAAAATATATTCATTCAGGGAACATATTCATTGAATATATTCACGACTGATATACAAAACAATATGAATGCATTACAGGACAGTATATGAAGTGAAAGATGCTCAACACAAAAGAATGCATACTGTATAATTTTATTTAAAGAGGTTAAAAAACAGTTAAAACAAATACATGGCAATAGAAATCAGTAAGTGGCTGTCTCTGAGGAGCTGGATGGAACAGACCGGAAAGAAGTTCAAGGAAAGATTCTGTATCTTGTTTTGGTTCATGATTACATAAGTGTATATAACCATCAAAACTTCAACTCAACATTTAGGCCCATGCATTTTATTATATGTAAATTATCTGAATTTTTTTTAAATAAGCAAAAAATAAAATGAATAACAATATTGATAAGAAAGAAAAAATACTGAATCAAGATTATAAAGGAACGACCCCAAAGATTATGTCTGCTCTTAAGAAATAGAGAAATAGGTGATAATTTACCATCCAACAGAAAAAAAAGTTACCTCTCTTTAGGAGACAGTCCTGAAAACAGAAACACTGACTTAAGGCCTAAAAGGTTCTAAAGCAGCTTTTCATCCTCAACTCCAACTCTGAGAACTTCAGTTCTACCTGATGAAGAATTATATCAACCTAATATGTGATAACAAGGAAGATATACATTAAAAGCAATAAGTAATCCCTTATCCCAAACTGCCTTAATAGAAATATTATACATCCGTATCCTTTATACCTGCCATGAGGGCAACCAGCCCACCATTTCTACAAGCCCTTTGGTGAGCAAGAGTTGTTTCTTTATAAAAATAATAAAAAAATTAGTAGTCCTGCCTTACCTAAAGTAACAATTTTCAAGACTCATACATACTCTCTTTCATTTGAACATAACTTCATTTTTAATAAAAATACAAATAAAAACTTTTCTTAGAATAGTAATAAAATCAGTTTTCCATCCCAGTTGCAATCAGGATCAAGATGTCTCTCCCTAAGTGTAAGTGCTACATAGAAGTTCAATATTTTTCCTATGAGGGTAAGAAGCAGAAATTAATTAGTTGTTACCCTCATATTCACTTTAAGTAGTTCAAATAACAGCAACTTTAGAAGATTGTTAGCTGAAAATCAAAGTTAGTAAAGTTTTAGTTGGGGGTGGTAGGAGAAGGAGGAGACAGCAAATCACTTATAAATGGCTTCAAAACAGGACCCAAAGCCTAAATTCCAGGAGGTTGAGTGAGTGCTGTGCTTTCATGGGCCTCTTCTTCATGAAACAAAGTGTGTAAAGGTTGCCATTAAGGACAAACAAGTGAAATACTTTATACATTACAGTGGTTGGAATAAAAATTGGGATGAGTGGGTTCCAGAGAGCAGAGTACTCAAATACAAGGACACTAATTTGCAGAAAGAATAAGAACTTCAAAAAGCCAATCAGGAGCAGTATGCAGAGGGGAAGACGATAGGGGCTGCCCCAGGAAAGAAGACATCTGGTCTCCAACAGAAAAATGTTGAAGTGAAAACAAAAAAGAACAAACAGAAAACCCCTGGAAATGGAGATGGTGGCAGTACCAGTGAGACTCCTTGGCCTCCTCGGAAGAAAAGGACCCGGGTAGATCCTACTGTTGAAAATGAGGAAACATTCATGAACAGAGTTGAAGTTAAAGTAAAGCTTCCTGAAGAGCTAAAACTGTGGCTTGTTGATGACTGGGACTTAATTACCAGACGAAAACAGCTCTTTTAACTTCCTGCCAAGAAGAAATGTGGATTCCATTCTTGAGGATTACGCAAATTACAAGAAATCTGGTGGAAACACAGATAATAAGGAGTATGCGGTTAATGAAGTTGTGGCAGGGATAAAAGAATACTTCAACGTAATGTTGGGCACCCAACTACTCTACAAATTTGAGAGACCACAGTATGCCGAAATTCTTGCAGATCACCCCAAGGCACCCATGTCCCAGGTGTATGGAGTGCCACATCTCCTGAGATTACTTGTACGAATTGGAGCAATGTTGGCCTATACACCTCTGGATGAGAAGAGCCTTGCTTAATTACTGAATTATCTTCATGATTTCCTGAAGTACCTGGCAAAGAATTCTACAACTTTGTTTAGTGCCAGAGATTATGAAGTGGCTCCTCCTGAGAACCGTCCTGAGAGCCATGTGAGAGGCGCTCTCACTCACTTATGTTTGGATCTCTGTAAACACATTTTTGTTCTTAGTCTATCTCTTGTACAAACGATGTGCTTTGAAGATGTTAGTGTGTAACAACTGATGTTTTTTTCTGTTTTGTTTTAAACAAAGAAAATAAAAGGGGTAATAGATCCTTTTTCTTTTTTTTTTTAATTTCAAAGTCACTACCAGTGTATTCAATGATGGACAACAGAGGATATGCTGTAGAGTGTTTTACTGCCTAGTTGACAAAGCTGCTTTTGAATGTTGGTGGTTCTATTCCTTTGACACTACGCACTTTTATAATACATGTTAATGCTATATGACAAAATACTCTGATTCCTAGTGCCAAAGGTTCAATTCAGTGTATATAACTGAACACACTCATCCATTTGTGCTTTTTTTTTTTATGGTGCTTAAAGTAAAGAGCCCATCCTTTGCAAGTCATCCATGTTGTTACTTAGGCATTTTATCTTTGCTCAAATTGTTGAAGAATGGTGGCTTGTTTCATGGTTTTTGTATTTGTGTCTAATGCATGTTTTAACATGATAGACACAATACATTGTGTAGCTAGTGTTTTCTGGAAAAGTCTATCTTTTAGGAATTGTTTTTCAGATCTTCAATAGATTTTTTCTTTAAATTTCAAAAAAAAAAAAAAAGTAAAGTTTTTGCTATGACTCCCCAGCTAAAAACTACATTTCTCCATCTCTCTAGTAGCTGAGTAAGACCATATGACTAAGTACCAGTGGAATATGAGCAAGATGATACATGCAACTTTCACCTCACTTGTTTAAAATAAAATTATTTATCTGGACTCTGTGGACTCTCTCTTTCCCCTTCCCCACTGACTGGAAGATAAGTGTGACAATGTCCTAGCTTGACCGTGCAGATTAAGACAAGACCCTAAGAGGTGGCAGAGCAACATAAAGGAAGGAGCCCGTGAAAGACCCAGCAGCCTGAATGTGTGACCTGTTGTTATATGATAAATAAACTTCTTTCTTACTTGAGCCACTATATTTGTCTCTTGTTAACATTAGTTTAGCCTTTATCATAACAAATAGACCAACAAAACTAGTTCTTGGTTTTATTTCCCTAAGCCTTTCTGATTTGTGTTTCACCCCTAATAAAACATTGTGATTTTCCCTTCTTAGTAGGTTTTCCTAAACTGTATACAAACTACATTCTGTGTGTAAAGTATGGGAAAGTATTTTTTTAATTCCATCTCAAATCTAGCTTACCTTATTGCACTTACGTATTTAACTGTGCCATTTGTAATAGCTATAAAAAGCCCTGTGTTCAGATAGAAGTTTCATGAATTCACTTAATAGCAATGCATTAAGTGCAAAATTAATAACAGTGCTATAATGCTACCTAAAATAATAAGAAAAGGGATAAGACATTGTCCTTGTGCTTAAGAAACTCAGAATCTAATGAGAAAGCCAATTGTATACCTAATTAAAATATAATATAAAGATACTTTAACACTAGTATCTGGTAAACACTATAAAATATATATATACATATATATATGTATATATATATATATATTTTTTTTTTTTCAAGACAAGGTCTCACTCTGTCACCCAGGCTGGAGTACAGTACCACAATCACAGCTCACTGCAGCCTCAAATTCCTAGCCTCCCACCTCAGCCCCCTAAGTAGCTAGGAACACAGGCACACACTACCATGCCTGGCTAATTTTTTAATTATTTGTAAAAACAGAGTCTTGCTATGTTGCCCAAACTGGTCTCAAACTCCTGGCCTCATGCAATCCTCCCATCTCGGCCTCCCAAAGAGCTAGGATTACAGGGATGAGCCACCATGCCTGGCCTATAAAATATTTTTTAAAGGACATTCTATCCAGGGATAAATGGGGGAGAAAGTCATCTGAGATAGTCCAAGTCACTATTATGTCTCACTTGGATAACTCCAACAGCCTCCTATCTTCCTGCTTCCACTCTAGCTATTCCGTCAATAGCCCATAAACAAGCAAGAATAATCTTTTTTAAACATAAATTATACCATAAAATTGTCTCATGACTTGCCATTAGAATGCAATTGGAGTGAAATGTAAATGTTAACAAGGTGTATAAGGCCTTATGTGATCCACACTGTTCTTACCACTCCCACCACTCTCTAGCCACCCAGTTTGCTTTCTAACAAGCATGTCAAGATCTTTCCCACCACAGGGCCTTTGCTGGTTCTTCTGCCTAGAGTGTGCTTCCCTCAGCACAACCAGCTCCTTCTCAACATTTATATGCTGGTTAAAATGTCACCTCTTCAGAGAGGCTTTCCCTTCCTACCATACCTAAAGCACCATCTTCACCTCCACCATCCAAAGCCCTAGTATCCCTTTATACTATTATTCTGTTTTATTTTCTTCATGCATCACAGTACTTAAAACTACCTGAAATTTATTTCACTGTGTTTTTACTTTCTATTTCCCTCTGCTAAAATTTCTTAAAGCTCCATTAGGGCAGGAGACTGATGTGTCTTGTTCACTGTACTAATCACAGTATCCAGCGCAATACCTGGCACATTTGTATGTGCTCAATAAATATTGTTAAATATGCTGGGCATGGTGGTGTGCACTTGTAGTACCAACTGCTCAGGAGACTGATGCAAGAGTATTACCTACCCAGGAGTTTGCGCCCAGTCTGGGGAACATGGTGAGACTCTGTCTCTTGAAAAAAAAAAAAATTATACGTATCATTAAACAAAGATAGATGACATGTAAGCTGGATTGTTGGAAGGTAGTTAGGAACAGAAATTGTCAACAGGAACAGACAGAGATGTGGAAAAGGAAATCAAACACATTTCCTCTTACGTAAAATTTGATTTTCACAAATTTTTTAGGATAAAGTAATAGACTATTATGGTTGGAAGATATCCTAAAGCTTTTATCTAATTTTCTCATTTTGAGACATTAATACTTTAAAACATCCCCTTGATGTTTTCCTGAAAACTTCCCTTGGTATGTAAATCATTATCTCATGAGCTAACCTATTCTAATTCAAGCAACTCTATAACTATTAAAAGATTTTCTCGTATTAATCCCAAATCTGTTTGCCTGTTACTTATACACATTACTCCTGATTCTGATACTGGAGGTTCTCATGAAGACAAGTTTAATCCCTATTTCATGGGGCAGCCTTTCAAATATTCAAAGATACCTATAATACCCTCCTAAACTAAAAAACAAAAAATAGGTAACATTTATTAACAGTATCTGCTAGGCTCTGGGCTAAATATGTGAATTACTCAATCCTCACAACTACTCTAAAATAAAACTATTATGACTGTACCTATTTTGAAAATGAGAAAACTGAGCCGGTATTAGATAACTTGCCTAAGGTCATCAAGCTGGAAAGTGCTGGAGTCAGAAATTAAACACAGATGGTGCAAATCCAGAGCCTATATTCTTAACTGAAAGCCCCACTCTCTAAATGACTTCTGATCTTTGTACTATTTGCACTAAGCCGCTATGTGTAAATCACCCAGATAACTATGCTAAGGCACAAAACTCGACCAACTATCTCCCACCTAATGATGAAGGCACTATTGATTCTCAGGTATTTATAAAAACATTTATAATACAAGACTTAGTAATAAATAAGAGGATATGCAATATAAAGATTAACATTTGTCTACAAATACTAACCTATGCTTTCATTTTTATGCCTATTCTTCTTAAGCACACACTCCAAACTATCTGAAATATTTTCCATTTTCTCAACATACTCTTTATTTCAATACTCCTCTACCCTTTGTTTACATGATTCTTCCTAAAAGGACCTTCCTCCGATACTGCAGATACTGTGTCCTTAAAAAAATGGTAGTGCTATCGCAAGGACAGAAAACCAAACACCGCATATTCTCACTCATAGGTGGGAATTGGATAGTGAGAACACTTGGACACAGGGTGGGGAACATCACACAATGGGGCCTGTCGTGGGGTGAGGGGAGGGGGGAGGGATAGCATGAGGAATACTTAATGTAAATGACGAGTTAATGCGTGCAGCACACCCAACATGGCACATGTATACATATGTAACAAACCTGCACGTTGTGCACTTGTACCCTAGAACTTAAAAGTATAATTTAAAAAAAGGTAGTGTTACGAATATTTCATTTGCCCCTCCAGATCCATTCTTCATTCTCCTCCACCCTGTTCAGTGCCCCAGGAGACTCTTGTTTATATCCAAAGCCCCCCTTGCCCTCTGTCTTTGGGGTGGAGTCAACCAATGGAATACAAGAGCAGAAGACAGAAAGACAGGAAGTGAGCCTGGGGTAGTTATTCTCCCCCACTCTCCCACCCACCTCCACCCCTGCTCTCATGTAAAATCACCTCTGGTTAGTGATGCTCCTCTACTACCAGAGCCACGGCTTCTTTCAAATGAATCTCTATACAGCTACTCTCTGAGTCTTAACAGCTCCCTATTCTGCCCTTGTATGTCTAAAGGTGATAACGGCTATCTGCTGTTGCTCATCAGATACTCATACCATGTTCTCTTAACACTTCCCACTCTTTTATAAATCATTCCTTCATAAACTCTCCCTACTTTAGCCATTTGAGTGTGCCATCTATTTTCATTAGGACGCTCACTCTTACAGAGGGTCCCCAGGAGCAGGGAGGCTTGTGCAAGAATGGAAGGCAACAGCCAAGGCTTAATGTGTGATCTCAGTCCGAGACAAACAGCTTCCAAAACAATTCTACTGGTTGGATCGCTGGCTTTTCATCCTTTTTGACATAGTAGTGTTTACTTTTGTGTTATCTTTTGCCAAGACCAGTGTGCTGATATCTAAACGAATAAGCTGGTTTCTGGAATGAATTCTGAAAATGACTACAAATTCTTGAATAAAGCAGACAGACAGGATTGTGCTGCAGAAAAACTTCAAATGTCTAAGGGACCTTCCTTTCATTGTATACTTTCTGTTCATTTGGAGAACTCTATTAAATGGGTAGGATATCATCCATTCACAGCTAAGTTCTTAAAACTAGACTCTTTGCTTCATGCTTAAAATTTTTTTTCAAACATCTGATGGCTTTGCAGAGGCTGATGACAAATATATTTGTACTTAAAAGTTTAGTGTATTCATTAAAAAATATAGTAATGTCTTTCCTTTAACATTTTAAGGGTTGACCAGGGTTTAACATAATGCAAATAATATGATGAATAATAAGGTGAGGTATTTATAAATTCAAAAGTAAATTACTCAAAAGTGAGGAAAGGATTTTGAGAGAAAGAACCAAGTGTCCTTAGATTGTATAGAGGCTATAACACAAAATACATGCAAAAAAATGTAGGCCCACATGTATTTCTTGGCTCTAAGTACCAATTAAATATTGAGCTTAAGTAGGACTCTGTTACAAAAAGATGTGTCATGCTCAAAGCGTCGATACTGTCTCAGAAAAAGTAGATAATGTCCAATATTGGAAAGACAGCATACGTGTCCTCTTACCTGGATGTCTCCCCCTTTCTTCCTTTTAAACTCTTGAGCCCCCTGAAATAGGATTGTATGCTTCAAACCTTTTTTTTTTTTACTCTTGCATTAATTAAGCTTTTGGCCAAAATGTATTTCTTTTTATAATGTCTGAAAATTATTTAAATACTTCAGCAAAGTCAGTGTGATATTTACCCATTCAATAGCTATTTGAGCTCTTACCAGGCATTATTTTGGACATGGCAGTGAACAAAACAGACAAAAATTCTTTTATTATTATTATTATTATTATTATTATACTTTAAGTTTTAGGGTACATGTGCACAACGTGCAAGTTTGTTACATATGTATATATGTGCCATGTTGCTGTGCTGCACCCATTAACTTGTCATTTAGCATTAGGTATATCTCCTAATGCTATCCCTCCACCCTCCCCCAACCCCACAACAGTCCCCGTTGTGTCATGTTCCCCTTCCTGTGTCCATGTGTTCTCATTGTTCAATTCCCACCTATCAGTGAGAACATGCAGTGTTTGGTTTTTTGTCCTTGCGACAGTTTGCTGAGAATGATGGTTTCCAGCTTCATCCATGTCCCTACGAAGGCCATGAACTCATCCTTTTTTATGGCTGCATAGTATTCCATGGTGTATGTGTGCCACATTTTCTTTTTTTTAATTTAATTTAATTTTATTATTATTATTATACTTTAAGTTTTAGGGTACATGTGCACAATGTGCAGGTTAGTTACATGTGTATACATGTGCCATGCTGGTGTGCTGCACTCATTAACTCGTCATTTAGCATTAGGTGTATCTCCTAATGCTATCCCTCCCCACTCCCCCCACCCCACAACAGTCCCCAGAGTGTGATGTTCCCCTTCCTGTGTCCATGTGTTCTCATTGTTCAATTCCCACCTATGAGTGAGAATATGTGGTGTTTGGTTTTTTGTCCTTGCGATAGTTTACTGGGAATGATGATTTCCAATTTCATCCATGTCCCTACAAAGGACATGAACTCCTCATTTTTTACGGCTGCATAGTATTCCATGGTGTATATGTGCCATATTTTCTTCATCCAGTCTATCATTGTTGGACATTTGGGTTGGTTCCAAGTCTTTGCTATTGTGAATAATGCCGCAATAAACATACGTGTGCATGTGTCTTTATAGCAGCATGATTTATAGTCCTTTGGGTATATACCCAGTAATGGGATGGCTGGGTCAAATGGTATTTCTAGTTCTAGATCCCTGAGGAATTGCCACACTGTCTTCCACAATGGTCGAACTAGTTTACAGTCCCACCAACAGTGTAAAAGTGTTCCTATTTCTCCACATCCTCTCCAGCACCTGTGGTTTCCTGACTTTTTAATGATTGTCATTCTAACTGGTGTGAGATGGTATCTCATTGTGGTTTTGATTTGCATTTCTCTGATGGCCAGTGATGATGAGCATTTTTTCATGTGTTTTTTGGCTGCATAAATGTCTTCTTTTGAGAAGTGTCTGTTCATGTCCTTCACCCACTTGTTGATGGGGTTGTGTGTTTTTTTCTTGTAAATTTGTTTGAGTTCATTGTAGATTCTGGATATTAGCCCTTTGTCAGATGAGTAGGTTGCGAAAATTTTCTCCCATTTTGTAGGTTGCCTGTTCACTCTGATGGTAGTTTCTTTTGCTGTGCAGAAGCTCTTGAGTTTAATTAGATCCCATTTGTCAATTTTGGCTTCTGTTGCCATTGCTTTTGGTGTTTTAGACATGAAGTCCTTGCCCATGCCTATGTCCTGAACGGTAATGCCTAGGTTTTCTTCTAGGGTTTTTATGGTTTTAGGTCTAACGTTTAAGTCTTTAATCCATCTTGAATTAATTTTTGTATAAGGTGTAAGGAAGGGATCCAGTTTCAGCTTTCTACATATGGCTAGCCAGTTTTCCCAGCACCATTTATTAAATAGGGAATCCTTTCCCCATTGCTTGTTTTTCTCAGGTTTGTCAAAGATCAGATAGTTGTAGATATGCGGCGTTATTTCTGAGGGCTCTGTTCTGTTCCATTGATCTATATCTCTGTTTTGGTACCAGTACCATGCTGTTTTGGTTAGTGTAGCCTTGTAGTATAGTTTGAAGTCAGGTAGTGTGATGCCTCCAGCTTTGTTCTTTTGGTGTTGGATTGACTTGGCGATGCGGGCTCTTTTTTCATTCCATATGAACTTTAAAGTAGCTTTTTCCAATTCTGTGAAGAAAGTCATTGGTAGCTTGATGGGGATGGCATTGAATCTATAAATTACCTTGGGCAGTATGGCCATTTTCACGATATTGATTCTTCCTACCCATGAGCATGGAATGTTCTTCCATTTATTTGTATCCTCTTTTATTTCATTGAGCAGTGGTTTGTAGTTCTCCTTGAAGAGATCCTTCATGTCCTTTGTAAGTTGGATTCCTAGGTATTTTATTCCAGGAATCAAATTGTGAATGAAGCAATTGTGAATGGGAGTTCACTCATGATTTGGCTCTCTGTTTGTCTGTTATTGGTGTATAAGAATGCTTGTGATTTTTGTACATTGACTTTGTATCCTGAGACTTTGCTGAAGTTGCTTATCAGCTTAAGGAGATTTTGGGCTGAGACAATGGGGTTTTCTAGGTATACAATCATGTCATCTGCAAACAGGGACAATTTGACTTCCTCTTTTCCTAATTGAATACCCTTTATTTCCTTCTCCTGCCTAATTGCCCTGGCTAGAACTTCCAACAGTATGTGGAATAGGAGTGGTGAGAGACAGCATCCCTGTCTTGTGCCAGTTTTCAAAGGGAATGCTTCCAGTTTTTGCCCATTCAGTATGATATTGGCTGTGGGTCTGTCATAGATAGCTCTTATTATTTTGAGATATGTCCCATCAATACTTAATTTATTGAGAGCTTTTAGCATGAAGGGTTGTTGAATTTTGTCAAAGGACTTTTCTGCATCTATTGAGATAATCATGTGGTTTTTGTCTTTGGTTCTGTTTATATGCTGGATTACATTTATTGATTTGCGGATATTGAACCAGCCTTGCATCCCAGGGATGAAGCCCACTTGATCATGTTGGATAAGCTTTTTGATGTGCTGCTGGATTCGGATTGCCAGTATTTTATTGAGGATTTTTGCATCAATGTTCATCAAGGATATTGGTCTAAAATTCTCTTTTTTTGTTGTGTCTCTGCCCGGCTTTGGTATCAGGATGATGCTGGTCTCATAAAATGAGTTAGGGAGGATTCCCTCTTTTTCTATTGATTGGAATAGTTTCAGGAGGAATGGTACCAGCTCCTCCTTGTACCTCTGGTATAATTCGGCTGTGAATCCATCTGGTCCTGGACTCTTTTTGGTTGGTAAGCTATTGATTATTGCCACAATTTCAGAGCCTGTTATTGGTCTATTCAGAGAGTCAACTTCTTCCTGGTTTAGTCTTGGGAGGGTGTATGTGTCGAGGAATTTATCCCTTTCTTCTAGATTTTCTAGTTTATTTGCTTAGAGCTGTTTGTAGTATCCTCTGACGGTAGTTTGTATTTCTGTGGGATTGGTGGTGATATCCCCTTTATCATTTTTTATTGTGTCTATTTGATTCTTCTCTCTTTTCTTCTTTATTAGTCTTGTTAGCGGTCTATCAATTTTCTTGATCCTTTCAAAAAACCAGCTCCTGGATTCATTGATTTTTTGAAGTGTTTTTTGTGACTCTATTTCCTTCAGTTCTGCTCTGATTTTAGTTATTTCTTGCCTTCTGCTAGCTTTTGAATGTGTTTGCTCTTGCTTTTCTAGTTCTTTTAATTGTGATATTAGGGTGTCAATTTTGGATCTTTCCTACTTTCTCTTGTGGGCATTTACTGCTATAAATTTCCCTCTACACACTGCTTTGAATGTGTCCCAGAGATTCTGATATGTTGTGTCTTTGTTCTCGTTGGTTTCAAAGAACATCTTTATTTCTGCCTTCATTTCATTATTTACCCAGTAGTCGTTCAGGAGCAGGTTGTTCAGTTTCCATATAGTTGAGCGGTTTTGAGTGAGATTCTTAATCCTGAGCTCTAGTTTGATTGCACTGTGGTCTGAGAGACAGCTTGTTATAATTTCTGCTTGTTTACATTTGCTGAGGAGAGCTTTACTTCCAACTATGTGGTCAATTTTGGAATAGGTGTGGTGTGGTGCTGAAAAAAATGTATATTCTGTTGATTTGGGGTGGAGAGTTCTGTAGATGTCTATTAGGTCCGCTTGGTGCAGAGATGAGTTCAATTCCTGGGTATCCTTGTTAACTTTCTGTCTTGTTGATCTAATGTTGACAGTGGGGTGTTAAAGTCTCCCATTATTATTGTGTGGGAGTCTAAGTCTCTTTGTAGGTTACTCAGGACTTGCTTTCTGAATCTGGGTGCTCCTGTATTGGGTGCATATATATTTAGGATAGTTAGCTCTTCTTGTTGAATTGATCCCTTTACCCTTATGTAATGGCCTTCTTTGTCTCTTTTGATCTTTGTTGGTTTAAAGTCTGTTTTATCAGAGACTAGGATTGCAACCCCTGCCTTTTTTTGTTTTCCATTGGCTTGGTAGATCTTCCTCCTTCCTTTTATTTTGAGCCTATGTGTGTCTCTGCACGTGAGACAGGTTTTTTGAAGTGAGGAGTGTCTTTTAATTGGAGCATTTAGCCCATTTACATTTAAAGTTAATATTGTTATGTGTGAATTTGATCCTGTCATTATGATGTTAGCTGGTTATTTTGCTCGTTAGTTGATGCAGTTTCTTCCTAGCCTTGATGGTCTTTACAATTTGGCATGATTTTGCAGGGGCTGGTACCGGTTGTTCCTTTCCATGTTTAGTGCTTCCTTCAGGAGCTCTTTTAGGGCAGGCCTGGTGGTGACAAAATCTCTCAGCATTTGCTTGTCTGTAAAGTATTTTATTTCTCCTTCACTTATGAAGCTTAGTTTGGATGGATATGAAATTCTGGGTTGAAAATTCTTTTCTTTAAGAATGTTGAATATTGGCCCCCACTCTCTTCTGGCTTGTAGAGTTTCTGCTGAGAGATCCGCTGTTAGTCTGATGGGCTTCCCTTTGTGGGTAACCCGACCTTTCTCTCTGGCTGCCCTTAACATTTTTTCCTTCATTTCAACTTTGGTGAATCTGACAATTATGTGTCTTGGAGTTGCTCTTCTCGAGGAGTATCTTTGTGGCGTTCTCTGTATTTCCTGAATCTGAATGTTGGCCTACCTTGCTAGATTGGGGAAGTTCTCCTAGATAATATCCTGCAGAGTGTTTTCCAACTTGG
Source organism: Homo sapiens (assembly GCF_000001405.40). Classification (NCBI taxonomy): domain Eukaryota; kingdom Metazoa; phylum Chordata; class Mammalia; order Primates; family Hominidae; genus Homo; species Homo sapiens. Next base: position 14,662,864 of record NC_000011.10, on the reverse strand, counting down.
TTCCATTCTCCCCGTCACTTTCAGGTACACCAATCAGACGCAGATTTGGTCTTTTCACATAGTCCCATATTTCTTGGAGGCTTTGTTCGTTTCTTGTTATTCTCTTTTCTCTAAACTTCCCTTCTCGCTTCAGTTCATTCATTTCATCTTCCATCACTGATACCCTTTCTTCCAGTTGATCGCATCAGCTCCTAAGGCTTCTGCATTCTTCACGTAGTTCTCGAGCCTTGGCTTTCAGCTCCATCAGCTCCTTTAAGCACTTCTCTGTATTGGTTATTCTAGTTATACATTCGTCTAAATTTTTTTCAAAGTTTTCAACTTCTTTGCCTTTGGTTTGAATTTCTTCCTGTAGCTCAGAGTAGTTTCATTGTCTGAAGCCTTCTTCTCTCAACTCGTCAAAGTCATTCTCCGTCCAGCTTTGTTCCATTGCTAGTGAGGAGCTGAGTTCCTTTGGAGGAGGAGAGGCGTTCTGCTTTTTAGAGTTTCCAGTTTTTCTGCTCTGTTTTTTCCCCATCTTTGTGGTTTTATCTACTTCTGGTCTTTGATGATGGTGATGTACAGATGGGTTTTTGGTGTGGATGTCCTTTCTGTTTGTTAGTTTTCCTTCTAACAGACAGGACCCTCAGCTGCAGGTCTGTTGGAGTTTGCTAGAGGTGCACTCCAGACCCTGTTTGCCTGGGTAACAGCAGCGGTGGCTGCAGAACAGCGGATTTTTGTGAACCGTGAATGTTGCTGTCTGATCGTTCCTCTGGAAGTTTTGTCTCAGAGGAGTACCCGGCCGTGTGAAGTGTCAGTCTGCCCCTACTTGGGGGTGCCTCCCAGTTAGGCTGCTCGGGGGTCAGGGGTCAGGGACCCACTTGAGGAGGCAGTCTGCCCGTTCTCAGATCTCCAGCTGCGTGCTGGGAGAACCACTGCTCTCTTCAAAGCTGTCAGACAGGGACATTTAAGTCTGCAGAGGTTACTGCGTCTTTTTGTTTGTCTGTGCCCTGCCCCCAGAGGTGGAGCCTACAGAAGCAGGCAGGCCTCCTTGAACCGTGGTGGGTTCCACCCAGTTCGAGCTTACCTGCTGCTTTGTTTACCTAAGCAAGCCTCGGAAATGGCAGGCGCCCCTTCCCCAGCCTAACTGCCGCCTTGCAGTTTGATCTCAGACTGCTGTGCTAGCAATCAGTGAGACTCCGTGGGCTAGGACCCTCCGAGCCAGGTGCGGGATATAATCTTGTGGTGCGCCGTTTTTTAAGCCCGTCGGAAAAGCGCAGTATTAGGGTGGGAGTGACCCGATTTTCCAGGTGCCGTCTGTCACCCCTTTCTTTGACTAGGAAAGGGAACTCCCTGACCCCTTGCGCTTCCCGAGTGAGGCAATGCCTCACCCTGCTTCGGCTCGTGCACGGTGCGCTGCACCCACTGTCCTACGCCCACTGTCTGGCACTCCCTAGTGAGATGAACCCAGTACCTCAGATGGAAATGCAGAAATCAACCGTCTTTTGCGTCGCTCACGCTGGAAGCTGTAGACCGGAGCTGTTCCTATTCGGCCATCTCGACTATCCTCCTCTTAACCGCCACATTTTCTTAATCCAGTCTATCATTGTTGGACATTTGGCTTGGTTCCAAGTCTTTGCTATTGTGAATACTGCCACAATAAACATATGTGTGCATGTGTCTTTATAGCAGCATGATTTATAATCCTTTGGGTACATACCCAGTAATGGGATGGCTGGGTCAAATGGTATTTCTAGTTCTAGATCCCTGAGGAATCGTCACACTGTCTTCTACAATGGTTGAACTACTTATAGTCCCACCAACAGTGTAAAAGTGTTCCTATTTCTCCACATCCTCTCCAGCACCTGTTGTTTCCTGACTTTTTAATGACTGCCATTCTAACTGGTGTGAGATGGTATCTCATTGTGGTTTTGATTTGCATTTCTCTGATGGCCAGTGATGATGAGCATTTTTTCATGTGTTTTTTGGCTGCATAAATGTCTTCTTTTGAGAAGTGTCAAAACAGGCAAAAATTCTTATCTTCAGGATGCTTACATTCTCCTTTCTTGCTATTTAAATGTAAATATGTTATTTAACAAGAATTTATATTCTAAGGGTGATCAGCTAGCATTTAATCAGAAAGGCCACACTCCCGAAGCAGCTATTATAAGCACTTCAGAAGCTATTCCTATTAGCCCTAAAGACTAATGTAAGGCATATTAGAAATATAAGAAATATTAGAAAGAATAATATAAGGAATATTCTAGTATTAGAATATTAGAAGGGGCCAGGAATAGTGGCTCATGCCTGCAATCCCAGCACTCTGGGAGGCCAAGGTGGGCAGATGACTAGAGCTCAGGAGTTCAAGACCAGCGTGGGCAACACAGCAAAACCTCATCTCTACAAAATACAAAAAAAAAATAGCCAGGAATGGTGGCACGTGCCTGTAGCCCCAGCTACTCCAGAGGCTGAAGTGGGAGGATCGCTTGAGCCTGGGAGGCAGAGGTTGCAGTGAGCCGAGATCATGCCATTGCACTCCAGCCTGGGCAACAGGGCGAGACCCCACCTCAAAAAAAAAAAAAAAGAATATTAGAAGCAATAATATAAGGAATATTAGAAATAAGCTCTTGTCGTTGAAATTAGTGGCATTCAGTATGTGTGAACTCTCCTAAATATTTTGGGGATATTCCCCTCCCTTATAAACAGGGCATAAGATCTCGTAAACTCTACATCCTCTGTCTTCCAGAATGGCTCTTAGGGTTACAGCCAAGTCTGGAATTAATTTCGGAGGATTTTAATTGCCTAATGCTGACTATAAAGCTAACAATTATGCCTTCAGGGTATTGTTGCATCTGCCTAAAGAGAACCTTTTATGGAATGTGTGGGTGAACTATTTGGGGGAACACAGAACTGGGAGATCACTCAGTTTACCAAACAGATTGTATGAACTGCTTCTGCTGTGCCTGCTAATAATTTTGTCAAATACATGTTTACTAATTTTTAAAATGACAATCCTTACTTTTCAGAGAAATATATTATTTTCATCAAGATCTATTCAGGGTAAGCAGAAATAGGGGTAAACATAATAGAAATAGTCACAGCAAAAATGTGTTTGAATTAAAAAGATATTACTTGTAAAAAGATAAACTTCAGTTACCTGACAAAAATGTACTTGATGAGAACACATGACCACGTAGGGAGGAACAGCACACACTGGGGCCTACCGGAGTGGGAGGAGGGACAGGATGAGGAAAAATAACTAATGGGTACTAGGCTTAATACCTGGGTGGTGAAATAATCTGTACAACAAACTCCCATGACACAAGTTTACCTTTACAAACCTGCACATGTACCCCTGAACTTAAAGAAAAGTTTTTTTAAAAAATCACATTTCCAGAGTTTGCTAAATAATTATGACCAGTATTTTACTACCATCTTCTTCCTTGGTGAACTACTAAAATTAGTAAATTTATGTTAAAAATGAAGTTCTCCCTAGAAATCAAAAGTGCAGTCTAAGCACTGAAAATGTTCTATCAACACTTGTTAACTGAGAACCATTGAAACATCTAGGAATTTTTAACTCTGCAAGCCATATCTGAAAAAGTAATGTCAAAACTGTTTATAACCCTACTGCCTCACTATGACCTCACCTCAAATTATCATTCCATGCTCCTCCTTTATTTTAGAGGCAACTCCTGCACACAATGTCCTGCATTAGTTTCCATTCTCCCAACTTGCAACATTCTTCCAAGCTTCACCTATAAACTGAGGCATTCACCTAAGTAAGCTTCCCCTGCTGAAGAAGATTTTTGCTGGGTTTTGTGACATCAAGAACTTATTCCTTAGGCATCCTGTTCTTCAAGTTACTTTCAGTGATGAAATTATGAGTATTATGTATCAACTAGGAAAAAAATGTCCTGCGAAGTGATTTAAAAAAACAGTATTTAATCCAATAATCCAACTCAATAAACTATTTGATATATGCCAAGCACCAGGGTCACATAAATAAATAAGATACTGTCCCTGAATTTAAAGGACATAAAATGTAGAGACAGGAAAGGCCTATCAACCCAAATATGATAGAGAATATTAAGTGCAACAATAAATGCACAGAAATAAGTGACTTGATTTTGTCAAGAAAGAAACAAATGAACAAAGGCAGAATCTAGGCTCAGTTTTTAAATTATGTACATTCCATGCAACTATATAGACACTATAGTTACAAGAAAGGTGACATCTGGCGCGGTGGCTCATGCCTGTAATCTCAGCACTTTGGGAGGCCGAGGCGGGCGGATCACGAGGTCAAGAGTTCAAGACCAGCCTGGCCAACATGGCAAAACCCCCGTCTCTACTAAAAATACAAAAATTAGCTGGGAGTGTTGGCGCATGCCTGTAATCCCAGCTACTTGGGAGGGTGAGGCAGGAGAATCCTTGAACCCAGGAGACGGAGGTTGCAGTGAGCCGAGATAGTGCCATTGCACTTCAGCCTGGGCGACAAGAGCAGGACTCCATCTCAAAAAAAAAAGAAAGGCGACAAGCAAAAATTAAAATATATGTTGTCTAAAAGATGTCAGAATTTCAAATAGCTTTTTCTATTATCGTGTTGAGAGAGGCAATGCCTTTTTCTCAATCCTATGGCTTCTATGAGGAAGAACTGTTGCTAAATATTTTTGGACTCTCTCTACCCTTTCACTTATTTATCCCCTAGAAGGAGGATAGTGACTTACCTGACTGGTAAGTTTAGACTAAAGAATCATGTAAGCATAATTCTACCCCTTTTTTTGCTCTTGGAAGCCTACCCACTAGATGGAAGCAGAAGTTCTCCAATGCTTCTCCATGGATAGGCTCTCCAGGCAAACAGGGAAAATGTTCCTGGTCCTATTCTGCTAATGACCAGGGAAGTCTGTTTAACTCTGGGGTTTGGTATTAGAAAGCAAAACTATCTACTGATACAAGCCATGCCTTCGAATAACAGCTTTATCAGGAATACAGGTAGTATTCTGATATCTCATCTGTCACTCTCTTCTCAAAATTTGGGCAGGGAATTTGGGTGTTATTTTTTGAGACCTCTCAAACACTACAATATTAATTGCACTGCCTGTTTTATTATTTAAAATATAATCTTCACTTTTTATCTTACATTAAACTCCTAAGAATAATGACATTATGTGATTCTTTTTCATAGCCTTTATAGCTCCTAGCAGAATGCCCAGTAATGCTGCTGAAGAAATGAGTTTTCAGGTATTAAAGTTATTTGTAGATGGTGCATATTTTTACAACAAAAACAAACAAAAAATGACTTACATAATGATAAACACTGGTATTTAGTAATGTGTATGTAAGTATTTTCCCGTAAAGAAAAATATTTTCCCATATATTGGTAAAAATTCCTATCCATATTTATTTTTGTCTGCTTTTAACGATTACTATCTAACTGGTAGAAGCTCTTCAGGAGACTTTTTCTGAAAAGTGGAACAAAGTGTTACATTGAAGCAGTAAAGTAAAGTGACTAATACTGACTGGAGTGAAAAAGAGGGTTGGAAGAGTCACTTTTTTACATACAGTTTCTCTTCTTTCTGTTTCCGTATCTCTTATCTCCCTCTTACCATTCCTGGGGAGGTGCTGCATAGTTATCAACATGCTTAACAGACAGTGAACTGTGAAGGAAGAATTATGGGTAAAGACATTTGTTTGACTTCCCAGTGTACTCCCAACTCCAAAGTGACAAACTGGAACAAAAAGCTTATGGGACAGTAAATTATGACTGTAGCAGCTGACACATTTTTCTTCTGGAAGACCAAAGGTTCTTAATCTTTAACTCTGAAACTTTAAAAGAAAATAAATCCAAATTACCCCCCTTTTAATCACTTTTTAAATTACTCCTTGTATCTTTTCTTTGTTGTCCTAAATACTGACCACTGTTGAAAGAATTTCCCCTATATAATCCCTTATGGAAAGGATTTGCTTTTTTGCTTAATACCAGTCCCAAGAGAAGTATCGAGACAATAAAAACGGATTGTCTCATAGATCTAAATTTCAATTCGTTTTACCATTGATTTAGAGAAACTTGGCATAAACTATTAAATAATTCAAGGATGAGAATTTCAACTATTAATAGTAACAGCCATAACAACTAATCTGTTGAAAACTTGCCAGGTGCCAGACACTGTTCCAAGAACTTACAGGTTATTAATCCTCACAACATTTCATATCACATCTATTTCACATCAATAAGATAGGTACTGTGATTACCCCTAATTTATACACAGAGAAACTGGGGTACAGAGAAGTTAAACAACTTGTCCAACATTCTGTAAGTGGTAGAGATGACATTTAAACTCAAGCAGTCTAGCTTCACCACTGTGCAATAACTGTCTATTAAGGAAAATACCAAAGACAGTAGGAAATTGGGATCCATCTCCACCCACAGTTCTTTTCTTCACTAAAGGTTAACATGGAAACATTATAAGAAATGACAATAAGTATAAATATAATAACAGATATCCATTGTGAACTCCAAAATGTAAATGATAAATACAAAACAGAAATGCTTAGTTCTTACACTCAGGGAGTTTACATCCCATTTAGAGATGTAAAAGAGGTATCAACCATTCACATGTGAAAACTGGAACATGCATTAATCAATAGTCAAGCTCTTTAGCATTTCTCCCAAACCAGCTCATCTTCCAATGTTCCCTACATTAGCTAATGACACCAGTAAACTTTCAGTCACTAAGACTTTAAGCATCTTCATACCTCCTTTTTTCCAATCACCAGGGCTTTTCCACTCCCACTGTTCTCAGTCTCTCATATAAATGATTATAACGGGCTCCCTGCTCCCAATATTTTCATTCTCTGATCTACTTTTCCCATTGTCAATAATCTCTCTAAACTAAATAAAGAAAATGTCTCTTCTCTTCTGAAAATCTTCCAACATCTTCCACTGAATAAATCAAAAAGTTTAGGATGGCATTCAATATCTTCCATACATTACTCTCAACCAATCTTCCAGTCTTTTCCAGTAACATTCCCACACTAACTCTACACTCCTCACTTTACTAGCTTTCCATTCTGATTTCCACAACAATGTCATGAATTTTACCATCACATGGTTTACCAGTCTCAACGCCTGTCTCTACTTAATCAAGTCTTATATAATATGTCCTTCAAATGCCTCCTCTATAAAGACTTCCAATACACTCCCCCGAAAAACTGATCACTATTTGCCTTCCACAATGAGGTGCTCGACTGGAACACAGCAGTTACACAATTGTGTCTCATGGTGAGCTAGTCTGCACATCTGAGTCTACTAGATATAAACTCCTTAGGGATAGAACCATATCTTATTGATCTTTATATTTCCCCCACAGCACCTAGCACACTGAGATGCTCAAAAAAGGGGGCTAATAACTGAAAGGTAATTAAGACAGTATAAGAAGAGTATATTAATGTGATAGGAATGAATTAAAGGTATAAATAAAATATACAAAAGGAATGCTTTCTACTGTAGGTGAATTTGGAAATAATTATATGTGTGTGTATATATGTGTATGTATATATATAGACATAGACATTTATGTTATTAGGTATCTACAATTTTAAATTTTATCTTCTTGGTGAATTCAGTCTTTTATAATTACATAATGATCATCTTTTTCTCTAGCAAAGTGTTTTCCCAGTTTTTCTGATATTAATATTACCAGTTTTATTATAGTGTCTTGTGTCCTTTTTCCATTCTTTTATTTCCAACCTTGATAAATTCTTATGTTTGCAAAGAGTATACAGTCAGAAAATCCAAGTGGACAATCTTTATATTCTTTTAACAAAGTTTTTGCTTCTATATTTATTGTGATTCGTGGTAGTATCTAGATTTATTTCTATCATCTTTTTACATGCTTTAAGTATTTGTCCTGTTCGCCTAGGTTTCCTTTTTTGACCTCCTTTTTTCTCTGATATTAATTATTTGGTCTCCTTTTTTCCCTCAATTCTTTTGTCACCTCTATTTGTTTGGAAGCCATTCACACAATATCTACTCTTTCAGCAGTTGCACTAGCTCTGTGTGTGTGTGTGTGTGTGTGTGTGTGTGTGTGTGTGTGTGTGTAGACAGCTGCTGTGTATATATAAACAAGATTTAAAGTCAAACTCTTAGCCCTCCCCTTGAAATATAACTTTTTAACATACTCTTCTAATTTCTTCTTTCCAATGTAAATGCTATTGTTTTCTAGCACTTTAGTTCTAGTCTGTTCTCTTAGAAGACATTGTTAATAATGTCTTATAATAACAGTGTTTGTTTAGTTTTACCTATATTTATCATTAGTATACCTTCTTGATCTCATTCATTTCTTCTGCCTGAGTATGTACTTTCAGTGGTAAAAACTCCCTCAATTTTTCCTTTTCTAAAATTGTTTTAGCTTGCACTTTTCCTAGGGAGATAGTTTTGCGGGGCACTGATTTCTAGTTTGACACTTATTTTCTCTCAGCACCTGTCGGATGATATTCCACTGCTTTATGGATTCCACTGTGGCTACTAATAAGTCACCTTTCAGTAAAACTGCCATTCATTCTTTTGAAGGCCATTTCTCTTTTCTGAGTTCTTTTAGTAGTTATCTTTTTATTTAAGGTTCTGTAATTTTGCAATAATGTATGGGTTTCTTTTAATTTATTCTGCTTGAGATTCAGTGAGCTTTCTGGACAAAAACTTGGCATTTTTCATCAGTTCTTTAAAATGCTATTTTACAGACATTTTTTTCTAATATTTCTTCCTCTCCATTTTATTATCCCCTTTTCGAACTTCAATTAAGTCCAAGTTATACTTTACTTCTTATTCTCCAACTCTTCTGACCTATATAACTTTGTGTGTGTGTGTTTTGGGGTTTTGGGGGATTTTTCTTGAGACAGAGTCTCACTCTGTCACTCAGGCAGCAGTGCAGTGGTACAATCAGAGCTCACTGCAGCCTCGACCTCCCCAGCTCAGGTGATGCTCCCACATTAGCCTCCCAGGTAGCTGCGACTATAGGCATTCGCCACCATGCCTAGCTAATATTTTGTATCTTGTAGAGACAGGGTTTTGCCATGTTGCCCAGGCTGGTCTCGAACTTCTGGATTCAAGCCATCCACCCACCTCGGCCTCCCAAAGTGCTGAGATTACAAGCATGAACCACCACACTCGGCCAGCGACAGTTTTTTTAATCACCTGTCCCCCAATCATTTTTTTCAGGTTTCTATTTTATTTCTTTCATCATAATAAACGTGTTTTTATATTTCTTATATAATCCGAAGCTTTGGTGGGTGTGGTTTTTTTGTTGGTTTTTTTGGTTTTTTTTTGAGACGGAGTCTTGCTCTGTCGCCCAGGCTGGAGTGTAGTGGCATGATGTCGGCTCACTGCAAGCTTTGCCTCCCGGGTTCAAGCCATTCTCCTGCCTCAGCCTCCCGAGGGCGGATGTGTTTTTGTTGTGTACTTTTTCTTAGGTTCTTATTCATAGTGCCTTATTACCTTGCCTGATTTGTGGATTTTTGACTAGGCACTGCTGAATTTCCTTGGGATTTTATCTGTAGGAATTATTTGAGGCCTTGGAGAATCTGAATTTGCTTCTAACCATTGCCTTGGAACATTGCCAACCTGAGGCCAATTTAAATTTTTACGTGAGGTTTCTGAGTCTACATATGCAGCACTAATTTTAGGGATCAAAAACTAAGTTAAGACCCTGAAGATTCCACCAAAAAAAACCATTAGAACAAACAAATTCAGCAAAGCTGCAGTATATAAAAATCAACACATACAAATCAGTTGCATAGAGTTATATACTATAAATAATTCAAAAAGGAAATTAAGAAAACAGTTCTATCTGCAACAGCATTGAAAAGAATAAAATGCTCAGGAATAAACTTAACCATGGAGGTGAAAGACTCATACACTGAAAACTATGAAATATTGCTGAAATAAATTAATATACAAATAAATCAAAAGATATCCCATTTTCATGGATTAGAAAACCTATTATTGTTAAGATGCCAGTGCTACTAAAAGCAATCTACAGATTCAAGGCAATCTCTATCAAAATCCCAAAGATGATTATACTAAGTGAAATAAGCAAGTCACAAAAAAATACTGTATGATTCCACTTATATGAGGTATCTAAAGTCCTCAAATTCATTGAAACATAAAGTCAAACGGTGATTATCAGGGGACAGCGGAAGGGTAGTTGTTATTTAATGAGTATAGAGTGTCAGTTCTGCAAGATGGAAAAGATAGGGAGATCTGTTTCACAACAATGTGAATATACTTAACACCACTGAACTGTACACTTAAAAATAAAGAACAGAGTAAATTTTATGGTTTTTACCACAATAAAAAATAAACCCCAATGACATTTTTTGCAGAAACAGAAAAATTCATCCTAAAATTCATATTGGAATCTCAAAGGACACTCAAATAGCCAAAATAATCTTGAAAAAGAACAAAGTTTGAGGTCTCAAACTTCATGATTTCAAAACTTACTAAAAGATACAATAATCAAAACAGTGTGGTACTGACAGAAACACAGACGTATAGACCTATGACATAGAACAGAGAGCCTAGCAATAAATCCTCACATGTACTGTCAAATAATTTTCAACAAAGAAGCCAACACTTTGTTGAAAGGTTATTAACAGTTTTTTTCAACAAATGGTCTTAGAAAAATGTAACATCCACAGGCAAAAGAATAAAGTTGGACCATTACCTTACACTGTAATTATACAAAATTTTGTATACAAAAATTAACTCAAAATGAATCAAAGACCTAAATATTAGAACTAAAACTTTTATAAAACTCCTCAAAGAAAACACAGAATGAGAGCTTCATTACATTGAATTTGCAGTGATTTATTTGATATGACACCAAAATCATAGGCAACAAAAGAAAAAGTAGATAAACTTCATCAAAATTGAAAACTTTTGCACATCAATGGACACTATCAATACAGGATATTAAGTCTTATTAGAAAGCTATTATAACTAAGATAGTGTGGTATTAACACAAGATGCATAAACTAACAAATCAAACATAATAGAGCCCAGATACAGTCATACATATATTGAAATTTGATATAGGACAGAGGCAGCACTGATGAATGGAGAATAAATAAACTTTTCAATATAGTGTGTTGGCATGACTGGATATCCATTTGGATAAAAAATGAGATTGAATCTCTACATCACAACATACATATAAATCTAGAAATTAGAAAAATGCAGATTACAATCACAAAGAAATGCCATTTCATACCCACTAGACTAGCCAAACTTAAAAGTCAGTAAATAGGAAGCACTGGTTGATAAGAATGTGGATCCAGGGGCATTCTTACTCACTGATAGCAAAAATATAAATGTATCAATTTATATTCAGCATCCATTTTGAAAAACAATTCAATTTTACGTAGCTTTAGTTTTCTGTTTCTACCTACATGGGCTGAATTGTATCGCCCCAAAAAAATATGTTGAGTCCTAATCCTCAGTACCTCAGAATGTAATCTTATTAGGAAATAAGGTCTCTACGGGGATAATCAGGGTGGACCCCAATCCAATATGACCTGGATCCTTAGAAGATTAGAAAATTTGGAAACAAAGACAGGTACAGGGAAAGACTATGTGAACATACAGGGAGAATGCCATGCGAAGATGAAGAATGAGATCAGCGTGATGCATCTGCAAGCCAAAGATTGCCAGTAAACCACCAGAAGCTAGGAGAAAGACATGGAACAGATTCTCCCTCACAGCCTTCAAAAGGAACCAACCCTGGAGATAACTTGATCTTGGACTTCTGGCCTCCAGAACTTGAGACAATTCATTTCTGCTGTTCAAGCCACCTAGTTTGTGCTACTTTGTCATGGCAGCCCTAGCAAACTAGTATGCTCCTGTAACAAATTATCGCAAATTCAAAGGCATAAAATAACACAAATGTATCTCGTAGGTCTGCAAGTCAGAAGTCTGATATAGGTCTCACTAAGCTAAACCAAGGTGCTGGTGGGGCTTCAATACTTTCTGGGAGCTCTAGGGAAAAAATCTACTTCCTTACCTTTTTCATCTTCTTAGAGGCTGCCTGCTTTCCTTGGCTCAGGGTCCCCTTCTTTCATCACCAAAGCTAGCAAAGATGGGTTGAGTAATCTCGGCTCACTGCAAGCTCCGCCTCCCGGGTTCAAGCCATTCTCCGGCCTCAGCCTCCCAAGGGTGGATGTGTATCACACTGTATTACTCCAACCCTGCTTCCACTGTCAAATCTTCTCTAATCTCTTCTGCCTCTCTCTTCTACTTTTTAAGGACCCTCATGATTACACTGCACCCACTCAGATAATCCTGGATAATATCTTCATCTCAAAATCCTTAAACCCATCTCCAAAGTCCATTTTGCCACATAAGGTAACATATTCTCAAATGTGGACATCTTTGGCCAAGGTGGGCAGATGGCTAGAGCCCAGGAGTTTGAGACATGCCTGGGCAACACAGCGAAACCCCTTCTCTACAAAAAAAAGATACAAAAATTAGCTGGGCATGATGGCACGCACTGCAGTCCCACCTAGTCAGGAGGCTGAGGTGGGAGGATTACTTGAGCCTGCAAGGCAGAGTTTGCAGTGAGGCAAGATTGCACATCACTGCACCCTAGCCTGGGCAACAGAGTGAGACCCTGTCTCAAAAAAAAAAAAAAAAAACATTGCTGAATGCAAGTTGTATGAAATGTAAGGAAGAGGTGGCCAAAGAACGTGCTGTAGCAGATGGAGGAGGAGAAATCTGTAAAGTTATCTGCTAGGTAAATCAATGCCAGAAGGAAAGTTGTTGGTTGTAAAAGAAAAAAAAAAAAGTGGGAGATACACTCTTCTGCCCCAAGTTCTAAGAACAGGCTTATAACAACAACCTAAATAAGTGCAGATCAGCTTGTAAATAACAAGATGAACAACAAGTCAATGTTATAAACTGTCAGGAACCACCCACAGACAGAACCCAGTTCTTCCAAAATGTTGTTTAGCTAACAGTTTTTCAGTTTCTTTTGTTTAAACTGAATGCCTTTAAGCGAAGCAGGCAATAGTCAGTTCACTTCCATTCTTCCTACTCTCCTTTTGACCCTCCCCTCTGTCTTCAACATATAAAATAAATGTTATGTAGGTACATGAGTTTGCGACCAGCTGCATCCTTACAAATTACTCTGAAATAACTGTATCAGAAGTTTGTCATCAAGGTCATTACAAACTATAGGATTTTCAAGAGTCCCTCTTAACTGACTCTCTCTCACTTCTTGCCTACCTCCTTTAACCAGAGACACTGCCTTTTTTCACATAATTGGAGATACCTGGCAAAATTAAGTACAGCCTTGGAAGGCTATGATGGGAAGTATATATGCTCCTTGTGGAAAGTAAAAGTGGACTAGGAGTAAAGACCTAGGTTCTAGTCCCCGTTTTCCAAATATCTCACAGAATAACCCTCAGCCAGTATTTTTATCTCTCTGGAGTTCAATTTATTTTCCTTGTACAATATATAATGAGCAGATTTCAATTAGATTAGATAAACTCTGAACCTGTCCTATATTTTATATATCTATACCAACATTTATACTGAAATAGGCTTTTTCGGCAAGAATAAATTTTTGCTTTGAATGGGGTACAGAAGGCTTAGAAGAGTGTGCTAGGGAAATAAGCTGACTTGGTAATTGAAAGGGAAAAGAGAAAGAATGAGAGAAGGGCCTGCCACTGAGGAGGACAGAGTCTGATGACAATGAAAAACAAACTTTATGCTTTTACTTATGGTTACCTTCTACTAAGTGTATAAAAACAAATTATGGAGATGTGACTATCTAATGCACTATAATGGAAATACTCATCAGCACTGTTTCATATGGTTTGTCAACTTTTATTTTTAAATATGGCCCATTCTGCTATAATTTGTTCTCAGCTTATACATAAATTTGAGTATCAGTGCACTGCCTAAAGTCTTCCTAATCTTATTTGTTCCTTAAAGGAGATTTCAACAAGTGGAGATGTTAAAATCAAAAGAGAAAAACCCACAACAATGTCAATAACAAGAAGCAGCCCTCAAATAGCTAGAATGCATGTGGAGAGGGAGTGTCCCATTAGTAATAAAATGCTTTTTAAAAAAATAAAACAAAAAATGGCAGAGTGCAGATTATGAAGGACTTTGCAAGCAAGGGTCAAGGGCATGAACAGTATCCTGTGGACAATGAAAAGCCATAAGAGATTTTTAAAACAGAGTGACTCTATCAAATCTGTGTTTTTGAAAAATAATACTCATGGCAGAGTACATACTATATTTACAAAATAAAGTATAAAATTATTATGTAGGCTGATATTTTACCACAAAATAGTAACATGAAATTGGAATAAAACACTCACTCACTGAAGCCATAAAATAAATTTCACAAATACTACAGTATTCTTAAAGAAATTAACAGGGAATTATGCCTTGCAAATTCCTTAGGTGAGTAAATAACCACACTTTAAAAAAAACTCTCTTTTTTAGGCTCTCACACTACATATGTATACCTTTTTCAAATAAAATTAAAACTTTAAGTAATATTTATGGGCATTAGGGCCACGGAATTTTTAAATATTTACCTAACCATTTAGAAAGCACTTAGCACTAAAGGTATAGAAAAATATCTCACACACTAACTTATGCCTTTCAAAACCTTGTATTTACCTAGTCAAACACAAAGTGATCTCATTGAAAAGCTGAAAATTGCACTGTAGAATATGCAATTAAAATGGCATAGAAATGTAGCTTGTTTAATTCTGATTAAAGCTTCTATGCAGACGACTGATTTTTTTAAACTTCCTATTAGTTTCTGCTGATTCTTGGCAGATAAGACTACAAACTCAGTGCTTCTTTCCATTAACCCACCAAAGCAGAACACCATTAACAGCACCTAGATTTGGGCTTCAAATCTCTAAATGCTTTGCCAAAAAAAAAAAAAAACCTTAGTTAAGAACTGAACTGATACATATATAGCATTTAAATCAAATATTATAAATCTAATTATAAAATCAAATGTTTTACAAACATGCCATTATTTTTCAACACAGTAATATAACATCCCAAAAGTTAAAAACTACTTTAAATCTATTATTCTACAATTAAAAACATTTCTATTGATAGAAGTTTAAGTGGCTTTCAAAGAGGTTAATAAAAATGTTTAAATTCTTAAGGAAATGAACATGTAATAATTTTGTTACCATCCTACAAATGAACCCCCATATACTTTTTTAAAGTCCTATCCAAAATATACAGGATATTTGCTCATCTTTTTCAATTATTATACCTTGGAAAGTATAGGTTAGCAAGGTCAACATTCAACATTTAAGTAAAACTTCAAGAACTACTAGTTTGTGACATCTTATTTTATTTTAATTTCTACCTTACCAAAAGTGTAAACTAAAAGAATTTAATTTTAGAATTAGAAGGTATTATATAATTTAATTTTAGAATTAGAAGATATTACAGAATTCATCTACTAGGATCCCTTAATTTGACAGGATACTAAGATTCAGAAAGGTTCACAGACTTTTCCAAAATTAAACAGTTAAGCCAAGACTCCTCAATCCTCTGTCTATGAATCCAGGACATTTTCTCCTATGTCAGGTCCCATCTAAAATCTTTTCATCTTCCTTCACCTTCTGAAACAAGCAAGTGTTTTTACCATTGTCATATACAACACTTTGAAAATCAGAAAATCTCCTGATCTTTTACTTCCATAAAAGTACTGATTTCCTCTCAATATATTTAACATAATATACATGCAAACAAAAAGCACAAATCCACTGTTAGACTTCTGGAACAAGCATAAATAAACATTCTTGTTATGATAGTATCTGCTAAGTTAAAAATACCCTTTTCTAGTAATGTCAAAATAGAATTATTTTGTAGACAGAATATTAGGTAGGCATGTATAAACCCTGAACTATTCACATATACTTTAAGTGTGCAAAAATGTTCCTATTAGAAGTAGAATGTGAATAAGGGTTTTCTGCACTAAGAAATTACACCCTCTTTAGAAGCACAAATTGTATTTTCCTCTAATATAAACAATAATTGAAGCTACCTGGTATAGCTATATACATATATAGCTATGCTGTGATGGAAAGAGCACCACACTAGGATTAAGAAGCCTAGAAATTTTCCACTTACAAGAGGACAGACAGAATTACCGCACCAACAAATTACAATTAAAATATGTTAAACTGTAACTGTTAAGTTCAGGAAAATTGCCCACAAAAGTGATGAAACTGCTAAAACAATTTTCCAGTGTTAAAAAATGCAATTTGTTCACATTTGGTCAAAATTCAATTAATTCCATTCTATGAAAATAGTTGATACCACTTTGTTCCATAATAAATCCTCTCAAAACAATTTTTCTCCCGACACACATTTTCCTAAAGTACTATCTATTATCACTGGTAGTAAACTGAGAAAACAAAAGGCATAACAGAACTTTTTCAAGTGGTTGACCACAGAAGTGGCCTCTGAAGCCAAATCAAGAAGCAAAGTATTGTGTCATTGGAACATTACAGATCAGTGTTCAACACGTCATAAAACCAATGTAGTAGCTTGGAGATTATTTCGAAGAGAAGACAGACAAGAAGTGAAGGAAGAGAACAGAAAAGAAGAGAGAAGAATGCATCAAATGCATTAAGGACAAGAAACTTTTGTCTCCAACATATTGGCTCCCAGTGTAAAGCATATCACTAATCCAAAAATTCAGAAAACCTAGGGTGTACGCTCTTACTCTCCTACTTAAAACCACTATACTTACCAGTTAGTCGTGCAGAACACAGCACTGAAAACTCAAAAATCTAATCAAATCCCAGAACTACCACTTAACTAGACATGTGAAGCTGTGTTACCTCTATATGCCTAGATTTCTCATCTCTAGAGGTTAATGGCACCAGCCAAACACCGTTCTTGTGAGGATCTGAGACAGTATGTGTAAAATGTTTTGCACTTCATAAATGCTCAATAATAGTAACTATACTTATTAAGTTTCTTGGTGATGTACAACAGGTAGCTTTTCCAATACTATATAAAGATGTAAACTCATTTGCTAATGATTTCAATCCCTTTTAAAAAAAAAACAAAAATATGTAAACCTATGGTGAAAAAATGGAAATGCTTTTGGCATCTTTCCAGGAATTACCAAGTTTAAAGTTTAAACTGTTAAAACAGTCTCCTAATTATGCAACAAATACAAAGAACATTGAATTAATCTGTAAAATATTATATTCACCTATACTGCTGTCTTTTCATCTAAATTACTCTCATTTGCAAAGCTCATGTCTTGTAACGATAAAATCTCAGATTTTTCCTCTCGATTTTCAATAACGAAACCACACTGATTAAAACTCATAGATGTATCCTCTCATTCTAAAGGCTGTATGTTATTTTTGGGTAGGCATCATTATAACAGCAAACAGATAAATGGCACCAAAAAGACACATATCAGAGGATGCCAAAAGCGGGAGTAGTCAATCTATTCAACCACAAATGATTCACCTCATTCTTCTGCGAACTCATCTATTGCATATACAGTCCTTAAAAAGTGCCATGTGATTAGCGGGCTATTTGATTTCTATTCAATGACAAAAGCTACTTGCTTCTGCATTTTTAAAAGGCTTCCTGTATTTTAAGAATCCTTTCCAGAATAAAACATTATTTCCTCCCCCCCCCCCCCCGCAACACACCCTTTTTCCATTCTGAAAGTTAACATGCTTTGAAATAAGCGAATTCAACTCGGAAACTGCAGCGGTAAACCCGAACCCGCTCGCGTCCCAGACCTCGCCTTCCAGCTAACATACCTGTTCTCTGGAAATACAAGGCAACGACGGTCTCCTGAATATTTTGCAACTGCCATAGTAACTGGCTGCAGTTTCTCCTAACGACACGCAGCTGGACCTCCTCCGGGGTCGGATCACAGGCACTTTTTCTTCGGCGGCACTGGACAGTCGAGGATGAAGAGGCGCTTCCCTGATTTGAAAGAAGTGATCCAACCCCAGGGCCAGCAGGCAGCCAGCGCCCCCCACCAGGCCGGAGAGCAGCGGCCTGAGGGCGGAGGGCAGCGACCCGAGGCTGGTGAAGGAGACCCACCAGACGAAGCTGGCCAGGAGCAGCACCAGAACGCAGTGCCGGAGCCGCAGCGGGTGCGCGAGCGTCAGCAGCAGCCCTACGCAGCTCAGCACCAGCAGCAACCTGCCCGCTGCCGCCTCCGGGGGCGTGTGCGGGGCCGCGGACCCTGCGTCGCCATCCCCCCAAGGCCAAGACCACCACTGCCACACCAAGAAGTCCCCCAGGTAACAGCAGGCGGGCAGCGCCAGCAGCCACCAGGAGCCGCAGCTCCGGCCCGGGCCGGGTCCCCGCTTGGTCCGGGTGAGGAAGCAGGTGAGGAAGAAGAAGGCACAGGCGATGCTGAAGAGGGGGCTCAAGCTGTGCGAACACACGCTCAGCAGCGTCCGCAGCCAGGCGGCCCCGGCAGCCCAGCTCTCGGGTTCCGCGCCCAGCAGCAGGGCGAGGACAAAGGCAGCCAGGGCGCCCAGCGAGAGGCGCGCCCGGCAGAAGGGGGAGCAGCGCCGCGGCTGCTGGGGAGAGGCCGGCGGCGGCCGCAGCTCCACGTTGCAGAAGCGGCAGAGGTGGAAGAAGAAGCCGCGCGGAGGGTCCTGCCGCAAGGGGCTCACGCAGCTCTTCACGTAGCCGTTCCTCAGACTCTCGGGGGGCGAGCCGGCCCCATCCGGCGGCTGCAGGGACCGCATGGCTTTGGCGTCTCGCTCGTCCCTCCTCATGGCTGGGGCCGGGGGTGGCCACGGGACTCAGCACACCCCGCTCGTACCGTAGCGGCCGCTCGCGCTCCCAGACCCCAACCCCCGCGTTCGGGGCGCCCCCTGGTTCGCAACCCGTCAGGGCTGCGCCGGCCGCCACGGCCCGGGGTCCCCACCGCGCGGACTGAGGAGCGGCGGAGTCCGGGACATGCTGGCTGAGGAGAGGGGCGGAAGGGGCTTCTCTCCAGGACCAGTTTAGCTGCCGCCTCCTTTTCCCTCGGGCACCTCTCGGGACTGGAGACTCAGTGTCGCCTCCCACCTCCGCTGGCTGCAACAGTTACCTCACGGCCCCAGCCTGGTCCGTTGGGCGCGCGAGCGGCGGGCGGGCGCTCCTCCCCCGCGACTGCCCCGGCCGGGCGCGCGCCCAGCGCGCGCTCACGACTTGTCCCGCCGCCACCCGCGCCGCGGCCGCCCAACAGGGACGCGAGCCGGGACCACGCCGACCCAGCGTGCCCAGGCCGAGGAAAGCGCGGCGGCGGCAGTCCGAAGACCCACCGGGACTGAAAGAGAAGGACGAGGTCATCTTCGGACGGGAGGGGCAAGCCAGCCATCCTGGGACCCCAGGCGTGCAGGTTCTCTTTGAGGGTAAGTCACGGACACCCAGCCAGAATCCCACAGGTCACTACTGGGGTCTTCGGGAAAGAGGGCGTTTGTGGTCCCCAAGGGGTGTGCTTAGTGGGGATGCTGAGCTAAGGGTGGGAGGGGAGGGGCGCTGTCTCTAACCTTAGTCCCTTTCAGGGTGGGTCTTCAGACTGTGACCAGTTTAGGGCCAGCCACCACCAAGGCCATGGCGAAGAAACCCTAATCGCTGTGGCTAGATCTAGCCTCAGAAGCAACGTGGATTCTTGGGCCACGCAGCAGGCCCAGGATCCTTGCAGTGGCTCTTAGGGAGGAACGTGCACGTGGAGTGCACTCTAGTAGCACTCCACGTGCACGTTCTTGAGTGTTGCTCAAGAACCATCTTCACAGGCGAAGAACTAACGTCTCGCCTTCCATTTTGTACCCTTGTCATACATATCCGCCGGTTCACAACTTGTATCCCCTTCCACACAGCACAGATTTGCTGTCGCAATTGGTCTTTGCAAATTGAAGGCTTTTTCACTGTAACAGCACTTTCTAGATGGGGGAGCGGAGAGAACTAGGAATCCTCTCCAAGACCACTCCCCAGTTTGGATCAGCAGGCCTTGAAGGAAGCCGAATAAGATGCTATCTGTGAAGTACTGGTGAAACTAGCAACATTAGGAAACACAGACCTGAAAGCGAGAAGAAAAGAACTTTACTACACCAAAGGGACTGCTCTGGAATCTAACCAATCATAACTGCCTTAGAGAGTGAACTGTGTTTCCCTCCCTAAGCTCTCGCTTCAACCTCATGACCGGACTGCATTTCTCAAAGAGCTAATTCCACATTTTTCCAGGCAGATGAGAAACCTTACTGTGTGGTAAATCCCACAAACAGGCCCATTTTTCACCAATTAATCTCTGCCCACAGTCATGACCTAAAACAGACCATTTTCGTATATGGTCATAGTTCACATGCATAGCAAAAGGCACTAAGAAATTAGCACAAGAATTTAACCAAAATGAAAAAGTTCCAGAATTCCCTTTCCTTTGCTTTTCCTTTTCTAATGTATTACCCAAATGCTTGTCCTAAAAGATAAAAATTCAAAAGGTCATTTTATCCCCATGACAAGAAAAAAAATGCTCATTTCAGCAAAACTCAGCAAATGTATTTTTTATATGATGTGCATAGAACTCATTACCACCAGTTGAAGATTAAAGTAAAAAATGGATACATTTTGAGTTTGTACAGAAGGGCGTGACAAAACTAGCACCAGCATTATTGAAATTCCCGTTATAAATTCCATAGGAAATAATAAATTGATTTGAAAATTAGAACAAATTCAGATTAACAGGTGTGTGTGTGTGCATGTGCGTGTATGTGTGTGGGCATTTAATCTGAAGTTATCATCTAAAGTAGGATTGGCACGTGATCATGGAAACGGTAGGGAGTAGAAATCCAGTTTTGTGAGTTTTTGTCTGGGCCTAGCCATTCATACTCTGCCATTAAGCAATCCTATAACTTTTACTGGCCTTGTTCTTCTCAAATGTGAAATGAAGCAATTAATTTAGATAACCTTTGAAATCCTTTCTAGTCTTAAAAAGCTCTGATTTCTGTATGCCAAAAATACATAGGCATCCTTAAGACTCACCTTTCAGGTTGCCAATAATATAATAAGAGCAAGAGCCAAGAGCAACCTTTTATATTATTTATACTACCAAACTAAACCAAAGTCTCAGTGTTGACAAGTAAAAATAAAGGGATTGTGTCAAATGACTGTTTTCTGAAAAATAAAATCCAAAGCCCTCTTCACAAAATCGTCTTCAAGATTCTCTAGCCGCCTTTTAGCTGTCATTCAGGTTTTTATAAGGCTACAAGCCCAACTCTTTCAATAACCCATAGTCGGAGTGCATCCCTCTGAAGGCCAACCTAGCACCTGAGAGAATTCTAAAATAAAGTGTAAGGACGTGACCAAAGACCATCAGAAGTTTACTTAACTAAAAATATGCACAAAAAGAATGAGCTAGCTATGTTTATAGTAACTCCCTTCTCTGTTTACAGTCTTTGTCAAAGATTATTACTAGGCCACATTTCTTAGAGGTCAGATTATTTAATTATTCCCTTGCCAAACTTAAACAACCAATAAAATTACTTAGTTCTTTAGGTTCAAGAATTTATGACCATTATCTGTCATGAAAAAAACTGAAGTCACAGTATACCTTTGACTTTTCCCAGCACTTTACCCCATCCTTATTTTACCTGACTTTGCCTTCCCTCACGTCTTTTTTTTTTTTAATTATTATTATACTTTAAGTTCTGGGATACATGTGCAGAACGTACAGGTTTGTTACATAGGTATACACGTGCCGTGGTGGTTTGCTGCACCCATCAAGGCGTCATCTACATTAGGTGCCTTCCCTCACGTTTTGACCCATCATCTCTCCACTCCTTAGTGGATCTCTCCACTCTCCTGGTTTACCATGACATGGGATCCTGGCTGTTACCACCCTGCTCCCAAGTCATTTTAGGACAATGCAAGCCCCTGGGTATTTCTTTTTTTCTAATTTCTCAGGATAAAGTGGTCTGACACATTTTAAATATCAAAGAAACTCAGAAATAGGCAGTAAATTAACCAGTATCATTGAGATTCCAAATTTATAAAACTAGAGTCATCCCTGAAGATACATGCAAAACCTTATAAGGTTTTTCAAAGAATTAAATAATTAACATTTACGACCTTATATTTAAAAACAAAAATGGACAAGCTTTTCTCTAGCATAGAAAGGATCATTGTTTTCTGTGTGCAGTAGCGACTCTGTTGCCCAAGTATGTTAACAATACCTATGTTCCTTCCAGCTAATACTCATCTCAGAATCTGAGCCTCATTTTGACTCATTCTTTTAGTTCTTTTCAACAAGTAGCTATTTAGTGCCCACTATATGCCGAGATTTGTACTAAATGCTATTTAGAACATTTTTTAAAACTATAACAGGTCCTTCAGAGTTTTCTCAGAGCTGCAGCTTTATCTGGGAGATAGAATGTCTGCACATAGACTATTAAATAGCACAAAAGAATAAATATGTGATTAAGAACTGTTGAGAACAATGTGTTAGGACTATTAAAACAGAAGAAAATCATTTTCTTCTAGGGTGCCCCCACTGTGTAATTGTTTCAGCTTGTTCTCAGTTTCTCATTCTTCTAGTTCCATTTCTCTCTCTTACAGTCTTCCTTCTTTCTCTCCCCAGCATCTGTCCAGATGGCTGTCTTCTGATCTCTCTCCTCTTTCCCCCGACCTCTCTCTTTCAACTCTGTATTATATTCCCTAACTTCTTTTACTTCTCCTACGTACCATCCCCCCTCTACCAGCATTTAATCTATCTCCATTAATGAATGCATTCATTCATTCAGTATTTATTATGTGCCCGGTGTGCTGGACACTGTGCTAGATGACAAAGATATAATGGTGAAGATGTGGTTCCTTAGTCTAATGAAAGCAAGACAGTAAGAAGACTATTACAGCCCGTTGTAACAGGAGCTGTGATACAGAGGTAATAATCCTCAGTGTACTCTGGGATCTCAGGAGCCCAGACTACAGTAGGAGTAGCAGGTAAGGAGTAATGCTCTGGAGGACTCAGAGAAAGTGATTTCTAGGCTTGATATTAAAAGGTGAATATAAGTTACCTAAGTAAAGTAAGTAGAAAAGATAATCTGGGCAAAGGAAGCAAGCAGTGCAAAAATCTGGAGGAATTCAGCTATAGTGCATTTGGATAACTCAAGTATCCTATGGCTTAAGTGTAAGGTATGATGGGACTACAGAGATGGTGTGGCCCTACTAATGGAACTGGAGTTTGTTATTATTTGTTACATAAAGGTTTATGTTCTGTTATCATATTTGCTTATTTACATGGCTAGCTCTGCAATATATTCTTCAAACAAGAATTCTCTCTTATTCAATCTTAGCTCAATCTTCATGCCTATAGCAAGTACTTAGCCTACAGCAAGTCCTCAGAATTTTTCAAGTGTGTTGATATTTCTCAAAACTATTTTAATAAATCAGACTTTAACTGTATTTCCTTTGATTTTTGGCTTTATTAGTCAATGAATTTTAATAGAAAACTCTTAAAATAGAATATAATAGAAAAAACTTTTCATATTGTGATTTTAAAATATTTTTCTTAACATTCATTTGCACCAAATCACTAAAAGAACCCTTTTTCCTAGATTTACAAAAACAAAATTACACATATGTTTATGTCGTATTTCACTTTCAACATAAAATAAATGTTTCAGAGATGTGTGGGTCATTTTTTATTTTAACTCAAGTGACAGTACCTGAATTCTTTGGCTGTGAAAGCATATATTCTAGTACTTTTAAGAATTTTCCTCTTTCCGTTTCAAGTTTTCAGAGCAACAATTGTATCTCTGACACAAATTTACTATTATACTTTTAAAATATAACAATTGGTAAAAGTATTAAATCTATAACGCTTACCCAGAAATTTCCTGGATTTTTTATTATAAATCTAAAAACTGAAACTTGAACAATAAACAGCAATGCAGACTCTTTCCAAGTTTTCTTGTTCCCTCCCTAGACAAGCAGGAGTTTCTTCAGCTCTGGCTATCCCAGCAGATCTGAAGGATCACAGCCACGACGGTGGCAGCCTACCGTTGACACTGAACTTGTGGTTAATTGTGGAGTTCTGCCACAAAACCACCTCACTACCACAAACTGGATACTTGCCCAGGAAAGTGACAAACTGCCAGGCCAAGCAATCTACAGGAGGCAGCAAAAGCAAACTGCCTTTTCCCCCAGAAAGCAGTCATTTCTGGATTCCAAATGGAGCCAACAAGCAGAGCGCACCAAAAAAAAAAAAAAAAAAAAAAAAAAAAAAATATATATATATATATATATATATATATATATATATATATAGAGAGAGAGAGAGAGAGAGAGAGAGAGAGAGAGAGAGAGGTGTGTTTCTCCACTAAGCCAACTTAAAATGTATTCATGCAGTTTTGCAAGAGGAGCTCAAAAGGATTCATCTAGTTCATTAGCATCATCAAAAAGTGTAAGACTATTCTTTTCTTAAAAAATTTTTATTAAGCATGGAATTAGAAATAAATTGCAGTTATATTACTATTAACTGCTAAGTGAAACACCTACATATTATCATTGCAAATAGGAGTAAATAATGTGACTTCGTGTGTGTTACTAAGCTGCGCACAGCAGCACAGCAGCTCTGGGAACTTCATTTGAAAGGCCAGGTAGCACGATGTGAAGGAAGGAAACTTTAGCGTCATTCTGATCTAGTTACCATTTGTAGCTACATGACCTTGGAGGTTACTTAAAGTCTCATGTTACCTACCTCATCTGTGAAATGGGGATAACAATGTCTACCTCTTAAAGAGTTGCTGTGGATTAAATTAAATTACACGTGTAAGGTAACTAACAATGAGTAGATGCTTAGTAAATGTAAATTAGTTTATTTTTCTTACATCTATCCTTTTCCTTATCCTCCCACATCCCTTCAGGACTTCACAGGACTCTGTTAATTCTGAGTTTTTCCAAGGAGACCTCCAGATTATATTGTCTGTTCAACTCTTTTTAAGCCTTACTTTCAATATTATTTTATTCAACTAAGTCTGCCTTTTTACTATACAATCAAGTAAATAGCTCTCTTTCTTCAAAAAGCAAATGCTACAGGGATGTTAATGCCTCTGTTCTAATTACTATAAATGCAGAAATGTTTTATATATTAAATTTTAAGGAATGCATACATAATATTATCTTAATTTCATGGCCCTACATATCTTAGATCTCATTCTGCAGAAAAGATGTTGATTTAGGGCCTATATGTTGTAACATGGAGAAACAGAAAAAAAAAATTAAGCCGTAACCAATTTCATTCATATTAGCATTAAACATAGGGAAGACAAAAAAAGATTTATGTTTGCAAATGTATTCATTTATTCAGCATGTACTTGATGCTACTCAGATACTAAAGGTACAAATATGAATAAGACACGGTCCCTGTCCTCAGTTTGGTAAAGGAGAAAATAAGTAAACAAATGCAGTACAGTGCAAAATGCTCTAACAGAGTTCTTACCAGGTACAGTGATAGGACATGGAGTAGTTCACAGATGAAGAGATACTAACCTAGGTATTGAAGAATAGGAGCTTCCCAGGTGGACAAGGAGGAGGGAGAGTATTCCATACAAAGAACAGTATTGCAAAGCCATGGAGGCATGAGACATCATGGGCATTTCTGGAACTTTAAACAGATTGGTATGATTTGTGGGGGAGGGAAGATGGGAATGGGAAAATGAGACTGGATAGATAGGTGGAAGCCAAATCATGGGAATCCCTATAGGCCATTCTGAGAAACCTGGACTTTATTCTGTAGGTGGTAAGGAACTGTTAAGTTTTAAAGGAGGGAGAAGCCATGATCAATTTTTATTGTATTTAATTGTTTTTCAAAACCCAATGCTGGTATTGAATGAAGGTTAGTTTGAAAGAATGTAAGACCAAAGCTAGGAAAATCGTTTAAGAAACCATTATAATTGGCCAAATGAAAGATAAAGTTCTGTAAGGCAATGGCAGTAGTACCATTTGGAAAGGAAGAATTAATTGAATTAATAACAGCTATAAAACTTTCTGATCAGTTCCATAGAATTGGAATGTGCAGAAAAGGAGACTGTGAAGAGGGTTCCCCAGGTCTAGCCTAGGTGACTAGAATATCTTGAAACCATTGAACAGGATAAGAAGTACTAGAGGAATAATTGAGAGTAAAGATTATGGATTTCCTTTTGAACAGATTGAATCCAAGTGGGAATGTTTCTTGGCCATTGGATGTATGAGTCTGAAGCTCAAGAAAACAATCTGGGCTAGAGGTATAGATTGGAAGCCTGTAGTACATATGGAGAAGTGGAACCCTGGGAGAAAAAGAGATATCCCCTATGAGAGTATATAGTGTGAGAAGAGAAGAGGATTTGTTTTTGAACTCAGGAATACAAACATGTAAGGGACAAGGAACTAAAGAATTGCTCAAAAGAATGACTGAAAAGGAAGTAGCAAAGCTAGAAAGAGAATCAGACAGGAGTGGTGTCACAAACCAAAATGAGGAAGTTTCCAGAAGGGGGACAAAAAAGCATAAAATACCACATTCTAAAAAGATGAGGACAGGAAAGTAACCACGGGTGTCAATGAAACCTGACAATGACAAGTTTCATTGTCAACCTTATGTGGAACAGTTGCCACAGTTGGGGCAGAAACCAGATTGCAGTGGATTGAGGAATGAATTAACACTTATTTTGACATTAAGAAAAGAGAGTTTCATTCTAGAAAGTTTAGCCAGGAAAAAGCTTTACCTTTAGTTTCATCATTTCTTTGTTAGTTTTAGTGTAAAAAGAAAATTTGAGTAGTTTATTGATACAATATAAAGTACACATATACCAACTTTTCTCCTGTGTAAAAAAAATAAGTTTAAAATAATGGATTCCCCTTAATGGTATACTACCTACAGTCTTCCCTACATTTCTAGAAATAGATATGATAAACCAACACTTATTTTGTATTCATAGTGCTATCCTACAAATAAGAGAGTAAAAAATATGACAGTGAGGCTACAGATTCTATATAATACAGAAACAAATATAAATGTCTAGCATAGCTCTTAGAGGTTAAAATAACTAAACAGTTATTATCTGGCTTCAATGAGTCATACAACCTTATTCTGCTTTTTTTCTCCTACCCCTTTGAAGTCAGTGAGAAATCTCCCTTTTGAAAAGATTCCGATGGTAAGATCATTGAAATGATCTTGTTCAACATTCTTTGTTTAAAATCACTATATTTTTACCAGCTCCAGAAATAATAAACAAACAACTAGATCTACTAATGAAAAGCAAAATAAAGACTTGTACATTTACAGAATTTTATTAATGTCTAGTCAGATAATTCAGGCAAAAGCAAGAGTATTTTATGTCATTTTCCTGCTAAATAACCAGGATTAACTGCAGCGCTCCAGTTCTTAACCTAACATCAATCTTCACTAGAATTATGCTTGGACTGTTCCCAGTGACAACTCTCTAGCATGGTCTGGTGCTTTGGTAACTATATTAAATGTAAGTGCAAACTGTGAAAAATAACAAGAAACCTTATATAAATTCAAGATTTTAATGCTGTATTTTGGGATGTGTAATCATGTTTGAAAGGATCACTAACATCCACTCTAACATGAACAACACTTTAAACAAATCAAAACTATGGCTCTTTAACCAGTAAACTTCATGGCTATGGCTGATTTTATTCCTTAGAGACCCTCCTTTTTACAGGTGAAACGGTTTACATCAGATTTCCTCTCATTATAGCTTCTCAAATGTTGTCCAGACCAGCAAGCCACTCTCTTTAAACAAATACCAGCCAACCAGGAAACCATGAGGTTTTATTGTGCTATAAAATAGACCAGACATTTCTAAACCTTCATAGGAATGAACCTGACTAAATCTTTACTAAAAATGGTTTCAAAATAAACTGTGGGCTCCAAGTTTCTCTAACAATCAAAATTTCTTCATCCTTCATCAATCTCACTCTCAAGCTCTTTACTCTTCCAGAGGTACACAGTGCAGTAAGTTTCTCTGGCCACATGTTCATAATAATAACTAAAGGCTCCAGTTCTGTTTACTTATTGGGATATAAGAATGAAGGGATATATTAGCTTCATTCCCTGCATACATTCACATTTGTCAAAATTCTGTTTCAAATTTTCTTGTATACTACCAGCCCCTAAAACATGAGCTACTACTTCTTGTATCATGGGCATAGAAAGCCTGAATTTTGGCTATGCACGGTGGCTCATGCCTGTAATCCCACACTTCAGAAGGCTGAGTTAGGAGAATAACTTGAGGCCAGGAGTTCAAGACTAGCCTGGGCAACATAGTGAAACCCTGTCTCTACAAAAATCACTTAAAAAAAAAAAAAGCCTAAATTTTACGAAGAATTAAGTGGAATCTTCGCCTTCAAAAAAACATATCCCCTTTCATTCCATTCAGCAAATATTTATTAATTTAAGCCCTGTCCTAGGTACCCTCGAAAAGTGTGTGTTGCATGCATTTGTGTGTTGCGTGTATGTGTACAAGTGTTGGGATAGAATCAGTTGTAAATGGTCAGTGGGGAACAAGACATACACAAATAACTGTAATACAAAATGGAATATCCAGAAACAGCAGTCCCAACCTTTTTGGCACCAACGACTGGTTTTGTGGAAGACAATTTTCCACAGACCGGGGGGGATGATTTTGGGATGAAACTATTCCATCAGAGGAGCCAAGATGGCCGAATAGGAACAGCTCCGGGTCTACAGCTCTCAGTGTGAGCGACGCAGAAGACGGGTGATTTCTGCATTTCCATCTGAGGTACCAGGTTCATCTCACTAGGGAGTGCCAGACAGTGGGCGCAGGTCAGTGGGTGTGCACACCGTGCACGAGCCGAAGCAGGGCGAGGCATTGCCTCACTTGGGAAGCGCAAGGGGTCAGGGAGTTCCCTTTCTGAGTCAAAGAAAGGGGTGACAGACGGCACCTGGAAAATCGGGTCACTCCCACCCTAATACTGCGCTTTTCCGACGGACTTAAAAAACGGCGCATCACGAGATTATATCCCGCACCTGGCTCGGAGGGTCCTATGCCCACAGAGTCTCACTGATTGCTAGCACAGCAGTCTGAGATCAAACTGCAAGGCGGCAGTTAGGCTGGGGGAGGGGTGCCCGCCATTGCCCAGGCTTGATTAGGTAAACAAAGCAGCCAGGAAGCTCGAACTGGGTGGAGCCCACCACAGCTCAAGGAGGCCTGCCTGCCTTTGTAGGCTCCACTTCTGGGGGCAGGGCACAGACAAACAAAAAGACAGCAGGAACCTCTGCAGACTTAAATGTCCCTGTCTGACAGCTTTGAAGAGAGCAGTGGTTCTCCCAGCACGCAGCTGGAGATCTGAGAACGGGCAGACTGCCTCCTCAAGTGGGTCCCTGACCCCTGACCCCCGAGCAGCCTAACTGGGAGGCACCCCCCAGCAGGGGCACACTGACACCTCACACGGCAGGGTACTCCAACAGACCTGCAGCTGAGGGTCCTGTCTGTTAGAAGGAAAGCTAACAAACAGAAAGGACATCCACACCAAAAACCCATCTGTACATCACCATCATCAAAGACCAAAAGTAGATAAAAACCACAAAGATGGGGAAAAAACAGAACAGAAAAACTGGAAACTCTAAAAAGCAGAGCGCCTCTCCTCCTCCAAAGGAACGCAGTTCCTCACCAGCAATGGAACAAAGCTGGATGGAGAATGACTTTGACGAGCTGAGAGAAGAAGGCTTCAGATGATCAAATTACTCTGAGCTATGGGAGGACATTCAAACCAAAGGCAAAGAAGTTGAAAACTTTGAAAAAAATTTAGAAGAATGTATAACTAGAATAACCAATACAGAGAAGTGCTTAAAGGAGCTGATGGAGCTGAAAACCAAGGCTCGAGAACTACGTGAAGAATGCAGAAGCCTCAGGAGCCGATGCGATCAACTGGAAGAAAGGGTATCAGCGATGGAAGATGAAATGAATGAAATGAAGTGAGAAGGGAAGTCTAGAGAAAAAAGAATTAAAAGAAATATGAAAAGACCAAATCTACGTCTGATTGGTGTACCTGAAAGTGATGGGGAGAATGGAACCAAGTTGGAAAACACTCTGCAGGATATTATCCAGGAGAACTTCCCCAATCTAGCAAGGCAGGCCAACGTTCAGATTCAGGAAATACAGAGAACGCCACAAAGATACTCCTCGAGAAGAGCAACTCCAAGACACATAATTGTCAGATTCACCAAAGCTGAAATGAAGGAAAAAATGTTAAGGGCAGCCAAAGAGAAAGGTCGGGTTACCCTCAAAGGGAAGCCCATCAGACTAACAGCGGATCTCTCGGCAGAAACCCTACAAGCCAGAAGAGAGTGGGGGCCAATATTCAACATTCTTAAAGAAAAGAATTTTCAACCCAGAATTTCATATCCAGCCAAACTAAGCTTCATAAGTGAAGGAGAAATAAAATACTTTACAGACAAGCAAATGCTGAGAGATTTTGTCACCACCAGGCCTGCCTTACAAGAGCTCCTGAAGGAAGCACTAAACATGGAAAGGAACAACCGGTACCAGCCACTGCAAAATCATGCCAAAATGTAAAGACCATCGAGACTAGGAAGAAACTGCATCAACTAACGAGCAAATTAACCAGCTAACATAATAATGACAGGATCAAATTCACACATAACAATATTAACTTTAAATGTAAATGGACTAAATGCTCCAATTAAAAGACACAGACTGGCAAATTGGATAAAGAGTCAAGACCCATCAGTGTGCTGTATTCAGGAAACCCATCTCATGTGCAGAGACACACATAGGCTCAAAATAAAAGGATGGAGGAAGATCTACCAAGCCAATGGAAAACAAAAAAAGGCAGGGGTTGCAATCCTAGTCTCTGATAAAACAGACTTTAAACCAACAAAGATCAAAAGAGACAAAGAAGGCCATTACATAATGGTAAAGGGATCAATTCAACAAGAAGAGCTAACTATCCTAAATATATATGCACCCAATACAGGAGCACCAAGATTCATAAAGCAAGTCCTGAGTGACCTACAAAGAGACTTAGACTCCCACACATTAATAATGGGAGATTTTAACACCCCAATGTCAACATTAGACACATCAATGAGACAGAAAGTCAACAAGGATACCCAGGAATTGAACTCATCTCTGCACCAAGCGGACCTAATAGACATCTACAGAAGTCTCCACCCCAAATCAACAGAATATACATTTTTTTCAGCACCACACCACACCTATTCCAAACTTGACCACATACTGGGAAGTAAAGCTCTCCTCAGCAAATGTAAAAGAACAGAAATTATAGCAAACTATCTCTCAGACCACAGTGCAATCAAACTAGAACTCAGGATTAAGAATCTCACTCAAAACCGCTCAACTACATGGAAACTGAACAACCTGCTCCTGAATGACTACTGGGTATATAACAAAATGAAGGCAGAAATAAAGATGTTCTTTGAAACCAACGAGAACAAAGACACAACATACCAGAATCTCTGGGACACATTCAAAGCAGTGTGTAGAGGGAAATTTATTGCACTAAATGCCCACAAGAGAAAGCAGGAAATATCGAAAATTGACACACTAACATCACAATTAAAAGAACTAGAAAAGCAAGAGCAAACTCATTCAAAAGCTAGCAGAAGGCAAGAAATAACTAAAATCAGAGCAGAACTGAAGGAAATAGAGACACAAAAAACCCTTCAAAAAATTAATGAATCCAGGAGCTGGTTTTTTGAAAGGATCAACAAAATTCATAGACCGCTAGCAAGACTAATAAAGAAAAAAAGAGAGAAGAATCAAATAGACGCAATAAAAAATGATAAAGGGGATATCACCACCAATCCTACAGAAATACAAACTACCTTCAGGGAATACTACAAACACCTCTACGCAAATAAACTAGAAAATCTAGAAGAAATGGATAAATTCCTGGACACATACACTCTCCCAAGACTAAACCAGGAAGAAGTTGAATCTCTGAACAGACCAATAACAGGAGCTGAAATTGTGGCAATAATCAATAGCTTACCAACCAAAAAGAGTCCAGGACCAGATGGATTCACAGCCGAATTATACCAGAGGTACAAGGAGGAACTGGTACCATTCCTTCTGAAACTATTCCAATCAATAGAAAAAGAGGGAATCCTCCCTAACTCATTTTATGAGGCCAGCATCATTCTGATACCAAAGCCAGGCAGAGACACAACAAAAAAAGAGAATTTTAGACCAATATCCTTGATGAACATTGATGCAAAAATCCTCAATAAAATACTGGCAAACCGAATCCAGCAGCACATCAAAAAGCTTATCCACCATGACCAAGTGGGCTTCATCCCTGGGATGCAAGGCTGGTTCAATATACGCAAATCAATAAATGTAATCCAGCATATAAACAGAGCCAAAGACAAAAACCAGATGATTATCTCAATAGATGCAGAAAAGTCCTTTGACAAAATTCAACAACCCTTCATGCTAAAAACTCTCAATAAATTAGGTATTGATGGGACGTATCTCAAAATAATAAGAGCTATCTATGAGAAACCCACAGCCAATATCATACTGAATGGGCAAAAACTGGAAGCATTCCCTTTGAAAACTGGCATAAGACAGGGATGCCCTCTCTCACCACTCCTATTCAACATAGTGTTGGAAGTTCTGGCCAGGGCAATTAGGCAGGAGAAGGAAATAAAGGGTATTCAATTAGGAAAAGAGGAAGTCAAATTGTCCCTTTTTGCAGACGACATGATTGTATATCTAGAAAACCCCATTGTCTCAGCCCAAAATCTCCTTAAGCTGATAAGCAACTTCAGCAAAGTCTCAGGATACAAAATCAATGTACAAAAATCACAAGCATTCTTATACACCAACAACAGACGGAGAGCCAAATCATGAGTGAACTCCCATTCACAGTTGCTTCAAAGAGAATAAAATACCTAGCAATCCAACTTACAAGGGATGTGAAGGACCTCTTCAAGAAGAACTACAAACCACTGCTCAAGGAAATAAAAGAGGATACAAACAAATGGAAGAACATTCCATGCTCATGGGTAGGAAGAATCAATATCGTGAAAATGGCCATACTGCCCAAGGTAATTTACAGATTCAATGCCATCCCCATCAAGCTACCAATGACTTTCTTCCCAGAATTGGAAAAAACTACTTTAAAGTTCATACGGAACCAAAAAAGAGCCCGCATCACCAAGTCAATCCTAAGCCAAAAGAACAAAGCTGGAGGCATCACACTACCTGACTTCAAACTATACTACAAGGCTACACTAACCAAAACAGCATGGTACTGGTACCAAAACAGAGATATAGATCAATGGAACAGAACAGAGCCCTCAGAAATAACACCGCATATCTACAACTATCTGATCTTTGACAAACCTGAGAAAAACAAGCAATGGGGAAAGGATTCCCTATTTAATAAATGGTGCTGGAAAAACTGGCTAGCCATATGTAGAAAGCTGAAACTGGATCCCTTCCTTACACCTTATATAAAAATCAATTCAAGATGGATTAAAGACTTAAACGTTAGACCTAAAACCATAAAAACCCTAGAAGAAAACCTAGGCAATACCATTCAGGACATAGGCATGGGCAAGGACTTCATGTCTAAAACACCAAAAGCAATGGCAACAGAAGCCAAAATTGACAAATGGGATCTAATTAAACTCAAGAGCTTCTGCACAGCAAAAGAAACTACCATCAGAGTGAACAGACAACCTACAAAATGGGAGAAAATTTTCGCAACCTACTCATCTGACAAAGGGCTAATATCCAGAATCTACAATGAACTCAAACAAATTTACAAGAAAAAAACAAACAACCCCATCAACAAGTGGGCGAAGGACATGAACAGACACTTCTCAAAAGAAGACATTTATGCAGCCAAAAAACACATGAAAAAATGCTCATCATCACTGGCCATCCGAGAAATGCAAATCAAAACCACAATGAGATACCATCTCACACCAGTTAGAATGGCAGTCATTAAAAAGTCAGGAAACAACAGGTGCTGGAGAGGATGTGGAGAAATAGGAACACTTTTACACTGTTGGTGGGACTGTAAACTAGTTCAACCATTGTGGAAGTCAGTGTGGCGATTCCTCAGGGATCTAGAACTAGAAATACCATTTGACCCAGCCATCCCATTACTGGGTATATACCCAAAGGACTATAAATCATGCTGCTATAAAGACACATGCACACGTATGTTTATTGCGGCATTATTCGCAATAGCAAAGACTTGGAACCAACCCAAATGTCCAACAATGATAGACTGGATGAAGAAAATGTGGCACATATACACCATGGAATACTATGCAGCCATAAAAAAGGATGAGTTCATGTCCTTTGTAGGGACATGGATGAAATTGGAAATCATCATCCTCAGTAAACTATCGCAAGAACAAAAAACCAAACACCGCATATTCTCACTCATAGGTGGGAATTGAACAATGAGATCACATGGACACAGGAAGGGGAATATCACACTCTGGGGACTGTTGTGGGGTGGGGGGAGGGGGGAGCGACTAGTTGGGAGATATACCTAATGCTAGATGACAAGTTAGTGGGTGCAGCGCACCAGCATGGCACATGTATACATATGTAACTAACCTGCACAATGTGCACGTGTACCCTAAAACTTAAAGTATAATAAAAAAAAAAGAAAAACTATTCCATCTCAGATCATCAGGCATTAGATGGAGCATGCAACCTAGATCCCTTGCATGCGCAGTTCACAAAAGGATTCATGTTCCTATGAGAATCTAATGCCTCTGCTGATCTGACAGGAGGTGGAGCTCAAGCGGTAAGGCTCACTCATCTGCCACTCACCTCCTGTTGTGCAGCCTGGTTCCTAACAGGCCATGGACCAGTACCAGTGTGGGGGTTGAGGATCCCTGTCCTAAAAGATAGCCAAATTGCAATGAGGATCAGGATGGGTGACATAAAGTAGATGAGATTTAAAATCTGTCTTAAAGGATGGGTAGGATTTAGATATAAGAGAGGATGGCATTGCAAGGAAGAAAAAAGGCATAAAAATGAAAGTGTTCATGAAATCATTGTTTTATCAGAATATAAAGTATGAGAATGATAACAATAAAAATATTATGAAGCAACTACAGCATGTGAGGTCCTCTAAGCCTCTTATTCTCATCCTCACAACAATCTGCCAGTAGAAATAATAATCCTCATTTTTACAACACATGGGACAATTGAGATTAAGTAATTTGTAGGGCAGAAAGATTAAGTAATTTGTCAAAGATTACACATCTAGTAGTTGGTGGAGCCAGGATTTGAACCCAGGCCATGGAACTCCAAAGCTCTATGTGCTTTCCGTTATAACAGTAATTGTTAAACTTTGGTACACAAGAACCATCCAGATAACTTTTACCCAGATGATAAAAATGCAGTTGCTGAATGCTAACCCCAGAGATTCTGATTCATTAAACCCGAGATGGGACTGAGGAATCTGCATTTCTACCAAGCACCTCAAGTAACCCTGAGGCAGGAGGTCTAGGAACCACATTATCCTGAGGTAGACCAGCATAGTTTCGAATAGACCCTGGAATGGATTTGAACATACTTAATGATGAGTGTTATGGATGAAACTGTGTTCATTCAAAATTTGAATTTTGAAACCCTAACCCCAGTGTGTCTGTATTAGGAAATGGAGCCTTTAAAGAGGTAATTAAGGTTAAATGAAGTCCTAATGGTGGGGCACTAATCCAATATGACTTATGTCCTTATAAGAAGAGGAAGAGACACCAGGGATGGAGAAAAAAAACTTATGAAGACACAGCAAGAAGGGGGCTATCTGAAAGCTAAGGAGAGAAGCCTCAGAAGAAACCAACCGTGCCAGCACCTTGATCTTGAACTTCTAGACTTTCTAGCCTCCAGAACTGTGATCAAATAAAGTTCTGTTGTTTAAGCTACCCAATCTATGGTGTTTTGTTATGGAAGCCCTAGTAGAGTAATACAGTGAGTTAAATTAACTTCCTGCTTATCCTAAGCTATTTACATCTGTCATATATCAGGAGCTGTCCTAAAAAAGATCCCTAATTATCATCGCTATCATAAAAATTCACATTTATATGGCATTTTATAATTTACAAAGCCTTTTCACGTGCTCTGTTACACTTGAACTTTGCAACAGCCTACAGGGTAACCAAAACTCAATAAGGCAATAGGACTTGCCCAGGTTTCTTACAAGTTGTAGAGCTGAGTTCAGGTCTCTTTACTCCAAATCTTATGCTGATTTTTTCTACATCAGACATCACACACTTCATGATGTGCATGCACACACATCATGAAGTATGATTAATATATAAGAGACCCATCTAAGGATATGTCTTTCTTTAGCTCTAGAGAGTAAATACCTTTACTTGATTTTCTAGTTACATAAGATACGGTTTCAAGAATTTAAGAGATGTGCCAAAACGGTAATAGCATAGATAAGATAAGAATAGGTACAAGATTCCTAATGTTCAGTTCTCTTTTCAAACAATTGACTAGGCAGTAACAAAATGGTCTCATTTATATGAATTAAGATTATGCTTTTGCTCCTTCAGGGCACACTTGAGTGATTTTCTAGTAGTGTTTTGCTCAAATGCCAAGTGTTATAAATTTGTAGACTGCCAGACTGTACAAAAGATTATCACTTAAGTAATAATAAAAACTGTAAATAGGGAAAAAAAAAAAGTGAAAGAACAGTTAGAGATAGAGGAAGTGATTCCTTTACTTTCATTTTATTTTCCAGCACTTCCTCTTTAAGTTAGCAAAAATAACGTTTTTTGAATTGGCATTTGCAGAAAACAGTTCATAGAACACAGTCAACATTGTATACTACATTTCTGTAGATCCAGTACAGGAGGTAGATTCTAAGTCTGTCTTCTTCATACCCTACCATTTTATCGTTAGCTAAGGTCTTATTCCCTGGTGGCACTGTGTTAGTTTGTATCCTCTGAGAAACAAATGCCAAAACAGAATTAGACGTGCAAGTGACTTATTGTGGAAAGTGCCTATGAAAGATAAATGGAAGATAGCCAGAGGAAGTGGAGAGAGCCTTCAGACTGTGATGCAAGTCTCACAATAGGGAAAGTGGGGAAAGGAAGGAGGATTAGGTAGAAAGAGCCTTATACTACAGCATCATTCTAAGAAAGTGTCAACCAGGCCAATGTGAGGTCCTCAAGCCAAAGTCTCCTATTAAAAGGAGTCCCTCATCTCACAGGAATGGGCCTACATTATACCCTTGCTGTTACTGACTAGGAGAAGCCCAAAAGAAGTATTGCCTCAGTACTGAAACAGGGGTGGATCCAGAAGAGTAATGGTCCAGTAGTCAATTATGTTCCCTATAGCAGAAGATTTGAGTGACAAATTTTCTTTTTTGAGATGGAGTTTCACTCTTTTTGCCCAGGCTGGAGTGCAGTGGCACAATCTCAGCTCACTGCAAACTTTGCCTCCCGGGTTCAAGTGATTCTCCTACCTCAGCCTCCCAAGTAGCTAGGATTACAAGCACACACCACCAAACCCAGCTAATTTTGTATTTTTGGTAGAGATAGGGTTTCACCATGTTGGCCAGACTGGTCTCAAACTCCTGACTTCAGGTGATCTGCCTGCCTTGGCCTTCCAAAATGCTGGGATTACAGGCATGAGTTACCACACCCAGGCTGAATGACAAATTTTCTTGATTGCCACAGTCCACCTCTTTCTCTGGACAGATCTGCTTCTCTATGCAAATTTAGGGAACACATCCTCCATGTTTCCTATGGGCTTTTCTTCCTGAGGGAAAACTTAGAAGGAAGTTAGTGAGATGAACTGGAGCCCCATTGCTGCAGTTGGGCTTGAGACTGCAACAAGGTACTTAACTTCTCCCACCTCTATTATCCATTCCAAGTCCTCTCAACCCTCAGCTATCACCTTGGCAAGTAATGGTAGCTTACCTTGTGGTGTGACCCAAACCTTCATTCCTGATGGGTCTGAGCTCTTGGCAGTCATACCCTTTTCAAGTCAGGGTCGTTGTACATGTCCTTTCACAGCTACAGTGGGCCAAAGGAGTA
The DNA here is from genome assembly GCF_000001405.40 of Homo sapiens. Lineage (NCBI taxonomy): Eukaryota > Metazoa > Chordata > Mammalia > Primates > Hominidae > Homo > Homo sapiens. Next base: position 14,624,777 of record NC_000011.10, on the reverse strand, counting down.
CCAGCAGGCTTCCAAGTAGATGACATAGGAGTTGCATACATATTCCTATCCTTATTGTCTATAAGCAGCACTACCTTCTCCCAATGATCAGGGTTGATTACCCCTGCCAAGATGTGACCCTATTCTTGCCTGCAGGTCTCTGGACATGAGGTGTCCAAACTGCCCTGGCAGTATCTATAACATATAGTTCAATGAGACACTCACTGTCCCCTGGCAAGAGTGCACTCCCTCTCGGGACCTCCAGCCCTGCAGAGCCCAGAGTTGCACATATGGGGAGCCCAAAATCCCCCATTGAGAGTTATTGGGAGTGATGGTAGATAGGGCTAGTCCTGATTACACCCATCGATGGCCATTGTGTTCCTCCTGCTGATGACATGGTACCATATAGAGGTCTCTGAGTTAGCTCAGATCCCCATGTCATCTACCACAGTTGCAACAGCATCCCTTTCCCAGTTGGTACCTTTGGCTAAAATGGGGCTAGAGGAAAGGGTTCCCATACGACCAGCTAAAGGAAGAAGAATAATCCTGAGCTTCTCTCTGCAAAGGATGGCACTGCCTCCTTTGAGAGTGTTGCTTCTGAGCTGACGTTTCAGCTGTGCCTTTAGATAGCTGTTCCAGTGTTCTGTGAAGTTGGCTACTTCTAAATGATTTTGTTGTAGAAGATATAGCTAGAGCTCCCATGGTCATGAGTTCAATCCTGCATCTCCTTTACTGTGAAATGGGTCACCTGTTCAAATGTTTTTTGTGTGGTATTCTATACCCATAGATCAGACATTCTTTAAGCCCCTGGATTATGGTGCTGGCTAAGGTACTACAATCAGGAAAGACAAGCCTGTACCCAGAATAGGTGAAAACAACCCTCTAGCCCTTGTAGTTGACTTACCACCAAGTGGCCAGTTGGTCTCATTAATAAATAGTGATATAACAGCATTGATCTCTGTTGCTGACAGGTTGGACATTCAGAAGCAGCAGAAGCTAGGTCAGCTTTGGTGATGGGAGGTCCATGCTCCTGGGCCCATGCATAGCCTGTCTCTGGCAGCATGGCCACTTTTTTCTTATGCCAAAATGTCAGTTTCAGGGTAGCCAACAACAAAGACTGGCTTATATAAACTGGTCTGGTTATTATATCTGCTTCACTGTTCACAATCTCTTCCATGGTAGATGCTTTCTATTGGGCCATAATATGTCACACTAAACTCTTCATGTTTACCTGCATACCTCTACCCCAGAACTCCTTCTCTAAAATCTTTCAATTATTTTCTTTCCAGGCCCCGACCAGACAGCCAGGACATTGGCTATTTCCCAAGTCTATATATACTGGGCCACTTCTCATTCCACAAGAAGTCAATGACTAGGTGCACTTTTTACAGATCCACGCACTGGGAAGATTTTCCCTCTCCACTGTCTTTCAAGGCTATCCTTGAATGTGGTTGTAATGCAGCCATGGTCCATTTTGAGCTTGTACTCACATACAGAACAGACCCACCCAAAAATCAAGCTTAAGCTTTCCTTCTACTTCAGTTGGTCTTACGGGGCCCCCATATGGCCATAGGAACAAGCTAGGGAAGGGTGTTATTTCAGCTGTTGTGAATGACATGCTGGTCTGAGCTACCTGCGCATGCAATTTGCCATGTCCTTTGTCCTTCTCAGGCTCAATCCTTGATGTAATTTTCCATATTAAAGTAGACTACTGCTGGACCTATACAGCCTTGTGATTTAACATATCCAGCAGAACCAAACTTGTAATGTGCAGTTCTAGACCCATGGTCACTTTGTGCCCCATGGTGAAGCACTCTGCCTCTACCAGTCCCAGTAATTCACCAAGAGCTTTTTCTCAAAAGACATATAATTCTATGCTACAAATGGCATAGCCTTGCCCCAGAATTCCAGGGCCCTATGTTGTTATTCTCCCAATGATACTTGCCGTAAGACACTGCATGTTTTCCCACCACTGTCACCTACACCATGAGATGTGCTGGATTGTATGCCCCAAGTGGCAGCTCTGTTTGCAGTGCAGCCTGGACCTCTTCACTCAAAGCTGGCAACTTTCTATGTCACTCAATCTAGCAGTATTCATAGGTTTGGAATACGCCGCCTCCAGAACCCAAAGAGGCCTACCAGCCACTTCATTTCCTTCTTTGTGGTGGCACACGCAAGATGCAGCAATTTTCTTTTACTTTGAAGGGGATATCTTGTCATGTTTATGACCATTGCATTCCTAAAACACTTCATTGAAGTTTCAAATCCCTGAATCTTCATAGGATTTATTTCCAACCCTCTGGAACACTGTGTCTTACCAAGGCCTTTAGCATACTAGTGCCTTCTTGCTCATTCTAAACAATCAGCATAATGTCATCAATGTAATGTATCAGACGAATGTTCAGGCAGTCCAGATTTCTTCAGAGTATATTATGACAGAAGGCAGGAACATTAACATAGCTCTAAGTCAAAAGTGTAATTGAAAATTATTATCTAACCCACAGGAATGTGAACTGTTTCTGATCCTCTCTTCTAATTGGAATAGAAAAGAATGTATTTATCATATCAGTTGCCACATACCATGTGCCTGAGACCTCATTAATCTGTTCTATTAATCACACAGTGTCCGGCAAAGCAACTGCAATTGGGGCTACTAATTGCTTGACTCCGAACTCCTGAAAGTCTGCATAGGTACCCAGTCTTACATACTTTTCTGTCTAGAGCATCTAGGACCTAGCAGGTATTCTATATGTATTTTATGAATGGATTAATAAATTCAGTATGACATTCAAGAAGATGCCTACTAACAGGTTGATTTAGCTGATGACCCTAGCTCATAGGGTTATGAGGATTAAATGAGTTACTAAATGGAAAGTGTTTACAATAGTGTCTGGCACATAAAAAGCATTCAGTAAATCTTATCAATTGTATTTTTCCAGGCCGCAGAGAACCATCAGATATGATAGAGAGATTGACATTAAGCTAACTCCTTGACCATAAGTTTAAATGAAACATGAGAGACATGTGTTGGCCTTTAAAGTGAAAGAGTCTGCAATATTTTTCTGAGAATGTGAGGTTTCCAAGGAAAACTCAAAAGAAAACTGATTGTAAAGCTGGAAAGAAAGAATTACTTATAGAAACAGACACTTTCATAGCTAGTGGAGAGAAAAAGGTGGTTACTATGTGCCAATTCATTACTAGCATTGCTATATTTAGGATAATTTTGAGGGCCAAATGTGGTGGCTCATGCCTGTAATCCCAGCTCTTTAGGAGGCCAAGGTGGGAGGACAGCTTAAGCCCAGCAGTTTGAGACCAGCCTGGGCAACATAATGGGACCCCATCTCTACAAAAAAAACAAAACAAAACATTGAAAATTAGCTGGGGGTGGTGGCGCATGCCTGTAGTCCCAGCTACTCTGGAGGCTGAGCCCAAGAGGTTGAGGCTGCAGTGAGCTATGATGGTGCTACTGCACTCCAGCTGGGTGACGGAGGGGTCTCAAATTAAAAAAAAAAAGAAAAGAAAAGAAAGATAATTTCAGAAAAATCTCAAAGTTAAAATTTTTGACAAATGCTTTTTACTAATAAAGCAAAACATGATCTTGAAATAAAATGAATGAGTGCAATTATGCCCACTAGCCATTTCACAAAAATGGTGTTTTCCATTACCTAAATGACTATTTCCATATAAAAATTAATTAAAAGTACACTCACAGTTTTCATCTCTGACATAGGTCAATGTAACAGCTAATACAGGAAAATGAAAAGGTATAATAACAGGACATACACACCCCTACTCTTCATTAGAAGAAAAAAGAATATTTTTTCTTGTATAATACTGTGATTTGAGAGGCCTTAAAGCTGCTATTCTCTGACATTAGCTTTGTGGTCAAATTTAAAATGATCTTGATAACTCTCAGGAAACCCCAAGTCTCATAAAACTTTCCCAACAATTTTCACAATGAGAGCTGTGAAATAATTTCAGGGTCTCTAGGAAAGAATCCACACTTGCTACTTTTAAGAAAGCTAGGAAGTGGGTTGTTGGACAAGATCTAAACATGAATTCTTTCATCTACAAAAAAAGTTGAGCCACTATGAAGAATTTCCAGTGGCCACTCTGTTATCAATATCTCACAACTAGGTCTAGACGACCTCAAAACTTGGGAAATTGCTTTGCTGCTTTATTGCCAGTATCTCTGTCTTTACAGAGCCTTCCAGAATAGAATCACTAGATTGAATTTATTCCTCCAGTAAGTCAGTTGCTTATTAGCACTTTTAACATCCAGATGGTTTGAGACAAAGGCTAAACCAGGGATAATTCCCAAGTATAAACAGTGGAAACTCTCTTTTGCTGAGGGACTCTAGTCTACTGGGCTATGGGCCAGGGCATGGGTTTCTTTTGCAACATCCCAACACTGCTGTGGCCTTTTCTATAACCCTTGCAAGTGAAGTCACCTGAAAAGCCAAGAGTTAAACTGGCTGTACAGTCTGAACTGTGAAGTTTGGAAATAAATTCAAATGGACCAATAGCCTGGATCTGTTTCATGAATAAACAGAGGAGTTCAGGCTTAGGACCCTATAAAGTTAAGTCAATATTAGTTATAGAGGAAATCCTGTTTGTTCTTCTTCTGTTGTAATTGTCTTTTTAAAAAGAACTCAGGTAGAGCTTTGGGGTATGTTATAATGCTCAAAACATCCTTTAAACATACACATACACATACACACACACACACACGCACACACACACGAGTGTTTATAACCAAGAAGAAAGCAAATCACTGTTGTCCTTACTGTTAGGTACACGAGAATTAAAAGTGTTTGCTCAATATCCTTAAAAAATACAACTTAAAATGCCCTAACTTATGAAATGGGAAATACTTATCTAGGTTCTGATGCCATATAGTCACCTTATCATGATTATTACAATAAAGATAAGTAAGTGATTGCTATTAAAGCCCTTTAGTTATGCTGATTTGGCACAAATTTTTCCCAGTACTCATCACCTAGAAATTACACATAACAAGGTCTGAGTAATCCAGTGTTTAAACTTTGAGGGTACTAAGAGAGTGATTTCTAACCTCTTTGAAATTATGACACCCTATTTTGCCCGTTAGACATCACAACTCTTGCTCCTGTTATACTGTCTCCACACACTCAAGGAAAGCAATCTATTATATGATATAAAAAACACTTAAATGAATTTAAATTAATCTTAATTTCTTCAGGCTTTTACTTGTTTTTCTTTATAATTACCTCTTCTTTGAAGCTGAGTCACCCTAGGTTTAAGCCAGAATTAACCTCTCCTCTTCGTGTATTCTTTTAGCTCTTTATGTGGTATAAATCTATATTACAGATTTTTTTTTTGAGACAGGATCTCTCTCTGTCACCCAGGTTGGAGTTCAGTGGCACTATCTCAACTCACTGAAGTGTCGATCTCCTGGCTCCCCTACTTCAGTTTACCAAGTAGCTGGGACCACAGGTGTGCACCACCACACTCAGCTAATTTTTTTTATTTTTGTAGAGGCAAGTTTTCGCCATGTTGCCCGGGCTGGTCTTGAACTCCTGAGCTCAAGCAATCTGCTTGCCTCCGCCTCCCAAAGTGCTGGGATCACAGGCGTGAGCTGCCATGCCCAGCCTATATTACAGTATTTTTAAATCATATTTTTGTTGATTAATTTTAAGTCTTTCCCCCTGGCTTAAATGTAAGGGCCATGTTTATTCATCTTTTTTCCAGAATTTCTAGCACAGTGCTTAATACAAAGGGAGATTCAATACATGCTAGATGAAGGAATAATGAATGAATGCACAATGGCTGTGGAGGCAGAAATATACCAGCATGTCAAAAATATCAACCCAAGAATTATTATTCTAGTAGCTTAAAGATATGCCTGTATAAGATCATCTGTTACAGAACTTAAATCCAGTGAGAAAATGGATGCAAAAATACTTTATAAACTGTAAAATCATACACAAATGTGAGCAAATGTCACTGTTACTTACTGTTTAGTATCCTTCAGGGAATAGTTTCTGAATTTGTGAATCAAACTTTGAAAAACAGTATGAACTTAACTCATTGGAATAGTAGGACCATGAAAGGAATAATAAATGGAAGCCAGTTAACAACAAGTTGTCATTTGTCTATAATGTAATGCAGTAGGAGTTCAGTTTTGGAAAACCAGGCCTTGGTGACATCTTTAAAATACTAATTTTTGTGTCCTGGTTTATAAATGACAATTCCTTTAGATGCTTAGGATTTGGATAATTCCATATAGTATTCCCAGAAATATGTGTTACCAGGTACAAAACATACAGGCTTGATTGTTCAAGGAAACATGTATTACATTTGGATAACTCTACTGAGAGGCTAAAATAACTGATTCATTTTTGAAGTGACCATTGATAGTAAACTTCAGCAGTTCTAGAAGAGGCAATAAACATATCAGGGCAATTTGACAGGCTACTGTGGTTCAAACAGATGTTAGTGGTAGCCAAAGTTCACAAATTATGTCAATGAAGCTGGATTCCATTAAGTCAATCAGTAACTAAGGAAATAGTTAATTGAGATACAATCACAAGCTAGAAAAGCAGGATAAATTAAAGAAGTAAGAGGAATAATCACATTTCTCGATAATTACATGCTATCAGACAGCAGAATCTGATGTCTGGAAGATAAAGCAGGCATATTTCAAAAATGGAAAAGGAGGCCATAGGCTAGAGCATGAGTAATTCCATAAAAGCGGTCAAATGGGAATCTTTCTGAAAAGCAAATGATGTCCTCACAGAAGGAAATTGCCTAAAAACTACTAGAACATAGTTTCTATGCTACAAACATAATCTGGCCAAAGTCATCAGCTAGTAAGTTGCAAAATAGATTTTCAAAACCAGGTTGACACCAAAGCCCATGTCCTCCACACTGTACTTCTCTCTCCTAGGCAAGGAATAATCAAGGTATGTGCCAAGCTCCCAGGCTGTGTTGTTCCTTACACCTCTCCTGATTCCAGTTTCAGTAAAGCCATGAGTCACAGCAGCGGTAACAGTAAGAAGCTTTCAGCTTGTCCAGCTCACTTGTTAACCCCATATACACACACACACACACACACACACATATATATATATACGTATATATATGTATATATATATTTCAAAAAAAAAGGACAATAAAGAGGCTGAAGATGAACTCAAACCAAGTAGCTGATTTTCTGAAGCAGCTAACCTATTTCTGAGCTAACAGTCTTAGTGTGTATTAAATTCTTACTTCTGTATTCTCTCAGAATTAGAGAGAAATGTCTATTCACTCTTTCATTTAACAAGCAATTATTGAGTGCTTACCCTGTGCCAGTCACTGGAGAAACAGAGATTAATAGAAAAAGATTTCTGCTGTTAAGAATCACATGGTTGAGGAAGGAAGGGGGAAGTAGAAACAGACAAGCAAATGATTATAGTACAATGTAGCATTGATATTGAGAACTAAAAAAAGAAATTAACAGTAATAAATATAGGGATGCTACATTGGGGGAAATATCCCTTCCCAATTTTTGGTGTTTCCTTCCAGATGGAGAAGATTCCACTAGTGTGGTATTCCCTAAACTTTGTCCACCCCTCAACTCTTTCCTTCCCAGAGAAGGAGAAATTACTTAATCTGATTGATTAGTATGAAAAAAGAAAGTGGGCATGCAACACAAGCCCCTTATTTTCTCCCTCCACACCCACTCTCAGCAGGCAGCCTGAAAAGAAGATAACTTCTGTTCTTCCATGCCCTGTGTTTTTCACAGACTGGCTTCATGTAAGGAAGCCTAGAGAAGTCCAGCACTGTCTGTGACTAGGGGTTCACTATTAGGAATCCCTTTTGTTCATAGATACAAACGACATTCTCCACCATCAGTTTAATCTGTACTAAATGTGTTATTTCTCAAGAGGCAATATAATGTAGTGGTTAGGTGCATAGACTCTGGAGCCAAACTGGTTCATACCCTGGGTTTGCTACTTAATAATAGCCATGAGACTTTGGGTCAGTTGCTTAACCTCCCTGGGGCTTCAATTTCTCCACCTACAAAATAGGGCTAATAGTATCTACTCACAGGATGATGTGAGGATTAAGTGATTTAACATATCTAAAGCACATAGAACAGTGCCTGTTACAAAATAACTTCTCCAGAAGTTTGAGCTATCATTACTATTATTATTATTTTAACCTTTATCTATTGTAATCTTATTTCTCAATTTGTTGAAAACTCAAGCAGGAAAAAGTGTTATTAATATTTATTGGGATCTGATCGGGCACAGTGGTTCACACCTGTAGTCTTAGCACTTTGGAAGGCCGAGGCAGGCAGATCATTTGGGTCAGGAGTTCGAGACCAGCCTAGCCAACATGGTGAGACCTCCATCCCTACTAAAAGTATAAAAATTAGCCGGGCATGGTAGTGCTTGCCTGTAATCACAGCTACTCAGAGGCTGAGGCACAAGAATAGTTTGAGCCTGGTAGGTGAAGGTTGCAGTGAGCCAAGATGGCACCATGCACTCCAGCCTGGGTGACAGAGCAAGACTCTGTCTCAAAAAAAAAAAAAAAAAAAACTGTTGGGATCCTCCAACTCTCACCTCCAATAGTTAGGGAAGTTTAAGAAATCTTACACAGTTCTTACAGTCGTTGCCCTTTTGTTTATAGTTCTTGGCTCTTTACTGGATGAAATTTGGAAGATTGTATCAGTAGGTGCCAGATGCCAGGCCAAGCATCTCAGACTTCAGCCCAAATTGGTTTGAGGTTGATGCCTCTGATTTCCATGGGTAAGGCAGGCAGGCAGCTCTTTACTTGATTCTCAAAGATTAATCCCATGTCCCTCAGGTTATCTGCACATTCTAGAGATCCCCTCTTGCTCTGGCCTCTGCGTGTCCTACTGCGGTCTTTGCAAAACCCTCCTAGGAAGAGAAGGCTCTTTCCCACCTAGTCACAATGATTCTTTCCCTGGATTCAGATCTGCCTTTCAGGAGTTCAATGAGGGAAACAAACAGGTAGGCTAAAACAATTGGAATACAAAGTATTAAGTACAGTTAAAAAGAGATCTAAATGGTACCACAGAAGTGGACCAGTCAGGACAGGAAACAGATGGCATACTGAAAAGGAGTGATTAAAGAGAGTTTAATAAGGAATTTATTTACAAAGGTATAGGCAGTTAAGGACAGTGAAGCATCAACAGTGAAAATTGCTCCTACACCTAGGCCTGAAGAAACAAAGGGAAAGAGCTATTACCAAACTTCAGAAAGCAAGCTATAGGAGAGAGCTACCTCACAGGAACTCTGTTTCAGGTAATGCAGCCCCTGCCAATCCAAGGCCTGGAAGAGAGGGATGTAGGAAAATATTACAATTGTACTCTTCTGTCCTCTGAGTTTCTTTCAGCGTGTCCCACTGTTCAAATCTACCAGAAAGTCAGAGGACAAGGAAACCTGTTACTGTCATCCAAAGAGGTCAACCTCTGAGGACGCAGGGCAAGTAGAGAATGCTGGAGAGGGGATCTCAAGTGGCCAGCAAAGAACAACCCAGCACAGAAGCGAAGGGACTAACACTTTCTTAAGATTTCATAAAAGACCTTTTAAAGGAGGTTATATTTGAGATAGGCACTGAAGGATAAGTAGGGGTTTACCAAATAGAGAAGTGAATAAGACATTTTAGGCAAAAGGATAGCATTGTCAATATCTCATAGATATACAAAAGAACTTGCATGGGCTATATATTCAGACAAGCAATCCCATTTGGCAGAAGCACATGATGCTTTTGGAGAGATGGGTCTGAAAAGAAAAGTTAGGATCAGATTATAAAGGCTCTTAAGTGCCATGCTAAAATGACTGGACTCGATCCTGTAGTTAATGAGGATCCGCTCAGAAACTTTCAGAGAAAGAGAGTGACATGAGCATAGTTTAAGTTAGAAAAAGATCCCTCCAATGGCAGTGTAAAGGATGGACTAGAGTACTGAAAGACTAAAGGCAGGAAGATCATTTTGGGGATCTTTGCCATAGTCCAGGCAAGATAAAGGTGAATGGAACTAAAGCAGTGGCAGTGATAAGGAAGCAAAGATTCTAGGCATTTTCTGAAGATTTAATGAACAGAACTGGATGACCTAGTAACTATGAGGAATGCAGAAAAAGGCAGGCTCTAGATGAGAATCAAATTTCTAGCTTGAGAAACTAGATCGATGGTGGTACTATTAATTAGGAGAGAAAATTCAAGCAGAGTAGCTTTGTGTGAGACTGCATGGATTTCATCTTTCTGCGTACTGAGTTTATTATGCCTATGGATCACTAACAGAAATATCTAGTTGGCAATGAACAGTAGAAGGCCAGGCTCTGAAGAGAGATCTAGGAGCCAGATATACAGTCTGAAGAAGAACAATTCATTATTTGGGGTTTTTTTTTTCAGCTTATATGAAACATATTCACCAAATTTTTCTCAACCTCTGTAACAAAGGAAAAAATGTTACTCATCATATAATGAAATAAACCACAGAGTTAGAAATAAATCCACTGATGACACTTCTTACCAGGGGAGAGTTTTTCATCTGTTTGTTAATAATAGAAACTCCTAACTCAGAATTGCATGGTAGTTTAGGAGTATTTTTTAAAAAAACAAACAACCCTCAGTTTTTAAAACTGAGTACTGTTTGCTTGTTATATTTAACACTTGGTTATTTTGTAAATAATATCCAAATTTTCCATGAAAGCTTCATTTTATTATTTAAACCCATATCCCAGTGACATGCAATTGTTCTTCAACTGAGACATTTGATAATACTGTGACAAGCAGAGTTCTTTTCTCATAGTAAGTTCAATATAAATATTTACTGGATGAATGGATAGGTAGAAGGATAAATGAAAGCAGCAGAGTGTGATAAAGTAATTTTGATTTTGTTATAAATGTGATATTCATATATAAATGTATGAAAAACTGTAATCAAGAGAATTACAAATGGTCTACTTTTGTTTCATTTGTGGAAGATGCCAGAATTATTTAGACAACTGCCTGTTTCTCCTTTGTGTCCAGAGGCCTCAACCACCTTACTTAAAAAGAACTGAAATACTGTTCTTCCAGTTCTTTGCTGTATAAAATGAGCACAGGTATAGGGTTTCACTACTTTACTTCTTTTGTGTAATTTCCTACATAATTATTTTGAAATCTCAGAAATATAGTTCTGATTATCTGAAACCAATGGAAGTCTGTCCTTAATACCACATAATGAGGCACAGTAGAACCAGTTGATTTTTGGCTGGGCACAGTGCTCACGCCTATAATCCCAGCACTTTGGGAGGCCGAGGTGGGCAGATCACCTGAGGTCAGAAGTTTGAGATCAGACTGGCCAACATGGTGAAACCCCGTCTCTACTAAAAATACAAAAAATTTAGCTGGGCATGTTGGTGCACACCTGTAATCCCAGCTACTTGGGAATCTGAGACATGAGAATCACTTGAACCTGGGAGGCAGAGGTTGCAGTGAGCCGAGATGGTGCCACTGCAGTCCAGCCTGGGCACCATCTCGGCTCACTGCAACCTCTGCCTCCCTGGAGCAAGACTCCATCTCAATTTTTAAAAAAAAATTGATTTTTAACTCCTAACTTTATACATGACCAATATGTGACTTAATAAACCTATTTAAAATTATTGACTTTATTACTGTATTTTACATTATTAACTTTATTACAGACTTTATTTGTTAAAATCCTCTATTCAAAATAACTTTAGAAAAAATGTTCTGCTTTGGTGGTTGTCCATCCAGTGAAATTTGGAATGAGTCATTAATACACTGCATAACCATGTTCCTTCCCTATCTCCATCTTAATGTAGTTCCTTGTCTTCAATGGGCACCATTGACACTGCATCTTTTATCACTCATCTGCCCAGCCCGCCCGGCCCACAAAATAAATGGAAAGATTTCTTCCTAACTCCTGCCCTTTCTAAGGAAGGAAGTATAGGCACATGGTCTAAAGAGGACTGGACCTCAAGTTAAATTATGACCAGGCCCAGTCACCCACAGATCATATGATCTCTGGGTAAACATAGCCTACTCTAAATGACTAAGTTAAAGGTAGCAGGAAGATACAGAGGATACTAAAAATGCTTGACAAATTTTAAATTTCTGTTGAATATTTAAAAAATATTTTATTTATATCTCTTTCCTAGAGGGTACAGTCTATGTCCTAGTCATCTATGTATTTTTCTTTTCACCTAGCACAATATCAGTTGCTAGTAGAATGAATTAAGAAACTGCTCCATACATTTTTTTTCTAATTTTCTGCTTTATCTAATGTTTCTTTAATGCAGATAAACTGCTTATATGATAATTAAATGTCTCTTTCCTGTTTTAAATGTATATATTTTATATAGATATATTGTACACGATAATACATATATGATCATACTTTCAATTGAAGGAAAGTAAGGAAATAGTTTAAAACTGACTTATGAATCAATACATACTACAATTTCAACATCTTATGAGAATTGTGTGTTACACTACATAATATTTAAATACAAATTATATTTTTCTGCTATTCTAAACACCATGGTTAGCAAAAACTGAAATGAATGTTTTGTTTTCCTATGACACAACTGGGTGAAAAGCAGAACTACACATAAGTTTCATAATAAAACTTCACACCACATCATACTTGTCTGTTGTCAGGTTTTGTTACATTCCTCCTAGCTCAACCAAGACTCCCTGGGGCTGGCAAACAGGGCAGAGTTTGAGTCAAAACCATGCACTTCCTTTCAGCTTTAGAGATGCACTTACAATTTTGGGGGAAACCAAAAAACAGCTGTTTTTTCCTCCAGATGTGGCAAGTCTGTCACTTTCAGTGTTTATTCCAACTCCAAACTCAGCACAAATAAAGACAATTGCCTGGGAAAGGAAGGGGATAGAGGCTGGAGAATCCAAAAGTTCTATTCCACTCAAAATAAGGTATCAATGTTACAAGACTCCCTTGAAAAGAGACAAAGTTGGGAAGATGGCAGAGCAGAAAGGGAGAGAAGGAGAGAAGAGAGAGAGAGCATGGAAGGGAGGGTGGGAAGGAGGAAAGGAAGGAACAATCTAGTGAGGAGTATGTGTCATTACCAAAGATTAGGATTAACCCAATTCTGTGGTCCTGGGATCCAACAAAAAAATGCACACCTGACCTAATTGTATTCATTTGTCAAGAGGCCGGTTCCATATCGGAGACAGGCTGTATTCATAGATGATTTTAAGGACAGTTTAAGGCATAGAGTTTTACTCTAAAAACTGAGAAACAAAAAATCCTTCATTGTAGAATTTGTTTTGTTGCCCTAGCTCTACTATTTATACTTTTCCACTTTAGCTATGCACAGAACATAGCTAATTTTCATCTCAATTTTTCAATTCTTTTGCTATATAATTGTTAACATTTATTGACCACTAACCTCATTTTAAGGACTGTGCTAAGTATTTTATATACTTTCCTGGGGAGGCACTTATTCCTCACTTTTGATATTTCCCTCCACGTGGGGAACATCCATTAGAGTAACTCTCCTGGCCTGTATCTACTTACCCCCAGGAGAGGAGAAGAGAGTTTGGTGAGTTTGAGATGAGGAACAGGATGTCTGATGAAGATCTAATATAACTCATGTTCCTTTTACCTTCTCCATTGTCTTTCAGGTATTCCACCCTGCAAAAAGCATGTATTCATGGTCAGCTCTCAGCAAGGCCAGTAGCAGAGTGGTAAAGGCCTTGGCCCTCCAAGGCTGGGAAAAGACAATGACAAGTCAAATCCAGACCTATGTTGTATGTTGGTCTACTAGGTGACTGTCTCCTGGAAATGTTATGCAGCTCAGCAAGGTGAAGGTGAGAATATCTTTGCTTTTTGATAAAACACAGAATGCATAGATTTCACATCTCACTATGTGAGCCCCCACAAAACAAAACCTAGAGGAGCATGTGAGAAAAACGCATCTCTAGGCTAGAAAACAAAAAGAGAAAAAAAGAAAAATGTCTGTGTAAGAAAGCAAAGGAAAGAAGATGCTCAAATCCAGCAAATCATACCAGCCTTGTCATAGGCACAAAAAGAAAGGGATTAACCTAAGTTACAAGGTGAATTATCATAAAATCAGATGAACCTTTCTGAAAAATAGTCATGGGACAAAGGAGGGATATATAACACTAGAGGCTTAACCCTTTCCTGCAGAGAAAAAAAATGTAACTGAAAGAAATGCCACTCAAGGCTTGTGACATTCAAAGTGAAGACAAGATAAGGTCTTATGTAGTACATGACATAGGTGTAGACACTCACTAGACTGAAAGGAGTACATGTTTCCAAAGCAGCTTTAATTCACGTCTCTGCTGAGGGTGATTACAATAGTAGGAAGCAGGAGGCAGGTCTTAGGCTATAGCAAGAGGTACAGGCAATAGCCTCTGTGGCACAGGATTGAGATACCTGTTCATAAGACATCTTCGGAGGCTGTGTCACTAGACACAGCCCCACTCTTATCAGCATGGGGTGCCAGAAACATGAGACTCAATGGGAAAATAAAATTAAGAGGATTTGAATATGTTATAAAGGAAAGGCACTTTGAGTAAAACATTAATTGGGGCTGCCATCATGTGAAGATTTTTAAACTTTTGTAGAACCCAGAGGTGTTGCAAATGCCGCTCTCTGAGAAAGCAGATAGTATGCAGAAGTGGCTCTTCCTCTGATATTGGAAGTAAAAGATTAACTTCTTGATGGCTGACTTCTCCCAACTGAGTTTAAGCTCACAATTTCCTGACTCCTGAAAATTGGCTGTGACTGCCACCAAACTGTATCCAGAAACCCAACCATTTGTCACCTCCCCTGCTATCACATTGGTCCAAGCCACAATCATGTCTTCTTTAGATTATTGCAACAGTTTCCTAAATGGTCTTCCTGCTGCTGCACTTACCCTTTAGAGTCTCTTCTCAGCAAAGCATCCAGGTGATCGTGTTAATTCAAGTCAGTACCTTGTTCTGTACCCTGCACTGGCTTCCTATCTCATCAGAATGAACACTACATGGTCTGCCCTCTGTATCCCCCTGATCTCATCTCATCACTCTTCACCTTGCTCACTGCACTCCAGCCACATAGGATTCCTTGCTGTTTTGTAAACACTCCAGGAATACTCCTGCCTCCTGTTTTTGCATTTGCTATTTCCTCCACCCTAAAATGATCATTCACTACATAGGCACATGGCTTGCTCTTTAACATCCTCTAGGTTTTTATTCAAAATAGTCTCCCTGGCTCTCCTAGCTAAAATTCTAATCCCCTCTCAACATCTCATAACTCCATTCTTTTATTTTTTTCTCCTTATCATGTCACTAATATGTTAAATATTTAATTATCTTATTTAAAAAAGGTCTTCCCCAAAAGAATGCAATTTTGCTCCATGAAGGCAAGAATCTTTGTCTGTTTTATTAGCTGCTAGAATATCTCCTGATACATAGTAGGTATTCAGTAATTATTTGCAGTATGAATGAATGAATGAATCCTGATGAGACAAGCCTGGATTATCTCCATCCACCTATCGTTATGCAGATAACTTTGATATGGTCTTTGGACTCACCAAGTGATGTGATCTGGAACCATAATTTTCCTATAGTATCAACATTACAATCTAGGGATTAGCTTGCTTTCCAAATTGCATAGTGACTGAGCTAGAACTCTTATAATTCAGTATGTTCTAGGAATTCTTTGGACTTTATTTTATTAAGTGGGGATCATGAAAACAAATTCTGAGTTCTTGAAGGAACTGCATCCATTCTAGGAACTGCGCTACTGAGGGAAACGAACACCACATCTGCCTTCTCTTGACCAGGACTGAGTAGAGTAAGAAATGAGGAAAGACAAGTTTTGTACTTTAATTTTTTTAAACTTTAACTCATAAAGTCAAAAGAATTTGATTTAGGGCTTTAATCTCTTTGGGTTTTAACTTATTTAGACTTAACTTGCAAGGGAATCTAATATTTTTTACTGTAATTTCTCCCTGGAATTTGATAATGGGAAGAAGTCTATATTCAGATGTGAAGCATCTTATTATTTTATATATTTTATACATAATATGTATACTTTTATATTATATATAATTATATATTTTAACATATATAATCATATATGTTTTATATGTATAAAATACAGACAGGATCTTGCTTTATATTCATATAATTATATATTTTTAACATATATAATCATATTTTATATATATAAAATTTTTTTTTGCCTTTTTTAAATTTTATTATTATTATACTTTAAGTTTTAGGGTACATGTGCACAACGTTCAGGTTTGTTATATATGTATACATGTGCCATGTTGGTGTGCTTCACCCATTAACTCGTCATTTAGCATTAGGTATATCTCCTAATGCTAACCCTCCCCGCTCCCCCTACCCCACAACAGTCCCTGGTGTGTGATGTTCCCCTTCCTGTGTCCATTTTATATATATATATATAATAGAGACAGGGTCTCGCTGTATGACCCAGGCTTAAGTGCACCCAGGCTCATAGCTCACTGCAGCCTCCAACACCTGAGCTGAAGAGATCCTCCTGCCTCAGTCTCCCAGGCAGCTGGAACTACAGGCACATGCCAGCAAGCTTGGCCAATTTTTAAATTTTTTGTAGAGATGAAGTCTCACCATGTTGCCCAAGTTGGTCTCAAACTCCTGGCCTCAGTGATCCTTCCACCTCAGCCTCCCAAAGTACTAGGATTACAGGCATGAGCCACTGTGCCTGCCTTGTTATATACACTATTATTGGGGTATTTTTATGCTGTCATTCAGTGCCATTGTAGAACTTCTGATGGGCTATATACATGTTACATCCATGAAAATCCACTGCTCACACTTCCTGCTGTGAGGATCATAATGGACTGATGGCCTCTGGACCCATCATCATGTTCACACTGAGGCCACACTTCCTGCTAGCTGCTTCTACCAATGACTGAAGATGACTAGGGTACTAAAACATGCCCATTCCAGTGAAATAGAACTCTTCCAACAAGGAACTTTGGCTGAAGGATTTTCCATCAGCCAGGTTTAACCTTTCTAAGAACTGCTGCATTGCAGTCTAAGATTCTTCCTACCCAGTTGTCCTTCCTTCCCTCTCTTCTTGCACAGATGTCAGACCTACACCATGCTTTGGAGGCATTCCCTGCCTTCACCTGCTCCCCCTGCCAATAAATCTCTTCCATTTCTCATCCTTTCTTGGCGTCTGCTTCTCAGTGGACCCAAAGTTACATACTATATAATAGGACAACTTGGCTAGACATCATCTGGGGTGGGAAATTGATTTTCAGCCAGGGGTACAATGTTGCCTACAAGTTAATTTATCTAATGTATTACTCTGGCCTATTTCAGAGCATTCTGGGGTCAGAAGCAACCCTGGACAGTACCAGGAGGACCCACAGAGCATCACAATTAGTGTTAGGAGAACAGCCTTGTGAAAGTAAGAATAGAATTATCTTGATAGTCTGCTGATCTCTTCTCCACAAGAGGATAGCTACAGCTTGATGGAATATAGGCTAAATGGTCAAGCCCAATGTATTAAAAGAATTAGAGTCTGGGAAATGTTCAGAGCTAAAACTTTTCCTCTACTCCAGTGTTTCTTTCCTTGTGGAAAGAGCTTCACTGGCACAATACTCCTGTCGGCTCTCTGCCAACCTCTCTCACTCCTCCCCAGGGAAACACTGGTGACTTTCCTTATTGATAAGTTTGGAAGAAGAATTTTACAATGCTCATCTCAGCTCCTTCCTCCTTCATTTTAACATAATATCCACAGAGAGTATGCACTCTATTCTGTTCCTCTATATCATATATTTTACAGGGGCAGGCTCCTGCACAGGGAGACCAGCAGGTCCAGCTGGTCTGTATGCCTGGGGCTATGTGTCAGTAAGCCTATTATTCCCACACATCTAAGCCACATCCTCAATTCTGGCCTTTAGCAGCTTATCAGGTGATATTGTGACTGCTATTTATTTTTTCCTTTTTGCCTTATAATTGATACAGAATTCCAGTGGAGAGAAGATACTATATTCCCTTTTTACCTAGCAGAAAACAGGTGTATCAACTTCTACAAGATTATACAGCTAATAAATGTCAGAATTAAAAATCAAGAAAAAGTCCTTAGCCTCTCTGCTTTTTAATGTTGCCATTTCTTTTTATAGCTCTGTTTCATGATAAAGGCTTTTGATGCACATGAATTAGAAACATCCAATTACTGAATACATCAGTAGTTTTGATAAGGTTTGGTCCTGTAGGCCTGCATTTATTTATCCTGGATTTTTAAGGTTTTTAAACTATTAAATTGTTACATTTGAAATCTCTCCCTGAGGGTCTTGACAAATATTTCAAAACAGATTCTTTTTTTTTTTTTCTTTTTTTCTTTTTCATTCAGACAGGGTCTCACTCTGTAGCTTAGACTGGAGTGCAGCAGTGTGAACACAGCTCACTGCAGCCTTGACCTCCCTGGGCCCAGGTGATCATCCTGAAAAGAGGTGATTTCATTTCCCAACTTCAGACTATACTATAAAGCTACAGTAACCAAAACAGCATGGTACTGGTACAGAAACACATAGACCAATGGAACAGAAGAGAGAATCCAGAAATAAAGCTGCACGCTTATAGCCATCTAATCTTCAACAAAGTTGACAAAAATAAGCAATGAGGAAAGGACTCTCTATTCAATAAATTGTGCTGAGATAGCTGGCTAGCCATATGCAGGGCAATGAAACTGAGCCCCTACATTTTACCATATACAGAAATTAACTCAAGATGGATTAAAAATTTAAATGTAAGACCAGAAACTAGAAGAATTCTAGAAGAAAATCAAGGAAATGCCATTCTAGACATTGGCCTTGGGAAAGAATTTATGACGTTCTAAAAAGCAATTACAGCAAAAGCAAACATTGACAAGTGACACCTAATTAAACTAAAGAGATTCTGCATAGCAAAAGAAACTATCAACAGAGTAAACATACAACCTACACGTTGGGAGAAAACGTGAATATTTTCATATTTGCAAAGTATGCATCCAATAGAAGTCTGATATCCAGAATCTATGTGGAACTTAAACAATTGAACAAGCAAAAAACAAATAACCCTAATTAAAAATAGGCAAAAGAAGCCAGGCACAGTAGCTCATGCCTATAATCCCAGCACTTTGGGAGGCTGAGGCAGGAGAATTGCTTGATTCCAGGAGTTTGAGACCAGCCTGGGCAACATAGTGAGACCCCGTCTCTATAAAAAATAAACAAAGTTAGCGCCAGGCATGGTGTTGCATGCCTGTAGTCCTAGCTACTTGGGAGGCTGAGATGGGAGGATCACTTGAGCCTGGGCGATTGAGGCTGCAGTGAGCCAAGATCACGCCGTTGTATTCCAACCTGGGTGACAGAGTGAGACTCTGTCTCAAAAAAATAAAAAAATTAATGGACAAAAAAGACATGAACAGACCACTTCCCAAAAGAGGACACAGAAGTGGCTGGGAAACATGAAAAGATGCTCCACATCGCTATCCTCAGAGAAATGCAAATCAAAACTGCAGTGATATACCATCTCACACCAGTCATAATGGCTATTATTAAAAGTCAAAAAACAACAGCTGTTGGCAAGGCTTCAGAGAAAAGGGAGCACTTATACACTGTTGATGGGAATGCGAATTAGTTCAGCCACTGTGGAAAGCAGTTGGAGATTTTTCAAAGAACTTAAAACAACTATTACTCAACCTAGCAATCCCATTACTAGGTATATATCCAAAAGAAAATAAATTCTTCTACCAAAAATGCATATGTATTCTCATGTTCATCACAGCACTATTCACAATAGCAAAGACATGGAATCAACCTAGATGCTCATCAGTGGTGGATTGGATAAAGAAAATGTGGTACATATAATAACCCATGGAATACTACACAGCCATAAAAGGATGAACTCATGTTCTTTGCAGCAATTAGAGGTCATTATCCTAAGCAAATTAACACAAGAAGAGAAAACCAATTACCACATGTTCTCACTTATAAGTAGGAGCTAAACATTGGGTACTTATGGACATAAAGACGGCAGCAGTAGACTCTGGGAATTACCAGAGGAAGGAGGGAGGGAAGGGGGCAAGGGTTGAAAAACTATTAGGTACTATACTCCTTACCTGGATGATGGGATTATTCATACCCCAAACCTCAGCATCACATAATATATTCAGGTACAAACCTGTACATGTACCTCTAACTCAAAAAAGTTGAAAATAATTAATTTTTAAAAAGAGGTGATTTCAAGAAAAATCTAACTTCTAACTACCTTTTTTTCTCATGTGACCTCTAGCATATTACAAGGAATGGACTAAAATTGCATGTGCCCCAAATATTTTTATCTTTGCATTGGGGCCCTAGAAAGGCCTGAATATAGAGATGTCACATATATTCTACAGAATATAACAGTCAAGAAAGTAGAATTAGGCTGGGCACAGTGGCTCACATCTGTAATCCCAACACTTTGGGAGGCCGAGGTGGGTGGATCATTTGAGGTCAGTGGTTCAAGACCAGCCTGGGCAACATAGTGAAACCCTGTCTCTACTAAAAATACAAAAAAATTAGCCGGGCGTGGTGGCATATGCCTGTAATCCCAGCTACTCAGGAGGCTGAGGCAGGATAATCACTTGAACCCAGGAGGTGGAGGCTGCAGTGAGCTAAGAATGAATATGAATATTTACTTCAAACTCTACCTCTCTCAGCTTACTGGAAAGGACATTTAGTAGTTAGAAGAAATGTATTTTAATGGTGGGAAGAGTTTGCTAAGAATGATTTTCAGAGTATTTTGTAGGGATCCAACAGAAGACTATATGCTAACTTTCTCAAAAGAGAGTTAAGCATCAGTCTTTTTTCTCTTGTAAAGGAATCAAGCCACAAGCTGTATCCCTGTCACCAGATCTATGGAATTAAAACTTCTCTTTGTATTTGAATTCCTGGAATATTTCTTGATACTGATTTCCAATTCATAATTTTATAGATCTGTTTTCCCTGTCACTACATTTCTGCATTTTGTATAAATACTTAATTTGTTTCTTGAATTTGTAATTAAACAGTCAACCAGCTTAAGTCCAATAAGAATCTACTGAAGCTAAATATTTGCTGCTTTTAGTAAGCCTAATAATTTCCATCTTTGTCTTACTTGAATAATTAGCTAGGAATATTTGATGTTTAGTCTGTGCATGGAATATTTTGTAAGGTATTAGAACCCTTGCAAATAACAGGAAAATTCAGCACAAAACACTGTGACACACACCTAAGCACTTTGAGTCAGTGGACTCATCGGGTGCAATAAAAAACAACTTTTCCATCTCTCCTCATTGCCCATTTTGAGGAGGAAGTGGTCCTTTGCTTGAAAGAAATCTAGAGCAGATCACTCCTAGATAATAAAGTCATCTGATTACATCTCGTCATATGGATAGTCCTCTTTTGTTAATTAAAAGTTCAGTAATTTAAGTGTGAGAGTCAAAGTTCCAAATTTCATTTAAAATTTCTCCCCTTAACAAAGTGCTTACAGTGGAAGAGGGGTGCTTAGCTGGCTTCATCTCTCTTTACCTACCTGGTGAATTACTTCTCCTTCCTTACTCACCATCAGGCTGCCTCTGGATCCTCCAGGGTTAAAACAGTGAGAGGAATAAGAGGGAGCAGGAAATGTCTTACCTGACTGGCACCAATGTAATTTTGCGTTGGTTACCTCTAGCTGTGGCAAATATTTAAAGCCAGCTCTTTCTGGCTGATGTTCCAAGCTGATGATTCTTCTCACAGTTGCTTTCATGGGTACATTGGAAGCCCCCACATCAAACCCCCACATCTATAGTGTGGGTGAAACATTGACCTTCAACTGGTTACTTATGTCTCCCCGCACAGCCATGGAAATCAGGTGAACCCATCCTGTATTGGGGTCACTTGATCTTTCTGAGCGGAACTCACGTGAAATCTGAAATGGCTCCAGGTCTGCTGAGCCCACACCTAATCCATGAGAAACACTCACCATCTTTGTTCCTGCTTTCAGTGTAAATTCAGTTAGTACTCAATGCAGGCTGGGTTCTGCCTTTCTCTATATATTTACCTGCACTTTAGACCAGTATCTGCAGCCTCTTGTCTTGCACATCCAAGTTTATTTATTTAAACTTTATCACCGCCAACAGCCATTTTTAGTACCTTCCAAAAGGCTACTCCAAGATTATGAGCATGACTTTCTACTCCTCCCATCAAAAAAAGGTCAAATTTCATACACTTTGTAGACTGTAAAATTACAAGAAAAATAATATATATACATATACATATATAGAAATCAGTTTCTATTACTATGATTTTTTTTTCATACCTCTGGAAGTCTAAAAGGAGCTGGAAAGCCTGGCCCAGAGCTCTCCACCCAATGAATGTACCAGGTCAAGGAAGATAATATAAAACAAAGTCCACTCTTTTCTCCCAAACAAATGTCCCAAAGAGGTGGTGATAAATGAGACAGTTTTCCTTGCTACTCCCAAAAAGCTTGGTGATAGCTCAGCCTTTTCATGGCCAAGACAGTTTTGCCCAGGTGTCTAGTTCTGGGAAACGGTCTCTATCACATAACTGAAATTCCCTCTCCAATTGTAATTTAGTGTTCATGAGTTTCTCCATCCTGCTGGATCCTCTTGCTCTAATGGGAGGGATCTAAAAAATAGATGTGCCATTATAGATGGTTCTACTGAGCCGGAGCTAGGACCCACTTATGCATGTGTGCTATGCTGGGTGTGAAGTATGAAGCCATGAATCTATAGTGAGGAACCAATGAGGGCTCTATGTAAAGAATGAGAGGATTGACTAAATTTAGGGTAGACGTTAAAGGTGGAGAATGGTGAAGGGTGCGGGTAAACATTGATATCCTTACCTTTTTCTGACAGTAAGCCCTTCACAAGATTTTCTCATGCATGAGGTTATTTGGCATGGACCTTGACAGAATTCTCATTTAGCAAAATTGTTATGTACATAGGTATTGAGAGTTAGACAACTTGGATTTTAATCTCATTCTTTCACTTACTAGATATATGGCCTCGGACAAGTTACCTGAGCAAGTTCATGGAGTTGGGAGTAAGGGTGTTCACTTTTGCTTCTTAAGGCATCTATAAATCTTTTAAACTCTGATTCTGAAGCCCATGACATCCTGATTTTCCCCAAAGTGAGCATGTAGACAGGATTATGTGATCACGAAGAACCCCTTGTTCTATTTACATTAAGCCTCCATTCACCCAGAGTTACCAGCTCAAGAGACTGAGTCGGAGAGAGTTTACATCTTCTCCAGGCCATATCTAGAGGCTTTCAGGCAATAATGCAGGTAGCTAGATTTGTGTTTTGAGGTGGAAGAACGGCAGCCTTTGGTGGGTTTCAAGTGCAAATTTCATCCCAGACCCAGGGATAGTTATGTAGCTGGGCATCCAGGAGGCTAGAACTTAGTTTAGGAACAGGAAAGAATCCCTAAAATCCTTGTCTGTAGTAGTTTGGGGATTTTTACTCCAGTATTACACCATTGATCTGTCAGCTACTCCTCTCATGTTTGTTTCCAACACAAGTCCCACTCCCCCCAGTTTAGGCAGCACCCTTGAGTTAGCACTGACCCATTTGTGTTGCAAGACCCCGTGCATGTTGCTTGTGTAAATGATGTTTGGCTCCTTACTCCTGAAATAGCCAACTGGCAGTCACCTGAAATAGGGAGTCAAAGCTGAATTTCTAAAATGGAATAATGCATGACATAATGCTATTTACTGGGAATGAGTGATTTGTTTCCCTGTCTAAACTTTAATTTCTTTAACAGTGCTTCCAAGATATTTGGTTTTAAAAAAAACACATAAGAATACTAAACAAAAAATTGGAACTACACAAAAGTGGGAAAGAATGCCAATGTGAAAGCCAGAAATAAAGAAATGTTGGAGCATTCCAAGATGGCCAAATAGGAACAGCTCCTGTCTGCAGCTCCCAGCAGGATCGACGCAGAAGATGGGTGATTTCTGCATTTCCAACTGAGGTACCTGGTGCATCTCACTGGGACTGGTTGAACAGTGGGTGCAGCCCACAGAGGGCGAGCAGAAACAGGGTGGGGCATAACCTCACCTGGGAAGCACAAGGGGTCAGGGGATTTCCCTTTCCTAGCCAAGGGAAGCCATGACAGACTACCTGGGAAAATGGGACACTCCCGCTCAAATACAGTGCTGTTCCCAAGGTCTTAGCAACCAGCAGACAAGGTGATTCTCTTCCGTGCCTGGCTCGGCGGCTCCCACACCCACAGAGCCTTGCTCACTGCTAGCTCAGCAGTCTGAGATTGATCTGCGAGACAGCAGCCTGGCTCGGGGAGGGGCATCCACCATTGCTGAGGCTTGAGTAGGTAAAAAAGCGGTGGGAAACTCGAACTGAGCGGAGCCCACAACAGCTTAACAAGGCCTACTGCCTCTAGACTTCACCTCTGTGGGCAGGGCATAGCTGAACATAAGGCAACGGACAACTTCTGCAGACTTAAACGTCCCTGTCTCATAGCTCTGAAGAGAGCAGTGGTTCTCCCAGCATAGCGTTTGAGCTCTGAGAACGGACAGACTGCCTCCTCAAGTGGATCCCTAACCTCCGTGTAACCTAACTGGGAGACACCTCCCAGTAGTGGCCAACAGACACCTCATATAGGTGGCTGCCTCTCTGGGACGAAGCTTCCAGAGGAAGGACCAGACAGCAATGTATGCTGTTCTGCAGCCTCTGCTGGTGACACCCAGGCAAATAGGGTCTGGAGTGGAACTCCAGCAAACTCCAACAGACCTGCAGCTGAGGGACTTGACTGTTAGGAGGAAAACTAACAAACAGAAAGGAATAGTATCAACATCAACAAAAAGGTCATCTACACCAAAACCCCATCTGTAGGTCACCAACATCAAAGACCAAAGGTAGATAAAACCACAAAGATGGGGAGAAACCAGAGCAGAAAAGCTGAAAATTCTAAAACTCACAGTGCCTTTTCTCCTCCAAAGGAACACAGCTCCTAGCCAGCAACGGAACAAAGCTGGGCAGAGAATGACTTTGATGAGTGGACAGAAGTAGGCTTCAGAAGGTCGGTAATAACAGACTTCTCCGAGGTAAAGGAGGATGTTCAAACCCATCTCGAGGAAGCTAAAAACCTTGAAAAAAGATTAGACAAATGGCTAACTAGAATAAACAGCAGAGAGAAGACCTTAAATGACCTGATGGAGCTGAAAACCATGGTACGAGAACTTCGTGATGCATGCACAAGCTTCAATAGCCAATGTGATCAAGTGGAAGAAAGGGTATCAGTTACTGAAGATCAAATTAATGAAATAAAGTGAGAAAACAAGATTAGAGAAAAAAGAGTAAAAAGAAATGAACAAAGCCTCCAAGAAATATGGGACTATGTGAAAAGACCACATCTATGTCTGATTGGTGTACTTGAAAGTGACGGGGAGAATGGAGCCAAGTTGGAAAACACTCTTCAGGATATTATCCAGGAGAACTTCCCCAACCTAGCAAGGCAGGCCAACATTCAAATTCAGGAAATACAGAAACCACTATAAAGATACTCCTCAAGAAGAGCAACTCCAAGGCACATAATTGTCAGATTCACCAAAGTTGAAATGAAGGAAAAAATGTTAAGTGCAGCCAGAGAGAAAGGTTGGGTTACCCACAAAGGGAAGCCCATCAGACTAACAGCGGATCTCTCAGCAGAAACTCTAAAAGCCAGAAGAGAATGGGGGCCAATATTCAACATTCTTAAAGAAAAGAATTTTCAACCCAGAATTTCATATCCAGCCAAACTAAGCTTCATAAGTGAAGGAGAAATAAGATCCTTTACAGAAAAATGCTGAGAGATTTTGTCACCACTGAGCCTGCCTTACAAGAGCTCCTGAAGGAAGCACTAAACATGGAAAGGAACAACCGGTACCAGCCACTGCAAAAACATGCCAAATTGTGAAGATCATCAATGCTAGGAATAAACTGCATCAAATAATGAGCAAAATAACCAGCTAACATCATAATGACAGGATGAAATTCACACATAACATATTAACCTTAAATGTAAATGGGCTAAATGCTCCAATTAAAAGACACATACTGGCAAACTAGATAAAGAGTCAAGACCCATCAGTGTGCTGTATTCAGGAGACCCATCTTATGTGCAGAGACATACGTAGGCTCAAAATAAGGGAAGGAGGAAGATCTACCAAGCAAATGGAAAAAAAAAAGCAGGGGTTGCAATCCTAGTCTCTGATAAAACAGACTTTAAACCATCAAAGATCAAAAGAGACAAAGAAGGCCATTAAATAATGGTAAAGGGATTAATTCAACAAGAAGAGCTAACTGTCCTAAATATATATGCAACCAATACAGGAGCACCCAAATTCATAAAGCAAGTCCTTAGAGACCTACAAAGAGACTTAGACTCCCACACAATAATAATGGGAGACAAACACCCCACTGTCAACATTAGACAGATCAACAAAACAGAAAGTTAACAAGCATATCCAGAAATTGAACTCAGCTCTGCACCAAGCGGACCTTATAGTCATCTACCGAACTCTCCACCCCAAATCAACAGAATATACATTCTTCTCAGCATCAATCACACTTATTCCAAAATTGACCACATATTTGGAAGTAAAGCACTCCTCAGCAAATGTAAAAGAACAGAAATTATAACAAACTGTCTCTCAGACCACAGTGCAATCAAATTAGAACTCAGGACTAAGAAAATGACTAAAAACCACACAACTACATGGAAACTGAACAACTTGCTCCTGAGTGACTACTGGGTAAATAACGAAATGAAGGCAAAAATAAAGATGTTTTTTGAAACCAGTGAGAACAAAGACACAACATACCAGAATCTCTGGGACACACTCAAAGCAGTGTGTAGAGGGAAATATATAGCACTAAATGCCCACAAGAGACAGCAGGAGATATCTAAAAACAACACCCTAACATCACAATTAAAAGAACTAGAGAAGCAAGAGCAAACACATTCAAAAGCTAGCAGAAGGCAAGAAATAACTAAGATCAGAGCAGAACTGAAAGAGATAGAGACACAAAAAAACCTTCAAAAAGTCAATGAATCTAGGGGCTGGTTTTTTGAAAAAGATCAACAAAATAGATAGGATAGACCGCTAGCAAGACTAATAAAGAAGAAAAGAGAAGAATCAAATAGATGCAATAAAAAATGATAAAGGGGATATCACCACCAATCCCACAGAAATACAAACTACCATCAGAGAATGCTATAAACACCTCTACGCAAATAAACTAGAAAATCTAGAAGAATTGGATAAATTCCTGGACACATACACCCTCCCAAGACTAAACCAGGAAGAAGTTGAATCTCTGAATAGACCAATAACAGGCTCTGAAATTGAGGCAATAATTAATAGCCTACCAACCAAAAAAAGTCCAGGACCAGATGGATTCACAACCGAATTCTACCAGAGGTACAAGGAAGAGCTGGTACCATTCCTTTTGAAACTATTCCAATCAATAGAAAAAGAGGGAATCCTCCCTAATTCATTTTATGAGGCCAACATCATCTTGATACCAAAGCGTGGCACAGACACAACAAAAAAAGTAATTTTAGACCAATATCCCTGATGAACATCAATGCAAAAATCTTCAATAAAATACTGGCAAACCGAATCCAGCAGCACATCAAAAGGCTTATCCACCATGATCAAGTTGGCTTCATCCCTGGGATGCAAGGCTGGTTCAATATACGCAAATCAATAAACGTACTCCATCACATAAACAGAACCAAGGAGAAAAACCACGTGATTATCTCAATAGATGCAGAAAAGGCCTTCGACAAAATTCAACAGCCCTTCATGCTAAAAACTTTCAATAAACTAGGTATTGATGGAACGTATTTCAAAATAATAAGAGCTATTTATGACAAACCCATAACCAATATCATACTGAATGGGCAAAAACTGGAAGCATTCCCTTTGAAAACTGGCACAAGACAGGGATGCCCTCTCTCACCACTCCTATTCAACATAGCGTTGGAAGTTCTGGCCAGGGCAATCAGTCAAGGGAAAGAAATAAAGGGTATTCAATTAGGAAATGAGGAAGTCAAATTGTACCTGTTTGCAGATGACATGATTGTATATTTAGAAAACCCCATCGTCTCAGCCCAAAATCTCCTTAAGCTGATAAGCAACTTCAGCAAAGTCTCAGGATACAAAATCAATGTGCAAACATCACAAGCATTCCTATACACCATTAAAAGACAAACAGAGAGCCAAATCATGAGTGAACTCCCATTCACAATTGCTACAAAGAGAATAAAATACCTAGCAATCCAACTTACAAGGGACGTGAAGGACCTCTTCAAGGAGAACTACAAACCACTGCTCAAGGAAATAAAAGAGGACACAAGCAAATGGAAGAATATTCCATGTTCATGGATAGGAAGACTCAATATCATGAAAATGGCCATAATGCCCAAAGTAATTTATAGATTCAATGCCATCTCCATCAAGCTACCAATGACGTTCTTCACAGAATTGGAAAAAATTACTTTAAAGTTCATATGGAACCAAAAAAGAGCTCTTATTGCCAAGACAATCCTAAGCCAAAAGAACAAAGCTGGAGGCATCACACTACCTGACTTCAAACTATACTACAAGCCAACAGTAACCAAAACAGCATGGTACTGGTACCAAAACAGAGACATAGACCAATGGAACAGAACAGAGGCTTCAGAAATAATACCACACATCTACAACCATCTGATCTTTGACAAACCTGACAAAAACAAGCAATAGGGAAAGGATTTCTCTATTTCATAAATGGTGCTGGGAAAACTGGCTAGCCATATATAGAAAGCTGAAACTGGATCCCTCCCTTACACCTTATACAAAAATTAATTCAAGATGGATTAAAGACTTAACTGTTAGACCTAAAACCATAAAAACCCTAGAAGAAAACCTAGGCAATACCATTCAGGACATAGGCATGGGCAAGGACTTCATGACTAAAACACCAAAAGCAATGGCAGCAAAAGCCAAAATTGACAAATGAGATCTAATTAAACTCAAGAGCTTCTGCACAGCAAAAGAAACTACCATCAGAGTAACAGTCAACCTACAGAATGGGAGAAAATTTTTACAATCTACCTATCTGACAAAGGGCTAATATCCAGAATCTACAAAGAACTCAAACAAATTTACAAGAAAAAAACATCAAAAAGTGGGTAAAGGATATGAACAGACACTTCTGCAAAGAAGACATCTATGCAGCCAACAGACACATGAAAAAATGCTCATCATCACTGGTCATCAGAGAAATGCAAATCAAAACCACAATGAGATACCATCTCATGCTAGTTAGTATGGCAGTCATTAAAAAGTCAGGAAACAGCAGATGCTGGAGAGGATGTGGAGAAATAATGCTTTTACACCGTTGGTGGGAGTGTAAATTAGTTCAACCATTGTAGAAGACAGTGTGGTGATTCCTCAAGGATCTAGAACTAGAATTACCATTTGACCCAGCAATCCCATTACTGGGTATATACCTCAAGGATTGTAAATAATGCTACTGTAAAGACACATGCACACGTATGTTTATTGTGGCACTATTCACAATAGCAAAGACTTGGAACCAACCCAAATGTCCATCAATGATAGACTGGATTAAGAAAATGTGGCACATATACACCATGGAATACTATGCAGCCATAAAAAAGGATGAGTTC
Source organism: Homo sapiens (assembly GCF_000001405.40). Taxonomy (NCBI): domain Eukaryota; kingdom Metazoa; phylum Chordata; class Mammalia; order Primates; family Hominidae; genus Homo; species Homo sapiens. The sequence continues at coordinate 14,595,080 of NC_000011.10, read as the reverse complement.
ATGTCCTTTGCAGGGACGTGAATGAAGCTGGAAACCATTCTCAGCAAACTGTCATAAGGATAGAAAATCAAACAGTGCGTGTTCTCACCCATAGGTGGGAATTGAACAATGAGATCACTTGGACACAGGGTGGGGAACATCACACATTGGGGCCTGTTGGGGGTTGGGGGCTGGGGGAGGGATAGCATTAGGAGAATTACCTAATGTAAATGATGAGTTGATGAGTGCAGCAAACCAACATGGCACATGTATACCTATGTATCAAACCTGCACGTTGTGAACATGTACCCTAGAAATTAAAGTATAATAAAAAAAAGAAACGTTATGCATTTTTTCAACCCATAAGTAGACCCATATAAGTTACCTTTAACTGTAATATGAATGATAACTAGAAGCTAACATTGTGCTATGGAAAAATAATTCCAAGTAAGTTAAAATGTTGTATTATGGTCAATATATGTGGTAAATCTCTTATTTAAAACACAAGGAAAGACATCTACAATTTTGATTAACAGAAAATCAGATATTCTCATCCCCATTAAATCAATATTGAACACTTATTTACTGAATATTGGGTTAAAGGAGTACGAAATGTTTTTTTGCATGGGAACCTACATGTCTTGGTCTAGACATGATGGAAATGTAAAGCTGAACCCCCCCCTTCCCTGTGCCAACAATTTATCAAGCTTATTAGTATCTTTTACTGCAGAGATGTAGATCTCTCTATTTGGACTTCCCACTGTTGTAGTGCTCCTTCCAAATGCTCACACTCTGACCTGTGTGAACATATGGAGGGGATATGAGGGGTTCTATTTCCTAACTATATCAGTTGAGATGCTTTGGTCACCAGTAACAGAAAAACTTAAGAAAATTGCTTTAATAATAAGAAACATTTATTACTTCACATAAGAAGAAGTCCAGATGAGAATGTAGGTTGGCCAAGGAATGTCATCATGAATCAGGTTCTTTCCATTCTTCAGCTCTGCCATTCTCATTATTAACATTAGCTTTGTCCAACATCTCTTCCTATGTGCCTCTTTTCCATGAAGAGGTAAACCTTTCCTAGAAGTCCCCAGGCAGACTTGCCTTTATGTCTCACTGACCACAACTGCGTAAGGCAACCTATTCATTCCTACAGCATTTACTGGTGAGGGGAGCAATTGGCTTAGGGAAGCACAGGCTAAGGGCCTGAGGGTGAATTACAAGGCAAGATACAGTGTTCTGTTAGAAAAGAGGAAGAAAGAGAATGAATTTTGAGTAAACAACACCAATGTCTACTCACCCACTGGAGATTTACATGCCAAAATTAACTTTCTGCTGCCTTACCCAGGACCACATACTGAATAGTCACAGATTTTGCTGAAAGAAAGCCGATCTTTGTGCCTTTCTCTTATTAGGACCACACATTAGGGCTGGCGCTCTCTCTCTCTCTCTCTCTCTCTCTCTCTCTCTCTCTCTCTCTCTCTCATTTTTCCTCCTCTATTACTTTCTTTGACAGTAACCCCGGAATGTCTTTGCTTTTCCATTCAGCAGACCTCTCTTCCTTCTTCCCACCATGGCTCTTAGGCATGTTAGGTGACATGCCTTGAATTACAATGAAGTTATGTTAGACCTGTAAAGAAAGCTCTAACAACTTCCAAGTCAAAAGGGCTAGAACCTTATGGAAGCATTTTCAAAAGTATATCCATAAAATTCTAGGAACTTCCCACAAAGAAGAAGCTTCTGTGGTCAGGTAAATTTGGGCAGCGTTGTAGATGCTTTCCTTCTCTTGCAGATTGTAGATATACAAGGCTCTCAGAAGTCTTCAGTTACGTAAACTAACTCAGAATGAGTCCTGGAATCAAAATGCCTGTGTTCAAATCTGGGCTCTGCCACTTTCTAGCTATGTAAGCTCTTTAAAGCTCTGTTTTCTCATTTGAGATAAGGGAATTCTATGGTACTATTTAATTGGGGTTGCTATGAGAAGTGGGTGAGATAATTCATCTGAGGCTTTCAACACAGTGTTTTGTACATTCACTCATTTAACAATTATTGTGTCAAGGGCCCAGGTCTCAAGGAGCCTACATTCTAATGGAGGAGGGAGGAGGAAGACAATAAGCAAGTAAATAAATAGAATAATTTCAGATAATGACAAGTAATATGAGAAAAGTAAAACATAATGATATTATAAAGCACAACTAGGATGAGAAGGGCTGTTTTAGATAGGAGGATTAGGAAAGGCATTTCTGAGGAAGGCATTTTATCTGAGACCTGAGATATGAGGAGACTGGAATTATTTATCCATTTATTCAGTCATTCATTCAAAAAATGTTTATTGAGTACTTACTGTATACCACAAATTGTTTTAGGCACCAGGGATAAAGCAAGAAACAAAATTCTACAAGAATATCTGCCCTGGCCGGGCACAGTGACTCATGCCTGTAATCCCAGCACTTTGGGAGGCCCAGGCGGGCGGATCACAAGGTCAGGAGGTTGAGACCATCCTGGCTAACACGGTGAAACCCCGTCTCTACTAAAAATACAAAAAATTAGCAGGGTGTGGTGGCGGGCGCCTGTAGTCCCAGCTACTTGGGACGCTGAGGCAGGAGAATGGCGTGAAACCAGGAGGTGGAGCTTGCAGTGAGCAGAGATTGCACCACTGCACTCCAGCCTGGGGAGCAAAGCGAGACTCCATCTAAAAAAAAAATATATATATATATATATAGAGAGAGAGAGAGAGAGAGAGACTGTGTCAGAGTTGAGACGGGGTCGATGAGGCTGACCCCAGCGGGTAGAAGGGACGAGGAGGAGCGAGCAGCGGAAGGTCCTGGTGTGTCCGGAATTGGTGGGTTCTTGGTCTCACTGACTTCAAGAATGAAGCCGCGGACCCTCGCGGTGAGTGTTACAGCTGTTAAGGTGGCGCGTCTGGAGTTTGTTCCTTCTGATGTTCAGATGATGTGTTCAGAGTTTCTTCCTTGTGGCGGGTTCGTGGTCTCACTGGCTCAGGAGTGAAGCTGCAGACCTTCGCAGTGAGTGTTACAGCTCTTAAGGCAGCATGTCTGGAGTTGTTCCTTCCTCCCGGTGGGCTCATGGTCTCGCTGGGCTCAGGAGTGAAGCTGCAGATCTTCGCAGTGAGTGTTACAGCTCATAAAAGCAGCGTGGACCTAAAGAGTGAGCAGTAGCAAGATTTATTGCAAAGACCAAAAGAACAAACCTTCCACAGTGTGGAAGGGGACCCGAGCGGGTTGCCACTGCTGGCTGGGGCAGCCTGCTTTTATTCTCTTATCTGGCCCCACCCACATCCTGCTGATTGGTAGAGCCAAGTGGCCTGTTTTAACAGGGCGCTGATTGGTGCCTTTACAATCCCTGAGCTAGATACAAAGGTTCTCCACCTCCCCATCAGATTAGTTAGATACAGAGTATGGACACACAGGTTCTCCGAGGCCCCAGAGCAGCTAGATACAGAGTGTCGATTGGTGCACTCACAAACCCTGAGCTAGACACAGGGTGCTGATTGGTATGTTTACAATCCCTGAGCTAGATATAAAGACTCTCCAAGGCCCCGCCAGACTCAGGAACCCAGCTGGCTTCACCCAGTGAATCCCACACTGGGGCTGCAGGTGGAACTGCCTGCCAGTCCCAGTGCCGTGCGCCCACACTCCTCAGCCCTTGGGTGGTCAATGGGACTGGGCGCCCTGGAGCAGGGGGCGGCACTCATCGGGGAGGCTCCAGCTGCCCAGGAACCCACAGAGTGGGTGGGAGGCTCAGGCATGGCGGGCTGCAGGTCCTGAGCCCTGCCCCTCGGGAAGCCAGCTAAGGTTGGGTGAGAAATTGAGCGTAGCGCCGGTGGGCTGGCACTGCTGGGGGACCCAGAGTACACCCTCTGCAGCCACTGGCCTGGGTGCCAAGTCCCTCACTGCCCAGGGCCGGCAGGGCCGGCCGGCTGCTCCGAGTGCAGGCCCACCAAGCCCATGCCCACCTGGAACTCCAGCTGGCCCGCAAGCGCTGCACGCAGCCCCGGTTCCCGCTCGCGCCTCTCCCTCCACTGCAAGCTGAGGGAGCCGGCTCTGGCCTTGCCCAGCCCAGAAAGGGGCTCCCACAGTGCAGTGGTGGGCTGAAGGGCTCCTCAAGTGCCGCTAAAGTGGGAGCCCAGGCAGAGGAGGCGCCTAGAGCGAGCGAGAACTGTGAGGACTGCCAGCACACTGTCACCTCTCACTGGGGTGTCCGCCATATAAAGTCGTTTGAGGTAACCATTGCCTAATTGTGAGTCTGTGAGAGAAGATGTGAAGTATGGCCTCGTCCCGGTCATCTGGGCGTGCGGGTCTCGGGTTTTGATCTTGCGTTTGTGTAGTTTTAACTTCTAGCCATGGCAAACGATCCCAGGGGAGCACAGACTGGACCCCGCTACGATCTCTCTTGGAGTGGATCAGACTGATGATCACCAACAACCAACTCATTCCCAGATAAGGAAGAAGAGAGTGTTACCCATTTCAATGTGGTTTCAACCCCACTTCTACATCTTAAAGACATTGTATTTTTTCAGCAGTGATGCCCCTGTTCATTAGTCCCACTGATGTTTTCATTCCTCATCTCATCTTTTTCTTAGCAGCATTCAATGAATCCTTCATTCTAGAAACACTCTGTTTTTTTGGTTTTCATGAGACCATTCTCACCTTGTTTTGTCCTGTGACTCTTTTGAAAACTAACAAACAAACAAAAAAAACCCTGTTTTTCTTTTTAAGTTCTGGTAAAAAACACAAAATGAAAATTTGCTATCTTAACCGTGTTGAATGTGCAGTTAGTAAAGTACATTCACATTGTGGTGCAAGCCATCACCACCATCCATCACTAGAACTCTTTTCATCTTGCAGATCTGAAACTCTACCCATTAAATAACTTCCCATCTTCCCATCCCCACAACTCCTAGCAACCAACATTCTACTTTCTCTATCAGTTTGACTACTCTAGGTACCTCATATGAGTAGAATCATACAGCATGTATCCTTCTCTGCCTGGCTTATTTCATTTGTATGATGTCCTCAAGGTTCATCCATGTTGTAGCATGCATCAGAACTTCCTCCCCTTTTAAAGCTGGATAATATTTCATAGTATGTTTAGACCACATTCTGTTTATCCATTCATCCATCAGTGAACACTTGTGCTCCTTCCAACTTTGGGCTGTTGGGTGTCCTGCTACTGTTGCTCCCAGTGCTCAATCTTGTTTACTCCCTCCTAATCGAGTGTACAGCGTTGGACACTGTGCAGGATGATGCCACTTCATCTTGGATGCTAATCTGCCATGTTGACTTCTGATTAACCCCAGGCCCAGGAATGCCTCAAGATTTCTACTTTATGTACTGTTGCTTGTGTAAGCCAAGACAACCTTGATGTTATCATAAACATGTACTTACCTAAGTGCTGTCCTTTGGCAAATTATGGGCTATGAGACACAGCATTCTTACCTTTCCCTGAGGGGTCAATTTCAGTGATCCTACACATTCCTTCTGAAGCACGTATGCTCTTTCTATACGGTGTGTAAGCTCTGGGTCTGGGGAGTAACAGTACAGAGATCTACCTGTCTTGTTGCCACATGTTTCTAAATTTTCCAGTAAGTCACCTTCTACTGACAAAGAAAAAAATATATATATATATAATACACACACACATATATATACACACATATATATACACATATATATATACACACACATATATATACACACACACACACACACATATATATATATATACACACACACATATATATATATATCTTCCCTAATGCACCTCAAATTCTACCATGGAAAAACAAAAAGGAAAAGGAAAATACATAGTATCCCAAGTGGTTAAGTGCTATGGGGAAAAAGAAAGTAGAAAAGGAGAAAGAATATTTAACTTCACATTTTTAAATAGGGATGCAGGGATTCCTCACAGAAAAGTTGACACATAAGCAAAGAAAGACCTGAAGGAGGTGAGGAAATAAGCCATGCAGAAATCTAGGAGAAGAGAATTCTAGGCAGAAACAGCAAGTGCAATGGCCCTGGGGCAAGAGCATGCTTGATTTATTCAAGAAAGAGTAAGAAGGGTGAATGCCTAAAGGAGGGTAAGTAAAAGGAAGGGTAGTAAGAAGTGAAGTGCCAGAAGATGTAAGGATAAGCAAAGGTCTGGAATAAAATTCCTCCAGGCAGATAGAACAGCAGCTGCAAAGGCCTTGAGTCAGAACCAGGGCGTGGTTGGCCTATTCAAGCAACAGAAAAATGGCTTATAGAGCTGGAGTAGACTGAGCAAGGGGAAGCATACAGATGAAGTCTGAGAACTTTCTGGGTCAGATCACATAAAGCCTTATTATAGGCCAGTATAAAGAATGTATATTTTTTCTAAATACATTAAAAAATAATTGGCTATAATTGCGATTATTGTGATTCATGAGACACTCGTATGCTAAACAGATGGAGAAATGCTGTTTCAAAGCCAATTTTAATGAACACTCTTGTCCATCCTTCCTATCAATCTATCCCCATGTGTTGTGGATTATGTCACAGTAGGACTATAGTAAGAACTTGATAATGGGTCTCCAAACTCTGTTTTTTCTTTCTTAAGTTACAGTTGGATTTCTGAGGTCACTCAGAAATCACTCCCCTTCTCAAAAATTTGCATTGTTTTTTTACTTGTAGGATCAAGTCCATACCCAGCAGCTATCAAGGATTTCAAGGTCTCTCCCTACATCTCCCTCCACCTACTCCTGTTAGAGGTGTTGAAATTGTGCTGTAAATGTACGTGCATGGTTATAGCTCCACCATTTAGTTCATGCCATTCCCTCAGCCCAAATTCTTCTTTCCCTCATTCTTTGCCTGTTGAAAGTTTTCTTTTCATTCAAAACCAGCAGAGCGCCTATTCCTTTCTGAAGTTTTTCCTGATATTCCCAGGCAGAGTCACTCACTCATTCCTTCAACCATGTACCTGTTGGTGTCACTTGTACCTCAGTTTGGTGTGTTTGTCAGATTGCATTTCTGCAGACTTAGTTGTTGTCACATCTCTTACTTTCATTAGATTGTAAGCACATTAAAGGCAAGGGCTGTATTTTCATCATATCTTCTAGAAGTACTACCTAACACAATTGCCAGTACAGAGTAGATGCTCAATAAGTTGCTGATTAAATTAAATTTCAGAGGAAGTAATGTGATAAACACCTTTAGGTAAAGCACTGAGACACAAAAAGAAGAAAATGGCTATGCTGTCAGGGAGTATATAAATCAATAATGGTAGCTTCCATTTATTGAGTCCTAACTATGGTATTGGCACTGTTCATATAGTATGCCATTTAACACTCATAGCAACCCAGTGAAGTAGGTGTTATAACCCCTAGTTTAAGAATGAAATTAAGTAACTTAAACAAGTTCATAGAATAAATAATAGGATTCAAACTTAGGTCCCTCCAGTTTCCAAGCCTGTGCTCTTTCACTATACATGATGTCAGCTGGGATCTAGCCAGGAAAAAAAAAGACAAAAAAAAAAAACAGGTCTTTCAGAGGAAGGGAAATTGTTTCAACAGAGGATTCATTATGCAGATGAATGGAGCAGTGAAGAAGTCGAAAAGGGAATGGTGAAGTAATTCACAGATTAGCAAAATTGGGAAGTTATTCTCCTTGTTGCAAGGGTGACACTGGGAGGAGCAGTTGTCACCAGAGCCCAGAAGCCTTGGCTGTCAGACAGAAGGAGCAAAAACCACCAGGAGAACTGCCTGAGTAGATCTGGGAGAAAGAAGGGAGAGGCTGTCCAGAGGGACACCGCCAGATTCCAAAGGACACAGGGAACAGAGTGAGAAATGGCCTGGCTTCTCTCTTCCCGTTTCCAGTCCTCCTGTGGTGCCTCTCATTGCTTTAACCTATCAAGAATGAAAGAACAAGACAGCCTGTGAGAGGCAGCAACAGAGAAGAGCAGGGAAAGGGTGGGAATGGATCTGAGACTAGTGTCAGCAAGCTACCTTTCTACCTGAAATGAAAAGAATATAAATTAAATAGCATTTAATTTGGGGCTATGATGAATGGCAAAGATATTAAGTAAATTCAAAAGAAAGAGATTGAGAGGCCGAGGCAGGCGGATCACGAGGTCAGGAGATCGAGACCATCCTGGCCAACATAGTGGAACCCTGTCTCTACTAAAAATACAAAAAATTTGCTCAGAATGGTGGCATGCACCTGTAATCCCAGCTACTAAGGAGGCTGAGGCAGGAGAATGGCTTGAATCTGGAAAGCAGAGGTTTCAGTGAGCCGAGATCGTGCCACTGCACTCCAGCCTGGTGACAGAGCAAGACTCCATCTAAAAAAAAAAGAAAGAAAGAAAGAAAGAGAGATTGATGATGGCTGCAGTAGCAAGGGAGAGATTCTTCGGTGGGGGAAAGTTATACCAATTCCTAAAAAAAGGTAGACTTTCTATGGGTGAAAAGAAGAGGGTAGGTAGGTATTCCACACAGAAAAAACTACCTAAGTATTTTCCCTTGGGCAAAGAATACTATTCATTCTTTTTAAATGTCTTTTTATTTGGGGATAAAATAGAATACCTATCATATATGTGTACAGTATAAAGAATAATGAAAAACAAACACCCACATGCATACTACCCTGGCTCAGGGAGTAACACATCATTTATCTGCATTTCCTTTTTTTTTTTGAGACAGAGTCTCACTTGGTCGCCCAGGCTGGAGTACAATGGCACGATCTCGGCTCACTGCAGCCTCTGCCTCCCGGGTTCAAGTGATTCTCCTGCCTTAGCCTCCCAAGTAGCTGGGATTACAGACATGCGCCACCATGCCCAGCTAATTTTTGTATTTTTAGTAGAGATGGTGTTTCACCATGTTGGCCAGGCTGCTCTCGAATTCCTGGCCTCAAGTAGTCCTCCAGCCTCGGCCTCCCAAAGTGCCAGGATTACCGGTGTGAGCCACCACACCTGGTCCAATTTACTTTTAAATGTATCAAAAAATAAGTGGATTAGTAGACAGAGGGATGTTAACAGATGGATAGATATGTGGTAATAAAATGTTACTAAATGGATAGGCATGAATAATAAAATGCTAATGGTAGAATCCAGGTGGCAAGATTGTAAATTTTTTCAACTGTCTTGTCTGTTTGAAAATTTTCTCAATAAAATACTGAGAAGAGAAATCCCATGCCTGAAAGATTCTAATTTAATTGGTTGTATTTGGGTCTGGACACCAGATTTTTTTTTTCTGACCACTGCAATGAAGTCTTGCAGTGGAGGGAAGAGATTGGGCTCAGCACCCCAAAACTGTTCAAGAGCTCTCTGGATAGATTCCAATGTGCAGCCAGGTTTCAGGGCTACTGCACTGCAATATGCCATGGGATCACAGAGCTAGCATGAGCAGAACAGAGAATGGGATAAGTAGGAGGGGCGAATAAAAGAGGGGCAAATTTCTGTCTGCCTATCAGAGATGAGGCCTCCAGGCTAGACTTTTATGTGCTTTCTGTGTCGGAATGGGTGGATCAACTGCATGTGAAAGAGGCAAGAGAGGTTTAGCAATTCAGCAGGGGTTACTGAGAACATAGGCTTAGCTAGGGTTCTCTGAAGTTCTTAAAAGGGGACTCAAAAGTTTATATTTAATGTAAACTTTTAATTTGGCAATGACTCATCCTTCACAATGTTTCCTATAGCTTTAAATAAGGTCATCTATTCATTCAGAATAATACTTTTAGCATGTTATCTCCCTTGAGAAGTATAACATCCACTTTCAACATATATATAGAGAGAGATGCATTTCTATGTTTTATTTTTTTAATTCATTTTTATGGAGATGAAGAAAGAGACCTGTTCAGAAAGAAGGGAAGCAGAAAGAAAATGTTATACCTTTGGCAGCCTTGGACTCCTGGGTCAGCAGAAAAGGAACAAGAGAAAGCTAGGCCTGGATAGTATAGGAACAAGCAATCGAGCCTAGTGTCAGGCTTGGAAATTTGACAATTCCAAAGAAGCATGTATAACCCAATTAATCAGTAAAGAGAGTAATTGATGCTTCCCAGAAAATGGATTTCTATACTGCCTAATCTGCAGTAACATGAATATCTTCTATAACCCTTCCCCTATCTCCAGTTATTTTAAAATCTTACTCTGAGGGTTACTGTAGTGTATAAGGTTGTTTGTCTCTACAGTAAATGATTCCAGTCCCTTTAACCATGTGAAAGGAGACAGGAACACTAGCATCTGATCCTCGTCATGGGACCCCAGCCTGTCTTACTACAATTGCCAGCTGGAGACAGAACAGGGCCTAAGGGCAAAGGCAGAATGGCATATGAGGAAGAGAACCAAAGGTCAGTCACAGAACAGCTGTGTCACAGGTGAGATCTAAAGGAAAACTGCGGGACTAAAAGCAGGAAGCAAACAGAAGTTCAGGAGCCAGAGGAATGCAAGAACATATCAGGAAGGGGGATATGAGACAGGAATAGAATCAGGGCTTTGGCCATGAATGAGGCCAGGGTACCTCAAGCTCATTCTTGTTGAGAGCTTGCCCTGTGGTGCTTGGGTAAGCAGGAAAGAGTTAGGCAGTGCAGGTTGGGACAGTCTTTAAAAAAAAAAAAAAAAAAAACAAAAAACAAAAAAAACACTCCAAACCATATTATCACATAGCCTATTAACTGACACTTATTTTGATGCCTCTGAGCCATCCGGAAGAGGCTAAATGTGGTATCTTCCACTTAAAAAGTAAGGGAAATATGTGAAATATTTTAGAAAAGCCTGCGAATAGCGTGGTTTAAAAACAAAAAGAGAGGTCCTTTTACCTCTGAAGGGATAACTTTTAGCTGCCAGGAAAATTCACATATGTATAATCCCACATTGCCTCCATAAATCTAGGTAGCTATGGCAGTGATTCAGAAAAGTGAAGGCATCGCTTTTTGACTTTGAATGTCTCCATTTCTCCCAGCTGGTATGACAGTGATTTTCCTTTCTCCCTTATTTTGGAGTTGTAAGGTATATTAACATTCTTACATAGCTTTGATCCAATATAGAATTTTTTTAAAAAACTTTCAAAGAAGGACTTTATGGACTGGCATTAGCCACGTGCTTATTTGCTGTGTCCAGGGGGCTGTGACACTGTAATTGGCTCTGCTGGGGATAATCACTCCCTAGGAGACAGATGAGGTTAGGGTAGGAGGGTATGAGCCCTGAAGCCATGTGGAGTAGTAAAGGAGTCCCCCAAGTGAAAAGAGGCTGCCGTTTTCAGAAGCAGGGGTGTGGGAAAAATACTGAGCAGATATCTACCACAACCTAACAGGTGCACACAAGTAATGAGTGAAATAGCAGGGACTTTAACTTATGTTTGCCTATTTTTAAACGTCTACTTTTCTCCTAATGTTGTGTCTCCTTTGCTGGGGAAAACTTTTATAATTGCTGCCTAACTCCTGTTGTTTCACTCTGTCTGCCCTCTCTCCTACCCTGCTTTTACCCCCAGCCTGGAGTCCACTTGGGTGGAAATGCAGCATATAATGAGCCCAAAGTTAATCATCTGCAGGTTTGCCCTGATAAGTCACAGTATGTTTGCTGCACTCCTTCCAAGAGTCAACAGCAGCTTTGGGGATGTGCTGAGAGTGGCTTATGGCATTCTGAGCGCTGGCCCAGATGGGAGGCAGTGTGTTGGGGAGTCTATCTGAACGCCACCATCTGGAATGCCTCTGTTGCCCTGAAGGCACTCGTCTGCATCTCCAGTGTACACGGCTTAGAGATGCCAAAAATTGAGCCAAGTTCACTGGATGTACAAACGGCCTGACGTCAATGGAATTTATTCATAATTTAGGCCTCATGTGTGATGTACTGTCTGAACTCAATGATCTGTCAAAACAATCAGGGAAGAAGAGGAGAAGGAAGAAGAAAAGGTGGAGGAAAACAAAGAGGAAGAAGAGAAGTGAAAGGTAGAAGAAACAGCAGAGAAGAAGAAGAGGAAATTAGGACAGGGCCAGGAGCTGTAGCAGCACAGGTTCAGCTTTTGGCTCCTGGGGCCAATGGTCCCTGTAAGTTTGTTGAAAGCATCAGTGCCAAATAAAACATGGCCTTTTAAAGCACCGAATTACGTGAGCGCAGAGCTGTTAAAATCAGTGTAGCAAAAATCCAGCTGGGTTTGGCCGTCGCCACAAAGTACAAAATGATGATCATTTGTACTGCCAAGACCCAGGGTTCTCCAGATGTGGTGGACTGAGCAGAGTTACTTGGATATACATTCAGTTGCCCATTCTTTAAAATAAGGAATCTGCTATTAAGAAGTGTATGAGGCTGGGAGCAGTGGCTCACGCCTGTAATCCTAACACTTTGGGAAGCCGAGATGGGTGGATCACTTGAGGTCAGGAGTTTGAAACCAACCTGGCCAACATGGTGAAACCCCATCTCTACTAAAAAGTACAAAAAAAAAAAAAAAAATTAGCTGGGCCTGTTGGCGTGTGCCTGTAATCCCAGCTACTTGGGAGGCTGAGGCAGGAGAATTGTTTGAACCTGGGAGGCAGAGGTTGCAGTGAGCCAAGATGGCGCCACTATACTCCAGCGTGGTGATAGAGTGAGACTCCATCTCAAAAAAAAAGAAAAGGAAGAAATGTATGAAGTGGATATTTGCTAGGGGTTTTTTGGTTGTTGTTGTTGTTGTTGTTTTGTTTTTGCTTGCCCTGTGTCCAGAGGTGGATTATATTGTGAAACTAACAAAGCTTAAGCTTCAGAAGCCTTCAGTTGCATGGGAGGTGCTGGGAGTTATGGAGTATTCTAGGTGGGGAGAGAAAGCCAGGTTACAATCAACAAGCATTTATATATTAGCATTTCTGGTAAATTGTCTAAATCGATCTAAGAAGTAAAGAACCTAAATCTCCAAGAGTTCAATAATTTGTTGGGATTTATTTTCTCATTCTAAATAAAACCAACTTTTATACCTGTTTTTAAATTTGTATTTTTTTTAATTAAAGAAGACCCCAAAATTATAAGGCTTTCAGTTCCATAAAATCTGAATCTATCCCTATCTGCCTCAATTGCCTTTCTTCTGCAGATCAAGGTAACCAAACCTTGATTTGCCTTTGTGGAAAGGTTTTCTGCTCACTCAGCAGTAGACACATGATCCAGGTTCAGGAATAAGTACGTGATCCAATTTGGGCTAATAAGAATCAGGGGCAAAGTTTTTGCTGGACCTTCTACTGGGGTTATTAAGTTGAAAGTTACTAAGTTGTGTGGAAATGCAAGTGTGGCATTGCCAACAACCATCTTGCTTCTATAAGAGGAAACTGCCTGCGAATAAAATTCGTATAGAAGAAAGCAGAGCTAAGGGATATAAAGAAGCCAAGTCTTAATAATGTGACTTTGCAACCCTGAAACAATACTGAAGTTACTACAGATAATCCTGGGCTTTTCAGACAGACAAATCAATAAAAACCTCTTTTTTTCTTAAGCTATTTTGAGTTGGGTTCTGGCAGTTGCAACTGAGTCTTGACTAATACAGGTCCTTATATGCTGGAAAAATAATTATTATTATTTCAACTCAGAAGGTGATTTTTTTAGTGTATTTGCCTCTGAATAGTTATAACATAGATAACACTTACTGATCACTCTTATTAAGGGTTTTACTCATATTAGCCCATCTGAATCTCAAAAGCAACCTCATGAAGTATGTACTGGTATTATCATATCCATTTTACTAAAGAGGAAATCGAAGGCACATAGAAGTTAATTAACTTGTCTAATTGGTGTACACTTTGGTTTTAGACCTTGGATTCCTAACTGTTACACTGTGCTGCTTGAGCCAACTGATTCAGATGATACTAACATCCTTTTAAGAAAAGCTCTCATACCAAGACTTCATTAGAGGTTGCCAGCCTATGAATTATATGCCCTTAGAACAAATGCAAGGGTGGGCAATGTAGTTCACTTTCGTCAGAATTGGCTGAGAATGACAGCTACCAAGAATATAGTAGACTATTCACCAGCCAATATATGTACACCAGCCAATGGGACCCAACATCAAATCCCTCTTTTCTTATTTGGGAACTTTCTAAAGGTTCTCTCATATGTGTTTCCCTTTGTCCTCTTTCCCTCGATTCATCCCATAACTACATAGCTCCCTGGTGTCAGTATGACACTTTCTATCTGTAGTTCATCTGTCATTCCTATCACTCCTGATGTGTTGCCACTGGTATTAAGGGGAATCCCAACACGATTCCACTTCAGTAGTTTCCATGCTGAAGATGGGAGAATGAACTGAGGGCTCCTAATCTTCTTAAACAACCCCCATTATGCCTCCAAACTGGATAATCTCTCAGTTTCCTACAATTCCCTCTTCTTGTGCCTCTTCCAGACTTACTCCCTTGTGTTCTTCTCTGCCTATGGCTCCAGTCTGACAGGCTTAAGATCTAAAGCCTGGATCCCACTATCACCAAACCAAGTATGTATTTCAGACTTGAAGCCATAATGATCTGATCCTTTCATTTTTCAGCAAATGTTTATTAAGCACTTACTAGGCACTGGAGATTTAGGGATGAGTATGACACAGTTTTATCTTTCTAGAAGCTCTCAAAGTACTGGACTCAGGGGAAGTTAAGATGGGACACAAGGCCAACAGTTCCTATGAATGGAGTGACTTAGAATCACAGCAGAGGCAGATGCCAACTTATTGAAGAGAATAAGGAGGCTTTTTAATGCAGGACAGAAGATGGAGTGGCAGGAAAAGTGGTCTTGAGGTGTAGCAGGAATTATCCAGCAGAGAATAGCATTCCAAGCAGATGGAACAGCATGTTCAAGGCTAGGAAGGCAATAAAGGATAAGACGTGTTTGAGAAATAGCAAGAATTTTAGTATGGCAGGAGCAGACAGTCTTTGAGGGAGAGTGGTGAGAGATGATTCTAAAATAGTAGGTAGAAGCCAGCTTGTGAAATCCTTGTGTGTTGTGTTCTGGAATCTGAAAATCATCCATTATTCATAGACAGCCAATGAGATCTCAAGCGAGAGTGACATGATTACATTTGTATTGCAGACAGATCACATGAGCAACAGTGTCGCTCTCTTGTAGTAATCAGATCTTTCTTTCCAGCCCTGCTCTTTGGATTTGAGGTTCTTCAGATCAACCCAATTTGTGGCCTCCATTATCACTGCAGACAGATTTTTCTCTCCCTTTCCTCAGCACACAATCAGTGTACCTTGAAGTTCCCTCTTACCCATCCATCAGCCTGGGAATGGCATTTCCTCAGAGAAGCAATTCTCAAACACATGTGGGTGTGTAGCTTGTAGGAAGGATATATCATGTTCACTTGGAGGGCATTTTCAAAGTACATGTGCCTTTGCATCACATGCCCCTCTTGCTCTGAAATTCTAATAGGCCAAAGGTTTGAGGGGGGTTTCTAGGGGAACTAGCATTTTGTAAAAGTTTATTCTTTTAAAGAATAGAGATCTAGACATGGAAACTCTAATCAAGACATACTCCTCTCAATTCCTTAGTTGTTATTAAAATACTACAAAATCTGCATTTATATTATAATAGTGACACCTCTTATAGTTGGTCGAAAGTTGGCCCCAAAAAGGATGTGTCCATGTCCTAATACTTGGCCCCTGTTAATGTTACCTTATTTAAAAAAAAAAAAAAAAAAAAAAAGTCTTTGCAGCTGTAATTAAGTTAAGGATCTTGAAATGAGATCATCCAGATGGATTTTAAATCCAATTCCAAGTATCCTTATAACAGACAGAAGAGTAAAAGACAAAGACAAAGAGGAAAGGCCATATGAAGATGAAGGTAGAGATCGCCGTTACGTAGCTAGAAGCCAAAGAATGCCTGGAGACATCAGAAGCTGGACAAGGCAAAGAAGCATTCTCTTCTAGAACCTTCAGAAGGATCATGGCCCTGCCAATACCTTGATTTCAGACTTCTGTCCTCTAGAATAGTAAAAGGATAGATTTATGTTGTTTTAAGTCACGAGGTTTGTAGCAATTTGTTATGGCATCTCTAGAATGTCAACATACCTTCTTTCTAATAGGTTATACCTAATAGTTACTTTTAAGAGAGGAGACAGTTTCCAAAGTGTTGTATAATAGCATGATGTAAATGAATTTAGGCCAGGTAACTTAATCCCTTTGAGCTGGTTTCTTCACCTAATCCCATCCTCACAGAATGTTGAGATGATTCAATGAGATAAAATAAAACTACCCAGCAGACAACTGGCAAAAACCAGGCTCTAAAGGAAGTATCTATTTGAGAATAGGACTCAACACATGTTGCATAGACACTCTGGTGAAACAAGCTCTCCCAGGAGAAGGCCGGGATAATTAACATGCAATGTCTGGGCCTCTATCAGAATCTCTTTTACATGTAACCACTTACACCCATCTGGTATCAGCTCTTGTTTGTCACCAACTAACCACTGCCCTCTCCTGCAACCTTCTCTACTTCCTGTTTACGTAGATAGCTGCTTCCTGACTGACGAAACTGAATGGTTTCAGCCAGACTGCTTTTCCCCTGGACCCATGCCAAGAATACCTTCTTTACTTTGCATTTCTCATTCTGCTTTCTTCTTATAGTAGAAGCCATCATATTAATGAGTTGCAAACTGCTGCCCTGAGCTATTCCCAGCTAATCAGTTAGTCTTCTTCCTAGCTATTGGATTAAATCAGATGAACACAAGTAATAACACGTCAGGTATCATGTCTGTATCAAGAAATTTGTCCATCCTTTCTTGCTCCAGCCCTGCCAAGCTACTGACAATGATGCTTTTTTCATTTAACTGGACAAGTCATAATGCTGACACTCTCAAGCCCAGCCCTGTCCTGTTTATGTGAAGCAATTCTAACCAAGGCCAGCAGGACAACAAACAATAGGGTTAAACTTGACCAGAACTCCAGATTGGGAGACTATTTTTTTTTAATTATACTTTAAGCTCTGGGGTACATGTGCAGAACATGCAAGTTTGTTACAAAGGTATACACTTGCCATGGTGGCTTGCTGCACCCATCAACCCGTGATCTACATTAGGTATTTCTCCTAATGCTATCCCTCCCCTAGCCCCCAACCCCCCAACAGGCCCCGGTGTGTGATGTTCACCTCCCTGTGCCCATGTGTTCTCATTGTTCAACTCCCACTTATGAGCGACAACATGTGGCTGTTTAAATGATCTAATTTGTGGTTCTCAATATGAGTGAATATGCAAATCATGTTAGAGGCTCTTTCAAACAAACAGATAAACAAATATTTGGAACATGAGTTAGGCATGGATTTTTTTGTTAACTCCTAAGTGGGATAATAACTTTTCCCTCAACTCCAGGCTTATCATCCTTAACACAATAGTTAAGGATGTGAACACTGGAGCCTGACTGTCTGGGTTCAAATTCTGGCTTTGCCACCCATAAGCTGTGTGGCCTTGAGCATGTCACCTAACCTCCTTTGCCTCAATTTCCTCATCTGTAAAACAGTTGTAATAATACCTACATTTGCCAGGGAATTGTGAGGAATAAATAAGTTAACTTGTGAAGAGCACTTAGGCTATATAAATGCTATTATTACTATTACTTTTATTGTTGTTTTATAACTTCTCTGGAGAGACAGGAAGTTGGTCAGAGGGTGAGATGCCTGAATTAGTGATTTCAAGATGAGGCAGGTTGAGGTGATGTGAGGGTTCACAGTATGACAGTGGAAGTGGATAGCAGAGGTAGAATGGAGGAAAGATCATCATTGGAAGGAGAAAATTAGTAGTAGTATTAAAGCATGTTCTTTATGAGACTGGAGTACCTGAGTTCAGATCCTGCCTTCACTACTTAATGGCAGCGCAACCATGAGCAGATTACTTAATTGTTTTCTCATCTGTACCACTACAGAACCATGAGCAGATTTCTCCTCTGTAAAATGAAGATAATAATAGTGACCTATCTTATAGGGCTTTCATGGAATCAAATAAGTTAGTAAATAACATACTGATTTCTTAGAACAGTGACTGGCATTTAGCAAGTGTTAGCTCAGGATACAAAAGCAATGTGCAAAATCACAAGCATTCTTATACACCAATAACAGACAAACAGAGAGCCAAATCATGAGTGAACTGCCATTTACAGTTGCTTCAAAGAGAATAAAATACCTAGGAATCCAACTTACAAGGGATGTGAAGGACCTCTTCAAGGAGAACTACAAAACACTGCTCAACGAAATAAAAGAGGACACAAAGAAATGGAAGAACATTCCATGCTCACGGATAGGAAGAATCAATATCATGAAAATGGCCATACTGCGCAAGGTAATTTATAGATTCAATGCCATCCCCATCAAGCTACCAATGACTTTCTTCACAGAATTGGAAAAAACTACTTTAAAGTTCACGTGGAACCAAAACAGAGCCTGCATTGCCAAGACAATCCTAAGCCAAAAGAACAAAGCTGGAGGCATCATGCTATCTGACTTCAAACTATACTACAAGGCTACAGTAAACAAAACAGCATGTCACTGGAACCAAAACAGAGATATAGATCAATGGAACAGAACAGAGCCCTCAGAAATAATACCACACATCTACAACCATCTGATCTTTGACAAACCTGACAAAAACAAGAAATGGGGAAAGGATTCCCTATTTAATACATGGTGCTGGGAAAACTGGCTAGCCATATGTAGAAAGCTAAAACTGAATCCCTTACTTACACCTTATACAAAAATTAATTCAAGATGGATTAAAGACTTAAATGTTAGACCTAAAACCATAAAAACCCTAGAAGAAAACCTAGGCAATACCATTCAGGACATAGGCATGTGCAAGGACTTCATGACTAAAACATCAAAAGCAATGGCAACAAAAGCCAAAATTGACAAATGGGATCTAATTAAACTAAAGAGCTTCTGCACAGCAAAAGAAACTACCATCAGAGAGAACAGGCAACCTACAGAATGGGAGAAAATTTTTACAATCTACCCATCTGACAAAGGGCTAATATCCAGAATCTACAAAGAATTTAAACAAATTTACAAGAAAAAAACAAATATACAAGAAAAAATCAAACAACCCCATCAAAAAGTGGGCAAAGGATATGAACAGACACTTCTCAAAAGAAGACATTTATGCAGGCAACAGACACATGAAAAAATGCTCATCATCACTGGCCATCAGAGAAATACAAATCAAAACCACAATGAGATACCATCTCACACCAGTTAGAATGGTGATCATTAAAAAGTCAGGAAACAACAGGTGCTGGAGAGGAGGTGGAGAAATAGGAGCACTTTTACATTGCTGGTGGGACTGTAAACTAGTTCAACCATTGTGGAAGACAGTGTGGTGATTCCTCAAGGATCTAGAACTAGAAATACCATTTGACCCAGCAATCCCATTACTGGGTATATACCCAAAGGATTATAAATCATGCTGCTATAAAGACACATGCACACGTATGTTTATTGCGGCACTATTCACAATAGCAAAGACTTGGAACCAACCCAAATGTCCAACAATGATAGACTGGATGAAGAAAATGTGGCACATATACACCATGGAATACTATGCAGCCATAAAAAAGGATGAGTTCATGTCCTTTGTAGGGACATGGAGGAAGCTGGAAACCATCATTCTGAGCAAATTATCCCAAGGACAGAAAACCAAACACCGCATGTTCTAACTCGTAGGTGGGAATTGAAGAATGAGAACACATGGACACAGGGTGGGGAACATCACACACTGTGGCCTGAGGTGGGGTGGGGGTAGGGGGGAGGGATAGCATTAGGAGATATACCTAATGTAAATGACGAGTTAATGGATGCAGCACACCAACATGGCACATGTATACATATGTAACAAACCTGCACATTGTGCATATGTACCCTAGAATTTAAAGTATTATAATTAAACTATAATAAATTTTTTTAAAATTTAAAAAAAGAAATTTATTCTGCTGGATACCCTAAATCATCTCCCCCAGGTTCAAAGTTCCACAGATCTCTAGGGCAGGGGTAAAATTCCGCCAGTCTCTTTGCTAAAGCAAAGCAAGAGTTCATCTCCAGTTCCCAACAAGTTTCTCATCTCAATCTGAGATCACCGCAGCCTGGGACTTCATTGTCCATATCACTATCAGCATTTTGGTCAAAGCCCTTCAACAGGTCTCTAGGAAGTGCTAAAGTTTCCAACATTTTCCTTTCTTCTTCTGAGCCCTCCAAACTGTTCCAACCTCTGCCTGTTACCCAGTTCCAAAGTCACTTCTGCATTTTTTAGTATCCTTATAGCAGCACCCCACTATAGTGGTACCAATTTACTGTATAAGTCCATTCTCACATTGCTGCAAAGATAATACCCAAGACTCGGTAATTTATAAAGGAAAGAAGTTTAATTGACTCACAGTTCTGCATGGCTAAGGAGGCCTCAGGAAACTTATAATTATTGTGGAAGGGGAAGCAAACATGTCTTTCTTGACATGGTGGCAGGGGAAAGAAGTGCTGACCAAAGCAGGAAAAGCCCCTTATAAAACCATCAGATCTCATGAAAACTCACAATCAGGAGATGGGGGTAACCACCCCCATCATTCAATTACCTCCCACTGGGTCTCTCCCACAACACATGGGGATTATGGGAACTACCATTCAAGATGAGATTTGGGTGAGAACACAGCCAAACCATATCACCATACGTCTTCTGAAATCTAGGCAGGGGCATCCAAGCCTCAACTCTTGCACTATGTGCACCTGCAGGCTTAACACCGTGTGAAAGCTACCAAGGCTTATGGCTTGCACCTTCTGAAGCAGCAGCCCAAGTACCTGGGTAACTTTGAGCCACATCTGGAGCTGGAGTGGCTGGGATGTAGGGAGCAGTGTGCCCTGGGCCTGACCCACAAAATCATTTTTCCCTCCTAGGCCTCTGGACCTGTGATAAGAGAGGCTGTTGTGAAGGTCTGTAAAATATCTTCAGGGTCTTTTTCCCATTGTCTTGGCTACTAGTACTTCCCTCTCTTTGAGATATGCAAATTTCTGCAGCCTCCTTTAATTCCTTCCCTGAAAATGGGTGTTTCTTTTCTACCACATGGCCAGGCTGTGAATTTTCCAAACTTTTATACTCTGCTTCTCTTTTAAATATAAGTTCCAGTTTCAGGTTATTTCTTTGTTCATGCATATGAACATAGAATTTTAGAGGCAGCCAGGGCAATTCTTGAATGTTTTGCTGCTTAGAAATTTCTTCTGCCCGATACTCTAAATCATATATCTCAAATTCAAAGTTCCACAGATGTCTAGAGCAGGGGCACACTACCGCCAGGCTCTTTGCTAATGCATAACAAAAGTGACCTTTGCTCCAGTTCCCAATAAGTTCCAGACTTTGCTGAAGTTGCTTATCAGCTTAAGGAGATTTTGGGCTGACACGATGGGGTTTTCTGGATATACAATCATGTCATCTGCAAACAAGTACAATTTGACTTCCTCTTTTCCTAATTGAATACCCTTTATTTCTTTCTCCTGCCTGATTGCCCTGGCCAGAACTTCCAATAGTATATTGAATAGGAGTGGTGAGAGAGGCCATCCCTGTCTTGTGCCAGTTTTCAAAGGGAATGCTTCCAGTTTTTGCCCATTCAATATGATATTGGCTGTGGGTTTGTCATAAATAGCTCTTATTATTTTGAGATATGTCCCATCAATACCTAATTTATTGAGAGTTTTTAGCATGAAGGCCTGTTGAATTTTGTCAAAGGCCTTTTCTGCATCTATTGAGATAATCATGTGGTTTTTGTCTTTGGTTCTGTTTATATGCTGGATTATGTTTATTGATTTGCATACATTGAGCCAGCCTTACATCCCAGGGACGAAGCCCCCTTGATCATGGTGGATAAGCTTTTTGATGTGCTGCTGGATTCGGTTTGCCAGTATTTTATTGAGGATATTTGCATCGATGTCCATCAGGGATATTGATCTAAAATTCTCTTTTTTTGTTGTGTCTCTGCCAGGCTTGGTATCAGGATGATGCTGGCCTCATAAAATGAGTTAGGGAGGATTCTCTTTTTCTGTTGATTGGAATAGTTTCAGAAGGAATGGTACCAGCTCCTCCTTGTACCTCTGGTAGAATTCGGCTGTGAATCCATCTGGTCCTGGACTTTTTTTGGTTGGTAGGCTATTAATTATTGCCTCAGTTTCGGCTCCTGTTATTGGTCTATTCAGAGATTCAACTTCTTCCTGGTTTAGTCTTCAGAGGGTGTATGTGTCCAGGATTTTATCCATTTCTTCTAGATTTTCTAGTTTATTTGCGTAGAGGTGTTTATAGTATTCTCTGATGGTAGTTTGTATTTCCATGGGATTGGTGGTAATATCCCCTTTATCATTTTTTATTGTGTCTGTTTGATTCTTCTCTCTTTTCTTCTTTATTAGTCTTGCTATCAGTCTATCAGTTTTGTTGATCTTTTCAAAAAACCAGCTCCTGGATTCATTGATTTTTTGAAGGGTTTTTTGTGTCTCTATCTCCTTCAGTTCTGCTCTGATCTTAGTTATTTCTTGCCTTCTGCTAGCTTTTGAATGTGTTTGCTCTTGCTTCTCTAGTTCTTTTAATTGTGATGTTAGGGTGTCAATTTTAGATCTTTCTTGCTTTCTCTTGCAGGCATTTAGTGCTATATATTTCCCTCTACACACTGCTTTAAATGTGTCCCAGAGTTTCTGGTATGTTGTGTCTCTGTTCTCACTGTTTTCAAAGAACATCTTTATTTCTGCCTTCATTTCGTTATGTACTCAGTAGTCGTTCAGGAGCAGGTTGTTCAGTTTCCATGTAGTTGAGCAGTTTTCAGTGAATTTCTTAATCCTGAGTTCTTGTTTGATTGCACTGTGGTCTGAGAGACAGTTTCTTAAAATTTCTGTTTTTTTACATTTGCTGAGGAGTGCTTTACTTCCAAATATGTGGTCAATTTTGAAATAAGTGCGATGTGGTGCCGAGAAGAATATATCTTCTGTTAATTTGGTGTGGAGAGTTCTGTAGATGTCTATTAGGTCCACTTGCTGTGGAGCTGAGTTCAATTCCTGGATATCCTTGTTAACTTTCTGTTTCGTTGATCTGTCTAATATTGACAGTGGGGTGTTAAATTCTCCCATTATTATTGTATGGGAGTCTAAGTCTCTTTGTAGGTCTCTAAGGACTTGCTTTCTGAATCTGGGTGCTCCTGTATTGGGTGCATATATATTTAGGATAGTTAGCTCTTCTTGTTGAATTAATCCCTTTACCATTATGTAATGGCCTTCTTTGTCTCTTTTGATCTTTGTTGGCTTAAAGTCTATTTTATCAGAGACTAGACTTGCAACCCTGCTTTTTTTTTGTTTTCCATTTGCTTGGTAGATCTTCCTCCATCCCTTTATTTTGAGCCTATGTGTGTCTCTGCATGTGAGATAGGTCTCCTGAATACAGCACACTGATGGGTCTTGACTCTTTATCCAATTTGCCAGTATGTGTCTTTTAATTGGAGCATTTAACTCATTTACATTTAAGGTTAATATTGTTATGTGTGAATTTGATCCTGTCATTATGATGTTAGCTGGTTATTTTGCTCGTTAGTTGATGCAGTTTCTTCCTAGCATCAATGGTCTTCACAGTTTGGCATGTTTTTGCAGTGGCTGGTACTGATTGTTCCTTTCCATGTTTAATGCTTCCTTCAGGAACTCTTATAAGGCAGGCCTGGTGACGACAAAATCTCTCTGCATTGTCTGTAAAGGATTTTACTTCTCCTTCACTTGTGAAGCTTAGTTTGGCTGGATATGAAATTCTGGGTTGAAAATTCTTTTGTTTAAGAATGTTGAGGCCTGGCACGATGGCTCATGCCTGTAATCCCAGCACTTTGGGAGGCCAAGGCGGGCAGATCACGGGGTCAGGAGATCAAGACCATCCTGGCTAACATGGTGAAACGCCATCTCTACTAAAAAATACAAAAAATTAGCCGGGCGTGGTGGTGGGTTCCTGTAGTCCCAGCTACTTGGAAGGCTGAGGCAGGAGAATGGCGAGAACCTGGGAGGTGGAGCTTGCCATGATCCGCGATCTCGCCAGTACACTCCTGCCTGGGTGAGAGAGCGAGACTCCATCTCAAAACAAAACAAAACAAAAAAGAATGTTGACTATTGGCCCCCACTCTCTTCTGGCTTGTACAGTTTCTTCTGAGAGATCTGCTGTTGGAGTATGATGGGCTTCCCTTTGTGGGTAACCCGACCTTTCTCTCTTGCTGCCCTTAACATTTTTTCCTTCATTTCAACTTTGGTGACTCTGATAATTATGTGTCTTGGAGTTGCTCTTCTCAAGGAGTATCTTTGTGGTGGTCTCTGTATTTCCTGAATTTGAATGTTGGCCTGCCTTGCTAGGTTGGGGAAGTTCTCCTGGATAATATTCTGAAGAGTGTTTTCCAACTTGGTTCCATTCTCCCCGTCATTTTCAGGTACACCAATCAGATGTAGATTTGGTCTTTTCACATAGTCCCATATTTCTTGGAGGCTTTGTTTGTTTCTTTTTAGTCTTTTTTCTATAAACTTGTCTTCTTGCTTCATTTCATTTGATCTTCAATCACTCCTTTCCTCCACTTGATCAAATCGGCTACTGAAGCTTCTGCATGCATCATGTTCTCCTGCCATAGCTTTCAGCTCCATCAGGTCATTTACGGTCTTCTCTATGCTGTTTATTCTAGTTGGCCATTTGTCTAATTTTTTTCAAGGTTTTTAGCTTCTTTGCAATGGGTTTGAACATCCTCCTTTAGCTTGGAGAAGGTTGTTATTACTGATCGTCTGAAGCTTTCTTCTCTCAACTCGTCTAAGTCATTCTCCATCCAGCTTTGTTCCATTGCTGGTGAGGAGCTGTGTTCCTTTGGAGGAGAAGAGGTGCTCTGATTTTTAGAATTTTCATCTTTTCTGCTCTGGTTTCTCCCCATCTTTGTGGTTTTATCTACCTTTGGTCTTTAATGATGGTGACATACAGATGGGGTTTTGGTACGGATGTCCTTTCTGTTTGTTAGTTTTCCTTCTAACAGTCAGGACCCTCAGCTGCAGGTCTGTTGGAGTTTGCTGGAGGTCCACTCCAAATCCTCTTTGTCTGGGTATCACCAGTGGAGGCGGCAGAACAGCAAATATTGCAGAACAGCAAATGTTGCTGTCTGATCCTTCCTCTGGAAGCTTTGTCTCAGAGGGCTACCTGCCTGTATGAGGTGTCAGTTGGCCCCTACTGGGAGTTGTCTCCAAGTTAGGCTACTTGGGGGTCAGGGACCCACTTGAGGAGGCAGTCTGTCTGTTCTCAGATCTCAAACTCCATGCTGGGAGAACCACTACTCTCTTCAAAGCTGTCAGACAGGGATGTTTAAGTCTGCAGAAGTTTCTGCTGCCTTTTGTTCAGCTATGCCCCGCCTCCAGAGATGGAGTCTACAGAGGCTGGCAGGCCTTCTTGAGCTGTGGTGGGCTCCACCCAGTTCAAGCTTCCTGGCTGCTTTGTTTGCCTACTCAAGCCTCAGCAATGGCAGACGCACCTCCTCCAGCCTTGCTGCCGCCTTGCCGTTTGATCTCAGACTGCTGTGCTAGCAGTGAGTGAGGCTCCGTGGGTGTGGGACCCCCTGAGCCAGGCGTGGGATATAATCTCTGGTGTGCCATTTGCTAAGACTGATGGAAAAGTGCAGTGTTATGGTGGGAGTGCCCCGATTTTCCAGGTACCGTCTGTCATGGCTTCCCTTGGCTAGGAAAGGGAATTCCCCAATCCCTTGCACTTCCCAGGTGAGGTAATGCCCCACCCTGCTTCACCTCATGCTCTGTGGGCTGCACTCACTGTCCGACAAGCCCCAGTGGATGAACCTGGTACCTCAGTTGGAAATACGGAAATCACCCGTCTTCTGCGTCGCTCATGCTGGGAGCTGCAGACTGGAGCTGTTCCTATTTGGCCATCTTTGAACCTCCCCCCAGCAGAAGAAATTTCTAAGCAGCAAAGCATTCAATAGGAAGCAGAGCATAAAATTTCAGAAAATTTGCAGCCTGATGACAATGTGGTAGAAAAGAAAAACCAATTTTCTGGGAAGAAACTCAATCTGGCTGCAGAAATTTGCACAAGTAACAAGAAGCCAAATGTTAATCGCCCAGATAATGGGGAAAATGTCTCCAGGGCATGTCAGAGACCTTTGCAGCAGCCCCTCTCATCACAGGCCTGGAGTCCTAGGAGGGAAAAATGGTGTCATGGGCCAGGCCTAGGGCCCCCCTACTCTGTGCAGCCTCACAACATGGTGCCCTGTGTCTCAGCTGCTTCAGCTCCAGTTGTGGCACACAGGTGAGATTCAGAGATGAACAAGAAAGATGTCCCCGCTACAGTGAATCTTGCAGAAGCAAAGTCTTATACAAAGGACTCCAGAAAGCCTTTCCAAAGCAGAGTCAGCCAAGACACTAAGAGCTATCACTAGCCAAGACACTAAGAGCTCCCTAAGAGGATATAGGCTTTGAAACAGACAAATAAATTTGCTTAAACTCTAAAGTTCTTTAAGCCTGGCAACTCAGATCCTCCAGGAGTATGCTTGATTTTGTAAGGACACTTTTGCAAGGAAGATAAAGATTTCATCTTAGATGCCAACTCTGAGTGACTGGTAGTTGTGGTTTAGAGTCCTGAGTTAAGGACTGTGAAATTCCATCTGAGTTCAGCAGGAAAAGAAGCTATGATAGATTAGCAATGTCAGCCACATGTATTTAAGGGATGAATGAGGGCAAATGTGGCACACATTACTATCCCAGCCCTAATGTAGCCTATCTTATATTTTTCACAGTTGTTTCACATACCTGTTGATTTTCCAACTGGGCAACAAGCTCCAGGGAAGGCAGCATTATGCAGTGGAAGGAGCAGTGGAAGCTGAGCAAAGGAGCTTTTCTTTCTCTTCTGAAAGGTAGCATGGTGGGATGGAATGAGCACAAGGTGCCCAGAGTTAGAAAGGTATGGCTTTGGAGTTGGGCACTTCACTCTTCCACAGATTGCCTGATCCTAGACATGTTACAGTCAATTCTCATTCTCTTTTATGGTAGTTAATATTCTATAAAATCTGAAGCATTGACCTAGCATTTGCTATGAGCTGTTGCAGGGGAAATACAAGGTTAGGTTCCTGCAAGCCTCTGGTCACATTTTCATCAACCAATCAATACATAACCTAGTTTTATGTGTGTTTCTGTTTAAAGACACCTTATTTAATATATATTGTTGATTTATTAACACTGAACTCACAGCCTACAGGGCTATAATTCCTACCCGAAGGAAGCTTATCTAACACACGTTTGTTTTCTGTATAAGGCACATCACAGCCTTCTTACTCTCAGGAACACCAGACAGCACTGCAACGCTATTATTAGGAATCATTGTAAAGAGCAAAATCACCAAAAAACACAAAAATGAGAAAAACGTGGCACTAAATAGACTGCAAAAAGATTCTTGTTTACAGTATAAGAGATGAAACAAGAAGGCAAGGCATTGCTTTGTTCAATCTCAGCTGGGAATATTCATGTTAGACAACTCACATTTGTCACGGATCTGCGCATATCTGTAAATGACCACAAAAGTTCCATGAGCACTGATTTGGGCTACAAATAAATTTTGGCAAGTAGGCAAATCCATTCATGAATAATGAGGATGAACTGTACTAAGTTTCTGTGAGCCTTAGTAATGATACCTCCCTCACACTACAGAGTAAATGAAAGAAGGCATGTAAAATGCCTTGCATGGTTACAGTTAGTTCTTCTTTATACCAGATATTTACATTTTCACTTCCTGTACCTTATCTGCCATGCTCAAATCTGAGAGATAAGTAGATATCAAGAAACTTCCAGCCAAATGTCTCATCTTTATCCTGGGAGCATAGACCAAAAACTACTCACACTAGCTAAAATAGAAAAGAAGGTGTTTTGAACAGACACAAGAGGCAATCTCTTGAGGCACCAAAGTGCAGGGTTCAGCATAGCTAGGCCACCCTGCGTTGGGACTGAAACAGGAAGATCAGAAGAAGTCCCAACTCTCAGGTGGATGCATCCTCTGCCATCTGTGCCTCTCTGAGCATCTGCTAGCTACACTTTTCTGATTCTCTCAGCAGACAGGTTTCCTCTGCTTTCTCTGGCTTTCTTGCACCCTCATAATTTTGACTCTCATGTGGTTCTGACTTCCATGGCACTGATTCCAGCCTGACTCTACATGTCTGGTGCACACCTGTCGTTTTTGCCTGTCTAGCACCATTCTCCCAGTTCTGGTAACAGAGGAACTGACTGGCTCCAGGATTGGCCTGTGAGCGAGACCCAGCCATTGACTCTCTCCTGAGGGTTTGATTTGTCTTGGTTATCTTCTATCATTTATGTTGTTATTCTTTGTATCTTTTCACTGCCTTGTGGCTTCTGTTTGCTCAGCGCTCCTGTTTATTCATGGTTTCTGCTTACTCATGAAGTCTGATACTGGCTTCACTCTGCACCTTTGAGCTTTCATTCACTGAAGAATTTTTCCCTGTGTCTCTCCAGTTCTGATTATTGAAATAAAATATCTTATTGACATAGTTAATTGCCATGTGTTTGGGCAGAATTTTCCTGCCAGGACACCCAACAGGCCAATGTCCAGCCTATTGATCAGCTGCCCCTAGGTAAGGGCCTATCATAGCCTAACAAGCAGTAAGCAGAGTTGTAGGGGTTGGAGGTGTGCATATGGTATCACATGTGGCCACTTATGTTGAAGGATTTACATCAAGCTAGTTATCCAGACCCTTCTCTTTTTCTAATACCTCATGTCCAACTGTGAAGAAATCCTATTAGCTCTACCCTCAGAATATATTTAGAATATAATCACTTCTCATTGCTCCCACTGCTACCCCTCTGCTCCAAGCCACTCTGCCTTTCACTTGCATTACTCCAGTAGCTTAAGAAGTCACCTGCTTCTACCCATAGTCTATTCCCAATATAGCAGCTAGAGTGATTATTTTAAAGCCTTAGTCATATCATGTCATTCCTTTGTTTCACATATACTCCTGGCTCCCCATTTCACTCAAAGTAAAAGCCAAAGCCCTAGCCCCATTACCTCCAACTCCATCTTTACCACTTTCCCTTGCTCACTTCACTCCGGCCACACTGGCCTTGCTTTTTGTCAGATATCCAGGTATGCTCCCACCATGGGGCCTTTGTTCCAGCTGCCCTATCTGTCTGAAAAAAATCTTCTTTCAGATAATGGCTTGAGTAACTCCCCTAATTCCTTTAGATCCTTATTCAAATTTCAACTTCTCCAGAAGGCTTGCCTGACTAATTTATTTTATTCTACAACTGTGGTGGATAAATGCCGTACAGTAAATACTGTGGAAATAAACACTATAGTTCCCCACAGATCCATGCCTTCTTGCCGCTGCTTTACCTTTTGTTCTTGCACTTACCATTTTCTAACATATTATATACATTTTGCTTACTACTTATTGCTTATCTCTCCCTGCTAGAATATAAGCTCCACAAAGATAGAGATCTTTGTCTGCTTTGCTCCATGATATACCAAGGATTTAGAACAGTGCCTGGCCCAAGTGCTCCATAAATATTTGTTGAATTGAATTCCTTGGTAGGTAGCTATAAACATAGCAGATACACTAAGGCTTTCTCTATGCAATATAAAATGTCTCTCAGAGAAATTCATGGCACTAAAAGCATATATAAGAAAAGAAGAAAATTATCGGATCAATAATCTAAGCTCACATTCAAGAACCTAGAAAAAGCGAATAAAATAAACACAAAGCAAATGAAGGAAATATAACAAAGGGCAGAAATCAATGAAAGTGAAAAACAAAGAATAGAGAAAATTAACAAAACTAAGAGCTGGTTCTTTGAAAAGATCGGTAAAACTGATAAACCTCTAGCAGGACTGAGAAAGAAAAAAGATAAAAGACACAACTTTCTAATATCAGGAATGAAATAGGAGATACCATTACAGACCCTGCAGACATCTAAAGGATAATAAAGGCATACTAAAAACAACTCTATACACATAAATTTGACAACTTAGTTTAAATAGAGCAATTCCTTGAAAAATGCAACCACAAGTCACCCAATATGAAATAGATCATTTGAAGAGCCCTATAGGCTGGGTGCTGTGGCTCATGCCTGTAATCTCAGCACTTTGGGAGGCTGAGGCAGGAGGATTACTTGAGCCCAGGAGTTCACGGCCAGCCTGGACAAAAAGTAAGACCCCATCTCTACAAAAAAATTTTTTTAATTAGCCAAGCGTGGTGATGTGTACCTGTAGTCCCAGCTACTTGGTAGGCTGAGGTGGGAGGAAGGCCTGAGCCTAGGAGGTTGAACTGCAGTGAGCTGTGATTGCACCACCACATTCCAGCCTGGGCAACAGAGTGGGACCCTTCTCAAAAAAAAAAAAAGAAAGAAAGAAAGAAAAGAAAAGTACTATAACTATTAAAGAAATTCACTTACTTGTAAGAACGGCTGAAATAAAAAATAGCCCCCAAATGCTGCTAAGGATGAAGAAAAGACAAATCACTCATACATTGCTGGTGGAAAGTAAAATGGGACAGCCACTCTGACAGTTTGGCAATTTCTTTAAAAGCTAAACATGTGACTACCATACAACCCAGCAATTGCACCCCTGGGCATTTATCTCAGACAAATGAAGACTTACATTCACACAAAAATCTGTACATGAATATTTATAGCAGCTTTATTTGTAATACCAAAAACTGGAAGCAATCCAGATATACTTCAATGAGTGAATAGTTTAAAAATTGAGTACATCTATATTGTGGAATATTACTCAACAATAAAAAAGAACACATTATCAATGCATGCAAAACCTGGATGAATCGCCAGAGAATTATGCTGAATGAAAAAAAAGGCCAAAAATTTACACATTGTGTGATTCCATTTTTGAAACGTTCTTCAGATGACAAAATTATAGAAACAAAGAACATATGTGGCTACCAGGGTAACAGAGTAGGTGGGGTGGGGGGGTAGGAGGATGGTGGGTATGATTATAAAAGGGCAGCATGGGATATCCTATGATGTTAGAAATGTTCTGTATCAATATCAGTATGCTGGTTGTGGTTCTGTATTATAAGTTTGTAAGATGTTTACCATTAGGGGTAATTGGGTAAAGGATATAAGGTATCTTTTTGTATTACTTCTTACAACTATGTATAAATTTAAAATTATCTAAAAATTAAAAGTTTAATTAAAAATCTTTCTCCCAACAGACTTTATTTAATTATGGTTGTTTCATGGGAGAAGAGAAACACTTTATTAAATTTAATCATTGATTATAAAATTGCACCTAAATTTCAAAAATGTGAAAAATGAGAAAGTACAACTTAGAAACTAGGAAATATATTAAGTATGCATATTTATTTGTATAATTATTTGCATCAGAAATAGGGAACCATTTAGGAGAGGAAAAGACAACAAAGTCTTCCTAACAGTGATTATCTCTAAATGGTAGAATTATGGGCATTTTTTTTTAGCTTATCTGCATTTTCTTATTTTCTACAGTAAACACATATTACTGACATAATTTTAAAGAAACATGATATTTTAAAGATGTTATTTAGACCAACCCTTAATCCATTGCTTGAAAACCTGCAATGAATCCTCAAATAATTAGTCACTTCAGTCTTTAATACCATAGAAACCAATAGCTCCCAAAGCAGCCCAGGCAGCTCTAATTATTTGAAATGAGAGCTGTTGAAAGCAAAGGTCTGCACTGCCTGTGCCATTAGGGGGTTTAAGGATATGGGTTTGATCCCAGCACAGGTCAATTAACTCTGCTTATTCGTAGAGGAAAATGGTAAAGGTACACTGCCTGCATGGCTCACAAGGGACAGTCACTACTCAAACACTGTCCACAAGAGACACAAACACGTGAAAGTAAACAGGCATCTCAAATCCATTTCTGCTAAGCACCTCTTCTCATACTGGACAATTTCTCATTTCCTCAAGTGGTCAGCAGGAAACAAACAGATTGTAAAATAGTTGTTACAATCAATAGCCAGGAATAAAAGCGTAAAAAGCAATCCCATCTCCAAATGAAATTCTAAATCCCCATTAAATACTTTAATGTCAACCTAACAAGAACTAAAAAGAAAACTCTAAAACCATAATGACACAATAAAGGTAATCAGACTGGATGCATAGCCATCTTTGCTTGTAACTGGAAAGATTACATAAATGACATAATAACACTTTCCATATTAATTCATAGATTTAATGCAATGATAATTAATGGGGCATTAAGAGTTTTATAAACCAGAACTTGACATAATAATTGTAAAATGCTCATGAATACAGCCAGGCCCGGTGGCTCACACCTGTAATCCCAGCACTTTGGGAGGCCAGTATGTGGGCAGATACTTGAGTCCAGGAGTTTGAGACCAGTCTCTAAAACTACAAAAATTAGCCGGGCTACTCGGGAGGCTGGGATGGGAGGATCGCTTGAGCCCAGGAGGCAGAGGCTTCAGTGAGCCCTGATCATGCCCCTGCACTCCAGCCTGGGTGGCAGAGTGAGACCCTGTCTCAAAAAAAAAAAAAATGCTCATGAATAGAAGCATATTTATTCACGAAGGAAAAAAGATAATGTTGTAGAACTCTTTCATGGATTTAAAAATATTGTACTGTTATAAAGCAGCAATAATCAAAACTCTTTGGCAGTTCCATTGAAATTGAAGGAGCTGTTCTGAGCCAGTATGGTAAAGGAAAATGTTAGGAAAGATGTCTGGGCTAAAGACCATTGAGGTCTGGGCTAAAGACCATTGAGGCACCATTGGGTGCCTTGGAAAGGTTTTTTGGTTTGCAAGACACAGAGACCTCCTTCAAAGTAGCTCATGTACAAGGGGGAAAAAAAGCTATAACAAGCTTTCTCAATTCATCTAATGACAGTAACAGAGAACAGCTGGACCTCACTGCTCTGAAACTATGAACCATGGCAACTCTCTTCATATCTCAAGAATTCTTCATGGTCCTGCTCCCTGAGATCTAAGCACTAGCTGGGGGACACCTCATCCCACCTCCCACAGTCTCAGGCCCTGAAGCAGTGGTAGCTCTGGAGGATGTTCATAGCATTGGCTCACTTTTGTTCTCCCAGTCTTAAAGGTAGAAGCGGCTTCCTGAAATATGAA
Organism: Homo sapiens; assembly: GCF_000001405.40. NCBI lineage: Eukaryota > Metazoa > Chordata > Mammalia > Primates > Hominidae > Homo > Homo sapiens. The sequence continues at coordinate 14,562,042 of NC_000011.10, read as the reverse complement.
TCTTTGGTTTTCCTAGCTTCCTCTTTTTGCTTTTCCAGCTTTCCAACACCTGTGTAAGAAATTCCATGAATTAAATCCCTTCTGTTTAAGGTATCTAGAGTGATTTCTAATTTCCTGATTAGACCCTGATTGATACATTGTTAGCTTCAACACTGCCCTTTATTTCGTTTAGTTTATAGTTTAGTTTAGTTTAGTTTAGTTTAGTTTAGTTTAGTTTAGTTTAGTTTAGTTTAATTTAGTTTAGTTTAGTTTAGGACTAGAGTGCACAAATCATAAGCTGTTGTCCTTTTGTGCAGGTATCCACCTCTGTGCCCCCAAAAACAGCGCAGGGCATGGCTACATTGAGCAGATAGTCTATCATCCCACACTTTCTGATGCAGCTGAGACTAGGACAGTCCAGGTGGAGTTGGGAATGGGTGGGTAGGTAACATGAGAGTGAGGAGGGTTGACAATTGAGGAAGGACTACAAAGAGATTTGAGAAGAATTATACAAACACACAAAGGAGAAAATCTGTTACCAGAAATCCAGAAAGAAATCAGTGACACTAGTCACTGTGGTAACCAGCTGACTGCAAAAGCCAAAGGCAGATGCAGTTGTAGTTACAGGAAATAGATTCCAGGAACAGGACCAATACAGACTGGGATAGGAGAGTTAGGCATTTCAGGCACATTAGCAGGCAACTATGTGGAGATGTATAGATAGTGGACTGGACAGTCTCAGGTAATGTTATAAAGCAGCAATGATCAAAGCTCAGTTCAACGGATATTGAAGGAGCTGTTTTGAGTCAGCATGGTGAAGGAAAATGCCACATAAAGAGAGCAAATGCAATCTATCTGAGTTTTCCCATAATGTGACATATTCCCAACCTTCCTCTTCTTTTTATTTTCTAAATAATTGTGATTTATTTAGCAGTTAATATTTTTATGTTCATTTTATTTAGTTTCTCCTTTTCTAAGCAACGAAGTGATATGTGTTCATTGTGATACATATTAAAATATTCATATACATGAAAAGAAAAATATTATGTTCATCTGTAATCCAATCATCCAAGGTTAACTGCTGTTAAAATTTTCCTTTCATATATTTTATGCTTGCATATCGTATGTATGTACCTATGATTATATGCCTATATTTTAAAACCAAAATTATTCCACTGTTCCTGTTTCATACCATACAGCTTCTGTGTACAGAAGCTGTCAGCTTGACAGAGTAATGAAATCGCCTTCTGCAGGTGCAACTGAGGTGCTACTTTATAGGTGATACCCTGCAAAGATAGAGTGATATCTTCCAGGATGCAGCATACACTCTAAATCTACCATCATTATATGGGCATGTGTTCTCAATAGGTACAACACATAAGTCTGGGAACCAAAAGTAAGAAGTAGGAGTGGCCCTGGGCCCTGCTTACCATCGCTCACAGTGATCCACTTGTGTTATTTGTGCTTCTTATCCCTGCAACCCTGGGATTTGTGGGTTTGGAGGTCCTGGTGATTGACTGGTACATCTCTTGGTATCACTTTGCCCAATTTTGATGGTAAATGGAGGCAGGAGCAGCAGCCATGGCCCAAGAAGGACATAGTAACCAGAAACCCACCAGGTAAACCACCTGGATGGCAGAGCTGAGGGTGAGTGAAGCTAAAATGGGTTGTAGAACAGGAACACAATGAGTATCAGTGGCAACTTTCAGACCAGAGGTCAGTAACAAGGTTCTAGTTTACCCCACTAACTTTCTGCTTGTAAGTTTACCCAGAAAAAAGAGTCTAACCAGGATACTGGAGGAACTGTTCCTGGAACTTGTGCAAAATTAGTAGATCCAACACAAAGCATTGGCTGTAATGAATGCTGTGGTTTGCCACTCAGATCCCCTGGTTGGATTAAGGCAGTCATTCCCACAACTACTAGGAATATTGGCCACTGATAGCTCTCATATAATTTATCTCCTGATAATTGTTTTCAGCTAAAGAGAGTCACCTTGCCCAAGTTCATAGGTAGCCCATATCTAATAACTAGTCCATGCCCAGGTATTAAGGCCCAGCCTTCTTTGCTTCAAAGCAGGACAACTCCAGAGCTCCCTGTAGGATTGGCCAAGAGACCTTTGTTGTGACCCTACTGCAGTTTAACTTCTTCTAGCCAATCCTACTTCCTTCACTCTTTCCCTGATATTGAATCCCTAGGCACTCTCCAATAAACTCCCTGCCTGCAAATATCCATCTCAGAGTCTATTTCTAGGGAACTCAGGATACAACAGTTATATTCATTTTTTGTGTTTATATTTTAACAGAAGACACTAACACTTAAAGCTCTAAGCATTTGACTGTATAAAGATATTAAGAATCCCTGGGTCATCTTTGTCTGTAAAGTTCATTTACCTCACCAGCAGCATGGACACCTTGTTTCCTTGCAACCCAGCCCTCCTTGCATGTGCTAAATACCAAAAGCAGCCAGCCTTTCAGTTCTGCTTCCGTCTAGTGGTCATTTTCTATCCCCTTCTGCTCTCTGGTTGTGTTAAGTCCTGAGCTTTTCCATCCCATCCTTCCAGAAAGCCACTAGTCCCACTAGCTGTCACTTATCTGCCCGCACCCATTGTGAACTAAGTTCCGGATGCTGAGGGTTGTGGGAATCTCTCCAGTGTTGCCAGGAGGAAGGGAACTAAAATTCCTCTGGCTAGCAGTCACCATCTTGTTTCTCTATTTCTTTCCTTTGCCCTTTTCTCTCATGATTAGAAAGTTCCTTCCTTAACCCACTACATCTTCAACTTCTGCTTCCCATTGGGATTTCAACACCTTTTCACAGCAAATCCTTGTATTCGTGATTTACACCTTCCAATTTCTGAATTATAAAGCTGTAAATGGAAAGTAAGTTCTTTGCTTCCTTTCTTTTTTGTTTCCTTCTCTCCTTCCTTCAGCAAATTTCTTGCTCACTAACTCTGAGTCATCTCTTAAGTAAAGGTAGGCTATACCTATGCTTATTTAAGGTTATTAAATGTGATATTAAGGACACAACTATTCCCTCTCAAAACTTCCCCAGGGGCCAAGGTTGGCAGCAAATTGGTGGTCTGGCTGAGTCTTGCAGCACATCCCACTTGACCAACAACCCAGAGCTCATGCCCTTGGATGGAGAGTTTATTAACAGCATTCTCTTTGTGTAGGAACGCCTCCAAGTTTTGTAAAGGCCCACTATATTTCGTGTAGTAATGTGGAATGTTCCTAACCAGTAGATTTCTATCAACCAGCCAGTCTTCAAAGACCAACTGGACAGGGAGGATGGAAACCACAACCTAGCCCCCTCCCAGTGGCTCCTTTAAGACACCAGGCCCTCCTGTGCACTTCTAAATCAAAAACCACATAAAATTGGATCTTCTCTGTCCTCACATTGTTGTTGACCTTAGTCCTAAAGCCTGGACACACATCTCAACTTTTCCCCAACCTCCAGGTTTCTGATCTTGCAATTCGTTCTCCCATTTATAGCCTTGCTTCTCCCTCAGGGAATAGCTTGGGTCAGTAGAGGGAACTACAGCTCCTCTTTAGCACATTATCTCAAAGCAGAGTCTTTTCAAACAGGGAAATGTAGAGAGAAGGTAGACAAAGATTGTGACTTTTATTTATTATTGTTTTTTAATTTTTTTAGAGACAGGAGCTTACTCTGTTGCCCAGACTGGATTGCAGTGGCACAATCATAGCTCACTGCAGCCTTGATCTCCTAGGCTCAAGTGATCCTGTCTCAGCCTTTCTAGCAGCTGGGACTACAGATGTGTGCCACCATGCACAGTATTTTTTTTTTTTTTTTTTTTTTGTGCAGATGGGCTCTCACTACCTTGCTCAGGCCAGTCTCGAGCTCCTGTCCTTAAGCAGTCCCCCCACCGTGGCCTCCCTGAGTGCTGGGATTACAGCCGTGAGCCACCATGCCAAGGTAGATTGTGACTTTTAATATGATTATCCTTCCACTTGCAGAAACTTTCTTGTTTTTGCTCATCGTTTGTATTTGACTATCGGCACCATTTCTCTGGCTTTGACTTCAAACTTTTGTTTTGCTCCTGAATCAGGATTCAGATTCACTCATACTGGGACAAATCAGAGAAAGCTGAAAGAAGGACGATAAATAGCACCATGGAACCCTGGACAATTCTGCAATTGGAGGCACCAGATGTCTCTGAAGATGGAATTGTGGGGTGTAGGTAGAAAGAAAAGATTATTTGAAAGCTTTATAATGACCGTTTAGATCCCCAGATCTTCTTCCCAACATACTATTGTCAAATGACTGCTCTTCTGTTACCCAGGAAAAAGCCTGAAGGTTTATTCTCATGAAAGGCTGGGTCAAACGCTCTGGGCAGTATATGCTAGACACAACTGAAAACAAGGGATTTAAATGGAAGTCTACAGACTGAATGATGAATTCCCTCACCCCTCTAGGAGTGAGGGGAAAACAGAGAACTAGAAATAGCTTTTAGAAATAAAAATGTGATAGCAGAAATTTTAAAATTGAGTAGAAAAATTAAAAGATGGCCAGGCACGTTGGCTCACGCCTGTAATCCCAGCACTTTGGGGGGCCGAGGTGGGCGGATCACGAAGTCAAGAGATCGAGACCATCCTGGCCAACATGGTGAAACCCCGTTTCTACTAAAAATACAAAAATTAGCTGGGTGTGGTGGTGCGCTTGTGCACCTGTAGTCCCAGCTACTCTGGAGGCTAAGGCAGGAGAATCACTTGAACCTGGGAGGCGGAGGTTGCAGTGAGCCGAGATCACACTACTGCACTCCAGCCTGGTGACAGAGTGAGACTCCGTCTCAAAAAAAAGAAAAATTAAAAGATAAAGTTAAAAAAATCTCCCAGAAGAAAAAGGAAAGATAAGAAACCTAGAAAGTCAGTTCAGGTGATCCAACAACTGAATCAGGAGTTCTAGAAAGAATGAGCAGGGTGCAGTCGCTTATGCCTGGATTCCCAGAACTTTGGGAGGCCAAGGCAAGAGGATCACTTGAGGCCAGGAGTTTGAGACTGGTCTGGGCAACACAGTGATACCCCCATCTCTACAAAAAATAGAAATAAAAAAAGTAGCTGGGTATGCACCTGTAGTTCCCACTGCTTGGAAGGCTGATGTGGAAGGATTGCTTGAGCCCAGGAGTTGGAGGCGACAGTGAGCCATGATTGCTCCACTGTACCCTAGCCTGGGCAACAGAGCAAGTCCCCCAGTTCTATAGATTTAAAAGTAAAATGTCAAAAACATTCTATGGAGAAAAGATAGTCTTCCAACAAATAGTGCTAGAGCAACTGGATGTCTATAGGCAAAATAATGAACTTCAACCTAAACTTCACACCCTATAGAAAAACTAACTCAAAATGGATAACAGATTTAAAAGTAAAATGTCAAAAAAATTTTTTCTCAAGAGTAAGCAGAGAAAGTGGAGGGGAGGGAATTACTAAAATAAGATGCCTGAAGCTGATATGGCCTTTTAAAAAAGAATACACATGGTAGTTTCTCAAAGCTGAAGGAAATGTGTTTTCAGATTTAAAAGGCCTATTGTGTTGACGTTCATTCCTCATACAGAATGAAAAAGGACACTATTCTAAGGTGTATCATCATGAAACATTAAAAAAAGAAGATTCCAAAACTTTCCAGAGAGGAGGGGAAAAAACCCTTTCATGTCCCGTAGGAAATATTATTAATGTAAAACATATCAACAGCAACATGGAAAGTTAGAAGACAAAGAAGTAATGCCTTTAGAATTCTGAGAGAAAATTTTTCCAACCTAGAAGTCTATACTCAGACTTTCACTCAAGTGCAATGCTAAATTTAAAACATTTTCAGTCATGCTAGGTCTCAAAGAAATACACATTCCATAAACTTTTTCTCAGGAAGCTATTGCAGGATAAGCTCCACCAAACCCAGTGAGTAAACCAAAAGGAATATAGGAGATCTAAGGAAACAGGAGATCCAACAAAAGGGGGATGTGGAGGAATTCCCAAAATGATGAAAAGGGGGCATCTCAAACAGCTGGAGAGCTGCCCTGGACAGCAACAACCCAGACCAGAGCCGGACAAGGAAGGTCCCCAGGGTGACATCCAGAAGAGAAGTCAGTGAGAAAACAAAACTGATAGAAGGAGAGATTTATAATTCTGTTAGAGGGCTAGGGAGAAATTAGTGATTAATTCATGAACATTGATGTTTTAAAAAGACAATTATTAACTAAAGGGAAAACAAAATGATTGTATCAGATATGAAGTGAACATCAAGCAGTTCATCTGTGAACAATATTTTCTTAGGCCTAATAATTTAAACACTGAAATTGTGATGTAATGGGAGGATGGGGATAGGTGAAGGGTTTATGTTGGAGAGGGTGGTAGAAGAAAACTAGATCCTAACCACCATAGTAGGAAATCAAGAGATGATATCTAAAACTGAAAAGTCAAGAGAGAAAAAGTACAAGCACCAGAAGAAATGGCTAAAGATGTGACTACAGTTAGCTGTGTGGAGCAAAACACAGAGGTGGGGAAGAGTGAGCAAAATACTGTTTCTTTTTGTTGTTAAAAGCCTTGGATTTGACTTTTTATGCTATGTGCTTATATATTTTTTCTTTTATTTTTATTCCTCTAGATATGATGCCTGAAGAATTCTTGTATGTTTCTATTTTTTAAAAGACTAAAGCAAAAAAAATTTTAAAGAGGAAATAAGAGAGAAGGGAAAATTAGGGTAGAAAAAAATAAGATGAAGTCAGAAGTAATGCACATCATCCAGTACACATCATTGCTAAAGATAGGCTGAAAATTTGGTTCTGAGCTTTTTAGCAGCAAGCATAAAGTGGGAAATGTAATTGTTTACATGGTTTCACAATGTCCAAGAGATAAAAACAAACCACTTACTCAGGAGAAATATAGCTATTCCTGGTACTGCGATCTGAGAGACAGTTCTCCCATCTGTTCTCCTAAAGAGGACACATGTGACGTAGTGAACCACATCCTCCTTAACTTGCCAACAGTAAATGCAACAATAAGTTTCATAGAGCTGTTTCTTGTCATGTCTCTCAACATAGGTGAATGGCAAAATGCCAATGCAGTGCTCAGTAAAAGCAACTCTATGAAGAAATAAAAATCTGTTTAGAGAGGCAATAAAGCATAGTAGTAAGAGTGTTGGCCTGGGTTCCAAATCTATCTGTCAAACAAGTTACTTAACTACTTTGTACTCAGTCTTCTCATCGATAAAACTGGTCTAATAATACCATCTCATAGAATTTTGTGAGTTATGCATGTGAAGTACTTAGAACAATGCCTGGCATATATAAGCACTAAAAAAATCCGTTTAAAAAATCCACTTTTAAAAAAAGTGAATCTTACATGTTAAGGCTACTGTAAAGAAAACAGTGTGATATTGATGGAGAGATAGACACATAGATCAGTGAAATATAATAGAGAAATATATCACACAAGTATAGCCAACCGATTTTCAACAATGTTGCAAAAAAAAATTCAATGGAGAAAAGATAGTCTTCCAATAAATAGTGCTAGAGCAACTGGATGTCAATAGGCAAAATAATGAACTTCAACCTAAACTTCACACCCTATAGAAAAACTAACTCAAAATGGATAACAGATTTAAAAGTAAAATGTCACACTATAAAATGTTTTCACAAAAACAAAGGAGAAAACCTTCAGGACTTAGGGCAATGTGAAGAGTTCCTCAACATGATACCCAGAAATGATCCTTAAGAGAAAAATTGATAAATTAGACTTCATCAAACTTAAAACTTTTGCTCTGTAAAATATCACATTAAGAGAATGAAGACAGACACAGGCTGAAAGAAGGTGTCTGCAAACCAAAAACCACTGCAGAAAATATAGTAAACCAAACATCTGACAAAGGACCATAAAGAACACTCAAAAATCAACATCAAGGAAACAATCTAATTAGAAAATAGGTAAAAGACATGAAAATATATTTCTGCAAAGAGGATATACAAATGGCAAATAAGCAAATAAAATATGTTCAATGTCATTAGCCATTAGGAAGATGCAAATTAAAACCATGATGAGATATCATTATATACCTATTAGGATGGCTAAAATAATGACAATACTAAATGCCTGTGGAGAAAACTGACTCTCTCATATATCGCTGGTGGTAGTGTAAAATGGTATAGCCACTCTGCAAAATAGTTTGGCAATTTCTTAAAAATCTAAACTTATACTTACCACATGATCTAGCAATCACATTCCTAGGCATTTACCCAGAGTAATGAAAATTTATGTTCACACAAAAACCTATACAAGAATACCCATTGTAAGTTTATTTGTAGTAGCCTAAATTGGAAACAACCCAAATGTCCTTCAATGGGTGAATGGCTAAACAAACTGTGGTGCATCTATATCATGGAATACTACTCAGTAATAAAAAGAAACAATCTATTAGTACATGCAACAATTTGTATGAGTCTCAAGAAAATTATGCTGAGTGAAAAAAAAAAGCCAATCTCAAAGGTTGGATATTGTATGATTTCATTTATCTAACATTCCTAAAATGATAAAATTACAGAGATGAAGAACAGATTAGTGGCACTAGGGATGGGTTGGGGGCAGTACAGGTGTGACCATAGAGAGGTAGCATTTGGGATATTTGTAGTAATAAAACAGTTCTGTATCTTGACTTTTACTGTTGTTACATCAATTTACTACATGTGATGAAATTGCATAGAACTACACACACACACGAGTATAGGTAAAAACTGGTGAAATTTGAATAAATTCAATGGATTGTACCAATATAAATTTCCTGAATTTAATATTGTACTATAGTTATGTAAGATGTTACCATTGGGGGAAACAGGATAAAGGGTACACAGAACGTCCCTGTACTATGAATTTCCTATGAATCTATAATAATTTTAAAATAAAAAGTTTCCAAAAAAATGTATCTTATAAAAAATGTTATAGGCTGGGTGTAATGGCTCACACCTGTAATCCCAGCACTTTGGGAAGCCAAGGCAGGAAGATCGCTTGAGCCCAGGAATTCGAGATCAGCCTGGGCAACATTGGAAGAACTCATCTCTACAAAAAGTAAAAAGTTAGCTGGGTGTCGTGATGCATGCCTTAGTCCCAGCTAATAGGGAGGCTGAGGTGTAGGGATTGCTCGAGCCCAGGAAATTGTGGCTGCAGTGAGCTATGATAATAGCACTACTACACTCCAGCCTGGGTGATAAAGCCAGACCCTGTCTCAAAAAAAAAAAAAAAAAAAAAGTTATATAAGCTCTATAATAAAACTTCATTAATTAGGGATTAAAGTTTACCTTTATTTAACAAACTGTGTATTGTATAAAATTAGAATTAAACATTTGGGATGTTGGTAGAAATTATAGAAATTCATCAAGTTTTGCTCTTGCAAAACTTGGTGAAGGCAAAGGGGCCCAGGGGGACTCTAATGCAGATGCTCACTGCTTCAAGAAGGCAAGTAGCATATTTTCAAGAGTTGTTAAAGAATAGCACTTATTACCATAGAGTAATTGTCTTGCCCTTATCTTTTCAGGTTCAAAATTTTGATTTCCTAGCATGAATTCATATTAACTGAGCTCACAGGACTGATGTACTATGTGTGACAATCTCAGCCGCAATTTCAGATGTGCAAGAAAAAAACAAGTTTCTCTCTCTTCTTTAAATCAACTTATTTTGAACTCCACATCCCCATCATATGAGCTGGAGAGAAATTCAGCCTAAGTAATTCCTTGCCAAGGCACTGTTGGTCTGGTTACTGTCCAGACACCCACTGTTGTAGTCTGAAGGGCACTCTCAGGAGTAGAGACTGTGGCTTTTGTGATGCTTCGGACTCGGGAACTTTTCGTGCTGAGGATCCAGCCTCCATGGGCACTCCAATTGCTCTCTGAGGTCTTGCTATCTTTCTGTGCTCTGACATCTCACCCTCTCCAGCCTCAGGGAAACTCCTAGAGAAGCCTCTTTCCTCTCTAAGATCATTTCTGTCTCAACCCTCCAAGAAATCCAGCAACATCTAGTCAATCAGCTTAGCTTTTCCAGAGCTGAGGAAAACCACTAACTTGAAGCTGCTTCTAATTTTTGTCCTGCCAACATTCTTATTATAAGAAATTATAAAGCCTCACTACCTTGTGAAATGCAGAGAAGAGGAAAATATAGAGAGGATAAAATAAAATTAATATTTTAACAAATTACCCTACCAAACTACAAAAGCCACTTTATTAATTTGCAATAAATGTCACAGCAATGGGTTACATCCATATGGCTAGCCCACTGTCCCCTCTTTAAAGTAGACTTTCATGATCCTCCTTAGACTGTTGCTTGGTGAACATGAAGCAGAGCCAGAGGCTTTAGAATAGTTCAACATTTAAAGGGATCAGGTTATCAGAGTCTGATGTATTAATCCCACAATAGGGACATTCACATCATGGTAGGGGAGCTGGGAACACTGGAAGTTCATTGGCTATGATCTCCCAAATCCATGTTTACTTTGAAAATGTCCTTGTCTGTGGAGCTGCAATCGTCAGAGGCATTTGGCTGGCTGGGACTCTCTTCCCCCTGACAGCACTTGGATGAACACTGTCAACATTTGTCCTGGAGGCCGTCTTTTTTCTATGCCTCAACAGCTCACCACCCCTTCCATCAAATAACAGGCCAATTCTGCTGACCAAATATCCATGTCTCTTCAGGATGATTTTGCATAGATCTGTTCCAGTAAATTACGTAGGGACTCTAAATTTGAACTCTGAAAGCCATATAATTTCTTTGCTTTTGGGTTAGCCTTCCTGTACCCATCACATCCTGATAATGGCATATATAAAACAAATTATATTAGATCTTCAATCTAGGATTCAAAACACCAGAAGCATCCAAGCAAAGAAACTGTCTTAAGAAACTTAAAAATAATTATACATCAAAAATTACATCATTATAGTATTTGAAGACTAGTTAATTGCGGCATGTATGATAATAGTGAAATCTGCTAGATGCAAATGACACAACAGTAATGTCACTGAAGTCAGATTTTTAAGTGTTGAGTTCATGCACTGTGCTGTGTGCTATATTTAGATACCTAAACTTTAGATATATCAATAACCTAGTTAGGTCAAGCAAGTCCATGACATTTCCCCACTCTTTGCATAGAAATAATGGACGTTCTAATGAAAGTATGATACTCCAAATTTGCAAAAGGCTTAAATGCAATCTTGATGGTAATTCCTCACATATATATGTGTATATATACACACATGAAGAATTATCCTATTTTCTTCCTTACAGGAGAATAAGAAAATATAATTAATAATAATAAATTATAAGGTTATTTTCCCGTAAAAAAATTAAGAAGTTTCATCACTCACGTCAGCAAAAATAACACTCCAACTGATCCCCCACCCTCAAACTCTAATTAGTTATCTGGTATTCTCTAGAATCCTTTTGCTTGCCTTACCTCTCTTTTCAATGTTTTTTTTCTTCTCTAGTTTTCTTAAAATGACACCTTCACGGTACCCATCATTACTAATAAGGTCTTCCCAAACTTTGTCAATTGATTATGTCCAGTAAAGCCAAGAAAAAATACCAGGCAACTGGCTTTATGAGTGATTTTGTAATAACTTTATCTATCAAGATAAATAGATTTGCTGTAACATGTTAGGGCTTCTGAAGTAATTCCACTACAATTTTAGGATTCCAAAGGCAGTATATGATAAACTGAAGTTTTTTAAAGATCACTTCAACTGGGTTGGGGATAAAACTTAGCATAATATTTCTATCAAGCTGTGTTTTATTTTGATTTGATTTCCTTCAGTATTTTTGAAACGTATTAATGTTTATGAAATACATGAATATATTTACTTTGAGCTTTGCTTGCCTCTAACTCATGCACAAGGACGCTTTTTCACGTAAACTTGAAATAATAATAATAAGCTAGTTGTGTTCAGCTCTGTCCTTTGAGATGAAGAGATGCAGTCATAACCCCAGAGGGCAGTCATATGGTCTCCATTGCATCTCAGCATGATTACAAATAATGACTGTGCCCAGAATTTGTTCAGATGATTGTTTTACCCATGATATGTTTTGTTAAATACAGAATACCAGACATTAGGAGAAGATGAGGCTGAGAAGAGTTAACATCTTTCGTTTTGCTGAGATAACAAAGATCCCATCCAACATATTACCTACTGACCCCATCCTCTTGCCATTGGAGCAGCAGGGCAAAATCTGTTCACATTCTCATGGCCCCAGACAGAGTGCTGGCCTTGAGCACACTGTGTGACACTCATTTGACCAAGAGAATCCAGTAGGCACAGGGAGAGCTGCCTACTATTGCCACGTTGTATGAGGTGACAAGAATGTCTCTTTTTTTTTTTTTTTTTTGAGATGGAGTCTCACTCTGTCACTCAGGCTGGAGTGCAGTGGCACGATCTCGGCTCACTGCAAACTCTGCCTCCCAGGTTCGCACCATTCTCCTGCCTCAGCCTCCTAAGTAGCTGGGACTACAGGGGCCCGCCACCATGCCCGGCTAATTTTTTGTATTTTTAGTAGAGACAGGGTTTCAACGTGTTAGCCAGGATGGTCTCGATCTCCTGACCTTGTGATCCTCCTGCCTTGGCCTCCCAAAGTGCTGGGATTACAGGCATGAGCCACCACGCCCGGCCAAGAATGTCTCTTTAGGTTTGATTTCCATTTCAGGAAATCACAAAATCAGATTGCATATAATGGGGCTCACTCCAAGAGAGTAGAGTGAGATTTAGAAGCCTTTCAACCTACTTACAAAATGTGTACAGTTCCCATTTCACTGCAGATGAAACAATAACAAATATTGAGCAAAGGAGGTTAATCCATATCCAGAAGATTTTATTAAGTTAAACAAAAAAGTCATGCAGGTCCCAGGCAATAAGTTTTATTTAAAATTAACAGCAACCTATAAGCACATTTCATCAAAAACCATAAATAGATATTGTAATGTATCTTTTTCACTACTGACTCTATCATGAGTCTACCTGAAAAGAAAAAAAAAACAGTAATAGCAACCATCAGGGCTTTTTAAAAAAATCAGTATTTTTCATAAAACAACATAGCAGATTTCAGACTGATAGAGACCTGTCATAAGGTGTTGTCTACAGAGCAGTAGCAAGGCATTATTTTCTATACTGAAATTTAGTTTAACATTTATAACAAGTATCTTATAAGGAAATCTCTTTATTGGATCTTTTAATCAGTATAGACTGGGTGTGAGGGAAAGTAGGTCAAAATAAAATATTTATTACACAGTCAAGAAAAGACAATATATTTTTAATTTGTGGCTTAAGATGCGAATTAATTTATTTATGTTCTTGGTTACCTATGTTACATATGTCTATCCACATGATGTATGTGTCTGTGTGATATGTATATCCAGTGGGGTGCTGATAAATCAACTCTTAAAAAAATTAAATCCTGATCTATTGCCTTTGCTCATTTCCATACTGTAAATATTTCCACTATGGCCAGTTTCAAGCTGCCAATATGATGTCCCTGAATATGGAGTTGGGAAGAGATATGCACACTTGATACTTGTACACCAGTATCTATACATATAGACACTACTGTATCTATACATGTGTATATATACATACATATGTATGTAAAAGTATGTGTATACATGCACACACACACACACCTGTGTGTACAGGTGTGTATACACCACATACATATACCAAGAAGTCTGAAGTAGTGACAGAGACTGAAGCCAGTGTCTACCTTGAAATCCACCTCTACCACCTACCAGTCATATGAGCTTGGGCAAATCACTTAACATTTTTGTGAACATAATAATAGTACATAATAATAGAACATAATAATAGTACCACTTACTGCAATAGTCCTGTCCCAGTTAAAAAATAAATAAATAGAAAAAAAGTAGCACTTAGTAGGTATGTTATAAATATTAAATTAATATCTATAAAGTGCTAACAACAGTAACACATAAGAGCTATATAAACATCAGCTATTATTTTTGCTATCATTATTATTATCTGTATATACAACTCTGTGTGGTGTGTGTGTGTGTGTGTGTGTTGTATATAGTGATCTCTCAGGATCTTGCCCACCAGAAGCAGCTGATGCTCATCTCCATCTCCTCCTCTACTCTGGGACCTCTGCTCCATCTCCCTCCTCCTCCCATTTGCAGGTTCAAGTTAGCCAAGTAGGGATTAAGTTCTGTTCCAATCAGAATCACAGTAAATCTTTAGACCTGAGGCAGGAGCTGTTTTTAAGCAAGCATCGTGTCTGCTCTCTTGCCTGTTTTGCCTCCCTCCATCGATCCCTGGAGAGCTCCAGTTAAGGAGTATGGCCCTGGATGTTTGGCTACCTATCCTGGTCCCCCACAGAGCCTCTGAGCTCCTCTGGTTGTCTCTTGTCTATTGGTTTCTGACTGATGATCCCTGTTCAGAGTGTGTGTCCAAATCTCTGGACCTTGACCCCATGACCTTGCTTTGGCTTGGAATCCTGAATGATGATTTTGCTCTGGACCCTCCCCAGTTCCTATCCATTTTTTACTGCACTCCCAGTTCCCTTCATCTGTGATACTTTCCCTGAAATCTATAACTATAATGACCATTTAACCTGGATTTTCCAGAGAGAGTCAACTTTAAATATTTTGTCCTTTTGACTCTAATGTTTTGGCATGCAAAGTATACTGCCCAGAAAATTGTTAATGACGAAAAGAAATACAAAATTCCCTGAATTTTTAAATTCACAAAATACAGTCATTTAAAAAGATTTCTCTAACCTTCTAATTTCCAGTACTGAAGTGATGACCAATTCTAAACCAGTGCCCAGGCCCTACTACTCTAACAAGCTGCACCATATTACATGATAGAGGTGATTTGGAAAGAAGGCAAAGTTCAGAGGAGGACCCAGAAATCTCCTTGCCCCAGTTTTCAAATTAATGGCAGATTTCTGCCACACATCCACACATTCCATTCTTATTTTTAAATATTATTTTACTGTATTTGTGTATGCATATTGTAATCATCTGATATTTGTTGTCATTTCATTATGATGGAAACTAACAACTTGAGCCACTGTTTTCCTTCATTCCATCTCTTAGTCACCATGTGTATATTAGCACCTGTCTATTTAAAGCTTTATCATAAGGCATGTTCTGGTAAGCACCCCTCTAAATTGAAGAGTGACTAAATTTTTGCAAAATCCAAAATGAGTGGTTTGAGCTAGGTTACTCCCACTCTATATCCAACTGACTCAATCTCTGCTGGCAGCTTTTCTGCTTCTCCAGGCATTCAAAAGCAAATTCTAGAAAGTAGTCCCTCTGAAAAAACTTTAAAATCCCCATTTCCTGGGCTGGATGTGGTGGCTGACACCTCTAATTCCAGCTCTTTGGGAGGTCAAGGTGGGCAGATTGTGAGGTCAGGAGTTCGAGACCAGCCTGGCCAACATGGTGAAACCCTGTCTCTACTAAAAATACGAAAATTAGCCGGGCATGGTGACACACGCCTGTAATCCTAGCTACTTGGGAGGCTGAGGCAGGAGAATTGCTTGAACCCGAGAGGCAGAGGTTGCAGTGAGCCGAGATCGTGCCATTGTACTCCAGCCTGGGCAACAGAGCGAGACTCTGTCTGGGGGGAAAAAAAGCCACATTTCCATGAGAGCTCTAAACAACAATTATTTCTCTAAAGTAATGTCTTCTGCTGAAAGGGAAAAGCATTCTAACATCATTTGCTGTATATGGTTGTATGGGTGCTGGTGTTGTTGGGGGGCAGGGTGGAGAAAAAAGGGGAGGGTCACAATCAAAATCCTCTTTTCTTTGGAAACTCCTACATAAGCAACCCTCTTGCCCCTCTCTTTTTAGAACTGACTCAGTCTAGCGGTTTAAATAAAAACTCTATCTCTTCCACCTAATCCCCTTTACTAAAAAAAAAAAAAAGAGAGAGAGAGAGAGAGAAAGGTAGAATTAGGTAACAAGAGACTTAGAGACAGGAGGCCTGAATTTTAAACCAGCTCATTCACTAACTCTCTTTACAAAGGTTTTTAACTTGAGCTTGATGGACCCCCCCAAAGGAGTCTAGAGACAGAATTCAGGGTGTGCATGAACTTGGAAGGAAAGTAAAATTACATTATTTTCACTGACCTCTAATTTAAATTTAGCATTTCCTTCAGGATCTCCCCCAATCTCTGCCCTATCTTTCACCTCTTCCTATGTGTAGGCTTAGATTGGCACATGGTTCTTCAATTATTAATGTAGACAAGAAATCATAAAGTATTAGCAGTCCTTATGACTTTCACCAGTGGAAATCACAGACTTTTTTTTATTGCTTTCACATTTGTTGCAGATATCTAAAACATCACATATACTAATTACACTTCAAAATTATGGTAGTTAATAGATCTACTGCTATACCTTATAATTTAATGTGTTAATTAAAAAAGGAACAACATCATGTCCTTTGCAGGGACATAGATGGAGCTGGAAGCCATTATCCTCAGCAAACTAACACAGGAAAAGAAAACCAAACACCGCATGTTCTCACTTCTAAGTGGGAACTGAACAATGAGAACACATGGACACAGGAAGGGGAACAACACATGCTGGGGCCTGTACGAGGGGAAAGGAAGGGAGAGCATCAGGATAAATAGCTAATGCAAGCAAGGCTTAGTACCTAGGTGATGGGTTGATAGGTGCAGCCAACCACCATGGCACACATTTACCTATGTAACAAACTTGCACGTCCTGCACGTGTATCCTGGTACTTAAATTAAATTAAATTTTAAAAATAAAATAATTAAACAATCACATGTATCACTATATCCCAAATTTGTTTTTAATATTTTGATAACTGCATTTCAATAGAATTGGTTTGCTTTGGATTCTTATGTGTTTTATTTTTTAAAACATCTTTATTGAGATACAAGTCATAAAATTCTCCACTTAAAGTATACAATCCACTGGCTCTAATCACAGAATTATGCAATCTTCACTATAATCTAAGTTTACAGCATTTTTTATCACCACAGAAAGAAACCCATTAGCTGTTACTCTCTACTCCACTCCATCTTCTGGACTTCAGGACTTCAGTTCTTTTTAATGCCAAATAATATTCCATTGTTTGGATTTACCATATTTTGTTTATCAATGTTGATGCACGTTTAGGTTGTTTCCCCTTCTTAGCTATTATGAATAATGCTGCTATGAACATTCATGTACAAGTTTTTGGGTGGATATATGTTTTCAATTCTCTTGGGTTATTACCTAGAAATAGAATTGCTGAGTCATATGGTAACTCTACATTCAAACTTTTGAAGAACTGCGTGACTGTTTTCCTAAGTGATTACACCATTTTATGTTACTACTGGCAGTGGTTTGAGGGTTTCAATTTCTCAATATCCTCTCCAACCCCTGTGATTACGTATCTTTTTTATTGTAGCCATCTTAGTAAGTATAAAGTGGTATTTCATTGTAGTTTTGGTTTATATTTCCCTAATGATTAATGATGTTGAACATCTTCTATGGGCTTATTGGCCATTTGTATATCTCCTTTTAGAGAAATATCTATTTAATAAATAAAACCTTAGCCCATTCTTTAATTGGGTTGTCTTTTTATTATTGAACTGTGAGAGTTCTTAATATATTCTGGATATAATTCCTTAACAGATGTATGATTTGCAATTTTTTTTTCCATTCTGTGGGCTGCCTTTCCACTTTCCTGATGATATTATTTGCAACACAAAAGTTATTAATTTACCGGCCGGGCACGGTAGCTCACGCCTGTAATCCCAGCACTTTGAGAGGCCAAGGCGGGCGGGTTGCTTGAGCTCAGGGGTTTGTGACCAGCCTGGGCAGCAAACATGGCAAAACCTTGTCTCCGCAAAAAATACGAAAATTAGCCGGGCTTGGTGTTGTGCGCCTGTGGTCCCAGCTACTCAGGAGACTGAGTTGGGAGGATCGCTTGAGCCCAGGAGGTCGAGGCAGTGATTGTGCCACTGCACTCCAGCTTGGATGACAGAGCAAGATCGTGTCTCAAAAAAGAAAAAGTTTTATTTTGAGGTAGTACAAGTTATTATATTTTCTTTTGTTGCTTGAGCTTTTGATGTCATATTTAAGAAGTTACTGCCTATGTGAGGGTTGTACAACTCTGTGAATATGCCGAAAACTTTTGGCATAAGAACACTTTAAATGAGTGAACTGTATAGTACAATAAGTCCTCAATGTTGTCAGTAGGTTCTTGGAAACTATGACTTTAAGCAAAAGGACATATAACAGAACCAATATTTTTTTCTCATCATTATAATAAAATGAAGTTGAACTAAACAGTCTTATTCAAGGACCTGATGTACATTGTTTCACTTAAAGTTGCAGTTTCCAAATACCTGGTAAGGACTTTAAGTGAGGACTTACTGTATGTAAATTAATTTCAATAAAGCTGTTTTTTATAAAAGCCAAAATGGCAGAAGGACAGAGAAAAATGCAGACCTTGGTGTTATTATATTATTTGACTTTCTCTGTACACAAGCCAATAAATCCTCCTTATTGTTTAAAAAAAAAAAAGAAACCAAATCAAGTTTTAAAATTAGATCATGGTGATAGTTGCACAATTCTGTAAATATACTAAAACCACCGAATCATGTATGCTTTACATGAATGAATTTTATGGTTATATGAGTTATATTTCAATAAAGCTATCTTTCAAAAGACAAAAGAAGCCACTGCCAAATCCACAGTCTTAAGATTTACTCCTGTTTTCTTAAGAAACTGTGTCTTGCTATGTAGTCCAGACTGGATTTGAACTCCTGGGCTCAAAGGATCTTCTCCCTTCAGCCTCCAGAGTAGCTGGAACTACAGGCACATACCACTGCACCTGGCTCCATTTTGAGTTAATTTTTGAAATTTGGTGCAAGGAAAGGTCCAGCCTCATGTACTTTATTTTATGCTCTTAAAAACCTTATTCTGGCAGGGCACAGTGGCTCACGCTTGTAATCCCAGCACTTTGGGAGGCCAAGGTGGGTGGATTGCCTAAACTCAGGAGTTCAAAACCAGCCTGGGTAACAGGGTGAAAATTAGCTGGGTGTGGTGGCGGGCACCTATAATCCCAGCTACTCGGGAGGCTGAAGCAGGAGAATCACTCGAACCTGGGAGGCGGAGGTTACAGTGAGCCGAGATCTTGCCGCGGCACTCCAGCCTGGGAGACAGAGCTAGACTCCGTCTCAAGAAAGAAAGAAAAAAATCATTCTGAGAAGGAATCCATTAGCTTCGCCAACCTGCAAAGATGGTTTCTGGCACAGAAAAAGTGAAGAACTCTTGCTCTAGAATTGGAACTATATATCCTTACTTCTCTGGAACTCAGGTTCCTGCCCTGTAAAATTTAATAGGTAGGATTGAATTGGGAAGTCCCTTCCAGCCCTGTGGTGCCATTTATTGTGCAGACATTGTAGGTGGAGGGCAATGACTCTTTAATAAAACACCTCAGGTTTATGACACCAGCTGCTTCTGTTATTTTTCTTCCAAAGGAAGCCATTGTCTGGCAATCATGGGAGGGCTCAGCCAGAGCTTTGTGAAATGTTTTAGGGGGTAGAGGTGACACAATAGGGGAAGGAAACATTTTCTATTGAAAAGCAGTCAATTGCCTTCAACAAGTTGCCAACAAACTGGAAAGTTGTTGGGTTTTTTTTTCCCTGCTTACAGCTGAATGCCAGCCTTTGAAAGGTAAATAGAGTGGTTTAGATGAATGGGTTACAGATGCCCCCAAATGAGGGAGAAGATTGTTTGTACAAAATTAGCAGGAGGAAGGATGCCAAGCATGTAACTGAGCCATCATCATTAACATCATGAAAGGGGAACAAAAATCAGGAAAATACAATCAAATCTTTGCTTTTACAATTGTAAAGGTACTTCCACAATTTTATAATTTTTATTCTGTAATATTTACTTTTTTAAAAGTTTTAACCATGGTATAGAGAATTTTTAATATAGAATTGTTGGGTCTTTTTCAAAATTAAGTAATTATAGTTTGCATTTTAAAAAGCTTTAGCTATTAGCTGTAATAGCTAAAGCTATATACAATAGCTGTAGCTATAAACTATTTGATCATTGTATGCGTTATAATTTTGCCTGGAATCTAATCTTACACAGTGGAAATACTGATAATGCTCATTATAAAAAAGCGGCAATATATTTGCAAAAGCTCCATTAAATATGGACTTTCAAAAAGACTATAGGATATCTGCAGAAAGGCTAGCATATTCTTCCAAGGTTTATAAACTATCCGCCCTGATGCATAGACCATGCTAAATTCTCCATGTGTTTGCAAATTTTCCATGCCATGTGTTGGTATCCTTTGAAATTAACAGTCCTACTCCCTTATCAAGAAGGAGGGGAACTCCTAAGAGGCTCAGACTTGCACTTTTCTCTCCCTAGTGCCTCTTTCTCCAGCTTTTCTGCCTTCCAAAAGGTATCAAGAATGTGGGGGAAAAGAGTGTGGGCAGTGGGGAAGCAGAGTCAAGGCTCCAGAGCCCTGCCAATTAGTTAAAGGTCAGCACGGAAGGGACTGTCTGTGAGAGGACAAGAAAGCTGAACTTCTCTTGAGCCAACTCAACTGGATGGCAGCCAATCTCTATCTCTTTCCTGGGCCAGAGCAGAGCTCCCCCAGTTCTGTGTGCGCCTGCACAAAGACGAATATGTTCTGTACAAATAGGGTCTAGTTTTACCTTAGGTGAATAGACTGAGCCTGGGGGTCAAGGGACAGAGGACAGAGAGGACCAAACTGGTGTTTGCTGCGTCAGAAGCATACAGGCTTATTTGGAAAGACTGAAACTAAATAAAGACTTCTTATTAGCATAGGACTAGAGTTGTGAAATCTGGTCAAAGGGTTTTATGCAAGGATGCCTTTTATATATTCTCATGTTAATGTGGAAAAGTAGAAAAATACAACATTTTAATTAGGGGAGAAAACTATTGTTATATATAACTTTAGAACATTTTTCTTTTTTTAAAAATTATGCTTTAAGTTCTAGGGTACATGTTCACAACGTGCAGGTTTGTTACATATGTATACATGTGCTATGTTGGTGTACTGCACCCATTAACTCGTCATTTACATTAGATATATCTCCGAATGCTATCCCTCCCTCCTCCCCCCACCCCACAACAGGCCCTGGTGTGTGATGTTCCCCTTCCTGTGTCCAAGTGTTAACTTTATAACATTTTTCATACCAGGAACTTTTTTTTCTTTTACACTAGAACATGGGAGTGATACTCCCAAGTTTTTGTCCCCCATCCCAAAATGACAGGGGAAGTAAAATTCTTTTCACAAAAAGTGTACCTTTTTTAAAAAGAACAGTAAGCCAGCATTAGATGACTTATTCTAAAACAATCTTCTTCTTTAACTGGGCTTTTCTGCAGATTTTCTAAGAGGAAAAGTTGATGTTTAACTCCACATGTTCCTTTTTTACGTTCACAATTTTTTTTCACATTTCCTTTCTGATAGGAGTAGTATTTTATTGTTGTGTGAAAACCCAATTGCAATCCATCAGGTATCAGCTTTTAGTAAGGTAGTATGTGTAGAACTGAAAAACAGACATTTACCTCCAGAAATGAAGGGCTTTTTTGATCTTTCTGCATTTAGGCGATCTCAGTTTATTTTCTGGAAGTGTGCGCTGAACCATAAGCAATATCGTATCTCTCCTGAGGACGTAATGTTTCCTAAAAGCCTGTCTAGTTCACTGTGTTTTTCAGAGGGAAAAATCCTGAGGACTGGATCCAACTGGGAGGAGTGTCACCCAGGGTGGCCTGAGACAACGTAGCTGGATGGAGAGTTCCAGTTTTCATCATCTTAGTTGCAAAAAGACAAGGTCACCCACAGAAGGCAACTTTGTGCATTTGTGGGCCAGGCAAATGCAGAGAGCAAGTAGGGAAGCTGAAAACAAGGGAGTGAAGATCTGAACAGAGCTGGGTGGGTAGAGAGGGTCAAGGGAAACATTTCAGTTCTGAAGCCACAAATGGAAACCCTGTGCCAGAGTGCCCCTTTTATGTTAGTGGTGGAGAGAGGTTCCTGCTGCTTAGAGTAGTCACGCAGCACTACAGGCTAAATGCTGCAAATCTATAGTGATATCAGGTCTATTTTTATTCTCTCATTTATATGTTTCCTTTTTATCTTAGCCATATAGGATTTTTTTATCCTTTATCTTCCTCCTGTGGGTCCTGTTGTTGTTTTTTTTTTCTTTGTTTGTTTGTTTGAGACGGAGTCTCGCTCTGTCACCCAGGCTGGAGTGCAGTGGCGCAATCTCGGCTCACTGCAAGCTCCACCTCCCAGGTTCACGCCATTCTCCTGCCTCAGCCTCCTGAGTAGCTGGGACTATAGGCGCCTGCCACCACGCCCGGCTAATTCTGTTTTTGTATTTTTAGTAGAGACGGGGTTTCACCATGTTAGCCAGGATGGTCTCCATCTCCTGACTTCGTGATCCGCCCGTCTCGCCCTCCCAAAGTGCTGGGATTACAGGCGTGAGCCACCGCACCCGGCCCGTGGGTCCTGTTCTTAAGCTCCACTCTTTATAACTCTAGTTTGTTTTGGTTTTTAAAATTATTTTTTTCTTCCTTTTTTTCCTTTAAGAGCTTTCTAAAAGCTGGCACTTTGGTAGATTTCTTTTTTTTCTTTGTTCACGTAGTCTGATCTGGAAGCCAGGACTTTATGTTGGCCTGGATTTGTCAGGTCTCTAATCAACTCTGTGTAAAGTGGAATAGCTTGGCAACAGGCATAATAATAATAATTAAAAATAACAGTGACTGCAGAACTAAGACATGAGATTCAAAAATAAGGGGGAAAGTGACACAGAGTCATAGGCTTTCATCTGAAAATATCTCATTCCGGCCAACTGAGAAGCACCCTTGCAAATCAGTTAGAATATCTCTCTGTGTAGAAAAGGAAAGCCAGAGAGAAATGTTGCCTTCAAGTGTAGTTTGCCTGTGTATTACCTTCTGTTGAAATTCCCACAGACAAATAAGCCTTTGAGAACCCATAAGAAAACAATGGCTGCCACTAGTAAGATTTCCAAAGGTACTTTTAAAACATGGAGTAGATTTGTTTTTCTGTCCCAACGACTTCAGAGAAGTTCCCACTTAAATCCATGCATGGTCATTTTATATCTGCCATTACATATTCTTGTTTGCTAAATGTAAGTCTTGTCAATGAGTTATTTTAAAAAGTACTTTTTGAAATTACGCACACCCCAAACAACAGAACTGCTGTGTGTATACAAATGCTCTGGAAAGGCAGAAGTCAGGTACTGGGTGTAGGCACAGGACAGACCGCATGGTCTGCCTTGGCAGCCCTGTCCTCACCTGCAAGCTGCCCACACACACTCCCTTCCAAACGGTGCTCCCTCTGATGCCACTTGGCTGACTGAGCTACTGTGGGAGGAAGCCTGTGAAGGGGTTGGTGGTAGTGATGTGAATAAATATTTTATAAACTAAACTTCAAGTATAAAACTTGATTTACCCTTTCAACCAAATTCACATGGGAAGTCCCACTTCTTCTTAAAAATCTTGGACATTCAAGAGTTAAGGGATATGGAAGCTGGCGTAGCATGGGGCTGTCATCCAAGACCAGCTGAAAAGGCAGCAGGAAGGGTTTGGTTCTGGCTAGGCTACAGACAGGCCATCTGGATGCAGGGAAGGCCTAGAATGCCAGAAGCAGCTTTTCTTTTTGATTTTAGACTTCATCGAGTCCAGCCTGGGAAAAGTCTTTAGTTTAAGACCCAAACCGAGAGTCTTCTTTAAACAGGGATTCAATATTTGAATTTTATATAAAACAAACATCCACTACACGTATTCTTTTTGGCAAAGAAGGTTGGAGACAGCAATGTACACACAATTAAACATACTTAGAAAAAAATGTAGACCAGATTCACTAGACTTATAAATACATAGGAACTATGTGTAGTTTTTAAGTAATTTTGCTAGGAATAAATATTGAAAGATTGCCTGAAAAAAAATTTTTTTATATTATACCCCCTCAGTTACTTTTATGAATAATTATTTCGTTGTTTTTCCCATAGTTCACATTAAAAAGCAATTTTAGGCCAGGCGCGGTGGCTCACACTTGTAATCCCAGCACTTTGGGAGTCCGAGGCAGGCGGATCACTTGAGGCCAGGAGTTCGAGACCAGCCTGGCCAACATGGCAAAACCCCATCTCTACTAAAAATACAAAAGTTAGCCAGGTGTGGCAGTGCACATCTGTAATTTCAGCTACTGGGGAGGCTGAGGCATGAGAATCACTTGAACCTGGGAGATGGAAGTTGCAGGGAGCTGAGATCATGGCACTGCACTCCAGCCTGGGTGACAAAGTGATACTCTGTCTAAAAAAAAAAAAAAAAGGGTAATTTTACCACATTAAAATTGCCTTTAGGTCTTTAAAATAATTTTCCTTCTCTATTTTTATTTTATATTTAATAATGTTATATTTATAATTAATCACATTAGGCATGATGTTAGCATGGGCCAGGAAATTTTTCTTTAGTGAAACTGAAAAAAAAAAAAAACCCTGCAGGGAAGTTATAGCAACTTCCTACTCTGTATCATTCATGAACATACACTCAGTTTGGAAACCACCCTCTTTAAAAGATATGATCTATTCTTCCTTAGTTATTGCAGTATGCGTTTGATTTGTATGTGTTATTCTTAACAATTAAAGGAAAAGGTGAATGTAAATTCACTTGGACAAAACAGGAATAAAAGAATATTATCCTTAAGGGAAGTCTTACCTTAAAGAAGAGAAAATGCACGTATTTTTCTGGGCGAGGGTGGTGGGGTCAGGGAGGAAGAATTGTTTTTTCTAAATAAGGCATTAATCGCCACCTAGCAGTAGAGGAAGGAACTGCGCACTTAGTTTGCCACTGAAATTCTAGAAAACATTAGTTTTAAAGGACATATTACTTTTATTGTAAACAATATCTTAGGAATTATTGGTCTATTGGCAGACTAAGGATTGAATTTTTTCTCTCTTGTCTTGAGGAAAGATAAAGAAATAAAACAAATGAAAATATTTGGCCTATTTGTAAGCATACTCCTTCCATCATAAAATGTCTGTTCTCTTGTTGCCGTTGCCACTCCAGCAACAAGCTAAAGGAAAAGAAATTCTGAAGCCATCATGACACGAAAAAATGTTGCCTTTGGCAGGGCGCGGTGGCTCACGCCTGTAATCCCAGCACTTCGGGAGGCCGAGGCGGGCGGATCACGAGGTCAGGAGATTGAGACCATCCTGGCTAACACAGTGAAACCCCATCTCTACTAAAAATAGAAAAACAAAATTAGCCTGGCGTGGTGGCGGGCGCCTGTAGTCCCAGCTACTCGGGAGGCTGAGGCAGGAGAATGGCATGAACTCAGGAGGCGGAGCTTGCGATAAGCCGAGATCGTGCCACTGCACTCCAGCCTGGGCGACAGAGCGAGACTCCGTCTCAAAAATAAAAATAAAAAAAAATTTTTTTAAATGCTGCCTTTGTCCTATTAGAGGAAGAAATATCTGAGTTTTTTTGTTTGTTTTTCTGTTTGTTTGTTTTTTGGAGTCGGAGTCTCGCTCTTTCGCCCAGGCTGGAGTGCAGTGGCAAGATCTCTGCTCACTGCAACCTCCACCTCCCGGGTTCAAGCGATTCTCTTGCCTCAGCCTCCTGAGTAGTTGGGATTACAGGCGCTCACCACCAAGCCCGGCTAATGTTTGTATTTTTAGTAAAGACGGGGTTTCGCCATGTTGGTCAGGCTGGTTTCGAATTCTTGACCGCAGGTGATCCGCCCCCCTCGGCCTCCCAAAGTGCTGGGATTACAGGCGTGAGCCACCTCGCGCGGCCTAAGAGAGGTTTATTTTGAAAATGAGAAGACATTGGCCGGGATTAGTAATAACAGTTATTATTGTTAGTAATAATGCTTAGTATATAGTAAGGTGATCAACAAATATTTTTTGAAGGAATGAGAAATGTCTGGCTCCAAAACCTGTGCTTTTCACTATTACCTTCTATGCATATATATTGGTGGCTGAAAGTGCTTGGCTGGACACTTCAGAGTGGCTCTTATATAAAAGCCCTACTTGTGGACCAACAAAAGAGATATTTGGTTTCTTGGGGTTTTAATGGCTTTCAACTCCTCGAAGCATGATTTGGGGATTTGGATCAGGATACACCCTGATTCTTAACCAGTATTTGCAAAATTGATCAATAGAGGTATCTTGCAGGAAGAATGGAACAGAAAAACAACACTAATTCTCCAATTTAAAGACCATTATTAGTTATTTCAGGATTTTTTAGAATAAAAAAAATCCAAATAAAAGCCAAACTGAAATTTTCCCATGAATGGCCGGGTGGGGTGGCTCATGCCTGTAATCCCAGCACTTTGGGAGGCCGAGGTGGGCGCATCACCTGAGATCGGGAGTTCGAGACCAGCCTGACCAAAATGGAGAAACCCCCGTCTCTACTAAAAATACAAAAATTAGCCGGGTGTGGTGGCGCATGCTTGTAATCCCAGCTACTCGGGAAGCTGAGGCAGGAGAACCTCTTGAACCCTGGAGGCGGAGGTTGCAGTGAGCCGAGATCGTGCCATTGCACTCTAGCCTAGGCAACAAGAGCAAAACTCCGTCTCAAAAAAAAAAAAAAAAGAAAGAAAGAAAAAGAAATTTTCCCATGAACATGTAAGATTCATTGTTACTCAACTATCTAGATGACAGTCTGTAATAATTGCTTAATTTCTGGAAAAAAATATTTCTAAACAACTCAAGTGTGCCATGGCTTTTGTACAGGCCTCTCTTTTAGTCACACACTGAGGGAGGAAAATTATATTATACAGTTTAGATATAACTCTAAATTGTTATTCTTCCCAATTATGTCTATTAATTCCAGATTGCTCTATTCCAAGTGTTAGCTGTTGCCAGAAAAAAAAAAAACCTTAGCTTCTGAATAACCAGTTAAAAATAAAAAGCTTCTAAAATACCAGGGGTTTTTTTGTTTGTTTTTTGTTTTTGTTTTTCCTGAGATGGAGTCTCGTTCTGTCGCCCAAGCTGGATTGCAGTGGTGCAATCTCGGCCCACTGCAACCTCTGCCTCCTGGGTTCAAGCAATTCTCCTGCCTCAGCCTCCCGAGTAGCTGGGATTACAGGCGTCTGCCACCATGCCCGCTAATTTTGTATTTTTAGTAGAGACGGGGTTTTGCCATGTTGGCCAGGCTGGTCTTGAATTCCTGATCTCAGGAGATCTGCCTGCCTCCCAAAGTGCTGGGATTACAGGCGTGAGCCACCGCACCTGGCCTCCTATAAGCAGGTTTGTTTGTTTTTTTAATTTTTTTAAATATGCATATGTACACACGATGTATATACATGTTACACATATTGGAAAATATATTCTCAGGATATTCTCCCTTCTCCAGATGGATAGTATTGAAAGGGAAAAAACACAGTAATTAAAAAAAAAATGGTCAGCACAGTGGCTCACTCCTGTAGACCCAGCTACTCTAGAGGCTGAGGCAGGAGAGTTGCTTGAGCCCAGGAGTGAACTTTGATCACACCACTGCACTCCAGCCTGGGCAACAGAGCAAAAGCCTGTCCTAAAAATAAACAAATAAATTAAAATTAAAATTTTAAAAAGGTGGGAGTGGGTGCAGATAAGGCTAGTTTAAAGCAAGCTGTTTAAAGGCTATCAAATATTAGTCAAATAAATTATGAAACATTTATATGATGTAATACCTTATAGCTATACAGACATTTAAAGCATGTGACATGAAGAAATGTTCGTGGTTTAATGTTTACATAGAAAAGCAGGTTTAAAAAGAATCATATATAATTTGATACAAATTTTTTGTGGCAGTTTATTTTGAGATATTAATTTTTATTTTATTTTATTTATGTATGTATGTATGTATGTATTTTTGAGGCAGAGTTTTGCTCTTGTTGCCCAGTCTGGAGTGCAGTGGCACAATTTCGGCTCACTGCAACCTCCACCTCCTGGGTTCAAGTGATTCTCCTGCCTCAGCTTCCCAAGTAGCTGGGGTTACAGACATGCACCTCCATGCCCGGCTAATTTTGTATTTTTAGTAGAGATGGGGATTTCACTATTTTGGTCAGGCTGGTCTCAAACTCCTGACCTCAGGTGATCCACCCTCCTCAGCCTCCCAAAGTGCTGGGATTACAGGCATGAGCCACTGCGCCCAGCCTTGAGATATTAATTTTATGTGTTCTCCTATCCTACTACCCCTTTCTCCCATTCAAGCAAGTATCTAGACTTCAGATTTTTGTAAGGCAAAAAGCAAACACTGCTCAGAAATACCATAGGCTCTGTCTTGTGAAATGAGAAGAGGGAGGTGAAAGAGGGATTCCTCAAAAGTTAGAAGTCTGGGCCAAGCTCAGTGGCTCATGCCTGTAATCCCAGCACTTTGGGAGGCTGAGCTGGGTAGATGGCTCGAGCCCAGGAGTTCAAGACCTGCCTGGGCAACATAGTGAGACCCCGTTTCTATTAAAAAAAAAAAAGAAAAGAAAAGAAAAAAGAAAAAAACTTAGAAGTCTGAAGCCTATAGTTTGAGTGAATAGCTAAGATTCCCATCTTGTTCTGTAACAAAGCCCAGATAGTGGCAAAACCTCAAAGAGGAAAGCCACATGGGGTACCTTAGGAAGCTGTACTTGGGTGCAGGGGCTGCCACATTCACTTACTTGATTCCAGATTCTTGAGTACCAACAGTGGTAAAGAAATATGAGAGTCACCAGTCTGAAGTGAAGATGGCACAAAAGGGAATCCCAGCACCAAATCAATGTGGAGAGATGACCAAGTAATTTGAGATAATTCCAGGTACTTCTATAATAATTCAAGCCCTAGAAACTTTGTACAACCCTGGATGGAGAGGAAATGCTCAATGATAACTAAGGTAGAATTTCTCACCAGCATGGCAGGATGGGAGCTCAGGCTTAGATTCAAGTGGACCTAAAGAAATGCAGTATTTATTTCTATGAAATAAGAATCATATACACAATATGCATATGTACACACGATGTATATACATGTTACACATATTGGAAAATATATTCTCAGGATATTCTCCCTTCTCTAGATGGATAGTATTGAAGGGGAAAAAACACAGTAAGTTTCACTACCTAGTACAATATAGTAATTTATCATATTGTCTTTTTTTAGCAGCTATTTTTAGATTTTTTTTAAATTTTTTTTTTTGAGACAGAGTCTTGCTCTGTCACCCAGGCTGGAGTACAGTGGCAGATGTCGGCTCACCTGCAACCTCCACCTCCTTGGTTCAAGCAATTCTTATGCCTCAGCCTCCCAAGAAGCTGGGGTTTCGCCATGTTGGTCAAGGTGGTCTCCAACTCCTGACCTCAAGTGGTCTGCCCGCCTTGGCCTCCCAGAGTGCTGGGATTACAGGCATGAGCCACCTAGCCTGGCCAATCATATTGTCTTTATTGAAAAAAAATCTTCAATGTATATCCCCCTTTTTTTTTTTTTTTGAGACGGAGTCTCGCTCTGTCACCCAGGCTGGAGTGCAGTGGCACAATCTCGGCTCACTGCAACCTCTGCCTCCCAGGTTCAAGCAATTCTTCTGCCTCAGCCTCCCGAGTAGCTGGGACTACAGGCATGTGCCACTACGCCGGGCTAAGTTTTGTATTTTTAGTAGAGGTGGGGTTTCACCATTTTGGCCAGGCTGATCTCGAACTCCTGATCTCAGGAGATCTGCCCGCCTTGGCCTCCCAAAGTGCTGGGATTACAGGCGTGAGCCACCGCACCTGGCCTCCCTTTTTTAATTAGAAAAAATGTATATTATAAAACCAGCTGTAAGCTGTTTTTCCTATATATTTGAACAGGTCGAAAATAGGGAAGGGCATAGATAATAAACTTAGGTTCTATTTTCCAGCTGTTTTAGACCTATTGATATTAACATTTCCAGAAGTATAATACAAACTTAATGTCAAAAAAAGATGAGGATTTTTTTTTTTTCACAGAAAAAAGTATTGGATAACTCCTGTACCCTGAAAAAAATTAAAATGGTATTATATTAGTCAGAGTCTCAGCAAGAATCAGATGCACTCTCCAAAGGGGTAACTGAAGAGAGTATAATCAGAATGTGGGCAGGGGAACAGCAAGTGGTAATGCAGTACCACTGCCAACCTGTGGCCAACATGGAGCGGGAGAAGGTAATACATAATCTGATATCTCTTTCCTATTGCTTTCTGATCTACTAGTGTCTTCCATTAGCTGAGCCCAACCAGGAGCTAGAGAGGAAGGGATCTTACTGATGCAATCTATAAAAGATTAAAGTACCATAGAATACTATACAGCCATAAAAAATACAGGAGGCTGGGCTTGGTGGCTCATTCCTGTAATCCCAGCACTTTGGGAGGTGAAGACAGGCGGATCACTTGAGCTCAGGAGTTCAAGACCAGCTTGGGCAACATGGCAAAGCCCCATCTCTACAAAAAATACAAAAATTAGGTGGGTGTGGTGGCACAGAACTGTGATCCCAGCTACTCAGGCTGAGGTAGAGGGATCACTTGAACCCAGGAGGTCGAGGCTACGGTGAGCTAAGTTCGCGCCATTGCACTCTAGCCTGGGAGACAGAATGAGACCCTATCTCTAAAACCAAAAGGAAAACACAAAATCATGTCCTTTGCAGTAACATGGATGGAGCTGGAGGCCATTATCCTAAGTGAACTAACACAGGAACAGAAAACCAAATACCACATGTTCTCACTTATAAATGCGAGCTGAACATTGAGTACATATGGACACAAAGATGGGAACAATAGACCCCAGGGTCGATTTGAGTGGAGGGAGTGGAAGAAGGGCCTATTGGGTACTATGCTCACTATGTGCATGATGAAATCATTTGTACACCAAAGTTCAACAACACGCAATCTACCCATGTAATAAACATGCACATGTACCCTCTGAATCTAAAATAAAAGTTGAAAAAAGGAAAAAAAAGGGTGAAGTATATCTATAGGGTTATCAGAGAATATCTAGCACAATGACAAAGTATAAGCAATTCCACAATTTTCCTATAAATATTTCCAGATAAAACTATCTACTAGAAGAGTACTAGAAACATAGAGTTTTAGACTTCAACTTTTGGTACTATGTAAATTATTTGAAATTATTGCTACTACTACTAGAGAACTTTTATTCATTCACTAATTTTTTTTTTTTTTTTTTTGAGACGGAGTCTTGACCTGTCGCCCAAGCTAGAGTGCAGTGGAGTGATCTCGGCTCACTGCAACCTCCACCTCCCAGGTTCAAGCAGTTCTCCTGCCTCAGCCTCCTAAGTAGCTAGGATTACAGGCGTGCACCACCGCACCTGGCCAATTTTTGTATTTTTAGTAGCGACAGGGTTTCACCATGTTGGTCAGGCTGGTCTCGAACTCCTGACCTCATGATCTGCCCGTCTTGGCCTCCCAAAGTGCTGGGATTACGGGCATGAGCCACTGCATCCAGCCCACTAACTCTTAACTAAATTTTATTGAGCATCGAGTCAGTGTGACACATTAAACATATGTACAAAGATAAATATGAAACATTATCCTCCAGCGGCTCCTGATTTAATGTGAGGACAACATATGAACAAATAAGTGCAATTAAGCTTTATATGTGTAGTTGCATTTTAAAAGGGACTCTTTCTGTCTCAGTTTGGCTGAGGCTCCAAGAAAGTAAAATGCCAATATTCTCGTATTTTATAATAAAGTGGAAAACCATAAAAAGTAGAAATTGCCCAAAAAAGGTGGCAGGAGTGGAAAGGGAACTGTTTTTGCAACTCTTAGCTGTCCATCTACTTCTAATTCAGAGACTGGAGTTTAGAAGATTTTGAGAGTTTTTGGTGTGCTGTGAGTGGACATTGCTTTTTCCTCACCTCACACCTAGGGAAAGAGGCTTTAATGAAACTTTGATATATGATCCCTACACCTAGCAGGGGGGTAGGGCAGGGGTTGAGGTCACAGTGGACTAGTGTCTGACTCATATCTGAGGAATTCATTCATTCAATACTTAATGTAGCACTTATTAAGTACAGGCACTGTATTCGCCTATTCTAGGTATAGGCAAATGCAGTGGTGAGCAAAAT
This sequence comes from Homo sapiens, assembly GCF_000001405.40. Taxonomy (NCBI): domain Eukaryota; kingdom Metazoa; phylum Chordata; class Mammalia; order Primates; family Hominidae; genus Homo; species Homo sapiens. Next base: position 14,530,001 of record NC_000011.10, on the reverse strand, counting down.
AGATAAAAATTCCCCGCTTCATGGAGCTAACATTCTAGTGGATGAGAGCAAGAAATTTTGGCTAATTGCAAAAATGAGTTTGGGATATGGTCAAAGTCTGCACTCTCAGAGGCAAAGCCACTCTGTAGGTATTTGGATTAGACCAGGGCTACGAGAAAGGTTCACAAAGAAGGATGAGACTTCCACAGAAAAAAAGCTGGGAGTGTAGCTATACATGCTAGCTATTAATATTGAGCTGATAGCCAGATGAAATATATTTACCCAAGGGTAAGCACAAGATTACCAGTATTTTCTCATTGGGCTAAGGTGAGAGTTAAGGTGTTACCAAAGAACGCACGCATAAAGTTACAAGTGTCAACTGTAAACATCTGCCAAGCTCAAAGAGTACCAGCCCTTAATCACAGAACTGTAGTAGCCAAGTTAAGAATGTTCTTGCCTGTTCCTCTGTTTGAACTTGAAAGAAGGAAGGAAACCTGGAGTTGGTGGTGATGATGGGAGTTGGGGTGGGGGCAGATGTGGTGGCGATTAGGAGAGAAATTTTAGACAGGGACATAGAAGGGAAGTCAAACATTTTTTACTTGAACAACCAGAAAACTCATGAGATTTGTATCTTATTTTATTCAATGAGCATGGGAGGATTAACTCCACCAGGTGTGTTTTAACATGTGGAGTGAAAATAAGTTACTTACAAATTGCACCCTATACATCTATTTGTTCAATGTACCAGTTATAGGTGCTAAACATAATAACACGGTAAGATTTACACATCCATGAAAAAAATTTTCAACTTGGCTCTTATTTAGAATTTACTTTTATTTGATTCTTTTAAAAGCCTAACATAACTTACCAATTACCTTTAATTTTTTTTTTTTTTTTTTTTGAGACAGGGTCTTTGTCACCCAGGCTGATCATAGTTCATTGCAAACTTGAACTCCTGGGTGTCTCATGTGTCCGTGTGAAGAGAACACCAAACAGGCTTTGTGTGAGCAACATGGCTGTTTATTTCACCTGGGTGCAGGCGGGCTGAGTCCGAAAAGAGAGTCAGCAACGGGTGGTGGATTATCATTAATTAGTTCTTAAAGATTTTGGGATAGGCAGTGGAGTTAAGAGCAATGTTTTAGGGGCAGGGGGTGGATCTCACAAAGTACATTCTCAAGGGTGGGGAGAATTACAAAGAACCTTCTTAAGGGTGGGGGAGATTACAAAGTACATTGATCAGTTAGGTTGGGGCAGAAATAAATCAATGGTGGAACTTCGTCAGTTAAGGCTATTTTCACTTCTTTTGTGGATCTTCAGTTGCTTCAGGCCATCTGGATGTATACGTGCAGGTCACTGGGGATATGATGGCTTAGCTTGGGCTCAGAGGCCTGACCTTCCTGTCTTCTTATATTAATAAGAAAAATAAAACAAAATAGTGGTAAAGAGTTGGGGCAGCGAAAATTTTTGGGGGTGGTATGGAGAGATAATGGGCGATGTTTCTTAGGGCTGATTCAAGCGGGATTGGGGCAGCGTGGGAACCTACAGTGGGAGAGATTCAACTGAAGAAAGATTTTGGGGTAAGGGGTGATATTGTGGGGTTGTTAGAAGAAGCATTTGTCATATAGTATTGGTGATGGCCTGGATGTGGTTTTATATGAATTGAGAAACTAAACAAAAGACACAAGGTCCGAATAAAAGAAGGAGAAAAATAGGTATTAAAGGACTAAGAATTGGGAGTACTCAGGATGTCCAATTAGAGAGTGTCCAAGGGGGTTCAACGTTATTGTTTGCTTGGCTGGCGAGTTTTTGGGCTCTATCCTTGAGTTTTTTTATGTTGTCATATACCAGGCCAGATTGATTTAGGTAAAAATAGCACTCTTCATTTAAAAATATACAGAGTTTCCCTCCCCCTTTTTTTTTTTAGTAGTAAGTCGAGGCCTCAGCGATTTTGGAGGAAAGAGAAATGCAAAGCCAGCAATTGTTTGTTAAAGAAGGATTAGAAACAGCTAGGAGGGAGTGACTGAGATTGATAGTGTGGTGGAGATAGCTGGGAGAGGTAGAGGGTGGCATAAGATTGGGAACAAGAATAAGAGTAAGTATAAAAGTAAAGAATAGGACTTCATCAGGGTGAAAGTATTGAAGTGTACTTTGTCACTGAAGATCTTCTATCCACTTAAAGAGAGACTTAAGGGTGGCAGTTTGAGGTAAAACCAGGTGCCACTGAATACCAAGAGCCTGAGAAACTGAGGTGGGAAGGCCAAACTGAGGAATTATGTCTGACAGAAGGGATGAAATGACCGCGGTGGCCTTCTCAGACCCTGTGGGAAAGGCCTCTACCCAGCCAGTGAAAGTGTCTACGCAGACCAAGAGGTATTTTAGTTTCCTGACTCGAGGCATGTGAGTAAAGTCAATTTGCCAGTCCTGGGCGGGGGCAAATCCCCGAGCTTGATGTGTAGGGAAGGGAAGGGGCCTGAACAATCCCTGAGGAGTAGTAGAATAGCAGATGGAACACTGAAAAGTGATTTCCCTAAGGATAGATTTCCATGTTGGAAAGGAAATGAGAGGTTCTAAGAGGCAGGCTAGCAGCTTGCAACCTACATGGAAGAGGTTATGAAATGATGATAGAATAGAATGGGCCTGTGAGGCTGGAAGGAGGTATTTTCCTTGGCCCAAGAACCATTTGCCTTGTTTGGGAAGAGATTGATAGGTGGAAGTTTCAGTGGGGCAGTAGGTGGGAGTGACTGATGAGAAGGAGAAAAACTGGCCATGAGGGACAGAAGTTGGAATTCTAGCTGCTTCTTTAGCTACCTTATCAGCATAAGCGTTGCCCTGAGTGATGGAATCTGATGCCTTTTGGTGGCCCTTGCAGTGTATGACTCCAGCTTCCTTTGGAAGTAAAGCGGCCTTGAGAAGAGTTTTTATTAAAGAGGCATTAATGATGGAGGACCTTGTGTAGTGAGGAAACCTCTTTCAGCCCATATAACAGCGTGGTGATGCAAGATATGGAAGGCATATTAAGAGTCAGTATAAATATTGACGCGTAGTCCCTTTGCAAAGGTGAGGGCTCGAGTTAAGGCAATGAGTTAGGCTTGCTGAGAGATAGTGGAGGGGGGCAGAGTGGTAGCCTCAGTGATAGATGTGGAAGATACTATAGCATAGCCTGCCTTTGCTGGTGAGTGGCGATTAGGCCTGGTGGAACTGCCATCAATAAGCCAAGTGTGATCAGGGTGAGGAACAGGAAAGAAGGAAACATGGGAAAATGGAGTGAATGTCAGGTGCATCAGAGAGATACAGTCATGGGGGTCAGGTGTGGTATCCAGAATAATGTGGGAGGCCAGATTGAAGTCCAGGCCAGGAACAATGGTAATTGTGGGAGACTCAACAAAGAGTGAGTACAGCTGAAGGATCTGGGGAGCAGAAAGTATATGCGTCAGGTGTGAGGAAGAAAATAGATTTTGGAAATTATGAGAGCTGTAGAGAGTGAGTTGAGCATAGTTTGTGATTTTGAGGGCCTCTAAAAGTATTAGGGCAGCGGCAGCCACTGCACGGAGACATGATGGCCAGCCTAAAACAGTAAGGTCAAGTTGTTTGGACAAAAAGGCTATAGGGTGCGGTCCCGGTCCTTGTGTAAGAATTCTGACTGCACAGCCCTGCACTTTGGCTGTGTGTAATGAAAAGGGTTGGGATGAGTCAGGGAGAGCTAGTGTGGGGGCAGTCACTAAAGCTGTCTTCGAGGAACAGAAAGAGGACTGGGGAAAGGATTTAGGATCTATGGGATCAGCTAGGTTTCCTTTTGTGAGTTTATATAATGGTTTTGTTAGGATGGCAAAACCAGGTATCCAAAGGCGAAAGTATCCAACCATGCCTGGAAGGAAAGGAGTTGTCGTTTTGTAGGTGTTGGGGTTTGAGAGATCAGTTGGACACAGTCGGCAGGGAGAGCACGTGTGTTTTTATGAAGAGTTATGCTGAGGTAGGTAACGGATGGAGAAGAAATTTGAGCTTTGGAGGGGGATACCCGATATCCTTTGGAGAATAAATGTTGAAGGAGCAGGAGGGTGTCTTGTTGAGAAGATTCAAAGGAGGGGCTACAAAGTAGAAGGTCATCAATATATTGAATAAGGTGAGAAGCAGAAGGGTGGAAAGAAAGTAAATCAAGGGAAAGAGCTTGGCTGAAGTAATGAGGGCTGTCCCTGAAGCCTTGCGGCAGCACAGCCCAGGTAAGCTGCTGGGACTGATGGGTGTCAGGGTCAGTCCAGGTAAAAGCAAAGAGAGGCTGGGACAAGGGGTCCAGGGGAATAGTGAAAAAAGCATCTTTAAGATCAAGAACCGAATAGTGAGTTGTGGAGGAAGGTATTGAGGACAAAAGAGTGTACGGGTTGCGCACTACAGGGTGGATAGGCAAAACAATTTGGTTGATAAGGCACAGATCCTGAACTAACCTGTAAGACTTGTCTGGTTTTTGGACAAGTAAAATGGGGGAATTGTAAGGAGAGTTTATAGGTTTTAGAAGCCCATGCTGTAACAGGCAACTGATAACAGGCTTTAATCCTTTAAAAGCGTGCTGTGGGATGGGATATTGGCGTTGAGCGGGGTAAGGGTGATTAGATTTTTATGGGATGGTAAGGGGTGCATGATCGGTCGCCAAGGAGGGAGTAGAGGTGTCCTATACTTGTGAATTAAGGTAGGGAGATACAAGGAGAGGATGTGAAGGAGGCTTTGAACTGGGGCAAAAGGTGGCAATAAGGTGTGGCTGTAGTCCAGGAATAATCAGGGAAGCAGATAATTTGGTTAAAATGTCTTGGCTTAATAAGGAAAGTGGGCAGTTGGGGATAACTAAAAAGAGTGCATAAAGGAATGTTGTCCAAGTTGGCACCAGAGTGGGGGAGTTTTAAGGGGTTTAGAAGCCTGGCCGTCAATACCCACAACAGTTATGGAGGCAAGGGAAACAGGCCCTTGAAAAGAAGGTAATGAGGGGTGGGTAGCCTCCCTATTGATTAAGAAGGAGACGGACTTACCCTCCACTGTAAGTGTGATGGTCCAGGAGGCTTCCGAGAAGATTGGGCAGTGTCAGTCTTCAGCCGCTAAGCCGAGATCTGGGAAGGAGTCAGTCAGAGCCTTGGACCAGAGTTCCAGGGGCTCTGGGAGTGGCTGCCAGGCAAGTTGGATAGTCTGATTTCCAGTGGGCTCCCGATTTAAAATCGGTGAGATGTTCCTTGGGCTGGTTGGTCTGAGGACCCGAGGTCATAGGTGGATCTCTTCACAGAGTGAGGGTGAGGACAGCGGACTGGTCTCCCAAAGGAGTCCGCTGACCCGGGTCTTCGGCACCAAATGTCTTACGTGTCCGTGTGAAGAGACTACCAAACAGGCTTTGTGTGAGCAACATGGCTGTTTATTTCACCTGGGTGCAGACGGGCTGAGTCCAAAAAGAGAGTCAGCAACGGGTGGTGGATTATCATTATTAGTTCTTAGAGGTTTTGGGATAGGCAGTGGAGTTAAGAGCAATGTTTTGGGGGCAGGGGGTGGATCTCACAAAGTACATTCTCAAGGGTGGGGAGAATTACAAAGAACCTTCTTAAGGGTGGGGGAGATTACAAAGTACATTGATCAGTTAGGTTGGGGCAGAAATAAATCAATGGTGGAACTTCGTCAGTTAAGGCTATTTTCACTTCTTTTGTGAATCTTCAGTTGCTTCAGGCCATCTGGATGTATACGTGCAGGTCACTGGGGATATGATGGCTTAGCTTGAGCTCAGAGGCCTGACACTGGGCTCATGTGATCCTGTCACCTCAGCCTCTCGAGTAGCTGGGACTACAGGTGCATACAACTACACCTGGCTAATTTTCTTTCCTTCCTTTCTTCCTCCCTCTCTCTCTCCCTCCCTTCATTTTTTTTTTTTTTTTTTTTTTTTTTTTTGAGACAGGGTCTTGCTATGTTGCTCAGGCTGGTAACTCCTGGCCCTAAGCAATTCTCCTGCATTAGCAGGAGAAAAAAAAGTGTCGGGATTACAGGTGTGAGCCACTTTGCCTGGCTTCCAATGACCTTTAAAGAAGTAGTACTATGTTCGCTGACCTAGTCTTCCTACAAAATATCTTTATTGATCAGTTTTTCAGCTTCTGATTAATGCTCAAGATGTATCTTGAGGCCGGGCATGGTAGCTCATGCCTATAATCCCAGCACTTTGGGAGGCCCAGGCAGGAGGATAGCTTGAGTCCAGGAGTTTGAGACCAACCTGGGCAACAAAGTAAGACCTTGTCTCTACAAAAAAAATAAAATTATCTGGGCATGGGGGTACTTGCCTGTAGTCCCAGCTACTTGGGAGGCTGAGGTAGGAGGATCACTTGGGCCCAGGAGGTCCAGGCTGAAGTGATTGTGCCATTGCACTCCAGCCTGGGCAACAGAGAAATACCCTGTCTTAAAAAAAAAAAAAAAAAATGTATCCTGAGAGCTGAGGAGCTGAGTATGGTGGCTCACTCCTGTAATTTCAGCACTTTGGGAGGCCAAGGAGGGAGGATCACTTTAAGGCCAGGCATTCATGACCAGCCTGGGCAACATAGTAGGACCCTGTCTCTACAAAAAATTTTAAAATTAGCCAGGTATGGTGGTGTGCACCTGTAGCCCTAGCTACTTGGGAGGCTGAGGCAATAGGATGGCTTGAGCCCAGGAGTTCAAGGTTACAGTGAGCTATGATCATGCCACTGTACTCTAGCCTGGGCTACACAGCTAGACTCTGTCTCTAAAAAAAAAGTTGTTGTTGTTGTTGTTTTTAACGATGTATCTTGAGCCAAATCCCCAAAACACACAAAGAGGAGCTGAAAATCATATAAACCTTTAATAAGCCCTTGGGACTTTCATTCTTAACAAAAAGGTCAACCAAATGCCCCTTCTTTTGGTCTACAAGTAGAGCTTTGATAACAGCCATTCTGAAGAGTACAGACAATTGCTGTGAATAAAGGATGTATCGCAAAGCCCCAGATATTTGCTTAGGAAATAATTATCAGAAGGACAGGTTTGGAGTGATAGATCTATCACTCATTCATTCAACAAATGTTTAGTGAGTGCCTACTATATGCCAGGCTTTGTTTCAGGTACTAGGAATATCTCAGTAAATTTTTAAAAAGTCAAAAAATTATGTTTGGATATTTATGTGATTCCCTGTTGCATATTTACAATGTGTGCTTCAACTTTTATTTAAACTAGATTCAGTGGGTTTCTTTTATTTGTATCCAAAAGGCCCTTTCTATAAAAGTGACACAGTAATAAGAGGTTACCATCCCTAATTACAGGAAGCTCCTACAAGTCAGTAAGAAAATGATTAACACAATAATATGAGGAAAGGAATGAAGTGGCAATCCACTAAAGTAACATAAACAGCCAAGAAATACAACAAAAGATTTTTTTACTAGTAATAAAAAACTATAAATAAAATTAAAAATTAAAGAAACAGGTTTTCTTTTTTGGCCTATCAAATTGATAAAAGTAAAAAGTACTTATAATATCCAGTGTTGGTAAGAATACAGAGAAAACTGACTCTCAGGCAGCGTAGAATATTAAATGGATATAACTTTTTTTGCAACTCAGCCATATTTATCATAACTGTAAATGTAAGTTCCCTTTGACCCCACAATTCTACTTCTATGAATTCTTCATCAGGTAAGGTAATTATGCACACAATAGGTGTGTATGTACAAGAATATTCATTATAGTATTTTTATGATACCAATAACTTGGAAACAATTGAATTGCACACTAATAATTAAGCAAATTATTATATTTCCATACAATAAAATACTATGCGACTATTGAAAATAATATAGACCATTACTTATGGACATATGATAGCTATAACTTTTTAAGTGTATTAATAAAAACAGTATCATCTTATTTTTAAAAATTGTATATTTATTACACATCTGTGTGAGGCATGTGACTAGAGAGATATATATGGAAAGAATTTTCAAAATGTTTATGTAGTATATGACAATTTTTAAATGAGCATTTATTTAATCAGTTAGCACTATTTATAAACACTTAATATGTGCTACGCATTGTGCTAGGTCCTGGAGAAACGAAAGAGAACAATCTATTAATTTAATCTGTTAATTTAGTCCACCAAATCAACAGTGTTTTTCAGAAATACGACAATAACCAGTGTTGATGAATTAGAGAAGGTAACCTCATATACTACTGTTGAGAGTATATGTTGGTAAAACATTTCTGGAGAACAATTTAGTACTTTGTTTTTTGTTTTTTTTTTTTTGAGATGGAGTCGCACTCTGTCGCCCAGGCTGGAGTGCAGTGGCACGATCTCAGCTCACTGCAACCTCCGCCTCCCGGGTTCAAGCGATTCTCCTGCCTCAGCCTCCTGAGGCACGCCACCACGCCCGGCTAATTTTTGTATTTTTAGTAGAGACGGGGTTTTACCATGTTGGCCAGGATGGTCCGATCTCCTGACCTCGTGATCCACCCGCCTCTGCCTTCCAAAGTGTTGGGATTACAAGCGTGAGCCACCGCGCCCGGCTTTTTTTTTTTTTGAAACAGAATCTCTATTGCCCAGGCGGGCTGGAGTGCAACGGCGCGACCATGGCTCACTGCAACCTCGATCTCCCTGGCTCAAGAGATCCTCCCACATCAGCTTCCCGAGTGGCTGGGACCACAGGCCCATGCCAACATGCCCAGCCTTTTTTTTTTATTATTCTTATTCTTATTCTTATTCTTATTATTATTGTAGCGACGAGGTCCCACTGTATTAAAATAATATAGTGATCTCAAACTCCTGGGTTCAAGCGATCCTCCGCCCTCGGCCTCCAATAGCGCTGGGATTACAGGCGTGAGCCACCACACCCAGTCTCTTTTTTACAAAGAATATAAATAGCCGGTGGATGTCAGACTATTTCGTTATGGAAAGATGCTCTCAAAAGACGAAATAGATAAATCGAAAGAAAGTGTCCATTTTTTCTCAGTGGCCTAATCTGTCAGGTACCATGCTTGGTTTTGGGGGCATAGAAAGACATTAGCGCCCTCATGGAGTTCAAAGTCTGGTGGAAGAAATCAATCATAATAACAATGAGGGGTTAACGACAACAGACCCTTGAAAGATAACATCTCCAGGGAATAAGGAAGAGCATTCCAAAGTATTTTGCCAAATGGCAAAAACCGCAGTTACTTTTGCACCAACCTTAATGCAAATAAAAGCATGTACACAAACAAGATACTCGAGGAAGAATACAGCTGACACACAGAAACGGATCGTTATCTTGTGGCTTTCCTGCAGCCTCGTTCCTTTCAGTCACATAACACCCCAAATCTGTGGACGGTTAATGAGAGCTAGTATCACCCAGAGTCACGGCTGTTGACTCGGACGACTTTAGATGCAGCCCGCCAGCGGGAGAAACTGGAGGGAATCCGCCATACACAGGAACCTAGAAGGGCTACGTGACAGGGGCTGCCCCGCAGCTCTCAGCCGCCGGCACTCCCAGCCAGGTTTTCCCGCCAGTCTCAGTTCCTAGATCTTCCGAGGCTCCGCCCGCCGCCGAGCGGTCGGAAAGTTTTAAGGAGGGGGAAGTGTTGCAAGCCTATCGATATCTCTGGAATAGACTGCGCTACCCTGCGCCGCCGCCGTCAAACTCCCGCAGACTTCTCTGTAGATCGCTGAGCGATACTTTCGGCAGCACCTCCTTGATTCTCAGTTTTGCTGGAGGCCGCAACCAGGCCCGCGCCGCCACCATGGTACGTTGAATCCCGATCTCTGGAAGGTTTAGGGCAGAGCTCTGGTGACTGGGGGATGACGAGCCACCTCTCCTGTCATCCTTAGCGTCGCCCGGTGCCACGAGGTATGAGAGCCTCGGCAGACGGCCGGGCTCCGGCAGTGATTCAGCATCTCCGGCCTGGCCGGGCTAGGGGTTATCGGTAGCCAGTGCGGCCTTTCCACCGCTTTCGCTTCCCGGGGAGCCTCCGACACTTCCTCCTCGGTCAGCTAGATGAGTTCGCCCCTCAGGTTCCTTCAGTGGAGTAGATTCTGAGCGGTCCAGAATAGCTCCTAGTGCTGTGTATGGGAGAGGAGAAGACAGAGACTTGACTTGGAGGCCTACCTGTACCACCAGTGCGGACTTGACCCCCAGGTTTGTGTTCCTGGACAGCGTCCGTTTTCCTGGTGGGTCCGTCTATTTATCTCTCGCCTAGACTTCGATTAGAAGAGGCCCTTTTCAATCATTTTGTCCAGTCACCTAGTTGCGGATGAGTAAGCCGAGGCTGAGAGGGGAAGTGATGGAATCAGGGTTACAATATAGGGTTCTGGGTTTCCAGTTCTGTCTGCCATTCTAGCACTCAATCTCACTCCCATGACTATTATTATAATAGTCGTAATAGCCGTAATGGTTCTATCGCTGCAGCTATTTGTGTCCACCTCTAACTTTGTGAGGACATTTTTGTTCATTCAATGTGAATATACAGACAGCACTTGTACAGGCATAACTACAGTGAACATTAAAAAATAAGTCATACATGTCCCTAATCATAAAAACAGAAAGGGACGTTTAGATAAAGAGCTGTGGGAGTATATGTTAGGGGGATTTGGGAAGAAAAGGAGAAGACTTCAAGAAATCGACATTTAAGCTACCTTAAAGAAAAGGAAGACTTTTAACCATTTATTAGGGCCCAATAAAAGGGAGCAGCATAAGCAAAAATAGGCAAGAAAGTTGATTGTGAACTTTAGTAATTGAGCCTAAAGGGGTTGATATGGAGGGTGTTAGAATAAGAGTTTGGAAAAATAGGACCCATTTAGATCTGCTTCTCCCTCTCCCACGAGTTTATGGTAAATGTAGAATTGGCTTACATCTGAGTACAGTAGTAATCTTCCAGTAAGACTGCATGAACAGAGTGCCTTAACATTGAATGGAAATACAAGCATATTTCTTAATGAATGTTAAGAGTTGGGATTTGAAATGTTCTTCTATTAACAGGTATTTTTTTCTTTTACTTTTAGTTTCGAAATCAGTATGACAATGATGTCACTGTTTGGAGCCCCCAGGTAAAATAATGTTTTTAAACCTTTTCTGTGAAGTGGCTTTTTGTGGCTGCAATATATTTAGAAACTTGTGAGAGCGTAGGCTTGGGGAAAATGGAATATAATTATTTTAGACGTTCTTGGAAGTTGCATTTATAATTAAAATAGGTTTCCTGATGGACCTAGAGGACATTATGTTAAGTGAAATAAGCCAGAAACAGAAAGAAAAATGTTTCATGCTCTCACTTATATGTGGAATCTTTTGTTTAAAAGGGCAAATATATATATAGAGAGAGTAAAACAGTGGTTACCAGGGTAGGGGGTGGCAGTGGGGAGGAAAAAAGAGGAGATACAAAGTAGCAAATATGTAGGTTGAGCAAGTGGAAAGATCTAATGTACAACATGAAGACTACAGTTAATAATGCAGGTAGTGTTTTGTATTCAAGATTTTTGTTAAATGAGTAGTTTATAGCCCTTGCCACAGCAGAGGAAAATGGGTAACTATGTGAGACAACGGATGTGTTCATTCTGCGATAGTGACCCTACTATATATGTGTATCTTATAACATCATGTTGCATACGTTAAATATACACAAGAAAATTTATTTTAAAAGAAGCTTTCAGCCGGGTGCAGTGGCTCATGCCTGTAATCCCAGCACTTTGGGAGGCCAAGGAAGGTAGATTGCTTGAGTCTTGGAGTTCAAGACCACCCTGAACAACATGAAACCCGGACTCTACAAGAAATACAAAAATTAGCTGGGCGTGGTGGTGCTTGCCTATAGTCCCAGCTACTGTGGACAGTGAGGTGAGAGGACTGCTTGAGCCTAGGAGGCAGAGGTTGTACTGAGCTGAAGATTGTGCCACTGCACTCCAGCCTGGGTGACAGAGTGAGAACCTGTCTCAAAAAAAAAAAAAGGTCTCTTGATTAAAAAAAAAATCAGTTGAGATTTAACTGTGCTCACCTGATATTTGAAAACCCTAATTTTTAATTTATAAAAGATCTTCTAAGATGTGTGTTTTTTGTTTTTTTTTTCTTTAGGGCAGGATTCATCAAATTGAATATGCAATGGAAGCTGTTAAACAAGGTTCAGCCACAGTTGGTCTGAAATCAAAAACTCATGCAGTTTTGGTTGCATTGAAAGTAAGTACAGTAATAAATATGTCTTCCTCTGTAGAAAACAATGTAAATTTCACCATAGAAAATAAGGTTGTAAACTTATTTTTACATTTGTCTCTTTTTTTTTTTTTTTTACATCTTATAATGTCTCTATTTAGAGGGCGCAATCAGAGCTTGCAGCTCATCAGAAAAAAATTCTCCATGTTGACAACCATATTGGTATCTCAATTGCGGGGCTTACTGCTGATGCTAGACTGTTATGGTAAGTATAATCATGAAAAATAAACATCCTTTTTGTTTCATAATTGATTAGTTTTCTCAAAAAGATCCAGATAAGGTATTTTAGGAAGTTGTCTGCCAAAGTTCTTGTAAATTAAGATTATGAATACCTTGGTGGTTTTGAGTTTGTTATTAAATTTTCCATTTTTTGATCCCTGTAGGAGTAACTAATAAGATTAAACATTAGCACTTTTCAGAAGTCACTGAGTAATGTGATGTTTGTTAATACAATGTATATCGTTTGAGACCCTGTTATGTCTAAGAAGAACGTGATACTTTTGTCTGGTTTCTAAGGACAAGCTGAACCACACTTGTTTTCTTTGTGCTTGTTTTCTTCAATACATCAGTATTTATTAGACATTTATTTTTTGCAATGCTCAATACTGGATACTGCAGGGTATACATAAGTGACTCAGACATGGATCTTGTCTTAAGGGAACTTGAAGGCAAGTTTATCTATAAACTCAAATGTAGTTTATCTATAATATAACAGAAAAATTTCTGTGAGAGTCTAGAAGAGACAGATTATTTATGGTTAAAAGGCAATACATAAATGAAGAGATAGGGCTTTGAAATTGCACATATTGAGTTCTCACCTTCACCACTTAGTATCTGAGATTTGGCTAAATACCTAAACACTGAATTTTTTCCAGTGTTTTCTTTATCAAGGCTATTTTTAAATGTTATTTATTTATTTTTTTGAGATGGAGTCTCACTCTCACCCAGGCTGGAGTGCAGTGGTGTGATCTCAGCTCACTGCAACCTCTACCTCCCAGGTTCAAGCGATTCTCCTGCCTCAGCCTCCCGAGTAGCTGGGATTACAGGCACCCGCCACCACGCCTGGCTAATTTTTGTATTTTTAGTAGAGACGGGGTTTCGCCATGTTGGCCAGGCTAGTCTTGAACTCCTGACCTCAGGTAATCTGCCCACCTCAGCCTCCCAAAGTGCTGGGATTATAGGTGTGAGCCACTGCACCCAGCCTATTTTTAAATATTTTAAATTGCCTACTGTAAACCACTAACACAGAGCCTTTCAGGTATTATGTGAGTATGTGTGTTGTGGATGGCAGGTAGTTAGCTAAAACTAATCTTGTAAATTTGTGATTTGATTAGGAAAGAAAGAATATAAATTATAAGGGTGGGCCTGGCACAGTGGCTCCTACCTATAATTCTAGCTCTTTGAGAAGCTTAAGGTCAAGAATTTGAGACCAGGGCAACATAGTGAATCCCCATCTCTACAAAAAATTTTAAAACTTAGCTGGGTGTGGTGGCACACACCTGTTGTCCTAGCTACTCAAAAGGCTGAGGTGGGAGGATTGCTTGAGCCTAGGATTTCAAGGTTGCAGTGAGCTATGATAGTGCCACTGTACTCTAGCGTAGGCAACAGAGTGAGACCCTATTCTTTTTTTTTTTTTTGAGACGGAGTCTCGCGCTGTCGCCCAGGCTAGAGTGCAGTGGTATGATCTCGGCTCACTGCAACCTCCGCCTCCAGAGTTCAAGGAATTCTTCTGCCTCAGCCTCCCGAGTAGCTGGGACTACAAGCATGTGCCACCACACCCGGCTAATTTTTGCATTTTTAGTAGAGACGAGGTTTCACCATATTGGCCAGGCTGGTCTAGAGCTCCTGACCTCGTGATCCACCTGCCTCGGCCTCCCAAAGTGCTGGGATTACAGGCGTGAGCCACAGCACCTAGCCGAGTGAGACCCTATTCTTAAAACAACAGCAGCAGCAAAAACAGTGTAAATAGTAATGCTATGGTTTAAGAATTTCAGGCTGAGCATGGTGTCTCATGCCTGTAATCCCAGCACTCTGGGAGGCTGAAGCGGGTGGATCACCTGAGGTCCGGAGTTCAAGACCAGCCTGGCCAACATGGTGAAACCCTGTCTCTACTAAAAATAAAAAAATTAGCTGAACGTGGTGGCAGGCACCTGTAATCCCAGCTACTTGGGAGGCTGAGGCAAGAGAATCGCTTGAACCCAGGAGGCAGAGGTTGCAGTGAGCTGAGATCATGCCATTGCACTCCAGCCTGGGCAACAAGAGCGAAACTCAGTATTAAAAAAAAAAAAAAAGAATTTCAATTTACTCAGCCAGTCCCTTGCTCTAAGTCAGCAATATAATGACAGCCTTAAGGGTTTCCACCTACTCTTCAAAATGGAAAATGTATTATATTATCAAACATTTTATTTAACCCAATCTATAAAATATTGCCATGCCAACACATAATCAATATAAAAACTTTATTAATGAGTTATTGCACGTTTTTAGGTACTAAGTCTTTGAAATTTGGTATGTTATTTTGTACTTGGTGTACATCTCAATTCAGTCTAGCTACTTTTCAAGAGCTCCATAGCCACATGTGATTATTGCCTGCCATATTGGGCAGTATACTTTTAGGCAGCATTGGGAAATGGACTTAAATATAAGTACTGAACAAATAGCTTGGTTCCTGTAGTCAACCATGTGATGATCAGATGTGACATACGCATATACTGGACAAAGCAACATTGAGAAAAAGGAGCATATCCATTTCTTGTTTATCTTATTTATAGGCATAAATTCTCTTCTCCCCAATGTTAACCTTGCTTGAATTTCATCAGATTTAACAGTGAGACTCAGCGGCTAGTGTCCAGTATCTCCTCTAGAGTGCTTCTTATGAATAGAAGTAACAGTGGCAGAAACACGTAAAGATCCCCCCTGCTGTGTTTTCCATTTCTTATATTTGCTCTTTTGGAGAAATGTTAGTCTGCTTTCAAGAAAAAAGGACAGAGTAGATAATCTTTTTGCTGGTTCGAGATCTAGAATTACGACAAGCTTGCTGACAGTGGGAAGGATAAGAGAAGAGAGGTTGCTGTTTTTCTTTTGTTCAGCCTTCTCTTCTCTGTTCCATAAGTGCTCTGATACAAAGATTTTCTAGAGCTAAAAAATGTTTCAGTCTTTTTTAAAAACCTTATGTGGCTCCAGAGTTTAGCACAAAAACGCACCCTTGCAGGCATGTCTTTCTTACCTTCTGTTTTTCTTATATGGATGTTATCCATGTAAACGCTTGGAAGAATTTGAAGTGAAATCAAACAATTTAGATTGGAATAGTTGTCTATAATTTGAAATTACTAAACTTTTTTTGTTTCTTTTTTAGTAATTTTATGCGTCAGGAGTGTTTGGATTCCAGATTTGTATTCGATAGACCACTGCCTGTGTCTCGTCTTGTATCTCTAATTGGAAGCAGTATCCTTTTTATGTTAGCATTTATGGATATGAACTTTGAAGGGTTTTGATACTTGTGTTAATTATTAGGAATATAATAATAATATGACATAGGTAAGATTGTGAAAACTTTAAAACAACAAATTGGATTGCTCTTTCATTAGCCTTTATAAGCAATTTATATTTGCTAGACACAAATAAGCCCAACTTCAGGAAAATCATCTAAGCATCTTTTTAGAGGGGATTTAAAGTTTCTTAATGGTTCTAGATGTCCCAAGAAATCCTAGACCCCTTGTATCCAAAACAAATCAGGTTTTAGATGGGAAGAAATTATTTTGCTGGCACTCTTTCTTAGGTTCGGTAGAAAGTCAAACATTTTATATTAGGCCAAAGAAATAGTGTCCTATTGCATTATTTCTCTGGTGGATTATGCAACAATTAAAGAATAAGCCAGAGACCTTTGTTAATAATGTATAATTTGAAAATAAAGACAGTACTTCATTCCTTGTTAAAACAAGCTCGTTAACCAGTCTAAGAGACCCAGATACCAACACAACGATATGGCCGGAGACCATATGGTGTTGGTCTCCTTATTGCTGGTTATGATGTAAGTTCATTGAATATTGTTATATGTTAATGATTTTTTTTAATTAACTAGAAATTTTTATAATTTTTAGTTCAACCAAAGTAAATAATTATGTGGTGTATTTATTTCTATTTGTAGGATATGGGCCCTCACATTTTCCAAACCTGTCCATCTGCTAACTATTTTGACTGCAGAGCCATGTCCATTGGAGCCCGTTCCCAATCAGCTCGTACTTACTTGGAGAGACATATGTCTGAATTTATGGAGTGTAAGTGACAGCCTTGCTTTTTTTTTTTTTTTTTTTTGCCTTTTCCAGTCTATATAGTAAATAAACATAGTATCCTAAATGCATAAAACTGTAAGTCTTATAGAAAGAATTTTTTTAAAAAAAATTATGCCCATGAAGAGTTTATTGTTTCTGTCACATATACTAATCTTAACTTCTGGTTACCACAGTAGTTTCAAGCACGAGTAGAACTTTTTCAAAATATAAATGTGTTCCCAACCTTGAAAATTCTTGATTCATTTGGTCAGAAGTGTGCCCTGTGGAGTGGAGAGTGGAGAACCACTGTACTACCTGCCAGTTGTAAGCTCTGTTCACTTTTAGTTTTCTGTGAGTCTTTTGTTATTTTAAGCCACACAGACATTTCTGCATTAGTAGTCCATAAACAAGAAATAAAAAGGCAGTGTAGTTGAGGGAGAAGAAGGTAAAAGAGGTAAGATGTTATGACAGGACAGGTTTTCAAGTGCTTTGCTTTGCATTGGAAGGAGGGTATCGGGTTTTACATTTCTCTTTGTCATCTTATCTGTTTTCTGGTGACAAAGCATTCTTTGGAGGAAATATTTGGGGTTTAGTGAATGCAGAGAAAAATAGTTTAATTGACATTACTCAAAGCAAACTTGTGGGATGACAATAGGTTTAACTTTGGGAAAAGAGGATTCCTTGGACAAATAAGCTTGGTAAATGCTGGCTTAAAGTTTAACATTGTAAATTATGGTAAATGGTTTGGGGTCCCCAAGGTTACCCCTAAATTTGGAGATATGCTAGGACTTAAAGCGCACAGCATATAGTTGTACTCCCAGGTAAGACTTTTAACAATAAAATAACAGTACATAGGTGGATCATTAAGGAAAAATACAGTCCAGAGGAATCTATGTGCAGGCTTCCTTATGCTCTTTCCTTCCCATAAGGAGTCACAGAGTACACTTGCAGCAATATGTATGTGATGTTTCTGCCCAGAGAAGCTCATTAGAAACTCAGTGTCCAAAGTTTGGTTCAGAACTGCTCATATCAGCACCCTCTGCCTAGCACATTTCAACCTGGATAGGAAATTCCTAAAGATTGCAATAAATCTATAGATAATTTTGGGGAGTACTGCTACTTTGATGATACAAAGCATCTGATCCATGAACATGGAATATCTTCATTTATTTAGGTATTTAATTCTTTTTTTTTTTTTCCTGAGACGGGGTTTCACTGTTTTTGCCCAGGCTGGAGTGCAATGGCGCGATCTCGGCTTATTGCAACCTCTGCCTCCCAGGTTCAAGCAATTCTCCTGCCTCAGCCTCCTGAGTAGCTGGGATTGCAGGCATGCGCCACCACGCCTGGCTAATTTTGTATTTTTAGTAGAGACGGGGTTTCTCCATGTTGGTCAGGCTGGTCTCAAACTCCCGACCTCAGGCGATCCGCCCAACTGGGCCTCCCAAAGTGCTGGGATTACAGGCGTGAGCCACCACACCCAACCAGGTATTTAATTCTTTCACTGATGTTTTGTAGTTTTCAGTGTACAAATCATATTTGTCTTAAAGTATTTTATTATTTTTGGTGCTGTTGTGAACAGAATTGTTTTCTTAATTTCATTGCATATTATTCATTGCAACTATATAGAAATACAGTTGATTTTTATATATCAATCTTATATCCTGCAATCTTGCTGAACTTGTTTATTAGTTCTAGTCATTTTTTTATAGATTCCTAAGATCATGTTGTCTGGGAATAGAGATAGTTTTACTTTCTCCTTTCTAACTGCCGTGGCTGGAACCTCTGGTACAATGATGAATATAAGTTGCATGAACAAACCTTCTTTTTTTTGTTCCTAAACTTAAGGGAAAAGGTTTTAGTCATTCACTGCTAAGATTGATGTTACCTGTCAGCTTTTTGTAGATGCCCTCTATCAGACTGAAGAGGTTCCTTTCAATTACTAGTTTGTTTTGTGTTTTTATTATGCAAACATTTTAGGTTTTATCACGTGCTTTTTATGCATCTCTTGGGGTGGTTATGCAGGTTTTCTCCCTTCCTTCAGTGTAACTGAAAATTACACTGACTTTCAGTTGTTAAACTAACTTATTCTTGGGATAAATCTCACTTGTATATGGTATATAATTTTTTTAATGTGTTGCCAGGTTCCGTTTGTAGTTTTTGTTGAGGGTTTTGTTTTGTTTTGTTTTGTTTTTGCATCTATATTGGGTCTGTAGTTTTATTTTCTTGTGATGTTTTTATTCTTGTTATCGGTAATACTGGCCACATAGAATAAGTTGGAGATTCCTTTTTACAATGAGCAAATATAAGGACTAGGATTCTACAGAACACATTCTACAAAACTTGGAGTTGTATAATTTATAGTCGGGATTTTGATTTGACCTAGCAAAAGAGAAGATCAAAATCGTAACAAAAATCATGAGTCCTCTCATTAAATAAAATAAGAATCAGCAATGTCATAGAATGCTATTAAAAGATTATATGACTAGCATTAAACTTGGCTGTTTTTACTGTGATAAATTTAGTGTGTAACTAAAAACCACAATTTGAGACTGTAGATTTGATAAATAACAGAAGCCTAGCATAACAATGAAATTAAGAAATAATTGTTAATTTATTACATATAGGTAATTTAAATGAACTAGTTAAACATGGTCTGCGTGCCTTAAGAGAGACGCTTCCTGCAGAACAGGACCTGACTACAAAGGTAAGTATTGTCTTTTCCAATTGTAGATATTAACGTTACAGTTTAAACCTTTATTGCATAAATGTAATGGAGTATATATGCAACATTCTGTAATTTGGGATATGATTGTCTTGGCAGATTCTTTTCCTTTAAGCTATTTGCTAAGTAATCCAATTTTATTTTTTAAACATTTCTTTTTGGTACAAAGCAGTAAAACCAGTAAATTTCATGCAAAATGTCCTTCATTATTTTCAGCAGATTGGCATATCTTGGTATTATTTAGTTAACAAAAATATATATATATTGAGCACCTACCATGTGCAGGCACTTTCTAAGCATTGAAAATACAGTAAACACAACAAATAACTTTTTCTTCATGGAACGTACATCCTAGTAGGGAAAGATAGACAGTATATACATAAGTACATTATATAGTATATTAGAAGAAGATAAATGCTATGTAAAAAATAAAAAAGCGTTAAAAGGAGAAAGAATGACCAATTGGATGTAGGTAGGTGTAATTTAAAATAGGTGGTTGAGGATATTCTCACCAAGAAAATGAAATTTGAGGAAAAGATATAAAGGAGGTAAGTGAGTATGAGCTATGCAGATCTAGAGCAAAATTATTCTAGGAAATACAAATGCAAAGGCCCTAGTATTTAAGGCAAGGAGGCCAGTAGTGTTGAGGTCAATCATCGAGAGGAAGAGGAAAAGGGAAGAAATCAGAGAGGTAATGGAGGTCCCATAAGCCATTGTGGTTACTCTGCATTTTACTCTGGGTGGGCTGTTAAGAGTTTGAGCAGAGGAATACCATGATTTGGTTTAGGTTTTAAAACAGTCACTCTGTTTGGCATTTTAACGACAGATTGAGGCTGGGCGCGGTGGCTCACGCCTGTAATCCCAGCACTTTGGGAGACCAAGGCAGGTGGATCACGAGGTCAGGAGATCAAGACTATCCTGGCTAACACGGTGAAACCCCATCTCTACTAAAAATACAAAAAATTAGCCGGGCTTGGTGGCAGGCGCCTGTAGTCCCAGCTACTCGGGAGGCTGAGGCAGGAGAATGGCGTGAACCTGGGAGGTGGAGCTTGCAGTGAGCTGAGATTGCGCCACTGCACTCCAGCCTGTCCAGCCTGGGCGACAGAGCGAGACTCCGTCTCAAAAAAAAAAAAAAAAAAACAACCGGTTTGTGGGCCAGCCGCAGTGGCTCACGCCTGTAATCCCAACACTTTGGGAGGCTGAGGTGAGTGGATCACTTGAGATCAGGAGTTCGAGACCAGCCTGGCCAACACGATGAAACCCTGTCTCTATTAAAAATACAAAAATCAGCCGGGCGTGGCGGTGCATGCACTCCAGCCTGGGTGACAAAGCAAAACTCCATCTCAAAAAAAAAAAAAACAGATTGTAGGGGTAGATAGATAGTGGGGCTATGGGTAGAAATAGTTTTAAGGCTATTCAGGTAATTATGTGAGAGATGATAGTGATTGCAGCAGAGTGACAGAGTTAAAGATGAAGAGTAGTGGTTCAATTTTGGATATCTTTTGAAATTACAGCCAAAAAAGTTTGCTAATAGATTTGTTATAGGGTGTGAGGGGGGAATGTCTCCAAGGTTTTGGGCCTAATTAATTGGAATGAAAGATTTATGATTTACTGAGGTGAAGAAGATAGTGGGAGGAACAGGTTTTAGAGTAGGCGTTGGGGAGGAAGGTCAGGCAGTCAGTTGCGGACATGTAAAATTTGAAATGCCTTTTTGTCTAATTGACGGTACAGAGTAAGCAGTTATAAGCAACACGTGGAGTTCCATGGAGAGTGGTCCAACCTACATTTCAAATTTTTGAAGTCTTTATATAGAAATGGCATTTAGAGTCTGGACTGGAAGAGATTCCTAAAGGAATTGAATAGTTAGACAAGCATTGTGAGGACTGGACCAAGAACACTAACCTTTAGCAACTGGGAGATGAGTTAGGTGTTGGCAAAAAAGACTGAGAGAGGTGGTCAAAGAAGTAGGAGGAAAACTTGGAAAATGAGGCATCTTTGGAGGCAAACGAATAAACTTTCAAGGAGGAGGGGCAATGAAGTTGTCACTGAGGACCTGACAAAACAGGCTTAATGGAATAATAAGGCAAAAACCTGATAGTGGAATCAGGAGAGAATGGGAGACGAGGAATTGCAGATAGCTTTTTGGAGGATATTTCTGTTGACGGTCACTCTGTCACTCTGCTCCAATCGCTATCATCTCTCACATGAATTACCTGAATAGCCTTAAAACTATTTCTACCCATAGCCCCACTATCTATTTACCCCTACAATCTGGGTTTTTTTTTTTTTTTTGAGATGGAGTGGTGACTGGAAGAGGAGAGAAATAAATTGTTTTGTTTTTTAAGATGGAAGAAATTACATCACATTTGCTGCATGATTGTGAGAGTAATCCAAGTAAATTTAGGGAAGCATTTATGAGGAAAAATAATGAGAAAATTGTTAGAACAATGTCCTTTAATAGTACATAGGTGGAAGGGTTGGCCTTAGGAAGTTTTAATGGGAAAGGAGAGAATCTAGGGACATAGGTACAGGAAAGAGTGGATACAGTGGGAACTTGTGAAAGTTCTCTTCTAATTGCTTCTGTTTTCGCAGTAATATAGGAACAAGGTTTTCAGCTTCAAAGAGCTTGGAGAATGTTAGAAGTGTCTAAAAGAAGGGGAGCATGAATGATGTAGAAATGGGTATAGTGGGATCCAGGAACCACTAAGGCCTACTTGAAGTTAATGATCATTAATAAAGTGAGATTAGTCAGTTTTATAAAGCCATTTTGTTATGGTGATTGGATAATTATTGTTTAATATCAATGTGAAGACTTTATAGCCTGCATTATCTTTTTAAAAAAATGTTTCTAGATAACATAGATCTTTGGAGTTACTCATGATAATCAAAAGTTAGTATTAATATTAAATCTGCAAATGACAAGGGTCCACTAGTTTCCTTCTTTTTTCTCCTACACATAAGTGGTTTTTAAGGTTTTATTCAAATGCTATATAAATTCTTATTCTGCTTTTTTCACCCAATATTTTATCGTATGTATTTTTTCATCCAAATTCTCTTATTTTACTTTTACCATATTTTACCCTTCAGAATGTTTCCATTGGAATTGTTGGTAAAGACTTGGAGTTTACAATCTATGATGATGATGATGTGTCTCCATTCCTGGAAGGTCTTGAAGAAAGACCACAGAGAAAGGCACAGGTATATAATCATAACACAAGAGGCTTTAGTTCTATTGTAAGCTGCTGTTCTTACCACAACTGTGTCTGTAAATTTTCCATTTTGTCTTAAATATTGAAATGGGCCCATAATTCAAATGGCAACAGGAAAATTAAGAACTGAGTAAAGTTAAATATTGAAAGGGCAGTGATCTCCATAAACACAAAAAGGGGGCCGGGTGCGGTGGCTCATGCCTGTAATCCCAGCACTTTGGGAGGCCGAGGCGGGTGAATCACGAGGTCAACAGATGGAGACCATCCTGGCCAACATGGTGAAACCCCGTCTCTACTAAAAATACAAAAATTAGCTGGGCGTCATGGCATGCACCTGTAGTCCCAGCTACTCAGGAGGTGAGGCAGGAGAATCGCTTGAACCCGGGAGGCGGAGGTTGCAGTGAGCTGAGATCCTACCACTGCCCTCCAGCCTGGGCGACAGAGAGAGACTCTGTCTCAAAAAAAAAAAACAAACACAAAAAGGGAGAAGTGTTGATTATTTGGTTATCTATTGCTAGGTAATAAGCTACCCCAAAACTTAGGGGCTAGAACAACAAACACTACTTCTCACAATTTTGCGGCTGACTGGGGCTCACCTACATGGTTCTTTGCTGGTCTCACCTGGGATCTCTCAAACATTGCAGTCATTTGTGGGGTGCAACTGGAACACCCAAGATAACTTCAGTCACATGTCTTCTTTACTCACACCTTTTAGGTGTCTTAGAGGAGCATCTAGAAGGCAGAGACCTCTGCTAGGATGACTGAGCCTCTGTCCACGTAGTTTCAGGGCCGC
Organism: Homo sapiens; assembly: GCF_000001405.40. NCBI lineage: Eukaryota > Metazoa > Chordata > Mammalia > Primates > Hominidae > Homo > Homo sapiens. The sequence continues at coordinate 14,506,851 of NC_000011.10, read as the reverse complement.
TTCTTCAGCAGGGTCTCTCTAGCATATTGGCAACTCAGGGCTTGCAAAAGTCAGAAGTGAAAGCCGCCAGGCATTCTTAAGGCTGAGATGCAGGACTGGCACAACATCACTTGTACACATTCTGTTGGTTAAAGTGAGTCACTGGCCTGGCCCAGATTCTGTTTGAGCAGAGACTGGGAGAAATGCTCATTGGGGGCCAGCTTTGGACACTAAGATGGCTCTTCATAAAGAGAAAAGCATCAAGAAGTGAATCTCAGGTGAAATATGGGTCTTTTTGCTAGATGTTTAGAATATACATTTGCTATTTATAGATGCTTATTTGATAGCAGTGTAATTGAAAGTAAAAAAGAATCTAGTATGGAAATTTCTACAGCATGAGTTTTTTTAACTTGGAAAGGATATTGTTGGTACTATTTGGGGGATCAAGATTTGCAATATTTAAACTGTTTTTGGTAAAAACTAGCACTGTTGGGAAGAATGCTGTGGAATACCACAAACTAGTTTGGCAAAGGGGAAAAGAATGTCTAAAAAGTGCTGATTGTATTTTAAACATAGTAGTGATAATACAAGGAAAGCTTTTATTCCTGAGCAATGCAAAGTACGATAAAATGGTGGAATTGTTCAATGATATTTAGGTTTTCAGAAATGTGAAATTATATATACAGTTATCCTCGAACAGTGTGGGGTTTAGTGGTGCCAAACCCCAGCATGGTTGAAAATCCACATATAACTTTTGACTCCTAAAAATCTTCTGATAGCCTGCTGTTGACTGGAAGCCTTACTGATAACATAAACTGACAATTAACACATAAATAGACTAGTTTCTTTTTTGTTGTTTTTTGAGACAAGGTCTTGCCCTCTTGTCCAGGCTGGCGTGCAGTGGTGCCATCATAGCTCACTGCAAGGTTGAACTCCTGGGCTCAAGCGATTCTCCTACCTTCCCCCGCGCCACCAAGTAGCTGAAACTACAGGTGTGTGCCACCATGCCCAGCACATTTTTTTTCTTTTTAGTAGAGATGGGATCTCACTGTGTTGCCCAGGCCAGTTTCAAACTCCTGGGCTTAAGCAATCCTCATGCCTCAGCCTCCCAGAGTGTTGGGATTACAGGTGTGAACTGCTGCACCCGACCAAATAGACTATTTTCTACATATATTTTATGCATTCGGCATACCTAACTTTTTCTTACTCTTTTTTTTTATATTTCTAGGCTACACAGTTGGTCTGCTAGTTTATATTTATTGGAAAACAAACAAACAAAAAAAAGCTTCACCCTAAACAATGTTAGAGTAAAAGCAAACAAAAAAGAAAAAGAAAAAGAAAAAGAAATCTGCATATAAGTGGACCCTCACTGTTTAAACCTTTGTTGTTCGAGCCAACTGTATTTTTTTTAAATAAAAAATCTTTATTCCCTCAAATCATGAGCACTCAAGGAGAAAAAAAATACTGCTCAGAAATGTTAACAGGACAGTGAACTAAAACTGAGTATTCAGAATATCTCTTTACCCCTTTTTCTCAATTTTTAATAACGTAATATTTGTGATTAGATGTGTATATTGATCAAGTGTTCATTTTACATATTTTCTTTTTTTCTTTCCCTGTTAAGCCTGCTCAACCTGCTGATGAACCTGCAGAAAAGGCTGATGAACCAATGGAACATTAAGTGATAAGCCAGTCTATATATGTATTATCAAATATGTAAGAATACAGGCACCACATACTGATGACAATAATCTATACTTTGAACCAAAAGTTGCAGAGTGGTGGAATGCTATGTTTTAGGAATCAGTCCAGATGTGAGTTTTTTCCAAGCAACCTCACTGAAACCTATATAATGGAATACATTTTTCTTTGAAAGGGTCTGTATAATCATTTTCTAGAAAGTATGGGTATCTATACTAATGTTTTTATATGAAGAACATAGGTGTCTTTGTGGTTTTAAAGACAACTGTGAAATAAAATTGTTTCACCGCCTGGTATATTGGGTTTTTGTTTTTTTAAGTAGCTTCAACTCTATATAGTAGTCTGGGATTACAACTGGTCATTTGCCTAATTAAATTGCCTTATTTTTAGTGATGGAGAAAAATAATACCTCTTATCTGTCATAGCCTTATAACAGTTCTCCAGTGTATGAACTGGCTGCATGAGAATCCATGGAGATTTGGTTTAGAATACAAATTTCAGGGTTCAACTGTGGTGATTTTAATTAAAACTTAAGAAACCACCACTTCCTGATATAAGCATCAGTTATCATATGAATGGTTTTCTTTCCAACCAGCAAATGGCAGTAGTTGTAGCTCTGGTCTTTGAAGGGAACTTCTGTAAAAACAACACATGGGAAATTGTAATCCCAAACCTTTTATCCTCTCCAGCCCCACTCCAGCATGATCTTTAGGCTGCCTTCTGTTATTCCCATGAGTGGCATACTCAGGTATTGCAGAACCATTTTTATCTTAGACCATGTAAACTGAAATTAGAGGAAATCTGATTTAAAAAAAAAAACCATAATCCTGGCTGGGCGTGGTGGCTCATGCCTGTAATCCCAGCACTTTGGGAGGCTGAGGTGGGCGGATCACTTGAGGTCGGGAGTTCCAGACCAGCCTGACCAACATGGAGAAACCTCATCTCTACTAAAAATACAAAACAATTAGCTGGGTGTGGTGGCACATGCATGTAATCCTAGCTACTCAGGAGGCTGGGGCAGGAGAATCGCTTGAACCCAGGAGGCAGAGGTTGCAGTGAGCCAAGATCGTGCCATTGCACTCTAGCCTGGGCAACAAGAGTGAAACTCCATCTCAAAAAAAATTTTAATTTAATTTAATTTTTAAAAACCCATAATCCGGCCAGGCGCGGTGGCTCACGCTTGTAATCCCAGCACTTTGGGAGGCCGAGGCAGGCGGATCACGAGATCGGGAGATCGAGACCACGGTGAAACCCCGTCTCTACTGAAAATACAAAAAATTAGCCGGGCATGGTGGAGGGTGCCTGTAGTCCCAGCTACTCGGAGAGGCTGAGGCAGGAGAATGGCGTGAACGCGGGAGGCGGAGCTTGCAGTGAGCCAAGATCGCGCCACTGCACTCCAGCCTGGAGCGAGACTCTGTCTCAAAAAAAAAAAAAAAAAAAAAAGACAAAAACCATAATCCAAAATTTGGCTGCTGACATCTAGAGGAGTTATTTTATTTTCTGAGATAATACATCTTTCTGAAGAAAAATTCATTTATAGATAGTAACCCATTTTAGACCTAATTCTAATTAGCTGCTATTGGCTTTGGGCAAGTTACTTAGCTCTTTTTTAAGGAAACCCTTTGGAGAATTATAGTGAGGGTTAAAAGGGAGAATTTATGTGATAACACCTTTTAAACTCTAAAATTCATAGTTTATTTTTTCCCCCCAACTTTCCCAAATCTTCAAAAGCCTTAGTAGGTTTAAATCCCCCTGATTTCTTAGAGAATGGTAAAAGTAGCTCTGGGAGCCTTATTAAGGGAAAGATGTCTAAGTACTGGAATGTGAGAGATGTCAGTTTCTCCAGCAGTAGCCTCAGGAATCTACCATGCAAGCTTGGGAGTTAGACGCAAGTACCATGTGGCTATTTGACCTACAGTGGAGTTGCATCAAGCACATGTAACTTTCCACACACATACACACACACACACACACACACACACACACAAAATAGTGAACTCAGGAACTCCCACCTGCCTCTACACTCAATGGGTATTTAGTCTGGGGAGGGAGCATAAGTGGGAAATATAATAATCTGCCCTTTGCTTAGGCAGATCTCTCTTCCACATGCATTCCATTGGGTGAGCCTCTGTCTTTGCTGAATGATTCTGCTGTTTAAAGATATTGTGGCTCATACCTGTAATCCCAGCACTTTGGGAGGCCGAGGCGGGTGGATCACCTGAGGTCAAGAGTTCGAGACCAGCCTGGGCAACATGGCAAAATCCCGTCTCTACTAAAAATACAAAAATTAAATGGGCATGGTAGCACGCGCCTGTAGTCCCAGCTACTCGGGAGGCTGAGGCAGGAGAATCACTTGAACCTGGGAGGCAGAGGTTGCAGTGAGCCGAGATCATGCCACTGCACTCCAGCCTGGCCAGGTGACAGAGCGAGACTCTGTCTCAAAAAATAAAACCAAAGATATTGTTATGTTTATCATTGTGGAACATGCACCTGTTCCACAAATACAAACCACTAGTTGGCTTGTATTCAGCTAAAAAAATAAATATTCTGTATTATACTTTGGGAGCAATTTAAGTAATTTTTTCAATGTGATTTTTAGTCTTATATACTGACTTTAGAACTTAAAGTCCTCCCCACTCCAGTAATACTCAACCCCACTGTATATACAGTTCATTGTGATGCCCTTTCATGTTTAGTCTGTTGTACTCACATATTCCATTTAGTCTGTTGAATAATTACAAACAGTAAAATCCTAATGATGTTTTATAAAGCCTGTCACTTTGATACAAAGATACTCAATTCACCTGGAATTTATTGAGCATGTATGTGTGCAGCTCTGAAGAACTGGCATGGAATAAAAGGCAGTGGCTGGGTGTGTTGGCTCACGCCTGTAATCTCAACACTTTGAGAGGCCGAGGTGGGAGGATTGCTTGAGTTCAGTTCAAGACCAGCCTGGGCAATATAGTGAGACCCCATCTCTACAAAAATTTTTAAAACTTAGCCTGGTGTGGTGGCACACACCTGTGGTCCCAGCTACTCAGGAGGCTGAGGTGGGAGAATCACTTGAGTCCAGAGTCTGAGGCTGCAGTGAGCTATGATCATGCCGCTGTACTCCGGCCTGGGTGACAGAGTGAGACTCTTGTCTCAAAAAAATAAAAATAATAACGTAGATGACAGGATTCAGGTCCTAGTTCTAACTCAGTGTTTGGCCATTACATGATTTGGGGCAAGTCCCTATTCTCTAGGCCTTGACTTTTTAGATACCACAATTTCTATGGTCCTTGATAAAATGACAAGGTCTTTGCTCTGCATTTATAATTTAAAGGCATTCAAAATTATATAATTACATCTTAGAGTAAAACAGCCCAAACAAAGTGTATTTTACAACAGATCAGGAAGAGTTAATGAGGTTAATATTAAGGTCCTTATACCCATTCAAAAAGCTTTGTACTTAAGAATATGGAAAAATATATGCACTGCCAATGACAATTGTAGGTTCAGATCTAACTAAAGTAATATGTAAAACATTACATTTTCTTGCCTTTTCATATTTAGAACTTAATGACTTGGGGTCATGAGAAACCTCAAAGTTATTCTGTAACAGAATGAACCTCTGGGGCAAATGAAGTCTGTACGGTTTAAGTCCTACACCATGATGGCCCTAAACTGAGCTTTCTTACTGTAAATCTAGTTTTTATACCTTTTTTGGCCTCATTTCTTGCTGACAGATTGTCACTTTTTGGTAAGTTAAGTGGGCTTGGAAACCAGATAACTGCATTTGTAAAACTTCCATGTTAAAAACGAATACACAGAAAAGGAACAAACTGTTGTACACACACCCGGGATTGATCTCAGGGGAATTATGCTCAGTAAAAAAATCCAATCTCAAAAGATTACATTGTATAATTCCATTTATATAACATTGAGATGATAAAAATCATAGAGAATTATTAGTGGTTGCCACAGGTTAGTGTGGGAGGTGGCTATGGCTATCAAAGGACAGCATGAGAATCCTTGTGATAGAACTGTTCTGTCTCGACTGTGTTGGTGATTACACACATATAAGCATGATAAAATTGTCTACAAGTGAATATAAAAACGAGTACATGTAAAACTAGTGAAGTCTGAACAAGGCTGGGTGAATTATGTCTGTCAATTTCCTGAAATTGATATTGTACTATAACTATGCAAGATGTTACCATTGGGAGAAACTAGGTAAAGAGTATATGGGATCTCTGTATTCATGTCACTCTACCATTAAGATTAAATATTAAAAAAAATGAATGCACAGAATCAGAGAGGCACTCTTAAAGTGCTGTCAACACATGGCCTTTGAATACAATTTTGGGTGCTCAAAGAATTTGTAGATTGCTTGATGGTTCTAAAAAGAGAAAGCTCAAAAGAGCTAGATCCTACATAAATGAGGTACTATTGGTGTTCCATCTTCCTGAGATGAACCTGTTAACTAGGGCAGTTGCCGTCAGATCTGTTTTTATTCGCAGTATTTTGCTTAAGCTTTAAGATATTTTGTTATTAATAATTGGCCATAAAACCCTTTTGTGGGCAGAGGGAGGTGTAGGGGCGGGGCGTGCTATGGAACTTCAAATGGGCAAAACCGAAAGTACTATGGCTGATTGCAGCTGTAACAGGTCTTTGGAGATACGTAAAATCCTTTAAAACAGTGACTGTCTCCCTTTATGCATAAAAATTTTTTCTAATCTACTGGGTGCTCAGAAAGGATCACGGAAAGAGGCCATTATTAAATAAAAAGCAGAAATTATACCAATGTGACTTTGGATTTTCAAATAACTCCAGCCCTACCTGCAGAGAGGCAGATTCAAACTACTAGCGATGTTAAGAACTGAAATGGATTTTAATCTAGTGATAATTAATAAAATAACTGAATTACCTTCCCAATAGTATTAGTTACTTTCCCAGTTTATTAGGGTGTGGACAAGAAAAAGGATTACTGGGTTTCCACTTTCTAGTCCAGAGCTCTTTTTCACGGGAACAGAGCCCTGTAAAAGTTTCCCTCTCTCCAAGCACTTTCTCCCCTTGACTGTTCCTGAAGAAGGAACGATTTCCAGTTAGCGTTTAAATTAGCATAGTGCTTAACTCAGAGCTTGGCTTGCAGGGAAAACTAGAAAATACGTGGTTTCATTGCTCTGCGGCCTAATCAAACCCTGGACAAGAGAAGAGGAAGAAAATAGGATATACTTGCAGCGCGCAAGCGCTGCACAAAGAAAGCATGTCCTCTCTGAGTCGCCGTAGGTGCTAGGTGGCTGTGGCTTCGGTCGTTACCCCACCCCCTTCCACGTCAGCCAAGGACTCTGGAGCCGCCGCCGCCGCTGCTGCGGTTCATAGCCGGAGTAGACGGAGCCGCAGTAGACGGATCCGCGGCTGCACCAAACCACTGCCCCTCGGAGCCTGGTAGTGGGCCACAAGCCCCCAGTCCCAGAGGCGTGGTGGGTCGGGCAGAGTCGGAAGAACTGGCTTTCTAGCTGGAAGATGCGGAAGGGGAGCGACTAGGCCGCTTGCGTCTGGGCCTGGCAGAAGGGACCGGGTGGGGGTACGGGTGGGGGTGCGGGTCGGGGTGGGGGCGGAGGGCTAGGAAGCTCCGGGTCGGACGCTCCATCCCGTCCTTTGTATTGGCCGGGGGTCTTTTCCCTCCCAAGACCCCTAGGCGTACCCTTTCAGGCCTAGGGCTGCTTTGCTGGAGGAAGGGGAGGAGGAAGCGGGTGGGGCGAGGTGGGGGTGCAGCGCGTTGATTAAGGGACCCGCGGACATAGAGTCGGAACCCACCAAGGACCGCGATAAAGCGCTTTAGGGTTTTGGCAGAGTATTCAGGCACAAGGTCTCTTAACTTGAGCATGCAGATTGTGTGTTGTGTAAAAACCATACGGTCCATAACATTGTGGGGTGTGGCTGGGGGGACTGTCACTGTTCTGTGGGCCTTCATTCGGCTATACAGCATTCTCAAACACTGGACCGGGATGCGATGAGGGAGTGATAGATAATATACCTTATGCCAGAGCTGATAATGTGGTTTTTACTAGAATTTATTTTTATGGGAACACGATATAGATTGACCTGCCCTTTCTAATACTTTAAAAGGTCACTATAGGTACTTGTTTGTGGGTTTTTTTTTTTTAATTTGTAATGATATGTCTGTGTTTATTTTTCTAGATTTTCTGGCATCCTTAAATCTTGTGTCAAGGATTGGTTATAATATAACCAGAAACCATGACGGCGGCTGAGAACGTATGCTACACGTTAATTAACGTGCCAATGGATTCAGAACCACCATCTGAAATTAGCTTAAAAAATGATCTAGGTAAACTTCGATATTATTTTGAGAATGAAATGAAAAAAGAAAAAACAAAAATAAAAAACTCATATTTCATATTCCTTTATAATTAGAAATGCTTAATTTTTGTCTAAAGTTTTTCTAGGATCTCTTCGATAGACCTTTTATTAAAAATGCGAACTTCTTTAAATATTGGTTGTTTGAAATAGAACATCTCAGTTTATCTTAGTAAACCTAAAGAAATTGTAATAGTTTAGATATTCCTCAAAATGTCATAATTTTTGTAGACTTCAATATATTAATGTGGCTGATTATTTTCTCTAGGCAACAGGTTGAGGATGTGTATTGGAATATCTTAATTCCATCGTGCACTTAACTTCATGTTACTTAGCTTGTAAAACCAAAAGAACTTTGTTCTTTGGATTACCCACCCAAACAATTAGGTGAACACTGGAATAAACATGTATTTTCCAGAAAAGTTTACCTTTTCATTTTTTATGCATTTTTGCAAATAAGAAAACAACTATATTTCTGAACTTTTTGTAATGTTTAATTTTTGGGGGTACACAGTAGATGTATATATTTATGGGGTACATGAAATGCTTTGATACAGGCATGCAATACATAATTATCACATGGAAAAATGGAGTATCCATCCCTTCAAGCATTTGTCTTCTGTGTGACAATCCAGTTACACTTTCAGTTATTTTTAAATGTCCAATTAAATTATTATTGACTGTAGTTACCCTGTGTGCTATCAAATATCGGGTCTAACTCATTTTTTCTGTACCCATTAACCATCTCCACTTCCCTACCACTACCCTTCCCACCTCTGATAACCATCCTTTTACTCTGTCTCCGTGAGTTTGTTTTGATTTTTAGCTTCCACAAATAAGTGAGAACATGTGAAGTTTGTCTTTCTATGCCTGACTTATTTCATGTAACATAATGACCTCCAGTTCCATCCATATTTTTGCAAATGACAAGATCTCATTCTTTTTTTATGGCTGAATAGTACTCCATTGTGTATATGTACCACATTTTCTTTATACATTTATCTGTTGGTGGACACTTAGGTTGCTTTCAAGTTTTGACTGTTGTAAACAGTGCTGCAACAAACATAGGAGTCCAGATATCTCTTTGATGTACTCATTTCCTTTCTTTTGGATATATACCCAGTAGTCGGATTGCTGAATCGTATGGTACCCCTGTTTTTAGTTTTTTGAGGACCCTCCAAACTGTTCTCCATAGTGGGTATACTAGTTTACATTCCCACCAACAGTGTACGAGGGTTCCCTTTTCTCCACATCCTCTCCAGCATTTGTTTTTGCTTGTCTTTTGGATAAAAGCCATTTTAACTGGGGTGAGATGATATCTCATTGTAGTTTTGATATGCATTTCTCTGATGATCAGTGATGTTGAGCACCTTTTCATATGCCTGTTTGCCAATTGTATGTCTTTGTGAAATGTCTGTTCAAATCTTTTGCCCATTTTTAAATCAGATTATGAGTTTTTTTTTTTCCTGTAGAGTTGTTTGAGCTCCTTACATATCTGGTTATTAATCCCTTGTGAGATAGGTAGTTAGCACATATTTTCTCCCATTCTGTGGGTTGTCTCATCACGTATGTCGATTGTTTCCTTTGCTGTGCGGAAGCTTTTTAACTTGATGTGATCCCATTTGTCCGTTTTTGCTTTGGTTGCCTGTGCCTGTGGGGTATTATTCAAGAAATTTTTGGCCAGACCAGCGTCCTGGAGATTTTTCCCAATATTTTCTTGTAGTAGTTTCATAGTTTAAAGTCTTAGATTTAAGCCTTTAATCCATTTTGATTTTATTTTTGTGTAAGTTGAGAGATGGGGGACAAGTTTCATTCTTCTGCACATAGTTTTCCAAGCACCATTTATTGAAGGGACTGTCTTTTCTCCAATGTATGTTCTTGGCACCTTTGTCAAAATGAGTTCACTGTAGGTGTATGGATTTGTTTCTTGGTTCTGTTATTTTCCATGGGTCTTTATGTCTGTTTTTATGCCAGTACCATGCTGTTTTGGTTACTGTAGCTATGTAGGATAATTTGATGTCAAGTAATGTGATTCCTTCAGTTTTGTTCTTTTTGCTTAGGATAGCTTTGGCTATTCTGGGTCTTTTGTGGTTCCATATAAATTTTAGGATTTTTTTTTTTTTTCTGTGAAGAATGTCATTGGTATTTTGATGGGAATTGCATTGACTCTAGATTGCTTTGGGTGGTATGGACATTTTAACAATACTGATTCTTCTAATCCATGATCATGGAATATCTTTCCATTTGTTGATGTTCTCTTCAATTTCTTTCATCAGTATTTATAGTTTTCATTGTAGAAATCTTTCATTTATTTGGTTAAATTAATTCCTAGGTATCTAATTTTATCTGTGGGTATTGTAAATGGGATTAGATTACTTCTTCAATTTCTTTTTCAGATTGTTCACTGTTGTCATATAGAAATGCTACTGATTTTTGTATGTTGATTTTGTGTCCTGGAACTTTACTAAATTTATCATATTTCTGAATTTTAAAAATGTATACCGTGTCTCCTTTTTGTGAGTGATTCTGTCAAGAAAAAAAAAATTTATAATTAATATGCTTTCCAAAGTAATGATTCTTGTTTAATTGAACTGCTAAAAATAAATACAACTTAAACTGATAAATATTGTTTAAACAGAGCAGAGTGAAAATTATGCTTCAAATATAGAAAGGATCTTTTAGAAGATAGTTTGCAGTTTGAAAAGAAACTTAATATTTTACTTGCCTATTCCCACTTCTTAATCAGCAGTAATGGAATACCTCCTGATTCTAGGTTACTTAATACTAGGTTTCTATTGAGGTCTATTTTTAGAGAAGGGAAAAGAAACCCAGTTTTATGATATTTAAAATGATACCATTATATACATAAGCCACATATATTTCCCTTTTTTCATGTTCATGTAGGATAGTTGAATGCAAAATAGTGAATACATTCATTAGTGTTTTTCCTCATAATTTAAAAATTTTCATTGTTAGATCCTCAGGATACCTAAGGTTATAGCTAGGAAGGTAAAGAATAAAATCTGCCCTTAGTTGGAACAATGCCCTAGTCTTAATTGAAGCTGCCTTAGCTACCTTCCTCCAACCAATAAATAAATACATACTCTCCAGTTTAATGTATATTTTTGCCATTAAGAAGAGTTGAGACTGGGCATGGTGGCTCATGCCTGTAATCCCAGCACTTTGGGAAGCTGAGGCAGGTGGATCACTTGACTTCAGGAGTTCGAGACCAGCGTGGCCAACATGGCGAAACCCCATCTCTAGTAAAAATACAAAAATTTTAAGTGGCTATTAAATGAAGAGTTCTGTGGGCCAGATGAACCACCGCATCTGACGCTCAGAACTCTGTTTCATAGCCGCTTAGCTCTAATCATTAGAAATGTATTTCTCATATTTAGGCCCAAATCTGGTTCCCGGTAACTACTACCCATTAGTTGTAGTTCTTTTCCTCATAATGGCCCTAAGGTTATTGAAGACTTGTAATCATTCTTTGTTCTCCCCTTCCCAAGATAATTCATTTATTTTGATGATCTAAACAGTTGTAGTACAGTGTGCTACTACATACTTCTCTGCCTTTGAGTTTTGGATCCAGAAGATTTTTAGTACTATAAATTCTTCAGTATGCAATGATAATGGTGTGAAATTTTAGATAGTTTTGCGTAAAATACTTTATGTTGCAGAGTTTTTAGGCTAAATAACAGTAAACTAGCATTTTATCTTTAATGTGTCATCCTTAATTCTAAATAATGACTACTAATCTAGAACATTTGAATTACCTCCCAGTTTTCCAGATGATATCTTAAGAAAGATTCTAAAGTTTTACAGCCTGCCTGCAGAACTATGATGAGATTTTAGAAATAATCCACTACTTTAGTTTTCAGCCTTTTTGAGTATGACGTTTCTCTTTCTAATGTTAAAAAAGTTACATATTTATCCTCCCATAATAGTAGTTTTAACTTTGTTAAAATGCACACAAATAGCTAAAAGCTGTTTTGAATTCAAAATCAATTAATAGTATGTATTTACATTTTGAAAAATAGCTATATGTGTTTTGAAACACGTTTACTTGGTATGACTGTAGATTCATGGAGCCTGCATTAACTCAATTGGTTAGGAACCAGAAATCTAATCCAGCGCCTTCATATTATATATAAAGAGTCTGATTTCCAGAGATAAATGACTTGAGCAAAGACAGATTATTTGGTGGAGAACCAGGTGGAGAACCTTGTCACTTGGGTTTGTACTTTTATTACCATTGCTGATACTGAAGTAAGAAGGTACATTTTATTTTGTTAATTGCTTTTAAATTTATGTGATGAATTTTCTTTTGAAATAATTGTGCTTTTTTTTAAAAAAATTTTTGATTCAGAAAAAGGAGATGTAAAGTCAAAGACTGAAGCTTTGAAGAAAGTAATCATTATGATTCTGAATGGTGAAAAACTTCCTGGACTTCTGATGACCATCATTCGTTTTGTGCTACCTCTTCAGGATCACACTATCAAGAAATTACTTCTGGTATTTTGGGAAATTGTTCCTAAAACAACTCCAGATGGGAGACTTTTACATGAGATGATCCTTGTATGTGATGCATACAGAAAGGTAAACCAAATCATAATTATTTCTGAATATTGCTTTGAATTTAAATGTAAAATTGGTAGAATGGGCTGTGTTTTAATTGTTAAAATTGAGTCTTTGATAAGATGTAAGTTGTAGAGATTTGGAATTGTAAAAGAGTTATTTTTAAAAGTTTTATTGTCACTTTTCAGACATTTTCTATGCATTTTATGTGTATATATTAATTAAAAAACAGTGACACACATATAAGACATTGATGAGATAGGTAAAAATTGCTTCAGTCAACAAGAATATGATGGAAATTGTCGGTAATCTAGGTTTTTTCTCAAACGTATTTTTTTTCCATTGGAAAGTTTTGCATTAAAATTTTCTTTTTGTAAAAAGCTGAAACTCAGCATTTCATATTTTAATTTTTATATCAGGATCTTCAACATCCTAATGAATTTATTCGAGGATCTACTCTTCGTTTTCTTTGCAAATTGAAAGAAGCAGAATTGCTAGAACCTTTAATGCCAGCTATTCGTGCATGTTTGGAGCATCGACACAGCTATGTTAGAAGAAATGCTGTTTTGGCCATCTATACCATCTATAGGTAAATAAAGATACTGCTTTGGCTTCATTCTGTGAGTACTGTTTAGTCTTTTAGACTAGTGGTTCCAAAGTGGTTGCTTGCAGACTGAATATAGCTTGAAGATATATTTTGTATGGCCAGCACTGTATTTTTTATTATGAACATTGAAAAGTCAAAAGATCTGGCAGCGCTGTTCCTAGCTTCCACAAGACAACATTCTGCTGAACTTGTATAACAGTAACCCCCTTTAAATAAGTTATATACTTTACAGTTTATGACAGTGCTTGTCATTCTCAACCGTATTACTCCAAGCCACTTTATATGTTCACTTGCTTAGCCTCTATAGGCTTTTAACTTTGGTCCTTGTTTTAGAATTCGTTTTGTGGAATGTCGGTCTTTTTACTGTCAGAAGCTTTGAGGAAGGAACTTTTTAAATGAGAAGGGCTACAGTTATAACTGAGTCCAATTCTTAGAAAGCTGAAGATTTTGAATTTTTATTTGTTTTTGTTTTGTTTTGAGATGGAGTTCCACTCTCGTTGCCCAGGCTGGAGCACAGTGGCGCGATCTCGGCTCACAACAACCTCCACCTCCCGGATTCAAGTGATTCTCCTGCCTCAGCCTCCCAAGTAGCTGGGATTACAGGCACCCACCACCACGCCCAGCCAATTTTTGTATTTTTAGTAGATATGGGGTTTCACCATGTTGGCCAGGCTGGTCTCGAACTCCTGACCTCAAGTGTTCCACTCGCCTTGGCCTCCCAAAGTGCTGGGATTGTAGGTGCAGGCTGCCACGCCCGGCTGAGATTTTGGATTTTTAAACCAATTTAAGGAACCAGTTAGATGAAGCTAGAATGCTCAGTTTTTACAGTCACAGGTATCAATTTATTAAGGACTACAATGTAATTTTTATAAGCATCTTTGTACTTTAGTAGATTTGTTGGTTAAGATATAATTTCATAGTTATCTTACTGTTAGATTTTATCCATTAAGGAAAGTGGTATTCTGGTTAATAATGTAGATGAGCCAGGCGTGGTGGCTCATGCCTGTAATCCCAGCACTTTGGGAGGCCGAGGCGGGCCGATAACCTGAGGTCGGGAGTTCGAGACCAGCCTGACCAACATGGAGAAACCCCGTCTCTACTAAAAATACAAAATTAGCTGGGCGTGGTGGCACATGCCTGTAGTCCTAGCTACTCAGGAGGCTGAAGCAGAAGAATTGCTCGAACCTGGGAGGCAGAGGTTGCGATGAACCGAGATCGCGCTATTGCACTCTAGCCTGGGCAACAAAACCAAAACTCCATCTCAAAAAATAATAATAAAAATAATAATAATAATAATAATGTAGGGTGAGTTCCTTTAATGTTACCATACAGACTACACAAATTTCAGAATTTAAACTATAGTGCACATAGAAAAATTAGGCCATTTATAGGACAATTGGAAATGTGAACACTATGTCTTGATATTAGGAAATTATTAATTTTGTGAGGTGTGATGATGAATAATTAGTTTTGCAAGTAAAGAGTCCTTGATTTTAGAGAAACCTACCAATATATTTACAGAAGAAAGGATACATTGCCTGTGATTTGCTTCAAAATAATATGGCAAGAGGTAAATTTGGCAAGGATATAGATGAAACAAAACTAGCTATGAATTATAATTGTTGAAGCAAGGTGATGGATTTTATTAAGCTAGTGTTCACTCTTCTCTGTACTAATATTTCTAAATTTCCAAAAGAAGAGGCAAGTCAGTAAGCAAATAGTACACAACTAATAAAATTCAAGGGACTATGTTTTTCCTCTTAATGTAATTCTTAATATATTGATATGCTTAAAATGTATGCACAACAGTTATTAGAGACATTGGTTAACAGATGGTGTGTTGAATAAATCAGCTTTTTCTGTATTGAACTAGAAAACGTATAATTTGATAATTTAATAGATGAAGGTATAACTTTGTGTTTCCTTCTACCAGTTCCTTTTTTTTTTTTTTTTTGAGACAGAGTTTCACTCTTGTCGCCCAGGCTCGAGTGCAATGGCACGATCTCAGCTTACTGCAGCCTCCACCTCCCAGGTTCAAGCAATTCTCCTGCCTCAGCCTCCCAAGTAGCTAGGATTACAGGCATGCGCTACCACGCCTGGCTAATTTTGTATTTTTAGTAGAGATGGAGTTTCTCCATGTTGGTCAGGCTCATCTCAAACTCCCACCCTCAGGTGATCCGCCCACCTGGGCCTCTCAAAGTGCTGGGATTACAGGTGTGAGCCACTGCGCCCGGCTCCTTCTCCCAGTTCTAATTGATTTGAAGTTTCAAAAAGCAGGCCGGGCGTGGTGGTTCATGTCTGTAATCCCAGCACTTTGGGAAGCCGAGGTGGGTGGATCACTCGAGGTCAGGAATATGAGACAAGCCTGGCCAACGTGGCAAAATGCTGTCTCTACTAAAAAAATAACAAAAATTAGCCTGGCATGGTGGCACGTGCCTGTAGTCCCAGATACTCAGGAGGCTGAGGCAGGAGAATCACTCGACCTAGAAGGCGGAGGTTGCAGTAAGCCGAGATCACTCCACTGCACTCTAGCCTTGTCTGGGCACGGTGGCTCACACCTGTAATCCCAGCACTTTGGAGGCCAAGGTGGGCAAATCATGAGGTCAGGAGTTCAAGACCAGCCTGGCCAACATGGTGAAACCCCATCCCTACTAAAAATACAAAAAATTAGCTGGGCATAGTGGTGGGCACCTATAATCGCAGCTACTCGGGAGGCTGAGGCAGGAGAATTGCTTGAACCCTGGAAGTGGAGGCAGCAGTGAGCTGAGATCGCACCACTGCACTCCAGCCCAGGCAACAGAGTGAGACTCTGTCTCCAAAAAAAAAAAAAAGCAAAAGTATGTTGTAAAGTTTGATTAAATTTAATTTTGGTATTGTCCAGAGAGTTACTAAAATAGTAAAGTAGGCTTTTATTAAATATGGATGTTACCTGTTTTATTTAAAGAAATTTTGAACATCTTATACCTGATGCTCCTGAACTGATACATGATTTTCTGGTGAATGAGAAGGATGCAAGTTGCAAAAGGAATGCATTTATGATGCTAATTCATGCAGATCAGGTGAGGTACTTTTTAAAAAATACTCTTATTACTGTATTTAAGTGACAATTGAAAGTATTACATAGACTTAATCATGTTTTTAGTCAGTAATTTTGTTTATAGTTCATGTGGTTTGTGTATTTTGAAATTTTTAAGCTTGTAGAAAAATACATTTTTTTCTTAACCCTTCTCTAAAATATTGCATATGTATACATTCTTTTTTCAATTAAACATTGAAGAGGCATTTTAGAGCAGCCACCCTACAGTTTTTAAAAATTAAAATTATTATGACTGTTCTTTCCTATGATGGTATAGATCTAAAATTGTTTAGTAGAGAAAAATAGTAGCTTTGCATAGATACATCCTTAGCCATGCCTGTGGAAATAGGGTGGCCTTCAGTGTAGAGGTGTATCCTTTTAGGTTCTTCAACTTTCATACACGGGTGCCAACTCCACATCCTGCTCTGCTGGTGGTTAAAGTACATGGATCTACTTTTGGTTAGCAATTACTCTGTACACCTTGATGCCATCTAATCTTGAAATTTTCTAGCCAGTATTTATCACCAAAATATGGGAAATAATATGCATGAAGTCTGAAAAATATGGAGGCCTTCCAGTCCTCTGAAATCTAGACACTGTGACTTTTTTCCCCCAGATCTTCCTTTAATGGATTGTCCCCCAGTTATTTAAAATTGTGGTAACATACACATAACAAAAAAATTTACCCTCTTAACCATTTTTAAGTGTTCAATGATTTTAAATACATTTATAATGTAGAACCATCACTATCTTCCATCCTCATAACTTTTTTTGTCTTGCAAAACTGAAACTCTGTACCCATTAAAAAATAGCTCCTTATTACCACTTCCTCCCAGTCCCTGGCAGCCACCATTCTACTTGCTGTCTCTGTGATTTTGACTAAGTATTCCGGATAAGTGGAATCATACAGTATTTGTCCTTTTGTGACTGGCTTATTTTACTTAGCCTAATGTCTTCAAGGTTCATTTATGTTGCGGCATGTGTTGGAATTTCTTTCCTTTTTAAGGCTAAATAATACCCCATTGTAAATATATGCTACATTGTGTTTACCTGTTCATCCATTGGTGGACACTTGGGTTGCTTCAATCTTTTAGCTATTAGGAATAATGCTATTGTGAACGTAGATGTACACGTATCTGTTTGAGACTTTGCTTTCTGTTATTTTGGGTATACACCCAGAAGTGGATTTACTGAATATACAGCAATTCTGTTTTTAATTATTTTAGGAAGTGCCATACTGTTTTGCACAGCAGCTCTACCATTTTACATTCTCACTAGTAGTGCACAAGGGTTCCATTTTCTCCACATCCATGCCAACACTTGTTGCTATTGTTTTTTTGATAGTAGCAATGTTAATGGGCACGTGAAGTGGTATTCAATATTGTCATTTTGTCTTCCTAAACAAGATTATGAGAAAGCTGCGTATATGAGCAGTGTTTTGTCCTCTTGTGTAATTGGTTTTACTGACCAATGCTTTTGGCATTATGCTGTTAACCTACATTGAGGGGCGTAATCAGAAATAGTCCAATAAAATTTATTGATACTTTTACTGGAGAGATGTTTTCAGCATTGTAGTTCTGTATATTACAGTGTCCAATATATGAGGACACATAGGAGATTTTTCTTTTAGGTCTCAGTAATAGGAATAACTATACACCTAAGCAGCTGGTTTTGATTGTATGGATACCCTGAATCCCATAACACATAGTGTTTTCCCTCTTTGGTTTAGCTGCTAGAAAATCAGACCCCAGGTTTGTGGCTCATTTCCAGAAAATATATTTAACTTTATGTCTTATATTTTATATGTTAATTTTATTCTTGATTTTTTTCCCAGTTAATTTCTCTTTGCCCTGATCTCCTCATTTGTTTTATATTGAGTTGTAATGTGTGTATTTTTTAAGATGCATTAAGTCCTTCTATTGAATGAGGTGGAGAATGATAAATATATTCTTATTTTTTTTAGGATCGAGCTTTGGATTACTTAAGTACTTGCATTGATCAAGTTCAAACATTTGGAGACATTCTGCAGCTGGTTATTGTTGAACTGATTTATAAGGTAAGAATGATAATCTATGATGAGTAAAATAAACTCAGCAGTTTAAGACAGGGTTAAATACTTTCTTTCTGGGATAATTATTGCTAGGATAATATATTTTAATAGTATAAATATTTTATAGCATAGCCTATTAAAGCCTTTGTTTCTTTTACTTTTGGTTTATTGTATTTTCCAAGTAGAATACTTGCTTATATCCTTTCTAAACCTCCATAAAGATTTTGATAAAAATTCATGGCTTGAGCCAGTGTAGCTGCACATAAATCATTGTGAACTTCCCAGTCACTGAATAGATTATAATTAGGCTTTAAAATAAAATTCAAGATTTTCTTGAGCATACATCAGACTAAAATCAAACAAAAAAGCCTTAAATACTTTTTATGTTCCCTGTTTGTAAAAGAGAATAGAAAAACTTTAAATGCATTAATATGACATTGTAGGCCATTGACAGGAAATCTAAAACCAGCTAAGAATTTTGGATTTTTAAATCAAATACTATATTGGCAACACTTTACTATGATATATCCTTTGAAAGAGTTGGTTACATCTTAATGTTCTGATAAAAGGTACAAGAAGATCCAACTTTGCTATTGATACCATTAGAGGCCAACAAAACATAGGTCCAGATGGCTTTATTAAATATGATAGTATGGTCAAAACACCGGTAGACATTACTAACTGATTATAGCTGTCTTGCTTCTGTAAGAAAGGGGCTCCTCTTAACACAAGGTACCAGTAGTTTGGAATGGGAATTTAAGATGAAACCAAGACTTACTGTACAGTTTTTTTTTGTTTTTTTTTTGTTGTTTTTTGTTTTTTTTGGGCAGAGTCTCACTCTATTGCCCAGGCTGGAGTGCAGTGGTGCGATCGCGGCTCACTGCTGCCTCTACCTCCTGGGCTCAAGCGATTCTCCTGCCTCAGCCTCCTGAGTAGCTGGGATTACAGGTGCACGCCACCGTATCCAGCTAATTTTTGTATTTTTAGTAGAGACGGGGTTTCACCATGTTGGCCAGGCTGGTCCCAAACTCCTGACCTCGTGATCTGCCCACCTTGGCCTCCCAAAGCGCTGAGATTACAGGCGTGAGCCACCATGTCCAGCCTATAGTTCTTTTTAATTCATGTGTATAGTTTAGGATACCACTGAGGTTCTCAAAATTAGCGGTTCCCTGCTATCTAATGACTTAAGTAGGGTCCATGTTATAGTAAAAGGAAATAACTTTTAAGTCATGTCCATGTAATAGAGTTTTGACTATATATATTTTAGGAAAATCTACTACAAATACTGACTTCAAAAGAGAAAAAATAAGGGATATTTACTATACAAGTAAAGGTATCAGGATACATTTAGAATGGGATAGAAATTTTTAGTTTTCTCTCCAATGTTGAATATAGTCTCAAATAATAAGTAGTAGTACTTGGGAAAAATGTGTTATCTTTCTTGCTTGAAAAACTGGTATTTTCCTTTTATTAGCTATTGAGATTTATATCATCCGTCATGTTTCCCTTTGGCATCCAGAATAAACATTTAGGACCAAATTTAATATCCTGTGACAGTACCCATATTAGTGTACTGGGTTAATGTGTCCTTACTTTTGTTACTTTACATTTTCTTTTTCTCTTTCACTTGTGTATAGCATACACATTTTAAGTCATCAGAAAACCTTTTACGAAACAGTAAAAATATAAATTATGATGGGATGAATAAATAAGTGCACAGCTGTAAAAATTATTTTGTTCACACCATCCTATCTAGTAAAGCCATTTCTTATCTATGTTTTTGTTGGCCTCTAACTTGCTTCTTTCTGAAATTACTGATGTTGTGTCATAGTGTCTCATCCCATTTTGTCTGATATTTTCATGTCCTCATAAGACTGTTCTTAGCTTTCATATTGAGAAAACTAGCATCCCATAAGCTGACATTCATGAAAAAACTCCATTTGAAAACAAGCGTTCCTGAAATCGGTTGAAATGTTAATGTTTTCTTCTCCAGGTCTGTCATGCTAATCCATCAGAAAGAGCTCGTTTTATTCGCTGCATCTATAACTTATTACAGTCATCCAGCCCTGCTGTAAAATATGAAGCTGCTGGGACATTAGTGACACTCTCTAGTGCACCAACTGCAATCAAGGTACTGTGTATTTCTTTTGGGGCCAGATTAGATGATAGATTTTCTGTCTTAGCACTCATGATTTAGTGACATTTCAATTCACTATGTGGTTACATGGCACAGAGAGAATAACTACAAACTTATAAAATTATTTGATGCCTTACATTGTTCAGCCTTCCTTCTTTTCTTCCTTCCTGCTTTCATACACACATATATAGATACAGACAGAGAATGACAGTACAGTTAACCTCTGACAACACAGGTTCGAACTGCGCAGGTCCACTTATACATGGACTTTTTTTCTACCTCTGCTACTCCTGAGACAGCAAGACTAATCCCTCTTCCTCTTCCTCCTCCTCCTCCTCAGCCTACTCAGTGTAAAGAGGTTGGGGATGAAGACCTTTATGATGATCTACTTCCTCTTAATGAGTAGTAAATATTTTCCTTATGCTTTTCTTAACATTTTCTTTTTTCTAGCTTACTTGATAAGAATACATTATATAATACATTTAACATACAAAATATGGGTTGTTTTGTTTTGTTTTGAGACAAGGTATTGCTTTGTCACCCAGGCTGGAGTGAGGCAATCTTGGCTCACTGCATCCTCCACCTCCTGGGTTTAAGCAATTCTCCTGCCTCAGCTTCCCGAGTAGCTGGGATTACAGGTGCCCACCGCTATGCCCAGCTAATTTTTTGTGTTTTTAGTAGAGATGGAGTTTCACCATGTTGGCCAGGCTGGTCTTGAACTCCTGACCTCAAGTGATCCGCTAACCTCGGCTTCCCAAAATGCTGGGATTACAGGCGTAAGCCACCGCGCCTGGCCACAAAACATGTTTTAATCAACTGTGTCATTGGTAAGGCTTCTGGCCAACAGTAGGTTATTAGTAGTTAAGTTTTTGGGGAGTCAAAAGTTACGTGCGTGGCTGGGCACAGAGGCTAACACCTAAAATCCCAGCATTTTGGGAGGCCAAGCTGGGAGGATTGCTTAAAACCAGGAGTTTGAGACCAGCCTGGGCAACAAAGAGAGACTCTATCTGTACAGAACCTTTTTTTTTTAATTAGCTGGTGCTAGGTGTGGTGGTGCATGCCTGGAGTCCCAGTACTTTGGGAGGCCAAGGTGGGATGATCGTTTGAGGCCAGGAGTTCGAGGTTGCAGTGAGCTATCGTGGTGCCACTGTACTCCAGCCAAGGCAACAGAGAAAGACAAAAAATAATATGAATTAGCTGGGCATGGTGGTGTGTGCTTATAGTCCCAGCTATTCTGAAGGCTGAGGCATGAGGATAGCTTGAGCCCAGGAGTTCAAGACTGCAGTTAGCTATCATTACTCCAGCCTAGGTGAAACAGTGAGACCCTGTCTCTAAGAAAATAAAAATTAAAAGAAAAATGTTACATGTAGATTTTAAGTTTTAGTGAGTGTTTTCAATAATAGAGTATTTACCTTTCTCCCTTTCTCTAATTTATTCTATCAAGACTATATCATCAGCCCCTAATCTATTCAGAGAATGAGCTGTTCTAAAAGCCAAATTGTTTAAATTGGAGAATTTACTGCTTTACCCAAAACTTGAACTTTTTTTAATTTTTGATTTTGAAATAATTTTAAACTTACAGAAAAATTGCATAGTACAAAGTTCTTTTCTGTTGTTGTTTTTTTGTTTTGTTTTTGTTTTTTGAGACGGAGTCTCACTCCGTCGCTCAGGTTGGAAGATACTGGTGGGATCTTGGCTCACTGCAACCTCCGCCTCCCAGATTCAAGTGATTCTCCTGCCTCAGCCTCCTGAGTAGCTGGGACTACAGGCGCATGCCACCACACCCAGCTAATTTTTGTATTTTCGGTAGAGACAGGGTTTCACCATGTTGGCCAGAATGGTCTCGATCTCCTGACCTTGTGATCCACCCGCCTCGACCTCCCAAAGTGCTGGGATTATAGGCATGAGCCACCATGCCCGATGAGGACAACATTCTTATATATTCTTCACCCAGCCTTTCTCATATGTTCACATTTTCTATAATCATATAATTGTCAAAACTACAAAATTAACATCAGAACAATATTATTAACCAAACTACAGGCTTTATTCATATTTCATCAGTTTTCCCACTGACGTCCTTTTTTTGTTCAGGATCTAACCTAGGATCCCATATTGTATGCAGTGGTCATATCGTAGTCTCCTCCAATCTGTGCTAGTTCTTAGTCACTTATTATTTTTCATGACCTTGACGCATTTGAAGAATACTGGCTGGTTTGTTTGTAAAATATCCCGTAACTTGGGTTTGTCTGATGTTTTCTCAGATTGAGGTTGTACATTTTTGGAAAGAATACCACAGAAGTGATGTGTCCTTCTTAGTGTATCTTACCAAGGAGTACATGATGTCTGTATGTCTTATTACTGATGATGTTAACCTTGATCAGTGAAGGTGCTGTCTGCCAGATCTTCCAGTTTTATGATTTCTTCTAGTGTAATCAGTACATGTTGTAGGGGGAGATACTTTGAAACTATGCAAATATGTTGTTCCTCAAATTCACACCTACTTATTTTAGCATCCATCAGTGGATTTTCTTACAATTATTGCTTTGGTATTCTAATGGTGGTTTTCTATTTCTCTCATTCAGTATTTATTTATTGGAATTCTTATGCAAGGAAGGGCTGTTCTTTCTCTTCCCTCCCTCCCTTCTTTTCCTTCCTTCTTTCTTTGTATCAGTATGGACATTTTATTCTATCATTCTAAAATACTTTACACATTTTTTGTCTTATTAATAGTTATTATAAATACTAAAATATTTTAACAACTCTGGGTGATCTTTATATTCTTGTTGTTTGTGTACTGCAATGCAGATGAGTTAGACTTTGCCTCTAAACTGAAATATGCTTAATCGATGTACTTCTTGGGATTCTTTTCCTGCATTTTTCTGGCTTGTTCCTTAGTTTTAACCCTTAAATTTTGGCTGTTAGTAAGTATGTCTACCTATAGCAGCTTTTTTTCATCCTTTTAATTTGTAATGCCTCTAATCTTCTGTAAGTTTGAAAAATAACAAGGGACTAGAGGAACCCATTCCTCAGAACAAAATGTATAATATATAAACTCTAGTACAGGGATTAATTAATGAGTGTATTTTGGCTTCATGGGAGTGTGTGTGTGTGTGTGTGTGTGTGTGTGTGGTGTGCGCGCGCATGCTTATTTTCAAATTTTATGATAGATGAATAACTTCTTAAAATGTATTTCTTTTTTTATATAGGCTGCTGCTCAGTGTTACATTGATTTAATTATTAAGGAGAGCGACAACAATGTAAAACTCATAGTTTTGGATCGCTTGATAGAATTAAAAGAGCATCCTGCTCATGAACGAGTACTACAGGTAAGTGTTATCTGAAAAAGAGAGATCCTAAATAAAATGTTTTTCAAATTTAGGTCATTCTCAAGCTTTGCCCATCTTGGTTAACCTAAATGCTTGGAAACTGAGCAGTTTATATTTTGATCAGCTAAAGTGTTAACTATTGAGTCATCATAGCCTTTTGGGGTATTATCTTTACCACAAAAAATATTTCTAAAATGGCTGGACGCGGTGGCTCACGCCTGTAATCCCAGCACTTTGGGAGGCAGAGGCGGGCACATCATCTGAGGTCAGGAGTTTGAGACCAGCCTGGCCAACATGGTAAAACCCTGTCTATACTAAAAATAACAAAAATTAGCTGGGTGTGGTGAAGTGCGCCTGTAATCCCAACTACTTGGGAGGCTGAGGCAGGAGAATCACTTGAACCCAGGAGGCAGAGGTTGCAGTGAGCTGAGATCGTGCCACTGCACTCCAGCCTGGGCAACAGAGTGAGACTCTGTCTCAAAAAAAAAAAATGTTTTTCTAAAGTGAATCAGTATTATATTTTTTTATCTTTTCGGTTTGTACTGTATTGACTATTCTTAGCGACAGTGACATACTCATTTTAATTTGAATATAATTTACATTTCGTGGAAAATTATTATACCAATTGAGAATAAAAGGTGATCTGATTCTAGAAAATTATCACCATATTTGTTTAATCCATGAGAATAATAATGGTTATAAAAATAAAACCCCATGGCAGGTAAATGCAGTGCTGATCTTGGATCAGAACAACAGCAACAACAAATTTCTATGAAGGACATTATTGGGACAGATTGAGAAATATGAATATGGTGTGTATATTAGTTAATAGTATTGATCAGTGTTAAATTCTCTGATAATTATAATGTGGTTATATAAGAAATTATCCTTACCCTTGAGAGAGATACACTAAAATTATCAGCAGTAAAGAGCAAATGTGGGCCAGGTGTGGTGGCTCATGCCTAAAATCGCAGCACTTTGGGAGGCTGAGGCAGGTGGATCACCTGAGGTCAGGAGTTCGAGACCACCCTGACAAATATGGTGAAACCCTCCCTGTCTCCATTAAAATACAAAAATTAGCTGGACATGGTGGTGTGCAACTGTAGTCCCAGCTACTCAGGAGGCTGAGACAGGAGAATTGCTTGAACCCAGGAGGCAGAGGTTGCAGTGAGCCAAGATCTTGCCACTGCACTCCAGCCTGGGTGACAGAGCAAGACTCCATCTCAAAAAAAAGAAAAGAGCAAATGTGGGAAGATATTAACTGGTGAATGTAGGTGAAGGATATACAGGAGTTCACTCTTAGAACTTTTTTATCAGTTTCGAATTGTTTTTAAGTGTGCATCTTTTAAATGTTACATTTTCCTATGGAGTCAAATAATATCACATTTAACGAAATTGTTAATAATTTATGAATGTTATCTAATACCAAGTCTATATGTAGATTTTCCCAGTTATCCCAAAAGCCCTTTTTGTTTAGTTTGCCCATTTTGTGACCATGTATCGTATTTGGTGGTTATGCCCTTTCAGTCTCTTAATTTTGGACAGTATCTTTTTTTTATGACACTGATTTGTTGAAGAGACCAGACCAGTAATACTATAAAATGCCCCTCTTTCTGGATGTGTATGGCTACTTTCTTACGTTGTTTAGCTTGTTCTTTGACTTCTGTTACTTTCTATAAACTGTAAGTTGGAGCTTTAGCTTTAGCTTGACAGAGTCAAAGTAAACATTATCAGTTTGAATGTGTCATGTGCTATTATTTCATATTGCAGTGTATCAGGAGACCCAAACTATCTAGTTCTTCCACCACTAGTGGTTTTGTTATTGATTAAAGAATTAAAGTGATGATAGATAAACCCCACCATTCTGCAGTGAAGATTTTTTTCCTGTGACCAGAAAGATTGGTGTTAATTCTTGATTTTTTCTTCTTTTTTAGGATCTGGTTATGGATATCCTAAGAGTATTGAGCACACCAGACTTAGAAGTACGAAAGAAAACTCTGCAGTTAGCACTGGATCTTGTCTCTTCTAGAAATGTTGAAGAGGTAAAAGGAAACTCTGACAGCACTTTGTAGCTATCAGGCCCAAATATGATGTAACTCTCACTTATTTTTACTTCATTCTATAAGCTGGTTATTGTCCTGAAGAAGGAAGTGATAAAAACAAATAATGTGTCTGAGCATGAAGATACTGACAAATACAGACAACTCCTAGTGCGAACATTGCATTCCTGTTCTGTCCGATTTCCAGATATGGCTGCAAATGTTATTCCTGTGGTATGTAATTCTGATGACTTTAATTTTGAAATTATCTAAAAGAATTTTTTAAAAAATATAGTTATTTGACAAACTCCAGAAATCTCAGCTGCCTAGAACCATTAAATCTCATGGTGAGAAGTGATCTTTATATCTACCTCTACCTTTAAACTCAGAAGGGTGAGGACTGACTTCTTTCACTTATATATTCATCAAAAAAACAAAAACAGTGACCAAAAAAAAGCTTTGCATATTATTTTAATTGATGATACAGTTACCTAAAGTAAAATTATGCTGTGTATATATATTATTCAGTAAGGCAAATAGGTATTTATTTTAAATAGCTTTAGCTCTTAAAGGAATCAGTTATAGGAAAAATTCACATATGTAGAATATTTTGCTGTCACTGTCAGATAAGTGAGGTATGTTATTATAATTTGATTTTTGCCTTTGAGCTCTTGAGTTCTCTCTAAAATGATTTTAGTTACAATTTAGGAGGATCGAATTCATTTATTTATTTGGAGTTTTGGATCTCTAGCTTATCTTTTATAGTGAATTTTAAAATAAATTTTGCTGCACATAAAATGGAAAAGCCATTGTGACTTTGTTTACATAATAGTACTTGTCTCTCAATTTACATTTTGTTGTGTATTTGAAAATTATTAAGAATTACAAGGGTCAGGCATGGCACTTCATGTCTGTAATTCGAGCACTTTGGGAGGGCTAGGCAAGAGGATTACTTGAGGCCAGGGATTCAAGACCAGCCAGGGCAATATAGGGAGACCCTGTCTCTACAAAAAAATTAATATTAGCTAGGCATAGTGTCATGCCTGAAGTCCTAGCTCCTGGGGAGGCTGAGGCTGCCAGAGGATCACTTGAGCCCAAGAGTTCAAGGCTGCAGTGAGCTATGATTGTGCCACTATTCTCTAGCCTGGGCAGCAAAGCAAGACCCTGTCTCTTAGAAAACAAAAAAAGAATTACATTCTTTTAATTTATTTCTTGTCCTAGATAATTTTCTTTTCGAAAATTGTTAGTTCCATTTTCTTTTTTTTTTTTTTCTTTTAGTTAATGGAATTTCTCAGTGACAACAACGAAGCAGCAGCTGCTGATGTCTTGGAGTTTGTTCGTGAAGCCATTCAGCGCTTTGATAACCTGAGAATGCTTATTGTTGAGAAGATGCTTGAAGTCTTTCATGCTATTAAATCTGTCAAGTAGGTTTAAAATACATTTAAATGTAAGGTCAAGTAAGCATTTTATCAGTTTTTATCTTTAAAGGGTCAGTTGATAGAAAATAGAATGGAGAGGACAATCAAGCCAAAATAAGACAAGTTTGTACAACAAGCATCTCGCTAACTCCACTCTCATTTAGTCTATAATAAATGGCCCAAAATAATTTTTTTAGGAGTGATTTAGCTCAGGGTCTCTATTCTGATTTTCTCTAAAACATTGTGAATCTTAAAGTAACTAAAGAGCATATTTTTAAATGGCATCACTTTTTGGCTATTACTATTATTTATATCTTCCTTTCACATTTAATGAAGAGAAAGATTGAAAATGCAACCTAAATCTGTCTTTCCCTTCAGAGAGCCTTTGCTAATGAGAAAGGACTGTTGCATCTAAATTTTGCTTCATTTAAAGCATCTGATGGATAGTCTCTAACAGACTTGAAATATGTCTCAGGAAGGAAGGGACAAGTACAAAATTGTTTTTATGATATGAAAATATATTAATATTTATGGAAGTGAGCAGAGCAGGATTTGCTTCCTTTGTGAGAAGAAAATCATATTAAGGATTTGCTTTTTTTTTTTTTTTTTTTTTTTTTGTGAGAGGGCTTTCCGGCAAAAACCAGAAAGCCTGCTAAACAAATTTTAAAAGAGCTATGACATTAAGAATTTGTTTTTGACAGCCATAATCTCTTAGAGCTTTGGTTTCTATAATTAAGTTTTTCTGAATAAATTTAATTAAAATCTTAGGGGAAAGATGACTAAGGACTTTATTCAGTTTAACATTTTAAACTAAAGAATTGTTGGCTGGGTATGGTGGCTCACACTTGTATTCCCAGCACTTTGGGAGGCCAAGGCAGGAGAATTGCTGGATGTCAGGAGTTGGAGACCAGCCTGGGCAACATGGTGAGACTTTGTCTCTATTTATTTTTTTAATCTAAATGAATGAATGAATGGTTGCTTTCTTTACTATTATTTTTTTACTGATCCCTTGTACTTCTTCTGTATCCATTGTTCAGTTCAACACCTTGCCTCTTCAGTGACTGAAAATAAAAAGTGAATTACTTTTTACATTAAAATAATACATTCCTGATTTTTTGTTTTTGTTTTTGTTTTGTTTTTACTTTATTTATTTATTTTTTTAAGAGAGATGAGGGCCTTGCTTTGTTGCCCAGGCTGGTCTCGAACTCCTGGACTAAAGCAATCCTCCCACCTCATCCTCCCCAGATGCTGAGATTACAGGTGTGAGCCACAGTGTCTGGCCATAAAATAATACATTTCTTAGAGTAGTAAGAGATTAAGCCAAATTTGCCTTCACTGTGTCCTAAATGGACACTTTACTGGGAAACATTTTGGTATTTTATTTTTACTGCTAGGTTTACCAGTTTTAGAATGTTCCTAATAATAAGAACAGTTATTTTACTTTTAATCTTTGTGATTTCTGGAGAGAACTGAAACCTAGGTTTTGTTAGATTCTTTCTGAAATATTTATCTAAAATACTTTAGAACTGCAGAATCTTGTTGGTTTTTGTTTTTTGTTTTTTTGTTATTGAGACAGAAGCTTGCTCTGTCACCCAGGCTGGAGTGCAGTGGCGCTATCTCAGGGCATTGCAACCTCCGCCTCCTGGATTCAGGCAGTTCTTTTTTTTTTTTTTTTTTTGAGATGGAGTCTTGCTCTGTCTCACAGGCTAGAGTGCAGTGGCGCGATCTCGGCTCACTGCAACCGCCGCCTCTCATGTTCAAGCGATTCTCCAGCCTCAGCCTCCCAAGTATCTGGACTACAGGTGCGTGCCACTGCATCCAGCAAATTTTTTTTGTATTTTCAGTAGAGACGAGGTTTCACCATGTTTGTGAGGCTGGTCTTGAACTCCCAACCTCAGGTGATCCGCCCGCCTCAGCCTCTCAAAGTGCTGGGATTACAGGCGTGAGCCACTGTGCCCGGCCTCAAGGAGCTCTTATGCCTCAGTTTCCTCAATAGCTGGGATTACAGATGTGCATCACCATGCCTGGCTGATTTTTGTATTTTTAGTAGAGATGGGGTTTCACCATGTTGCCCAGGCTGGTTTTGAGCTCCTGGGCTCAAGTGATCCGCTGGCCTCAGCCTCCGAATGTGCTAGGATTACAGGCGTGAGCCACCGTGCCTGGCCCTTGTTTTTTTTTTTTTTTTGAGACGGAGTCTCGCTCTGTCACCCAGCCTGGAGTGCAGTGGCGCGATCTTGGCTCACTGCAAGCTCCGCTTCCCGAGAATGGGTTCCCGCCATTCTCCTGCCTCAGCCTCCCGGGTAGCTGGGACTACAGGCGCCCGCCACCATGCCCGGCTAATTTTTTTGTATTTTTAGTAGAGACGTGATTTCACCATGTTAGCCAGGATGGTCTCGATCTCCTGACCTCGTGATCCGCCCGCCTCGGCCTCCCAAAGTGCTGGGATTACAGGCGTGAGTGCCTGGCCCTTGTTTTTATTTGAGCTTAAATTAACAAAGAAAGATCTCTGCTTCAAGATTTGTCTGCCAAGTTCATGTTTCAGATCTTGTATTGTGCTAGGATTTACCGAGGAGCATTATGGATCCTGGGAGAATACTGTAGTACCAAGGAAGACATTCAGAGTGTGATGACTGAGATCCGCAGGTCCCT
Organism: Homo sapiens; assembly: GCF_000001405.40. NCBI lineage: Eukaryota > Metazoa > Chordata > Mammalia > Primates > Hominidae > Homo > Homo sapiens. Next base: position 14,476,925 of record NC_000011.10, on the reverse strand, counting down.
TGGAGAGGTATGTTTTACTTTAGTAAATGTTAGTTTATATGGTAATTTTTCCTTTAGGAAAATCTGACTTTTTATAGTGATTTGCTTACATTATTTACACTTCTGAGTTAGATTTTGTTTGAACAAAATGTTCTGTGTTTATTAAAAAAAAAAAAAAAAAAAAGAAGCAGTAGCTTGTAAAATTCTGCTTTAGCCTGTATTCTGAAGGAAGAATGCCTTAGAGTAAGTCTGACTTCAGAATATTTATGCAGTAAAACTGACAGTATTCTTCATCCTAACAACCTTATGGTAGAATAGAAAGAACAGTGGACTAATTATCAGGAGACCTGACAATTAGTTCTAGTCATTGTTGTGTCGACAGTTAGCTGGAGGACCTTGAATATAAGTTCCTCAACCTAACTTGACATCAGTGTTTTTCACCTATAAAATAAATTAAAATAGGTAATGATTAAATACTCTTAGTGCTCTTATATTAGGTAATGGACTGGTATTGAGTAATAAATACATAATAGCCATTCAGTTAATTTAAAAGTTAGTTGATGAGGTTATTATGTACAAATAAGTCGGATTTATTTCATTTTAGAAGGATGAGTACTGTTTTGGTTAAAATTTCAAGGAAAGGAATGAAGAAGAGGAATACGACTTAATGACCATCTGCTTTGTGTTAGACACTGTCCAATGCATTTTTCTATTAGGTAAAATGTGTAGAAAGAATTAAGATTTCCACTTAGCAGATTAAGAAACTGAGGTCCAAAGTAGTAAGTGGCAGAGTGAGAATTCAAACCCTGGAATATCCATCTCTGAAGCCCCTATTCTACCTACTACATTATCCTGGGAAGGAAATAAATTGAAAGCAGAGTTCCCAGTTCCAAAAATCCCATTAGGGTAATGCCTTTTTTAGAGAAACAATCAAATATTTAAAGATAATTTTGCTTGCTGTTGATACTATTACTAAAATGATGTTTCCAATTGACTTTTAGATCCCAATTGTAGAGTCAGAAATAAAGAAAGAAGCTGGTGAATTAAAACCTGAAGAAGAAATAACTGTAGGGCCAGTTCAGAAATTGGTTACTGAAATGGGTACCTATGCAACTCAGAGTGCCCTTAGCAGTTCTAGACCCACCAAGAAAGAGGAAGACAGGTAATTTATGGCACATATACCCTGCCAGCTGTACTACTTTTATTATTACTCTTGTATGTAAGACAGTCAAATGATTTCTTTCCTCTTGCTTTTGCAACCAAAATGAAAATCTTTGCCATTTAAGGTACTTGAGAAGCGGAGGATGTTTAAGTTCTTCCCCCTAGGAATTGTATTGATGGTTTTAATTCTCTGTCCCTTCCAGTGTTTTTATGGAAATAACTGTTCTGTTTAAACTCAAATTATTTTTACTCAGAAAATGCTAAGTGGGGGTAACTGAAGATATTTGAGTTTTGTTGTTTATTAGCATCTGAAAACATTTTGAAGATTTTTCAATTTCTAAATGATGGAATAAAATTGTGCATTTTTCTATTAAGTAAATTTTAATGGTGAAGATGGTGAAATCTTTGCCTAAAATTTTACTGAATACCCACTAAGTGCTAGGCATTGTGCTAAGTAGTTTGTCTCATATAGTCTTGACAATAAGCCTTTGAGATAGAATATATTATCTCCATTTTATGGAAGAAGAATTTGAGGCTTACCCAGTAAATAAACAGGTAAGCTGGAATTCGGAGGTACTTCATTAGCTGCAATTACGTATGCCCCTAATTAAATATTGTATCTTTCCATATTCTGATGGCTTTTGTGTCATTCAAAGATAAGTTTTCTTTTTTTTTTTTTTTTTTTTTTTTTTGACACAGAGTCTTGCTCTGTCGGCCACGCTAGAGTGCAGTGGCGCGATCATGGCTCACTGCAACCTGTCTCCTGGGCTCAAGCAGTTCTCCTGCCTCAATCTCCTGAGTAGCTGGGATTACAGGTTTGTGCCACCATGCCCAGCTAATTTTTGTATTTTTAGTAGAGACGGGGTTTCACCATGTTGGCCAGGCTGTCCTCGAACTCCTGACCTCAGGTAATCCGCCCGCCTTGGCCTCCCAAAGTGCTGGGATTACAGGTGTGAGCCACTGCACCTGGCCAAAGATAAGTTTTAAAGTCATGTATTATTTTTCTTTTTCCTTCTTTCTTCTGGGAGCTAAGGAGTTAGTTAGCTAAGGTATCCTTATCACTGAAGGATGGTAATAAGAGTGTTTAATAGGCCTATATCATTCATTTATACAGAAGCTGCATGCTGCTTAGCAAGTTGGTGGGTTTGATTTTCCTTGGTTGCTTTGCAGACCTCCCTTGAGAGGATTCCTTCTGGATGGAGATTTCTTTGTTGCTGCCTCCCTTGCCACAACTCTGACCAAGATTGCATTGCGCTATGTAGCTTTGGTTCAGGAGAAGAAAAAGCAAAATGTAAGTTCATTTATTTTACATTTAACCAACAATTAAACATTGAGTGCCTACTATATGCATTGAACAGTGAGGGACTCAAAAATTAATGCTAAGTTTCTGTCATGAAAGAGTTTATGATTTAATAGCAGAAGTGGACACAGTAATATATTACTCTAAAATTGATAAAGTATCTTCCTCTTCTGTTTGGGCTTTAAAAAAATGAAAATTGACAAAGTAATACAATAACAATGTCATGTGATTATTCCAGTGGAAGAGAAAGGATTTATGAAGTCACCTCAGTTTGCTGGGATTAGTTCAGGACCAGTGAAGGAAATGTCCTTCTCTCCAGCATCTGCATCCATTCGGTCATTGTCTGTTTTATCCCAGAATGTCTCTTAAGTTATTCTCATCTGTAGTTCATGCCTGCTTTGTAGCTTCTGACCGTTCTAACCAAACACCCATTTACAATGGTATGCAGTTGGTCCTCCATATTCACAGCTTCTGCACCTGCAGATTCAACCAACTATGGATTGAAAATATCTTTTTTAAAAAATGATAAACAGTAAAAAATAATAGAAAGTTGAAAACAATGCAGTGTAACAATTATTTACATAGCATTTACAGGCATACTTCATTTTATTGTACTTTGCACATATTGCTTTTTTTTTTTTTTTTAAACAAATGAAGGTTTGTGGGAACCCTGAGTTGAGCAAGTCTGTTAGCATCATTTTTCCAAATAAGCATATGCTCACTTCATATCTCTGTGTTACATTTTGGTAATTCTCACAATATTTCAAACTTTTTCATTATTATTACATCTGTTATGGTGATCTGTTATCAGTGATCTTTAATGTTACTATCATAGTTGTTTTGGGATGCCAGGAACCATTCCCATATAAAATAGTAAACGTAATCAATAATTGTTGTGTGTGTTCCGGCTGTTACCCCGTCTCTTTCCTCCTTGGGCCTCCCTATTCTATTCCCTGAGATACCACAATATTGAAATTAGGCCGGTTAATAATCCTACAGTGGCTTCTAAGTGAAGGGAAGAGTCACATGTCTTTCACTTTAAATCAAAAGTGAGAAATAATTAAACTTAGTAAGGAATGCATGTCAAAAGCTGAGCTAAGCCAAAAGCTAGGCTGCTTTTGCCAAGTAGGTAGCCAAGTTATGCATGCAAAGGAAATGCTCTTAAAGGAAATTAAAAGTGCTACTCCAGTAAACACATGAATGATAAGAAAGTGAAACATTTGGCAGGCGTGGTGACTCACACCAGCACTTTGGGAGGCCCGAGACAGGCGGATCACGAGGTCAGGAGTTCGAGACCAGCCTGGCCAACATGGTGAAACCCTGTCTCTACTAAAAATACAAAAATTAGCCAGGTGTGGTGGCAGGCGCCTGTACTCCCAGCTACTTGGGAGGCTGAGGCAGGAGAATTGTTTGAACATGGGAGGCAGAGGTTGCAGTGAGCTGACATCACACCACTGCACTCCAGCCTGGGAGACAGAACAAGACTCCGTCTCGAGGAAAAAAAAGAAGAAGAAAGAAAGCGAAATAGCTTTATTGCTGATAGAAAGTTTGAGTGGTCTGGATAGAAGATAAAACCAGCCACAAGATTCCCTTAAGCCAAAAGCCTAATCCAGACTAAGACCTTAACTCTCTTCAATTCCATGAAGGCTGAGAGAGGTTAGGAAGCTTCAGAAGAAGAGTTTGAAGCTAGCAGAGGTTGATTCATGAGGTTTAAGGAAATAAGCCCGTCTTCATAATGTAAAAGTTTGACATGAAGTAGCAAGTCCTAATGGAGAAGCTGTGGCAAGTTATCTGGAAGATCTAGCCAAGATCATTGGTGAAGGTGACCACACTAAACAACAGATTTTCAGTGTAGACTAAACAACCTTATATTGGAAGAAGATGCCATCTAGGACTTTGGTAGCTAGAGAGAAGTCGGTGCCTGGCTTCAAAGCTTCAAAGGATAGGCTGACTCTTTTGGTAAGGGCTAATACAACCAGTAACTTAAGTTGAAGCCATTGCTCATTTCCCATTTTGAAAATCCTAGGGCTCTTAAGAATTGTGCTTAATCAACTCTGTCTGTGCTCTGTCAGTGGAACAACAAAGCCTGGATGTCAGCACATCCTCTTTACGGGATGGCTTACTAAGTATTTTAAGCTCACCATTGAGACCTACTGCTCAGAAATAAAAGACTCCTTTTAAAATATTACTGTTCATTGACAATTTAGCTGGTCACCCAAGAGCTCTGATGGAGATGTAGAAAGAAATGAATGTTTTCATGCCTGCTAAGACAACATCCATTATGCTGCCACTGATCAAGTAGTTTCAACTCTTATTATTTAAGAAACAGAATCCATAGAACATTTGTGGTAGTAGCGCAGAGTTGGTTACAATGTCCTACCACAGCAATTTCTGACATTCAAATTGGGCCTGTAGCAATGGGACTCCTTTTGATTCCTTCAGCTTTCGTATTATGTTGGTTATCTATACAGCAGGTTTCTAAATTGAAACACTTTCACTCACATCACTCATATTTCCTTCGTTTTTGGAGACTAACAGCTTGATCTAAAAAAAAATTTTTTTTTAGACGGAGTCTCACTCTTCTTGCCCAGGCCGGAGTGCCATGGCATGATCTCAGCTCACTGCAACCTCCGCCTCCTGGGTTTAAGCAATTCTCCTGGCTCAGCCTCCCGAGTAGCTGGGGCTACAGGCGCCTGCCACCACGCCTGTCTAATTTTTTTTGTATTTTTAGTAGAGACTGGGGTTTCACCATGTTGACCAGGCTGGTCTCGAACTGCTGACCTCAGGTGATCCGCCCACCTCGGCCTCCCAAAGTGCTGGGATTACAGGCATGAGCCACCGTGCCTGGCCAGGTTCTTTTTGTTTTTGTTTTAATTCCATTATAAGAAAAGCCATAAATGAGAGCCAGATAATTTACAAGGTATATTATCCCTTAATTGATTTGATTTTTGAGCAATAATTTATTTTGTAACTCTTTTGTGGGCATTTATTTATTCAGGTCTGGTCACAGTATAATCTTTAAAGTATGTTTTTTAAAAGTCTCCAACATTTTTTTATCTCAGAGTTGAATTTGCTTTCCTCTCCTGGTTGCATCACTTCTGGAAGTTGGGAGTGTTTACTGATACCTGCTTAAAAGAGCCAGTTTCTTGTAACATACCGAGTTAATAATGTTTGCACTGTTTGGTACAAGAAGGAAGTTTGGTTGCTTATAATCTCACTGGCACTCCTTCATTTATGCCATTTCCAACACTCTTCATTTCTTTGTGTAGGACTAAGTTTCTGGTATCATACATCTTTTGCCTAAAGAATTTGCTTTAACTTTTCTTATAGTGCAGATTTGTTGGCAACAGATTGTTCCAGTTTTTGTCTGGAAAAAGCCTATTTTTTTGTACACTTTAGAAAGTTACCTTTGTGGGTATAGGATTCTAAGTCTTCTGTTTTTTTTTCCCAGTAGTGTAAAAGTAAAGCTCCATTGTCTTCTGGCTTTTTGGTGAGAAGTCTACTGTCATTCTTATCTCCCTGGGTGTAGAGAGAGAGAGAGTGTGTGTGTGTGTGTGTGTGTGTGTGTGTGTGTGTGTGTGTGTGTATTTCTTCCACTGGTTTTAGATTTTCTCCTTTTCACTTGGTTTCAGTAATTTGATTAGGATATGCCTTAGTGTGGTTTTCTTCATGTTTGCTGTACTTGTGGTTCATTGAGCTTGTTGGGTTTGCAGGTTTATATCTCCATCAGTTTGGGAAATTTTCAGTCATTTCCTCGGATTTTTTTTTCTGTCCCCTCCTCTCTTTCCTCTCCTTTTGGAGACAGTATCCAAACTTGGGGGACATATACTTACTCTTCTGCTGGTTTTTCCCAGGCCTCCAGTAGTTTTTCATGCATGTGTGCAGATCAGTACTCAGCCAAAGGCAATTTGGCAAGGGCTTAGAGCATATGTGTCAGGATAATGCTACATGAGACTAAAAAAGTAAGTTGCAATCACTTGTGGAAGACTTTGAATAGCGAGCTAAGTAATACGGACTTCAGTATGAAGGCTGACATTCATTAAAGGTATTTACATAGGGAATGAAATGATTGGTGCAGTATAAAGATTAAGATAGCAGCATCAGGTGATCACGCTTAGCAGCACAATAATTGGACAGCCTAACTTTAGGTACCTTGTGATGCAGTACAGGGTGAAATACAAAACATCACCTATCTGGTATTCTAATCAAAAGTGTGGGATATTCTATAAAACAACTGGCCTCAGTTCTTTAAAAAAGTTAGTGCGATTAAAAACAAAACGGCAGAGAACTGGTCTAGATTAAGAGGGATAAAATGCATGAAGCTGATCCTGGATTTAAAAAATAAAACAAAAACATTTTAAGACAATTTAGGGAGATTTATTTGAATTCAGAGTATAGAAGCTGTATTTTGGAATTGTTGAATTTTTCAGATGAGAAAATGAAATTGTGGTTTGTAGGAAACTGTTCTGACTCTTAGGAGATGAATGCTGAAGCATTTATGAGGTGAAGACTTTTTCACATGTCAGCCAAAAAAAATAAGTGTACATATACAGAATAGGTAAGCAAATGTGGCAAAATGTTAACAATTGGTAAAGTATATCATTCTTTTAACTTTTCTGTAGTTGGGATTAAAAAGGACAGCATCAGCATATGAAGTGGTTACAGAGAAGGACTGGAGCAAGGGAAAACAGTTAAAAAGCCTCTGCTGTCTCTAATTGAGGATTAATGCAGGTCTTAGAGAGTGGCAGTTAAGAGTAGAAAGGAAGGAGAAGAATGCAAAAACAGATATGGACATAAAATCCAAAGAATTTGAAATCTTATTCAGGTGAAGTGAAAATTTAGATTGTGAGTTATAATGAAGTGACATGATTGCAATCTGAGAATCAAGACAATATCAGTAACCGATTTCTTTACTTTCTTAGTCTTTTGTTGCTGAGGCTATGTTGCTCATGGCTACTATCCTGCATTTGGGAAAATCCTCTCTTCCTAAGAAGCCAATTACTGATGATGATGTGGATCGAATTTCCCTGTGCCTCAAGGTCTTGTCTGAATGTTCACCTTTAATGAATGACATTTTCAATAAGGAATGCAGACAGTCCCTTTCTCACATGTTATCTGCTAAACTAGAAGAAGAGAAATTATCCCAAAAGGTAAGGTATATATGATGAGGCAACAAAAGTGTTTTGTGTCTCTTCGTGCAGTGGCTCACGCCTGTAATCCCAGCACTTTGGGAGGCTGAGGCAGGAGGACTCCTTGGGGCCAGGTGTTTGAGACCAGTGTGGGCTACATAGCAAGCCCCTGTCTCAACAAAAAAAATGAGAAAATTAGCCAGGCATGGTGGTATGTGCCTGTCATTCCAGCTACTTGGAAGGCTGAGGATGAAGGATCGTTTGAATCTAAGAGTTCGAGGCTGCAGTGAGCTGTGATCATACCACTGCACTCCGCCTGGGCAACAGAGTAACAGCCTGTCTCAGGAAGAAAAAAAAGAAAAGAAAAGTGCTTTGTGGGTTTTCTTGTTGTTTTGTTGATTTTTCAGTTTTCATATGTGAGGGCTGTCTCTGTCAAAAGCCTCTAAAAAACTATCTTTTCATATTAAAGAGAGACTTTGTTATATTCTCAACACAGAAAGAATCTGAAAAGAGGAATGTGACAGTACAGCCTGATGACCCCATTTCCTTCATGCAACTAACTGCTAAGAATGAAATGAACTGCAAGGAAGATCAGTTTCAGCTGAGTTTACTGGCAGCAATGGGTAACACACAGAGGAAAGAGGCAGCAGATCCCCTAGCATCTAAACTTAACAAGGTAACAAAATGTCTGATAGACTCTAAATTATTTAAATCGACTCCTTAAGGAAGTTGTTAGTGCTGCTATTTTTAAAAGAAAGATAACTATTTTGTCAAGTCACTGTGATAGGTCCATTAAACCTCAGTTGAAACTCAGAAGCTGATGAAGTACCTTACTACTATATGTGATAGTACTGTAAGTCCATCAGATGGTTTAACTCGATCCAGTTGTGTCTGGAATCATAGACCAATAAATAGAAGTTGAGGGAAGGGGATCCTTAAAGGTTAGCTGAGGTTTTTAAAGGGAAGCTGAACAGGCAACAGCCCTGGCCTCTTCCCACACCTTGACCTCACCTTCTCTTATTCTCTGCTACTTTAAACAGAGCAGTTCTACTTTTATATTCTTAATATATCGAGTTCCATATAGAATTTTATTAGGAAAATGATTCTACTCTCTTAAATATATAAATTTAAGAATCAGTGATCCCTCATCTATTAGACTGAATGAACAGTCTTACATTACTTTTGTTTAAGATAAGGTCAGTAGCAGAATTGGAATTACTAAAACAATTTCCCTCCCTTAAAATTGGGAATTGATATCAATAATATTACATTTATAAAATTTTTTTAGTTTTTTTGAATTATAGTTAAAGTTGCAAAAGATTTGCCATTTTAACCCATTTGTAAGTGTACAGTTCTGTGGCATTAATTAAATTCATATTGTTATGCAGCCATCTCCAGGACTGTTTTCATCTTGCAAAGCTGAAACTATGTCCATTAAACAATAACTCGTCATTCCTACTTCCCCTCAACCTCTACTTACCCCTAGCCACCATTCTACTTTGTGTCTCTGTGATTTTGACTATTTTAAGTACCTCACAGAAGTGGAACAATACAGTATTTTTCCTTTTGTGACTGGCATATTTCACTCAGTATAATGTCTTCAAGATTCATTCATGTCATAGCATGTATCAGAATTTCCTGCCTTATTAAGGCTGAATAATATTACATTGTAAGTATATGCCACATTTTGTTTATCCATATATCCATCCCTGGATATGTGCATTGCTTCTGCCTTTTGGTTACTGTGAAGAATGCTGCTGTTAACACAGATGTACAAATATCTGTTCAAGTCCCTGCTTTTAGTTCTTTTGGGTATATATCTAGAAGCAGAATTGCTGGATCATATGATAATTGTACTTTTAATTTTTTGAGGAACCTCCATTGTGTTTTTCATGGTAGCTACACTATTTTACATTCTTACCAGCAGTGCACAAGAGTTCCAATTTCTCCATATCCTTGCCAACACTTGTTTTGTTTTTTTTTGATGATAGCCATCTTAATGGGTATGTGAAGTGGTATCTCATTGTGGTTTTGATTTGCATTTTCCTAATGATTAGTGATGATGAGTGTCTTTTCACGTGCTTATTGGCCATTTGTATATTTTCTTTGGAGAAATGTTTGTTCAAGTCCTGTGCCTATTTTTAAATTGGGTTGTTGGTTTTTTTTGTTTGAATTTTAGGAGTTATTAATATTCTGGATACTAACCCCCTTATCAGATACATGATTTGCAAATATTTTCTTCCATTCTGTGAGTTGCCTTTTCATTCTGTTGATAATATTTGATGCATAAAAGTGTTTAATTTTGATGTTTAATCTATTTTTTCTTTTATTGCCTATGCTTTTGGTGACAATATTAGCTTTTTAAAGTACAGTGCTTTCAGTGTGTTTAAATTTGGAGTGGGAGGGCATTTGTAATTTTATTTTTGTGGCATTACAATCATTTCTTACTATATAATCTGTTTAGTGCCTCAGTTTGTGGAGCAAGGGCTACCACATGATTTGGATTTTATTTGGATCCTGAGTTTCATAGATCAAGTAGTGAGTTTAGATACTTACTGAGGGATTTAAATGAAAGTGTATCCAAATTTATTTAGTTGGCAAAATTGGGATAATGTTTAATGTATTTGCTAAATATATTTAACATTTTTCTACTACTGAACTTATAAGCTCAAAAATCAACATGTATAATACCTTATACTGAGTTATTGAGCTTAAAAACAAATAGATGTCTTAAACTCTAGGACCTGTTATTTCTTAATATTCTGGTTTCAATTTCCATTTCTGCATTATAAAACAATTTTATTTTACCTATCTCAAAATGACTTCTAAGCAACTCTGTTAATAACCTACCAGACTTAATCATTTGGCCAGGGTATGTTTGGTGAAATTGCATCTGTCATTTGATTATGTCTTTGTTTTTGTTTTGACAGGTCACCCAATTGACAGGTTTCTCAGATCCTGTATATGCAGAAGCTTACGTTCATGTCAACCAATATGATATTGTCCTGGATGTACTTGTTGTGAACCAAACCAGTGATACTTTGCAGAATTGCACATTAGAACTAGCTACACTAGGTGAGGAAACTTACCATTCAGGAAAGAGATTGTCACATAGTAGATCTTTATGACAGATTAAGGGAGGTGCACAGGTTTCAGTATAAAAATTCTCTTGAACCTTTTCTGACATTTTGAATCAAGGCTTAGTTTTTCATTTATCATTTAGTTTCCTTAAACTCCAGTTTTCTGAACCTCTGTCATACTGAATTTTTATGCTCTTGGCACATTCAGGTGGATTCATTTAATAAGCTTAATCTAGCAAATGTCAGTATTTCTAGTTATAATACGAGCTGTTTAAGTCGCAGATTGACCAGGTAGCTCACTTAGTTAATTTCTAATTGCCTCATTACAGAACTAAGTATTTTCTGAATGCATAACTGTTAGATACCACATGTGACCAAAGTAATAAATCATATTACATTTAGCAATATGAGATGCATTTTTTTTTCTTAGTAAAGACACATGGGTCAGACTGCTTACTTCCACATCTGGTTTTGAAGTTGGAAAATATAAATTGTATATGGGAACAGTGCAGTACCCCCATCAGATTTCATATGGCTTATGCAAGTGTTAAGGAACTTCAAGATATCAAGGGGAAAACATACTTTTGCCCTGTTGTCCTCAGCATAGCTTGATGGCTGTATAAAAAACCATGTTTCTTAAGCATTTACAAGTCTTTATGCAGATTGTTTTATCTTTCTTCATAATGAAGTATATAGTTTAAGACTTAAGCTTTTTGAGAAGTTTGCATTCATTCATTGAAATAAAATGACCCCAATCTCTACAAAAAATCAAGAAAATTAGCCAGGTGTGGTGGGCCACTCCTGTAGTCCCAGCGACTCAGGAGGCTGAGGTAGGAGGATCGCTTGAGCCTGGAAGATCAGGGCTGTAGTGAGCTATGATCATGCAGTTGCACTCCAGCCTAGGTAACAAAGCAAGACCCTATCTCAAAATAAATAAATGGTAGGCTCAAAGTATCCTCCCTTCCCACAAATTAAATATGGAATTATTCTGAGATGCCTATTACCTTTTAAAAGAAAATATGCCTATTGATGGTGAATAATAAGGATGGTTAAGTGGTTTCTTTATTTTGTCCTCATTATATTTGATTCATACTCTTCTCATATTCGTCATATTCCTTATTTTCCTAGAAACTATTAAGCTGCATACATTTAAGGTTTTATGGTTAGTGTGTGTGTGTGTGTGTGTGTGTGTGTGTGTGTGTGTGTGTGTGTGTATTTTTAACCATATCCAAACTCTTTCTTTCAGGGGATCTGAAACTTGTGGAAAAGCCGTCTCCTTTGACTCTTGCTCCTCATGACTTCGCAAATATTAAAGCTAACGTCAAAGTAGCATCAACAGAAAATGGAATAATTTTTGGTAATATAGGTAAGGTGCTGTTTTATGGCATGTAATGTTTGAATACTTTTACTGAAGAATTTCTATAGTGAGTAGCTGGGGACATTGTATGAGGAGAGGATCTAAATCCATTTATTCATAATTTATGAGATACTCTCTATGGTACCACGCATTGAACTATGTTCTGGATGTACAGAAATGAACCAGATAGAGTCACTGTCCTCTAGAAACTGTCAGGCAAAAGGAGGAGCTAGCTAAGGCAATATATAATTGTAGTCCAGTGTGTTACAGGTTGGTTTATATACCATATGCTTTGAGGTTAGGGAAAAAAAAAATGCTAACAGTGTGGAAGGCTTTATAAAGGAAGATGGTGTGTTATCAAAGGATAATATTTTACCTGAGTCATTTGTTGCTAGGTGCACAAGGGTATCTCAGACCTAGGGATTAGCTTGTATAGAGTCATTCAGTCAGTAAGCTTATTTTGTTGCAATTTCTGTCATAAGGATAGGGCTACCATGGTGAGGAACAAATGATAGATTATGGTTGAGTAAGGGAAAACAGATATATAAAATAAATATGTGCAGTATGTAATGGTAAGTACTGTGAAAGAAAAAAATAAGTAAACCTGTACTAAGTAAGGTAGGAATCCATAAAGGGATTTGGTCAGTTCTCAGAGTGGTGGGGGATTGGGAGAAAAGCTTAGAAAAGGCTTCATGGAGGAGCAAGTGCTCAGTAGAAGACTACAGATAGACAAGGATGCAGTTAGAATAAATGCAAATGATTTGATACACTTGGAGTTCAGAATGGGTTGGAGGATGATGGCAGGAAAAAAATGAAGTTAGGAAGGTTTGTGGAAGCCATATTTTACTTGTCATGCTAAGGATGTTAGACTTTATCTGTGGAGAGAGGAAACATTGAGGAATTACAAATGAATGACTTATAGCATTATATCTTTTTGCGACAGTACTATAGAAGGTTGATTGGAAGAGGCAGGAAGATTAACTAGTAGAGAAGCCCAAGTGAGAGATGGCAGAGGACTTGAGCCAACACAGTAGTGGAATGGAGAGAAGGATGAATATAATATTAAGGATATGGTTAATGATTGAAGAGGAAGTGGCTAGAGTAACACTCAGATTTCCAGATTAGGTTTATTGGGTTGTTTATGTCATCATCATAACAGGAAATACAGGAGAGAAGAACAAACTTTAGAGAGACATAATAGGTTAAATCTTGAGCAGGTTCGGTATTAAAGTGCCTAAAGATATTCAAGGACAGTTTGATGTGAGTCTGGGACACAAACAAGAGGTCTAAACTAGAGATAGGCCGGGTGTGGTGGCTCATACCTGTAATTCCAGCACTTTGGGAGACCGAGGCGGGCAGATTACCTGAGATCAGGAGTTCTCAAGACCAGCCTGGCCAACATAGCGAAATCCTGTCTCTACTAAAAATACAAAATTAATTGGGCGTAATGGCGCACGCCTGTAGTCCCAGCTAACTCGGGAGGCTGAGGCAGGAGAATAGCTTGAACCCATGAGACAGAGGTTACAGTGAGCCGAGATCGCACCACTGCGCTCCAGCCTAGACAACAGAGTGAGACTCTGTCTCAAAAATAAATAAATAAGTAAAAATAAACTAGAGATAAGTATTTGTTTAAAAGCCATAGGAATAGAAGAAATCACCCAGAGAGGGCATACAGACTAAAAAGAGGGGAGATTTGAAAACAGAATCCAAGCAAACAGCAACACTGAAAGCTTGGTCAAAGGAGAAAGAGCCTACAAGGGTATCTGAAGTGTGGTTAGAAAAGTAAGGAAAAACCTTCAGAAAGTATTTGAAGCTCCACAGGATAAAATAACTTTAGTTATTAAAGTCTGAAAGAGAGGTCTTTTGGATTTGGCTATTAGTGATTTTAAAACATTTCTTGTGGGACATCTTGGGTGTTAGTGGTGGGTTGAAGACTAAATACGATATGAAGAAATACAGGTAGTGTAGACTATTCTGAGTGTAGGATCTTGGCTTTGATAGGAATAAGAAGGGGCAGTACCAAGAAGAGAAGGCAAGAATGAGTGAGGATTTATTTTTTGAAAATAAGAGAACCTCGAGTATATTTATAGACCATAAGGGAAGAAAGTTGGTAGAGAATGGGAAAGTAAAGACATAAGGATGAAAGAGATAGTGATTGGAGTGGGGTCCTGGACCAAAGCAGGAATCACAGATGGCAGGAAGTATTAATCTTGAAGAAATGAGGTAGTACTTCTCTGATACGTATGAGAGGGAAGGATGTGAGAGTGAATTCCAAGAGAGAGAGTTGTTTTTAGATGTGGAGCTGAAAATTAAAGGAGCTTATTCTTGGTAGCCTCAGTTTTCCCTGAAAGTTGAAAGAGTGGAAGAATGTCAAGAAAAGAGCCTAGAGGCCGGGCACAGTGGCTCATGCCTGTAATCCCAGCACTTTGGGAGGCCAAGGCGGGTGGATCATGAGGTCAGGAGTTCAAGACCAGCCTGGCCAAGATGGTGAAACCACATCTCTACTAAAAATACAAAAAATTAGCCAGGCGCGGTGGCAGGCGCCTGTGGTCCCAGCTACTCAGGAGGCTGAGGAAGGAGAATCATTTGAACCCGAAGGGTGGAGGTTGCAGTGAGCTGAGATTGTGCCACTGCACTCCAGCCTGGGTGACAGAGTGAAACTCCATCTCAAAAAAAAAAAAAAAAAGAAAAGAAAAGAGCCTAGAAAGAGGAATGTAGGCTCCAATCAGATTATAACTCTCTACTGTGGAAGAAATGGTCATAGAAGCAAATATAGTCAGCCTTCTGTATCCGTGGGTTCCACATCCATGGATTCAACCAGCCACAAACTGAAAATATTTTAGAAAAAAAAAAAAATGGTTGTGTCTATACTGAACATATATAGACATTTTTTCCTTGTCATTATATCCTAAACAATACAGTATAACTATTTACATAGCATTTATGTTGTATTAGGTACTGTAAGTAAGCTAGAGATGATTTAAAATATATGAGAAGATGTGTATAGGTAATGCAAATACTATGCCATTTAATATCAGGGACTTGAGCATCTGTAGATTTTGGTATCCATAGGGGGTCCTGGAAGCAATTCCCCATTAATACTGAGGGATGACTAATCTTGTATCATTAAGTAGTATGGGTCAGCAATATTTATTCAAAAGTATTAGTTAAGTACCTCCTATGGGAACATCGTCCACTTGTATATCTGCTGCAGTGCCTAGTATGCTGCAACTGCTATGTAAGTACTCACTGAATTGAATTATTTGTTTAACCACAAAAAACAAAGTGTGCCTGAGTTCGAATCCTATCCCCACCACTTATCAGTTGTGTGATCTGGAACAACTTACTTAACTTCTCTGCTTTCATTTCCTCATATGTAAGATGGAAAATAATAATACTATCAGAATTGATGGGAGTATTAAACCAGTAATATTTATAAAGCATGTAGAATAGAGCTCTGTACATAATAAGTATTATATAAACAATCTTATTGTTAATAGTGTAGTTCTTTGGATATTTGGATATTAAGATTTTTTAAATTCAAGTTTGCCCCAGTGATTGCGAATCTTTTTGTATATGTAATTGCAGTTTATGATGTCTCTGGAGCAGCAAGTGACAGAAATTGTGTGGTTCTCAGTGATATTCACATCGACATCATGGACTATATCCAGCCTGCAACTTGCACTGATGCAGAATTCCGTCAGATGTGGGCCGAATTTGAATGGGAAAACAAAGTTAGTCCTTGGGAGATTTTCTCATATTCCTTTATCTTTCTTCCTTTTGCCTGCTGTTGAGGAGTCTGCTAATAAAATTAATCTCGCTAAAAAGTGTTTAACATGAAAAGCAAATAGTCTTTCAGTATCTGTTCTTGCAAATTAGCCTTAACTAAAAATCATGTAAGTAGTTTGGTAATTTGCTGTTATAAATTGATTAGAGTAGCAGTTCTATAGCCAATCTGATAGGTTTAGACATTATAGGTAATATTCCATCCCTTCTATGTATGACCAAGAGCTTACCATTTAATCTAGTGCCCGAAAAAGGCTTTACAAAGTTCATGGTCTGTTGAGGAACTTTGTCCCTTTGAGCCTTGACTTTTATTAGAAATATTCTATATGAGGCTGGGCACGGTAGCTCGTGCCTGTAATCCCAGCACTTTGGGAGGCTGAGGCAGGCAGATTGCTCGTGCTCAGGAGTTCTAGACCAGCCTGAGCAAAATGGTGAAACTCCATCTCTACAAAAAATACAAAAATTAGCCCGGTGTGGTAGTCCCAGCTACTCCGGAGACTGAGGTGGGAGGATCACTTGAACATGGGAGGTTGAGGCTGCAGTGAGCTGAAATGACGCACTGCACTCTAGCCTGGGTGACAGAGTGAGACCCTGTCTCAAAAAAAAAAAGAAATATTCTATATGCTTCATATTGAATCTCTGTGAAGTTATCTCTATTGGGAAGTACTGATACCAACCTACAGCTTGTTGGATTTTATAGATGTTATTTAGTTTCTTGGTGTCTACTCTTTCCAACCTAAACAGTTGGAACAAGTTTTTAATATGACATACTGGTGATTCACAGCTTTCTCATAGTAAGATTTATGATCTCCTTGACTTTTTTTTCCTCTCTACAGGTGACAGTTAACACCAACATGGTTGATTTAAATGACTACTTACAGCACATATTAAAGTCAACCAATATGAAATGCCTGACTCCAGAAAAGGTAAAATTTGACTAGGAAATTCAGAAATCTGATGGAATGGTAGAGTAGGTTCCTGGCCTTCCTGTATTTCCTCTAGCACATTTTTGTTATTCAATATGCAGTACCATTCTAGGCTATCTAAAAGATGTTATCCCATAGAATGTTGGAATCTGCTTACCTCTTTCTATTGGACTATACCATCCTACTTTTTCCTAGTGCAGTGACCCAACTGAATAGTCAGATTAATTTTTTTTTTATTTTCTTTTCAATCTTCTCCCCCATTCAGCTAGAGGCACATTCTAAAGTAGTTTATGCTGCACATGGTGGTTCATTCCTGTGATCCTAGCACTTTGAGAGGCTGAGGCGGGCAGATCACTTGAGGTCAGGAGTTTGAGACCAGCCTGGCCAATATGGCGAAACCCCATCTCTACTAAAAATACAAAAATTACCCAGGTGTGGTGGCACGTGCCTGTAATCCCAGCTACTTGGGAGGTTGAGGCAGGAGAATCACCTGAACCCCAGGGGGTGGAGGTTGCAGTGAGCCGAGATCACACCACTGCATTCCAGCGTGGGTGACAGAGTGAAACTCTGTCTCAAAAAGATAAATAAAATCGTTTATTTGTAATACTGGATTAGAAAATGTCCATGAGCTCTTCCGTGGGCTCTGATTGTTGGTTAAAATATATGTGCTCAAATACAGAATCGTTGTTATACTGTGACTTTTTGCTATGTTTGTGTATGTATGAAAAAAACGAGAGAGAAAGAAAAATGAAGCTGGAGCTCTAAGGAACTTTTTTCTTTATGTAAAATTTCTATAATGTTATAATATTCATTTTATAAATAAAATAATGTCTGCTACCAAACAAGTAGGTTTTAATTTATATATTAGTTTATTCAGCATATACTGAGTCCAACAAAAGTAGTCTCTTCCTTCATGGCGCTTAAGGTCTGATATGGGAGGCAGTCAAGCAAGTTAAGTAAACAGAATATATAAATACAAATCGGATTAAGAACTATTTATTTAACATCAGATTTATTGAGGTATAATACACAGTAAAATTCACACTTTTTACATGTATAGTTGAGTTTTGACAAACTCATAAGATTATGTAACCACCACCCTGTATGTAAGTACTGTTTTAAGTGATAAATAACCAATGGGGCTGGGCGTGGTGGCTCACACCTGCAGTCCCAGCATTTTGGGAGGCCGAGGCGGGTGGATCACTTGAGGTCAGGAGTTCAAGACCAGCCTGGCCAACATGGTGAAACCCTGTCTCTACTAAAATTACAAAAATTAGCCAGGTGTGGTGGCGAATGCCTGTAATCCCAGCTACTTGGGAGGCTGAGGCAGGAGAATCGCCTGAACCTGGGAGGAAGGTTGCAGTGAGCCGAGATCACGCCACTGCACTCCAGCTCCAAGCTGGACAACAGAGTGAGACTCTGTCTCAAAAAAAAAAAAAAAAAAGTCACCTATGCTGTTTGGTTTTTGCCTCTATGTAGGTATCTGGTAAAGTAATGAATTTATCACAAATTTTTTCCAGGCCCTTTCTGGTTACTGTGGCTTTATGGCAGCCAACCTTTATGCTCGTTCCATATTTGGTGAAGATGCACTTGCAAATGTCAGCATTGAGAAGCCAATTCACCAGGGACCAGATGCTGCTGTTACCGGCCATATAAGAATTCGTGCAAAGAGCCAGGTAACAGTTCCTTTTTTTTTGAGAGTATCTCTGGACTGACAAAGGGGGGAGGAATTTATGACTTTATTATTTCTATATGTAGTATCTTTTTAGCATTAGATGCATATACACATACAATAATAATATACTCTGAATAGAAGTATAACTTTTCTCATTAAAATTTCTCACCTTTTGGGCCCCTCATTCTGGGATATTTGCCTAAAACCAGATTGATTCCTATGGGGTGTTTGTGAAATGGGTTCTCTAGAATTTTTTGAAAGCCAAGGTGTAAATCTAGTGACTAATTAGCTGGGTGTTGTAGCGCACACCCGGTAATCCCAGCTACTCGGGAGGCTGAGGCAGGAGAATTGCTTGAACCCGGGAGGTGGAGGTTGCAGTGAGCTGAGATTGTGCCATTTCACTCCAACCTGGGTGACAGAATGAGACTTCGTCTCAAAAAAAAAAAAAAAAAAAAAAATCTGGTGACGGCTTGAAAAATCTAGCACTGAAAGGTAATTACCAGTAAAGTTTGGTAAGTCTGTTTGGTATGTCCTTGATTTTATTGTTGATAATGGTGTCATTGAATTGAATTGGGGCTTAATAATATGGAATAACCTACTGATTGTACATAGTTTAAATAATTATAAATATCTTAATTTTTCTTTACAGGGAATGGCCTTAAGTCTTGGAGATAAAATCAACTTGTCACAGAAGAAAACTAGTATATAAAAATAAACAAAAAGTCCTTGAAGCTTTACAGTTAATTTAGGTATGGGCTTACTGGACTCCAACATCTTTTGTACTCTTTCATGCTTATATAGAATCTGAGTTCATGCTGAATACTTTTCAGCCAATAATTTATAGCCTTTCCCTTAAATCAAGATTGAGTTTAAAATTATAGTTTGTCTTTTGTCTTAACAGTTCTGAATGCTGTCCTCAAAGTATATAATGTTTCATGTACCAAGACCCTTTTCACAGTACAATAAACAGATCTATTCATAAATTTTTGTTATTTTATAAATAAATGATTACATAATTTTAGTTATATGGCAATGGATTTCTTTTAGTTGGGTTATAAATTTCTATTATAAATTTAAATTACTGAGTTGTGAATATATGCAGCTTTATTAAGAGAATTTACAAATTCAATGATATAAAATAAGGTAGGCCTTGATTCACTTGGTTGTTTTTTACTTATTTAATATTCCAACATTGCTATCTCTAAAAATGCATTATCATGTTTTGAAGGGATTTGCTCTTGAATTTAGCTCCAGGGAGAAAGTATCAAAATAACTTTTTTTTTTTTTTTTGAGATGGAGTCTGGCTCTGTCACCCAGGCTGGAGTGCAGTGGCGTGATCTTGGCTCACTGCAAGCTCCACCTCCCGGGTTTACACCATTCTCCTGCCTCAGCCTCCCAAGTAGCTGGGACTACAGGTGCCCGCCACCACGCCTGGCTAATTTTTTGTATTTTTAGTAGAGACGGGCTTTCACCATGTTGGCCAGGATGGTCTCGATCTCCTGACCTCGTGATCCGCCCGCCTCAGCCTCCCGGAGTGTTGGGATTACAGGCGTGAGCCACCGCACCCGGCCCAAAATAACTTGAGAAAACAGATCGCTCTGCAGTTTAAAGAAGTATTATGTACCCGAACTGAAATAGATATACTGTTCTTAATTATCCTGAATCATAATGAAGAGTAGATAATCCAAAATAGATTTTTTAATCATTCACATTTAGTTTGGGGTGTTCTATGTTTGTTAGGAATAAAACTGGTTCTAACCAATTACTGAAGCTGGTACTGGGAGGATTCAACTAGAGAGGATTCAAAAAGCTGCCTTTTTCTCTGTTGCCTCCGTGCCTTACTCACATTTAGTTTAGGGTGTTCTATGTTTGTTAGGAATAAAACTGGTTCTAACCAATTACTGAAGCTGGTACTGGGAGGATTCAACTAGAGAGGATTCAAAAAGCTGCCTTTTTCTCTGTTGCCTCTGTGCCTTACTCACTCGTCTCCTTTTCCTCACTTCACACTAGGACTGGGTACCATCACACTGCAGTATAATTCCAAATGCATTTCCAAGCTAAGTTTCCCAGCGTCTGATTGTGCTTTCCTTTTGGCCTTTACTTTCATTGGGGGTGATTGAGGTAGTCTGATTTTTTAGCTAAGTCTAAACTTAAGGCTATTATTTGTCTACCAGCTAGGGTTCAGGCTGCATTCCCTGTGAGTCCTTAGATAAGGTCTGTGAAAGACTGAAAGCATCTCCTATTTCATTAAGAATGAAATGATTTGTTTGGAGTATAAGGAGATTGATACCTTGTATGATGTCATAAACTGTGAAGCCACTTGCTTTTAAAAAAAAAAAAAGAAAAAAAAAGCCTAGATTACAGGGCATTTGAGATTCCAGAACACTGAGATCTTAGAACAAAGCCAGGGCTTATCAAATGGGAAAGATATACTGGAAGTGCAGAGAAGGGATGTCGATTCAAGGGTAGAGATTTGCAATGAGAGCGAAGGAGCTGGTGCAACTTTGGATTAGATCATCATTTCCCAAACTCTGTTCTACTGAACATTAGCTTCCTTAGATGTCATTAGATATTCTGAGTGAAAAAGTAATTCCATAGTCAAGTAAGTTGGGGAAAAGCTTCAAACTGTCCTGCACTGGAGATTCACAATGTACATTAGCATACCAGAGATTCTGAGAGGAAAGCAGATTAGTTTGGTTTAACCCAGTATATCCTAACCTTACTTTACCAGGGAATCCTTTTTCCATGACCTATTGACAATATATGGGACAGGAAAAGTGACTTAGCCTGTTAATGATATTAGTGTTGTAATCACAGTTAACCAGTATCACATTTCATATCTGAAGGAATTATGCCTGTGTACATCCTAGAATATATCTCGGTTGATACTCTTAGAAAGTTGCCTGCCTGACATATTCAGGCCATTTTTGTTGGAATCAGATTGCCTCACATTGCCATTTTCTTAAATTCATAAATAAGGAGAACAAAGAAGTTAACACAATTGTCAGATACATTAAACTGTTTACTTCATTAGCATTTCATTAGCTTTGTGCATGTAATAAATGTGAACTGAATTGGATAGCAGCACATTGTTGAAAGAAGCTGTTTACACTATGCCCTGTTATTTGGGATATAATATACATTCAAAGATAGTAGCTGTTCACATTATAAGATACCATATAATTAGGACCATGATGTCCGGTAGAGAATAAACATTAAATACCAAATGAAAGCTTAATATATTAATGTATTGAATGTGGATAAACCTGTAAAGCTTACAGGAGCATTAAATGGCTTACATTGCAGTAATGTCACAACACTAGAGGGAGCTCTGTGCAGTGATTTTTTTTTTTTTTTTTTTTTTTTTTCATTTTGCAATTAGAAGAGATTGGCACTCAGTTGTTTTATAAGAAGAAAAAGGGTCAAGTGTGGTGGCTCGCACCTATAATCCCAACACTTTGGGAGGCCAAGGCTGGAGGGTGGATTGAGGCCAGGAATTCAAAACCAACCTGGGCAACATAGACCCTGTCTCTACAAAAAAATTTTACAAATTAGCCTGGTATGGTGGCATGTGCCCGGGAAGCTGAATCGGGAGAAATTCTCGGGACCAGGAGTTCAAGGCTGCAGCGAGCTATGATTGTGCCGCTGCAGTCCATCCTGGGTGACAGGGTGAGACTCCCTCTCTTTTAAAAAAAAATTTTTTTTTAAAGGAGCCTGGGCATGGTGGTTTATGCCTGTAATCCCAACACTTTCGGAGGCCAAGGTGGGAGTATCACTTGAGCCCAGAAGTTCAAGACCAGCCTGAGCAACAAAGAGATCCCCCATCAAAAAAAAAAAAATTTAAGAAAAAGCAAGATTATTTTTCCTTTTTTAAAAAACTTTTTTTTTTTTTTTTGAGACGGACTCTGGCTCTGTCACCAGGCTGGAGTGCAGTGGCACAATTGGCTCACTGCAACCTCCACCTCCCTGGTTCAAGCAATTCTCCTGCCTCAGCCTCCTGAGTAGCTGGGACTACAGGCGTGGGCCACCATGCCCAGCTAATTTTTATCTATTTTTAGTAGAGATGGGTTTTCACCATATTGGCCAGGATGGTCTCAATCTCAACCTCGTGATCTGCCTACCTCAGCCTCCCAAAGTGCTGGGATTACAGGCGTGAGCCACGGTGCCCGGCCTTTTTTTTTTTTTTTGGGACGGGGTCTGGCAGTGGTGCGATCTTGGCTCACTGCAACCTCCACCTCTCTCACCTCATCACCCGAGTAGCTGGGACCACAGGCACATGCCACCATGCCCAGCTAATTTAATTTTTGTATTTTTTGTAGAGACAGTTTTGCCATGTTGCCCAGGCTGGTCTCAAACTCCTGAGCTCAAGCAATCCATCCACATTGGCCTCTCAAAGTTTTGGGATTACAGGCGTGAGCCACTGCACCTGGCTATTTTTCTATTAGCAAGGTAATTCGTAAATGAGAACAAAGAGAAGGAAGTTAATATAGTTGGCAGATACATCAAGCTGTTTGCTTACCTCACTAATAGAAAACTTGCTTTTTCTTCTTTTAAAAACAACTTTGGCTGGGCACGATGGCTTACACCTGTAATCCCAACACTTTGGGAGGCTGAGGCAGGCAGATGGCATGAGCCTGGGGTTTAAGACCAGCCTGGGCAACATGGCAAAACCCTGTCTCTACAAAAAATTAAAAAATTAGCCGGGCGTGGTGGCATGCACCTGTAGTCCTAGCTATTCAGGAGGCTGAGGTAGGAGGACTGATAAGGCCCAGGAGGTTGAGGCTGTAGTGAGCTGTGATCATGCCACTGCATTCCAGCCTGGGCAACAGAGTGAGACCCTGTCTCAGAAAAAAAAAAAAAAAAAAATGCCAAGGTTGATAGTGATATTTTGCTACCTGTCAGAAACTTTTCTACTTAAGTGGGAAATAATGTGGGAGACAAAAACTCATTTTAGGGATATCAGAAAGGTAAGAGAACCAAAACATAAATATCTTTAGAAACTCAAATAATATCAGAGGTGAAATATTTGTGCTATGTATTGGGTAAACTAAGTAGTTTTATTTGTGACTTGTTCCTTCCAGATTGATGAATGTTCCAGTCAGCTAATGTATAGCCTTTCTCTTAAATCAAGATTGAGTTTAAATTATAGCTTGTCTTTTAATAGTTCTGAATGCTGTCCTCAAAACGGTTAGGGATACCAGCCTCCTGCCTTACTTTCCTCTCCCAGATTCTCAGTACACCATCACTGTTACTGTCCCCAGCTCCATTCTCTACCTCCAGGATCTCAGGAGCCTACAGAAGTAACCAGGTATGATGCAGAAGTTCAGTTTAGAATTAGGAAAGTATGGAATCCTATCTGCTAGTTATGTGCTATGTAGTCTCAGGCAATGGTAAATAGCTAACTTAGTCAGTGCTTACTTGTGCCAGGGTATAACTGTGAGTGCTTTTTCCATGACATTTACAGTGTTCACAATGATCCTCTAAGGCAAATACTGTTAATACCATCATTTAAGGATGACGATTACAGTCTTACAACAGGTTAAGTCACTTATTCAAGGTTTAATAGTAAGAGACAAACTCAGATATAAAGCCAGGTATCTGACACTAAAGCCCTTGTAACTAGTCACACATTGCCACCACAGCCTAATAAATTGTACCTCAGTTTCCTCATTTGTAAGGTGCTTTTAAGGTGTATTTCACAGAGGTGATATGAACATGAAATGATACTTATTATGAATATTTAACACACAGTAGATGCTCATCAGTATGTATTCATTCCATTTTTTCCCACATTGACCTTCCTTACCTTTCAGAGGAGACTGAACCCTGTTCCCATTATCTTTATACTTCCCTCAGAATTTAGGTCTTCATTTTACACTGTAAAATGTACGTTTTACACAGTAACTTACTTAAAAGAATCTTCATGTCTTGAGAATTATTCAATTGAGGTATCATTGGCCCTTGACTCTGTAACTATTTGTTGTGTAGTTTTTTTTGTTTTTGTTTTGTTTTGTTTTGTTTTGTTTTTTGAGACGGAGTTTCACTCTGTTGCCCAGGCTGGAGTGCAATGGCACGATCTCAGCTCACCGCAACCTCCGCCTCGTGGGTTCAAGCGATTCTCCTACCTCAGCCTCCCGAGTAGCTGGAAGAACAGATGCCTGCCACCATACCTAGCTAATTTTTGCATTTTTAGTAGAGATGGGGTTTCTCCACATTGGTCAGGCTGGTCTCGAACTCCTGACCTGAGGTGATCCACCACCTCAGCCTCCCAAAGTGCTGGGTTTACAGGTGTGAGCCACCGCACCCAGCCTGTTGTGTAGTTTTTTTAATAAGCTCTTGGCACTTTTGCCTATCAACTATTGTTAGCTAAACGTAATTGTCATAACCCATGTTCCTCATGTGATAGATCATCTATGGTGAACATACTGGCTTTGTTTGCTTTCAGAATGACAATCAGATGACTGGTTCTTTAAAATTGAGCCCAGAGATATGTGCAGCCAGGTTACAATAACAGTGTGATGTTTAGGGGTTGCTCACTGTGATCAAAAGTCACTTCTAATAATCTGACCACTTCCTCTTTTATTTTCTCCATCTAGCAATGGCAGAATCTCTGAGAAGTCAGTCATGCAGTGACAAAAGAATGCAAGTGGGATTTGTGTCTTTTATCTGGGCTCTGTATATAATTATAGGATTCTGAGAAAACTTTGCGTTGTATGTATTTTGGAATAATTGTATGTGGAATAATTGTATTAGTTAGGGTCCTCTAGAGGGACAGACTAATAGGATATATATATAAAGGGGAGTTTATAAAGTATTAACTCACACGATTACAAGGTCCCACAATAGGCTGTCTGCAAGCTGAGGAGCAAGGAAAGCCAGTCTGAGTCCCAAAACTGAAGAACTTGGGAGTCTGATGTTCGAAGGCAGGAAGAGTCTAGCACTGGAGAAAGATATAGGCTGGGAGGCTAGGCCAGTCCAGTCCAGTCTTTTCTTTTCTTTTTTTGAGATGGAGTTTTGCTCTTGTTGCCCAGGCTGGCGTGCCATTGCATGATCTCGGCTCACTGCAACCTTTGCCTCCCAGGTTCAAATGATTCTCTTGCCTCAGCCTCTGGAGTAGCTGAGATTACAGGCGCCTGCCACCAAGCCCAGCTAATTTTTTTGTATTTCCAGTAGAGATGGGGTTTCACCATGTTGGCCAGGCTGGTCTCGAACTCCTGACATCAGGTGATCCACCTGCCTCAGCCTCCCAAAGTGCTGAGATTACAGGCGTGAGCCACCGCGCCTGGCCTCAGTCTAGTCTTTTCACGTTCTTCTGACTGCTTTATATTCTAGCCACACTGGCATCTGATTAGATGGTGCCCACCCAGATTAAGAGTGGGTCTGCCTTTCCCAGCCCACTAACTCAAATGTTAATCTCCTTTGGCAACACCCTCACAGACACACCCAGGATCAATACTTTGCATCCTTCAATCAAATTGACACTCAATATTAACCATCACAATTGTAAAACCAACAAAATAAACAAATGAAATGCAGCATGTTGGACTGAAAGAGTCCTGAATGAATTTTTCTAAATCTATTCTCAATTCACTAAGTAGCTTTGTGAAAACAGACAGATGTCACTGGGCCTATGTTCTTATCTGTAAAATGAAACAATTCAGCTAGCTGACTTTCTGGGTTTCTGGCTTAAAAATCTATACTAAAAAGCCTTATGTTTTATTTTTGTTTTTTATGTTTTTAAAAATATCCTTATTTTATTTTATTGTTTATTTTATCCATAAACAAGGAGCAGGAAAGCCTTGTGTTTTTATAGCTACCTCTTCAACAAGCTCTGTAAATCAACTGGGATATCTCTACCTGGATGTTACCAATGGGCACATCAAAATGAAATGGAATTTATCTTGTTCCCCTAACTTGCTCCTCTACTGTGTTCTCTGGTAATTTATGCTAGAAACCCAGTAGTCATCTTTAACTCTACCCTCACACCTATATCTCATCAGACACCAAGACTCATTTTTTTCCCTTCCTCAATATTTTTCTAATCTTCTTTCCCCACTCCACTGCCATTGTCCTGGTTTAGACTCTCGTCGTCCTTAACGTGGTCTCCTACAGTAGCCTAACCATAAACTTCACATATAATTTTAAAATTAAAGCCTATGCCTTAATTTTAGTCACATACAACAGTTTCTATACAATTTTTGGACCTGGTCAGACTCTTCCCTACTAATACTATTTTTGAGAGGCATACTGAAAAAAAGAAAAAGTCCAAAGATTTAATAACATTTTTAATAATAAAAATGAAAAATGATCAAGATGCTCCAAAATGAGTATTGACAAGCAATGGTGGTGTGTCTATAGTCTGTACCAGAGTACCCAGTAGATAGTAGATGCTTAATAAATATTTGTTGAGTGACCAAATGAATAATGCATATAGTCATAAAGATAACTAGGGTGTGGACTAAATTGCACTGTGGGGATGTGCCTAGGAAAAAAATGTTAGGTGAGAAAAAGACAGCACTCTCCTACATTATGATAATGTCTCCTGCATAAGATGAATCAGGGCCGGGCGCAGTGGCTCACGCCTGTAATCCCAGCACTTTGGGAGGCCGAGGCAGGTGGATCACCTGAGGTCAGGAGTTCATGACCAGCCTGGCCAACATGGTGAAACCCTGTCTCTACTAAAAATACAAAAAAAAAAAAAATTAGCCGGGCATGGTGGTGGGCACCTGTAATCCCACTACTCGGGAGGCTGAGGCAGCAGAATAGCTTGAACCTGAGAGGCGGGGGTTGCAGTGAGCCCAGATTGTGCCATTGCACTCCAGCCTGGGCAACGGGGCAAGACTCTGTCTCAAAAAAAAAAAAAGATGAGTCAGGATATGTTGCAGATACATGGCCTATCTCTCCAAGTGAATAGGAAATTGAAATATCACATCAGTCTTATCTCCAGTACATCTTGAAAATAAATGTTGTCTACCCCACCCACCCTGTTACTGGGTGTAGCTAAGATATTTTATTGGCTACAGTCCCTGATTCCAGCTTTTGTGATTTTTATATCTGTGATCTTGATCTCTTGGGATTCAAAGTGGCTGAAACCTCAGCCTTTTCTGGGCATCCTCTTGTGAGTTAACAATGTATTCCCTTATAAGAGGGTGGGAACAGATTCCTACCACACAGGACTTCACCAGCCAGGGTGTAGGGAAAATGCCCATCTGGCTCAAGGAGTCTGGGAAAATTACTGACTTCTACTGAGCTATGCAAACCATTTCTGAAAGCCCAACAACATTTAAAAAGTGAATTTAATGAATTATAATCAAAATTTTCTCTTTCTACAAAGTAAGTCACACTTTTTTTTTTTTAAGTGATCCCTTGCTTTGAGTAAAAGTATGACTGCTTTCTGTTAGGCTAAGAGCATGTTTTTCAAACTTTCCCTGCTAGAACACTAGTATTCCACAAACTGGACAAATGTGTTCCCACAGCTAAAATCAGATAGTGATGATCTTTTTCCCAAGTTGGTAGAACACATTTTGTCAATTTTATGTTTATTCTCTATAAAGATTTTTAACACTTTAATGCCTGCTACCAAACTTTAAAAGTACTGAGGAAGCATTATGGAAATATTAATATTTGGTGGGATGAATGTTCTTGATCTAACAGCTTGTCTTTGTGGCCATATGTGCTCCTGGTGGTTTTATATTGCATACATATATTTTCAGCTAGCAAATTGTTTCTTGTTTATCAAATTGAATTTGTATTTCATGGTTGTAGCAAAGGACAATTTGGTTTCTAGGTGCCCCACTACCATCCTAGATGTTTGTATAAAACATAAAACCCAAATGCTCTTATGTAATCCATATATAGTGCTCATAAACACCGTTTACCCTAATGAAATAAGCCTTGGTAATGGAAATGTAAATCCCAGTTCAGGTAGTCCCCAGCTTATGCCTTCAATGTAAAAGAACTCTGGAAACGCCCTGGAAGAGTGCACCCTTGTTTTTGGCACTCAACCTGTATGCTTTTTCCCTCATTCCCCAAACTAAGATAAAACACAGGGACTCAGTGCTAAGGACCCTTGGGTTCTGACTGGTAATACCTGCTGTACATCTAGTGTTATGCAACATCCTGGTGTTACTAAGAGTAAGATAAAGTCTGGTGAATATTTTAAGGGCACAGAAACACCTAATCAGAGCACTGCTTGAAAGTCTTAAAATAGAAAAATGTATCAATTGCTGTGAGAGCACAGAAAACTGGTGGCTATCAGAGGAGAGTCAGGTATAGTTTCATAAAGAGGTGACATTTGAATTAAGCCTTGAAAAGCATAAATTTGGCTGCTTAATGTCAAATAAGGGATGGGGGAAAAGGGGTGAAAAAACCATTCCAGCCACAAAACAGGTGGGAGAAAGTCACAGAGGTACATGACACAGAGAATTGGGTTCTATTCAACATAGCATCTTTGGGAGGCAATACGATTAGGCTGGAGATGGCAAATTGTAAGCAGATAGTGACAAATTTGCTTTTTGTTTGTTTTTTAAGAGACAGGGTCTTGCTCTGTCACCTAGGCTGGAGTGCAGTGAGTGGCGTAACCATAGTTCACCGTAAGCTTGAACTCCTGGGCTCAAGCAATCCTCCCACCTCAGCCTCCCAAGTAGTTAGGACTAAAGTGTATGCCACCACACTGAGCTAATTTTTAAAATTCTTTCTTTTTTGTGAGATAGGGTCTTGCTGTGTTGTCCAGGCTGGTCTTAAACATCTGACCTCAACTGATTCTCCTGCTGCAGACTCCCAGAGTGCTGGGATTACAGGTGTGAGCCACTGAGCCCAGCCCAGATTTGCATTTAGGAAAAAACCTTTGGAGAATAGATTGGAAGTGTGGGAGACCAGTTAGAAGCCAACTGTAGAAGCAAAATTCAAGAGTAATTTTAAGCTGGGTGCAGTGGCTCACACCTGTAATTCCAGAACTTTAGGAAGCCAAGGTGGGAGGATTGCTTGAGCCCAGGAGTTTGAGACTGGCCTGGGCAACATAGTGAGACCCCTGTCTCTACAAAAACTAAAATAGCCCAGCATGGTGACCCAGCTACTTGGGAGGCTAAAGTGGGAGGATTGCTTGAGCCCAGGAGTTCAAGGCTGCATTGACCTATGATTGTGCCACTGCACTCCAACCTGGGTAACAGAGCGAGACCCTGTCTCTTTTTAGAAAAAAAAAAAAAAAGTTATTTTGACAGAACATGATGTGGAAAGTGGGACATGGAAGGGGCAGGGAGTAAGGGACAGGTAGGAGCTTTTAAAAAAACTTAAACATGTTTTCCTAAGGGCAAATGCTACTCTGAAAAATGGGTAGGGTTATCAAATCTGCTCTTCCTCATATGTAAAACACTTCCTGTCTTAAGCCATTACTGAAATGACATGAAATTTAATCAGTAAAGGTGTGTACAGATGAGTGATGGAGTAGTTATTAATAGGGTTGTCATGGTGATCTTTATCCACAGAAATAATACCATACCATGAGGTTGAAGTATATGAAACTGCTTCTTTTATGGGTTAAAAAAAGTCAAGTATCAGCAATTTTATGTGATTCAACCTAATAGTTTGTGAATTACTTAGTTTTTCCTATTACTTCCTGCTTCCTTTTAAGCCATATTATTGCCTTTTTTTTTCTTTTTAAGATGAGCAATATATTTCATCAAGGGGATTTCCAGGAATGCTGGAGAGGCAAGTGTGGTAAATAAAAAGTATGCAGGCTCTAGAATCAAATAAACCTGGAATTTAGATTTTCCTCTGTAATTTATTAACTGTGATCTTGGGCAAGTCAATCTATTTCAGCCTTATTTTTTTGTTGTGGAAAATGGAAATAAATAGTGCCTGCCTTGTAGGGTTATTAAATGAGAAAATTCATGGCTTGTTAGTGTGTGGCATATAAAAGATGAATGAAAGTCTCAGCTGTCCCCTCTCACTTTCATTTTTCCTACTTGCTCGTTCACAAAAAGTTTGACATAAAACTCAGAATTCTCTGCTTCCTTGTGTCCCATAAAAACTGAGTTATGCCAGGGATTTTGATGTGTATAAGAAATATTCATTTAACTTTAAGCCAAAATCTTTTAGACTAAGTAGCCATTTAAACTTTTAAATATCATTCCATGGAATTACTTTAGTGTACAATTTGTATCAAGTTTTTCCAGAATGCCAGAGCCTCATCACTTTTCATGTCATTCAGGAAGTTACTCATTTAGCCCAGACTTCCAATAAGTTCATACATAGAGACTGTGTCATATTCTTCTGGAAGTGTCATCACCATTTTTAAAAAATGTGATAACTGCTTTTTGAAAAGAAAAAAGACCATTGAAATTGTATTTATTTGCTTATATTCCTTACTTTGAATCCAACCCCACAAGGTGAACTCATAATTGCTGACCCCTCACACTTGTAGATCCCAAAGGCACAGCTGGATTTCTGCCTCATTTTTATTCCCTGGTGGGTTTTGATTTTGCATTAATTCTCTTTTTAATTGAGCTCCTATTTTGTGCAGGCGCTCTTCATGTCACAGCATGTATATGATGAATAAGATAGACAAAATCTTTGCACACATGAGCTTACATTCCTGTGACAACAACCAAATAAGGTGTTTTCAGAGTAAGTCCTGGGAAGGAAATAAATTAGGTGAATGGAGTAGACAGTGGCTGGTAGATGGGGAGGGTAATTAAGAAAGGTTTTCAGGAATTAAAGTAGTTACAAGGACCTGAGTTGCTCTGGCCCCCAGCTCCCCTAGAGGGTTGGATTGTGTATCTAGCCACTGCCTAGGACTGCCCTTTAAATCGGAAGTATGCCAACCACATGTCTGATGTGACTGCTATTCTGACTTCATCCCTATTTTGTGGAACCTGGCTGCCTTGTGCTATCTGCTTGAATTTGCCCCTGGCTGAAATCAAGCCTTGATTCTCCACTAAGTGATGGCCTTTTTAAACTTAAAAATTAGTAACTATTAATTAATGTCTGTTCACTGAAAATAGAAAATGAAGAAAGGCGAAAATAAAACATCAGAGATAAATACTGATTAACATTTTGGGATGTACTATTTCAGGTATTTTTATTCTTTTTTGAGACGGAATCTCGCTGTGTTGCTAAGGCTGGAATGCAGTGGCGTGATCTCAGCTCACTGCAACCCCCAGCTCCCAGGTTTGAGTGATTCTCCTGCCTCGGCCTCCCAAGTAGCTGGGATTATAGTCATATGCCACCACATCCAGCGAATTTTTGTATTTTTAGTAGAGATGAGGTTTCACCATGTTGGCCGGCTGGTCTTGAACTCCTGGCCTCAACTGATCCATCCACCTCGGCCTCTCAGAGTGCTGGGATTAAAGGCAGAGCCACCACGCCTGGCGTATATACATATTTTAATCAAAGTATGATCATAATTTGACCTTTTTATTCAACCATATAAATCAGTTTCTGTTTCAATAAGTCAATATCTGCTTCCACATTACTTTAAATAGTTTCTGTCATGCTGATGATATATACCACAATTGATTCAACCCATTCACTGGGGACAAAAGCATAATTATGACGATCAGAGCAGTAACTAACCACTGAGCACTTAACACACGTTAGGAATGATGGTGATGTTACATACAACATTTTTTTTTTTTCTGAGATGGAGTCTCGCTCTCTCGCCCAGGCTGCCCAGATCTTGGCTCACTGCAACCTCTGCCTTCCTGGTTCAAGTGATTCTCCTGCCTTAGCCTCCCGAGTAGCTAGGATTACAGGCACACACCACCACACCTGGCTAATTTTTGTATTTTAGTAGAGACAGGGTTTCACCATGTTGGTCAGGCTGATCTCAAACTCCTCACCTCAAGTGATCCACCCAGGCATGAGCCACCACACCCGACCTACACACATCATTTCTGAGGCAAAGAATGTTAAGTGACTTGCCTAAAACCACTCAGATTGTAAGAAAAGAGTGCTGAGCAGAAATGACCTTTGCTAAACATGGAGTGTGGGCTAGGCTGCATACTAGTCTCAGCAGGGAGGTAACTTTTGCTATTTCCCTTAAATCTCAAAGGTTAGAATTCTGTAGCCCTTCCCTAACTGTAGTGGGAGACAGGCCTCTCTGCATGTCTGCTCCCACCAAGACTGCACATAATGTGTACAGAAATCAGGGTACTATCAGGAAGCGGGGAAATGGATGCTGGGCAGCCAAACATTGACAGATAGTCATTATTGCCTTGCCTTAGGCTGTATTCCCGTCTCATGTTCTGGTTTCTCCCCACCCTGAGCCTCTCACCTCTTACCCTCTCTGAGGTTTAGCTTCTTCATCTGTAAAATGGATATACCATGGTTATTATTATCACAGGATATTAAATAGAAATATGGCCCACCACTGGGTAACCAAGTTTTTAGGAATGAGGTGGGTTACTGGGTCCCCACCAATGCCCTTTGAAAAAGTGTGAACGGAGCAGTCAGACTTTGGGAACCTAAGAGATTGAGGAAGAAGGAAATCAAATAGGATCTGTTTTTTCTCCAAAGTCACTGAAGGAAATAGGGGAGGAGGGGATAGGACAGAGGGACCTCCAGCAACCTCATTCAGGTGTAGAACAATCACAGTGTGTGTGACAAGTCACAATTCCTTTAAAATTAACCCTGCTGGTTTCCTGGGAGAGCTGCTCACAGTTGACCTACTGGTCTCATTGATTCCCAGATAAGGCATGGCAGTCAGCCAACAGCAGGCATCATCAGAGAACTTGGAAGAGGCTTGGAGGCAGAAACTGAAGTGTGATGCTGCATATCTGGAGGATGTGAACTGTACGTTTGCACACTGACAGTAAGTTGTTGACAGCAAATTGCAAAGAGACTAAGCAAGAATGGTGGTGCTCCCATGGCAGCTAGGCCCTTAGCAAAAGCAAAGAGAATATGCTCTGGAAGGTGTTGGGGGCGGGGGTCAAGAGCACTGGGAAGCAGTACCTAACTGCATGTTTGTGGCCCTGGCTTCTACTTAGATATCTACCAGTAACTAAGGAGAGTGGAATAGCTTTCCCTTTCTCAGACTTAATCTTCAATGGCCAGTTCACATGGCATTTCCACTATAAAGTTCACTTAAGCTCTGAATTGTTCCTTTTTCTGTGCTCACACAGCATTCTCTATTCCACCATTATACCACATAGCACAATTTAGCATGGTACTTTGCCCCACCTCTAAAATGGAGTTAGTATTTGGCCTGCGTTCCTCCCAGTACTATTCCAAACTAAGTCAGGAATAAGAACATTGGTCCAAATGCTTGCATGAACTCACCGCACATTAATGATAACAATATGTGGGGACCACACTTTACAGTTTATAATGCGAATTGCACCCATTATCTCATTTGATCCTCAAAGTAACCAAATTATTAGGTTACTGTTTCACAAGTGGGAAAACTGAGCTAAGGCAAAGTAATTGGCTAAAGTTGCTTGGCTAGTAAGTGATAGATCCAGGAATGGAATCCTGACCTCTGACCAGGGCCTGTTCTCTCTCTATTACATGTTGTTACTTTTACTGCTGGAATAATCCTTCATCCATTGGAAAATAGGCAAATAAGCAAAAACCCCTCCTACAAACTTTAATTTCTTGGCAGTTTACTTTCTCTGCCTCCTGCTTAATGGAAACCTGGCTCTTTCTCAATGCCACACCTCCCTTATATCTTCTTCCAGCTTCTTTTTTTTGAGATGAAGTCTTGCTCTTGTCCCCCAGGCTGGAGTACAATGGCGCGATCTCGGCTCACTGCAAACTTCACCTCCCAGGTTCAAGTGATTCTCCTGCTTCAGCCTCCTGAGTAGCTGGGATTACAGGCGCATGCCACCATGCCCGGTTAATTTTTGTATTTTTAGTAGAGATGGGGTTTCACCATGTTGGCCTGGCTGGTCTCGAACTCCTGACCTCAGATGATCCACCCACCTCGGCCTCCCAAAGTGCTGGGATTACAGGCGTGAGCCACCGCGCCTGGGCCTTCCAGCTTCTTGATTAGACACTGCCTTTTCTCACATCTTCCATATACTACTGGGGACTTCACTGGCAGTCTTGTCATTCCCCATTGACACTAACCTACCACGTTACTTCTGCCACTTGCAAAATTTACTTGTCCTTTGAGGCTTATACCATCCAGCTCAGCCTATCAGACCCTCTGTCCTGGAACTTTGACTGTTGAATGACTGATCCAAGAATGGAAAGAACGAGAGGAAGGCCTGTGTTTGGGGCTCATGCCATCTTATATGCTATCTTTATAGGAGTCATCCTCTGACCACTTCAGTCCTTAAAGATTTTGGTACCTGGCACAAAGTCTTCTTCACTTTAAGTCTCGCTATCACCTAGGTAACTTCACTGTATGGAACCACTTAACATCCTAGCCTCCGTATTCCTTATTTTTGGCAACAGTAACCACCACCTTACAGCCATTCCACTCATTCATTTCCATGATTATATCCTGGACTTTTTAAAGACCTGGCACTGCTCCACTTTTGAGATCTTAAGGTCTGGAGTACTAAATCTCTGACTATCACCTCCTGGCTCCCTAGCTCTCTCACTCTTACTCCCACCATACATTCTCCTTCATATCCTGGACTCCACCAGGTCTTTGGCCTTACCATTTTCTACCAAGTTCATCACTCCTCTTGATATTTCCCTTCCCTATTCTGCCTAGACCTTATAGTGCCACATGAAGACCAACATTATCCTCTTTCTTCCACACCCACCTTGCATCAGTTCAACTATCTGCTTTCTCCACCCCCATAATGAAGCTGTTGAACATAACCCTGCAGACTGACTCTGCAGTAGTGCTGTGGTCTCCTTTTTTTTTTTTTTTTTTTTTTTGGAATTAACAGTCTTTATTGGGCTCAGACCAGGAGTCCGTGGGTCTGGAGGACCTCTGTGTATTTGTCAATTTTCTTCTCCACGTTTTTCTCGGCCAGTTTCCGTAGCCTCGTGAGCTGTTTCTTCTTCCAGTAGTGGGTCTTGGCTTTCTCCTTCCTCTTCTCCTCCAGGGTAGCTGTCACTGCCTGGTACTTCCAGCCAACCTCATGAGCCAGGTGCCCCAGATAGGCAAACTTTTTTGTAGGCTTCAGACACACGACCTTGAGGGCAGCAGGAACCACCATCCACTTTTTCTTTTCTTAGGGTGGTGTGATGCTGTCAAACACCTTGAGGCAGTCCAGGGTGGCATGGCCTCGCTTGGTCTTGTGGGGCAGCATGCCTCGCAGGGTCGGCCAGAAAATGCTGCTGGGGGCCTGGAAGTGGTAAGGGGGCCTCGGGAAGGGTTGGCGTTCATCCACTTGTGGAGGAAAACCAGGTACTTCAACTTATTTCTGTGGAAATTGCCAGAAATGGCCGGGTGTGGTGCTCACGCCTGTAATCCCAGCACTTTAGGAGGCCGAGCCGGGTGGATCACCTGAGGTCAGGAGTTCAAGACCAGCCTAGCCAACGTGATGAAACCCCATCTCTACTAAAAATACAAAAAATTAGCTGGGCGTGGTGGTGGCGCCTGTAATCCCGGCTACTCAGGAGGCTGAGGCAGGAGAATCACTTGAACCCGGGAGATGGAGGTTGCTTTGAGCCAAGATCACATCATTGCACTCCAGCCTGGGCAACAAGAGCGAAGCTCTCTCAAAAAAGAAGAAAAGAAATTGCCAGAAATGTTGATGCCGTCGCAGTGTACAACCACCACCTTCCGGCCCAGCAGTACCTGCTTAGCCACGATGGCTACCAGGAGGCCCAGGAGATGGCCTCGACCTGCACCTCCGCCATCTTCGGCAGCCGCCTGGGAAAAGCGGTCTCCATTCTTGATTGGGCTCTCATAGGTATTGTGACCTTGATTCTCTCTTCACAATAGATATGGGTTAATTAACAAAATTGATTAACCTATTCATTTGACAACTATTTGTCATCTGTTACATGCCAGGCAATGTGCTACATGTTAAACATGTAGCAGTAGACCAAACAGACACAGTGCCTACCTTCATGGAATTATGGTCTAGTGGAGGACAGATCCCTTGTTCACTATATACAAACATATTCAATTGACCCTTGAACAACATGGGGGTTAAGGGGCTGACCCCCTGCACAGTTGAAAATCCATGTATAGCTTTTGACTCCCCAAAAATACAACTACTAATAGCCTACTGTTGATCTTATTGATAACATAAACAGTTGATGAACACATATTTTGTATGTTATACGTATTATATACTATGTTCTTACACTAAAGTCAGCTAGAGAAAAGAAAATGTTATTAAGAAAATCACAGGGAGCTGGGTGCAGTGACTCACACCTGTAATCCCAGCATTTTCGGAGGCCGAGGTGGGCAGATCATTTGAGCTCAGGAGTTTGAGACCATCCTGACCAACATGGTGAAACCCCGTCTTTACTAAAAATACAAAAAAATTAGCCAGGTATGGTGATGCATGCCTGTAGTCCCAGCTACTCAGGAGGCTGAGGCAGGAGGATCGCTTGAACTGGAGAGGCAGAGGTTGCAGTGAGCCAAGATCACACCACTTCACTCCAGGCTGGGCGACAGAGTGAGACTCTGTCTCAAAAAAAAAAGAAAAAGAAAAAGAAAAGGAAAATCACAGGGAAGAGAAGAGAAAATATATTTACTATTTATTAAGCAGAAATGGATCATCATAAAGGTCTTTATCCTCATCATCTTCCTGTTGAATAGCCCAAGCAGCAGGAAGAAGAGGAGGGATTGGTCTTGCTGTCTCAGGGGTGGCAGAGGCAGAAGGAAATTCCTGTAAACATGGACCCATGAAGTTCAATCCCATGTTGTTCAAGGGCCAACTATAATTACAATTGTGAAGAGTGCTACCAAGGAAAAAACTCCAAGTATCATAAGAGCTTACAATAGGAAGACCTAGCCTAGACCAAAGAATCAGGGAAGGCCTCTCTGAGAAAGTGACATTTAATTCGAGACCTAAAGAAAGGGTTAAAATTAGCCAAGTGAAAGGAGTAGGAGTGAAATGGAAGTGCTCTCCTCGTGCAAGGAAGAGTATCTGTGAAGGCCTCAAGGAGGAAAGGAGGAAGGAAATGAAAAGGGTTCCTGTTAGAGTGTATGGAAGGTTGAGGCTAAGACTAAGAAGACAATGTGAACCAAATATTTGGGTCATTTCAAGGATTTTGAGCAAGTGTACAGTTTCACGCAGAGGGTGGCATGATCTGATACGTCCTTTTAAAAAAGGTCAGCCTGTTTGTAGTATGTTGAAAGGGCTTAATGGAGGTAAGTAAATCAGATGGGAAGCTATTGTATTAATAGTTGTCCATCCGAAGGCAGATGGCTTAGTGGAGATAGATTCAAGAAACTTCTCCAAGCTCCTGAACGCCCATAACCTACTTCTGGTCCCTTCTCCACCACACCACCACTACTACCAATTTTGGCAATTGACTTGCTTCCTACTTCTTAGGAAATTTAAAATATCAGGTGTGAACTTCAATTTCCTGCTTCTACACCTACACATTTAGCTAACTATACTTCCTTCACTTCCTTCCTGCCAGTCTCAGAGAAAGAGGGTCAGATCTCCTTTCTAAGGCACATCATTCTTCCTTCCACCTTCTCCAAGACCAATACCATGCCCCTTGATTAACCACTCCTTCTCCTCTAAACACATGCAATTCTCTTCTAATTAGAAGAACAAAAAACAGGCCTGGCATAGTGGCTCACACCTGTATTCCCAACACTTTGGGAGGCCAAGGCAGGCGGATCACCTAAGGTCAGGAGTTTGTGACCAGCCTGACCAATATGGTGAAACTCCGTCTCTACTAAAAATACAAAAATTAGCTGGGTGTGGTGGCACGGGCCTGTAATCCCAGCTACTTGGGAGGCAGAGGCAGGAGAATTGCTTGAACCTGGGAGGTGGAGGTTGCAGTGAGCTGAGATCACGCCACTGCACTCCAGCCTGGGCGACAGAGTGAGACTCTGTCTCAAAAAAAAAAGAAAAACAAAAAATCCACTCACCTCCTGTCACCCTAGCTACTACCTTATCTCTCCTTCCCTTTATAACAAAATTTCTATAGTCCACTCTTCCTATGTCAGAGATAGTGGTGTTTACCAAATATTCTGTTCTGCTCCTCACATTTCCCAGGAACTTAGCAATTAGGCAGGCTGAGGTGATTAGTATCTCACTCTGGACCAAAGTGTAAAATAGCTGGCATGTGACCTCCTAAGATCTCTTCACTTGCTGAGCCAATTGTGGAGAGGATTTTGTCTTCCAGAAGTTGCTCAGCACAGTGAATGAAAATATATTCATATCTCAGCACTTAGTGAAATTCAGAACACTGTTGTATAATTTCAGAACACCAAAGAAAAAGAGAAGATTCTAGCAGGGTGTAGTGGAATCCTGTAATCCTGTAATGCCTGTAATCCTAACACTTTGGGAGGATTACTTTAGCCCAGGAGTTAGAGATCAGTTTGGGCAACCTAGCAAGACCTTATGTCTACAACAAATTAAAAAATTAGCCAGGTGTGGTGGTGCATGCCTGAGTAGTCCAAGCTACTCAGGAGGCTGAGGCAGGAGGATTGCTTAAGCTCACTAGGTCCAGGCTGCAGTGAGCTATGATCCTGCCACTGCACTTCAGCCTGGGTGACAGAGCGAGACCCTGTCTCTAAAATAAAGATAAATAAATAAATAAATAAATAAATAAATAAATAAGAGAAGATTCTGAAAACTTCCAAAAAGAAACAATGGGTTGTATACAATCAGGAATCAAAATGTCTTGAGGATCCTTAACAACATTGGAATCAAGAAGGGAATGGAGCAATGGCTTAAAAATTCTGCAAGCAAATACTTCCTAAGAATTCTATACTTTTCAGACTATAATCAAGTGTGAAGATAGGATGAAGAAATTTTCTCTGACATATACACTTTCCCACCAAAATATAGGAGTAAACAAACAAACAAACAAACAAGATCCAACAAGGAAAGAGATGAAGAGCACCTGAAGAGTGACAATCAGTAGAGATTCTAGGATCACAGCATTGCACCAAGTGTCGAGCATAATCAGGCCAAAGAGTAAGGTGATTCAAGAGAGGTTCACTGAGGAGTATCATCAGGTTAAAACTGATGAAACTACTGGAACAGATATCTCCCAAACAGGGGTGCAAACTGAGAAAGAGAAAGATACAAATTCTAGGCAACAGGGATCCCAACTCAGAAAAAGGCAAAAAAGAATTCTCAGGATGACAGGGAAGAAAAGTGCTGGGAAGACAGCTAAGCAGAAGGGCTAGGGTGCAATCAGATAAGAAAATGAGTCTCCGGGAGTCTCTAGGAGACTCATTTTCAATTTTTCAAGAGAAAAATTGGAACAGACAGATTACCTGATGTAATTGACTACAAGGGAATCTGTAGTGAAAGATTATTGTAAAGTGTCAAAGAAATAACTATAGGTAATAATTACAAAGAAAATTAAGCAGGTGAAAAACCAAGGCAATTATTAGATTTAGGAAAAGCAAAAGTTGGAAAAGAAATATAATTTTGAGCAGGGCATGGTGGCTCACATCTGTAATCCTTGCACTTTGGGAGACCAAGGCAGGAGGGCGGATTGAGGCCAGGAGTTCAAGACCAACCTGGGCAACATAGTGAGACCCTGTGTCTACAAAAAATACAAAAATTAGCCACACATGGTGGCAGGCACCTGTAGTCCCAGCTACTCGGGAGGCTGAGGTGGAAGAATTGCTTGAGCTGGGGGCACGGAGGCTGCAGTGAGCCAAGTTATGCAACTGCACTTCAGCCTGGGTGACAGAGTGAGACCCTGTCTCAAAAAAACAAAATATATATATAATTTTGGTGTGCTTGTAATAACATAACAAGTAAATAGTTGTAAGGCATAATAATGTAAATACTAAATACTGATGTAGCGAAAAAATTGTAGTACAATTCTATTGGGAGTATAGGGGAGAAGAAGCAGATGGGACAGTGGTGTAAGAGAGCTAAATCCTGAATCCACTATACAAGAAGTCATTACATTATGTCTAAAATTGATTAATCAAAAATTAGCATTAGCAGTGTATTATTTAGGAAAAGCAGAGATATATAAATGCCAGAAGAAGCCTCTAAAATGTCACTTCCAAGATTAGGCTATTAAAAAAAAATGTCTAAAATGGTTACTTTGGAGAAAAGGGACTTGGGGAAATGGGGAGGGAGAGGCAGAACAGGGATTATTGGTTTTTGTTACAAGCTTTGTGTTTATGTGACTTTCTTTTTAAAAGCGTTGTGCATTTATTACTTTGAGAAACATTAAATACAAGTGAAAGTGTATAGAAGCATGCACAAGAAACTGCTGACATTAGGTATCCCTAAGGAGTGAAATTGGCAGGGAGAAGGTTTTTATTTACCCCTTTATATCCTCTGTACTGTTTGAATTTTTACAAAAAGCATGCATTACTTTTATAATTGTAATAAAAAACAATAAAACCAATGTGCCACCTCTATTTTCTGCCTTCTTGGGAATTTCATCTCCAGGCTGTTGAGACATCCAAGAAAGTTCTCACCATTACTAGGCTCAAACCCTGTCTGTAGATATGTCTCCTTTAAGCTTGAATGACAGTAGGGCAATAGGGTGGCTCTGTGTGTCCCATGTTGTGGTTTCTTTGCTCAATCAAGAGCCCATCTTAGTTGTTTGGCAAACTCTTATCTTCATGCCATCTGCAAAGGGCAGGAAGCTCTGGTTCGTCTGCTGAGTTAGCCACTGTCCTGCAAACCAAAGAGCTTCTATTGAACCATATGTTGCTGTGCGTTACATTTTTCTTTTGTGGAGTTCTCTCCTCCAACCCTCACTCTATTCCCACTATACAATCTTTTTCATGTTTCTTCTTCTCCAACCTCCCCATCCCTCCTTTCCCCAACCGCCTCCTGGTATAGGCATTTCCTGGAGCATATCATAGCTGTAAATATTTATAGCTGTAAATGTTTAAGTGTGTGTTTGGGCCATACAAGAGAAAACACTCTGAAGTCAATTTCTGTATTCATAGTGTACGGTTAAAAGCTAAAGGCTGCAAGCAAACCTGCCCAACCTTCACCCCAGGCAAAGACATTATCTTTACTGGATGAATCAGGAAACAAATCAGCCCTCTGCCATGGAGAGAGACATTTTCTCCATCTTCCAAGGCTGTTTGCTAAACAAACATCCTTTATTTATTATCTATCTATTTATATATTTATTTTTCAAATTTAATCAACAAATTTTTTACTGTTTCCATTACATGTAAGATTATTTTACACTAGATACCAGGGGTCACAAAGGTTGACTAAATGGTTTCTGACTTTGGGGTGTAATAATTGTTCACCAATAACTCTGTAGTACAAGACATATGAAAAATCCTATATCAGTTGGGAGCAGTGGTGCATACCTGTAATCCCAGCTACTCTGGAGGCTGAGGCAGGAGGATTGTTTTTGTTTTGTTTTGTTTTGTTTTGTTTTTTCTGACTTCTTGAAATTCTTTTTTTTGTTGTTGTTGTATTATACTTTAAGTTCTAGGATACATGTGCACAACATGCAGGTTTGTTACATATGTATACATGTGCCATG